>NC_000008.11:99464222-100089222 GCF_000001405.40 Homo sapiens | reverse complement strand
TGTGTGTGTGTTTGTGTGTGTGTGTATCTCGTGTATCTCTATTATGTATATATATCTATGGTGGAAGATTGGACTTTCTTGACCAGAGAAAATTTCCTTCTTCTCTGTTTATTTTATCTCAGGAGCTACATTGTAAATTTCCTGGGGGCAAGGACAGGTCTTTTCTGTATCTCCCAAAGATTCTTGATTATGATTCTGTTTTTATTTCAACATCTTCCATGTAAGATCCTTAATATAAACAAGTAAACCTTCTAATCTTTTCTCCTGCCTCCTTTCTTCACCCACCTCTACCCTCAGTCCCCACCAAAAGCAATAGCCTAAGCCCTAGAGTGTAGATATAGACTATAGGGCCCTTAGGTCATCTCTGAGATGACTTCTGAGACTTTTTCCCTATCTGTAATGACATGCCCAAGGTCCTATAACCGGATTGTGGTAGAAATGGGCCTAGGAATCAGGCATTCTGGCCCCTACACTATTTCTTTCCATTACACCATTATACCCTTGGGACACATTGTAAGATCCTGAAACTGGTGGCTGGTAGCCTGCCTCCATGTTATTTTTTGATGAGGGGAATTCAGGACAGTTGCTGCTATTATAAATGATTGCAGCACTTTCCAAATCCTAGCTTTCATAACTTCATTCCGTTTGTTCTTGTGCCAAGTTCACATTCAGATATTGTTTTCATTTGGTGTCTGGGAGGTTTTTTGCTGTCAACTCTTTATGGACAAGTGTTTGCTTATTAAGTTTTCTTCCGTGCTATAGTGTGAAAACATTTTTTTCCTTTTGGCTTTGTTTTGTGTGTTTTATGCTTAGTGACTGTTGTGGGATTGAGTAGATGAGCCCACGTAGATTTAGGTTGGTCCTCTGTGGGTGGTTTCAAATGTTTGTGACATTTATAGTTTGCAGAAGCTGAAGGGGTGGCCTGTTCTATACCCTCCTCGCAAGGATAGGTATGTCATGTGTTTGCCAGACCATGCTTAGTTATGTGCTGTTGAAATTTTACCATAACTTCTTTTTTTGGACTGATTCTCCACACTTTTTACAATCCGTAAACAGTTATAATTTCTTGCAGCTTTATGAAGGAGTTATATGCTAGATGGACTGTTGTGGGGGGCCAGTGGGGAGAAAGAGAGAGTATATTTTGGGGGAATGCATGGGATGAAGGGTTTGGGTCTTCTCTTGCCAAAATCTAAATACTCAGAAATTGATTTTTACAGGTGTTGATAAAGCTCTAGGAAACTGCTTAGTTCAGTGTTTGCACCTCTGGGTGTTTTGATAAGACTTGTAGCTCAAAAATACAGCACTCAAATTACCTAACTCATTTATTAACTAAGGATATTTTCTATACATTTTATGTGGCACATTATTCATTCCATCCCATTGGTGAATATATCTAGTAAACAGTTTATGGTTAAACATCTAAAATGACAATAAAGCTTAGATTAAAAGAAGTTGTTATTGGTAACTGACTTGTTACATTCAAGTAGTCAGATGTTTTCCATTCACTGACTAGGGATGCATGTTTAAAATACAGCTTTGGAGCTCAATTAGTAAAGACAGAGTTGGAGCAGAGATGAACATGTATTAAATTAACCTAGTCATTAGTTTTTAATTTAAATACTGTTCAGCTAAATAATTTGGCACCCGGTAAGTTTCACTGGTGCTGGGCTGGCAGTTTAAGTACGTCACTAATTATTCACAGGTTTTTTTTCTCTCCCCTTTTCAAAGAAATGTGGAACCAGCAATTTACTCTGGTAAAAATATTTTCATGCACTTGCTTTTTCTGTGAAAATATTTTTCACACATGGATGACTAGTACTACAAAGTTAGCTTTCACCACCTTCAGGTCAATTCGTTTTGGAATATTTGGAAAATGATATCCTTGAAATAAGAAAATTAAGTAAGGAAAAGAGCAGTCTGTAACAGCTTGTGGAGGATTGGGTTTGAGGCTCAAACTGAAGGTTTTTCCTGTTATATGATTTAAGGTTGAGCATTCTCTAAATCAGCCAACTTAGCATTTTGGAGAAAAGACTTTCTACATCATTCATTTCTGTCTCCCATACCCTATGTGTCTTGTATTGTTACTTACTAAACTATAGGAGTTTTATAGATAAGCTTAGAAATGGTTAAAACAAAGGACTTGATGTTTAAGAGAGCTTCTTTTTAAGCAAACAACAGGAATTTGGGTACTAATGAAAGACCAGGGCTCTTTCTCCTGGGTATCAAACACAGACGGCTGGCACCACCTCATATATGAATACCCATGAGAGTCAGCATGAAGTAACCAACAGAATGTGGCTTTGCAGTTTGTCTTCATCTGGATTCTGCCTCTCCTCAGCTAAAAACTCTTCAGTGGCTCCTCCTTGTTGTAAAGCAGTGATTCTTAAACATGTGCATGCGTTAGAATGATCAGAGGGCTTGTTAAAACTCAGAGTGCTGAGCTCCTTCCCCAGAGATTTTGTTATACGGAGGGGACCGATAAGTTGCTTATCTTTCTTTTTTCTTTTCAACTTTTATTTTAGATTCAGGGGTGTACATGTGCAGGTTTGTTACCTGGGTATATTGCGTCATGCTGAGCCTTAGGATATGAATGATCCTTCACCTAGGTACTGAGCATAGTACCCAGTAGTTTTTCAGCCCTTATCTCCATCCTTCCCTCTCCCATCTAGTTGTCCCCAGTGTCTATTGTTGCCATTTATGTCCATGAGCACTCGATGTTTAGTTCCCACTTATAAGTGAAAACATATGGTGTTTGGTTTTCTGTTCCTGTGTTAATTTGCTTAGGAGGGAATTTGCATTTCTAACAGGATCTCAGGTGATGGTGATATTGCTGATCTAGGAACCACCCTATGAGAATCATTGGTTCAACAGTGTAAGTTGAGAGTTACAGCATATGATAGTAGGTCCTCAACGAATTCATCCTTTCTCTCCAGTCTTATTTCTGCTATTCTCCCTTAAAATATTAAAGTTGAATATGTTTCACTGCTTGCAGTTCACCAAATGTAACCTATTATTTTGTGCTCTTGTATCTTTTATTTTTATTTTTAATTTTTGTGGGTACATGGTAGGTGTCATGCTCCTTTATCTTGATGCATTGGCTATTACTTTTGTGAATTCACCTCTTCCCCCTCTTCTCCCTTGTCTACCTGACATTGCCTGTTCATTCTTAAAATTCAGCTCTAGCAGCCCACTTTCCCTATACATCTTCCTTAATTTCCAGAATATATTAATAGTTAATGAATCCTTCTGTGCCATCACATTACTTTGTATGTTCTTCTATTGTGCTTGTTCTGTGTTAAACTGGAGTTCAATATACATCCATTCTTATTCAAATTGAGCTACTCATGTTCTGCAGAGAGAGTGAGGTTTAAAGAGTGACATGAAGAGTGATTTAAAGAGTCACAATGATTTTGTCTGTTGTACCAATCTATGTGTATGTGCCCTGTAGAGGGTGTGAGATGGAAGATGAGAAACTGCCATTCCATCAATGAGTGTCATCCTTCCTGCCTCTTACAGTATGTTGTCATATCATCATGCTAAGGGTGATTCTAGTGTTAAACATACACATTTTGTGTACAGCATGAGCTTTAAACACAAGTCCATCCCTTCATCCAGTCCCTAACTGAAGAATCAGTGACTCATTTCAATCCAGAGGAACAACTGACTCATGAACTTTTTGAGAACATTGTTGAAGACAACTTTATGGATGTTTTCAAGATTTCAAGGGATAATCTTGACTAAATATGATTTCACCTTATGTGCTGACTTTCATATCCCTTCCCCTCATAGGATGGGTCTTTATTGCCTATTTATGTTTACTTATCTGTCTTCCTCTGCTGGATAATGTGTGCTCTGAGGCAGGATCTGTGTCTTTTTCATTTCATTTGGGGCCTTGTGGAGGATGCCCTGTATTGGCTCACTCAATATATTAAATAGGATATTATGATAATAATAATTAAATACTTATTGAATAAATGAATGAGCTAACAAAGGAATAGTGGGGCTGAGTGATCTTACTAAAGAGCAGAAGATATAGACTTTTTTCCTGGAACGTCCATCATGGACTGATGGAGTATCAAACATGGAAAGCACCTTCGGTTTATCTAGTTACAACTTCTTTTTACTGATATGTCTCAGAAAGGCAAAGTGATTTGCCCAACATTTCTTCCATTTTTAATCATTCTGCTTATGTTTCTCTGGGTAGTTTCTAGTTTAGCCAAATCCCTTTTAAAGTGTGATAACCAGACCAGACATAATATTCTAGTATTACTACCCTTGTCACTGGGGACATATTTGCCCTTGGCATTTGCATTTACACAAGTTTTAATTTATTTCGGTATTTTGTTTACTCTTTATCATAGACAAAAATGAAAGATCATGTACTTGTTCCTTCAAGGGCAGAAATAATGTTTTATTCATCTTTGTATCCTCTAGGTTTAGGGCAATAATTGGCACTTGGTAATTCAAACATTTTGCTATTGGTAAAATGAATTACTGAGAGAAGCTTTGAAACAGTTGTTTGCCACTTTTATCATCTTAGAATCATAGTGCTTTTAAGGACCTTCCAGGATCTAAGCTAATGCGTGGCTTTTCAAATACAAAAACACTGATTTACCCCTGGAAAGATCTCTGTTCTATTATAATTAATTCCATAGAAAGAAATTCTTAAGTTTAAAAGTATAAACATTTTTACATATACATTCACATTTCTTTTTTTATAATAAATAGAAACATTGCATGCCATTTTATTATAAACATAATTCCAATTTTCCTTTTGTTGTTTTTACTGTGCTGTTTCTGTAAAGCACTTCTTTTTGACCAGTTCCTCTCCTCACTTTCATGCTTACATACACTTTCTTCCTCAGAATGGATACACTGCCTTTTTCCCTACTAGGTCCATTCAGAATTCAAGTATTTTTGTAAGTGCATACGAGTAGCACAACCTAAAGCACACATGAAATCGTAGCTGTAGGGAGTCTGAGAAATAAAGTTTTTACTTTTCCAGGCTTTGCATTTTAGGAGGTTGGAATGGATTCTGAGTGAGCCAGTCCACAGCATCCACAGTAAGCCTTAACTAAAATTATGTGGCCGGGCGTGGTGGCTCACGCCTGTAATCCCAGCACTTTGGGAGGCCAAGGTGGACGGATCATGAGGTCAAGAGATCAAGAACATCCTGGCCAACATGGTGAAACCCCGTCTCTACTAAAAAATAGAAAAATTAGTTGGGCGTCGTGGCGCCCAGCTACTTGGGAGGCTGAGGCAGGAGAATCCCTTGAACTCGGGAGGCGGAGGTTGCAGTGAGCCAAGATCGCGCCACTGCACTCCATCCAGCCTGGCGACAGAGCAAGACTCTGTCTCAGAAAAAACAAAAAACAAAAAAAAAAAAAAAAAAGAAAAGAAATTACGCGGTCAGTTCTAGGTTTAAAGCAGTTGCATAGTGATAACTCCAGAGTTGTGTTGTAAGCTCATTAGGGGACTTGCTGTAAAGCCATGAAGAGTTCATTTAGGCTTTCTCAGCTGTAGTTTTGCTTTTTATGTAAATATAAAAGTAATTGTTGGCTGGGCACAGTGGCTTATGCCTGTAATCCCAGCACTTTGAGAGGCCAAGGTGGGTGGATCACGAGGTCAAGAGATTGAGACCATCCTGGCCAACATGGTGAAACCCCATTTCTACTAAAAATACAAAAATTAGCTTGGCATGGTGGTGTGTGCCTGTAGTCCCAGCTACTCAGGAGGCTGAGGCAAGAGAATCGCTTGAACCCAGGAGGCAGAGGTTGCAGTGAGCCGAGATCACGCCACTGCACTCCAGCCTGAGGACAGAGCAAGACTCAGTCTCAAAAAAAACCAAAAGTAATTGTTAACTACCTGCTTTAAATACTGCCCTGGCCTCTGCATGTGACGGGGACAGTATCCCATCCAGAGAGTTAGTAATTTTTACATAAAACCTGGTCGCGATGTGATAGCAGTAGCTCTGAGATAACAGCCAGTCTCCCCAGAGTGTGGTGATGGTTCTGCTTCTGTAATGTGAGCAGCCAACCCCACCAGCTCATGAGCTGACAAGCAACCATTACATCTTCCAGACTGCTCCAGAACCTTTCTAAAACACAAATTAGAAGTAACTATTTACTTTCCTACTTAGGGTGTTCATGTGCCTCCCTGTTTCCTAGAGGGTTAAGATAAAGCCCGTACTTGTTAAAATGGCATGCAAAGCCTTTCATGATCTGGTTATACTATGTTATCTACTTCAAGTCTTTTTTCTTTGTTCCTTAAACTATTCCAACTACGGCTATTCTTGTTCTAATCCAGCTGCGTAGAGTTACCCACATACACCATGTTGCTTCATGCCTCTGTGCCTTTACTAGTAAAACCAGGGTAGATAAGAGTATGGGCTTTGGAATCAAAATGCTTTGTTTGAATCACAGCTACCCTAACTTCATAGGATTATTGCTTAGCAAAGAACTTGGTGTAGAGAAGTGGTCAGTACACACTAGTTTTGTCATACGTGAGGCAGTGTATTAAAGAGGAAATGTTCTGTCTTTGGGACCAGACAGACTTGTTTCCATAACCCTGATTGTCTAGCACTTTATAGCTCTGAGTCCATGGACCACCACTTAGCCATCCCTACCATCAGTTTTTTGTAAAGAGCTATGTCAGGAATGTGGAAGGATTCAAGAGAGGGCTTTTAAAGTGTCCATCACGACCTTTAACCCAAGGGAATTAATGCAGGAACAGAAAACCAAATACCACATGTTCTCACTTATCTGTAGGAGCTAAACATTGAGCACACATGGACACGAAGGGAGCAATAGACCTACTATTGTAGGGGCCTACTTGAGGATGGAGAGTGGAGGGAGGGTGAAGATTGAAAAACTACCTATTGAGTGTTATGCTGCTTACCTGGGTGACAAAATTATCTGTATGCCAAACCCCTGCAACATGCAATTTACCCATGTAACAAACCTGCACATGTACCCCTTAAACCTAAAATAAAAGTTGGAAAGAAAAAAAATAAAGTGTCCATCACACACCTATCACATGATAGACATTCAGTAAATAGTCCTTATCATCTTCGTTATTTCTGCCAACTATACCGTAACTACTCACTACTACTAAGTAAGATTGATTACTAGGGTCTTGGAGTATCAATAGCCCCTCCTAATTTTTTTACTTGAGCACTTTTTACTTGATTAGTAGGAAATGTTTTATTTATCCATTGAACTAACTAGTTAACATTCTTTGCGTTGGATTATCACAGCTTTCTGTTCCTCTGGCTACCAGGTCAGAGGGTAGGAGGCAAAAAAAAAAAAAAAAAAGGAAAACAATAAAAGTCAAACTTGTTCTCTTGTTCCATGGATACTCAGAACTAGAAGAAATGTTTTCCAGATGGTCTTTCACTTTATACAGCTTAGTTTCTCCTACTCCCATTAATATTTGATGTCATTCTCTACCAAGTTTAATTAATTTCCTATCTCCAGATAAATCTAATCTGCGATATCAGCAGACTCTTTTTTCTCTTTAGTTAAGTGATAGCATAGTTTAGGGATGGTATTTATGTCATTTAGGTAAATGGTGCCTGTTTGAATCCCATGTTTGAAAGACAGATGCAGTGGGCAACTAATGAAATATATCTATTGAAGAAATTTTATATGTAATTTATGGCTAATTCTTTCTTACTCATTGAGCAATACTTATCATTTTGGGAGAAACTCTTAGTCCTAAGGCTTTTGAGACTGTGGACTGACATTCATCTTGAACCGTATCATCCATGTACTTTAAATTCCTCAGAAGGGGAGACAGTCAGACCTTAGAGATGTGATATTATGAGACATTAAAATTTAAATATATATATATATATATATACATACACGCACACATATATACACATACTTCTAGTTCCAATTTTACTGTGAAATTCTGCCACTTTTTAAATTATGACTATAGTATATCTAGCAATCCCTTAGTAAAACTTGAATTAATGTTCTACTTAGAACACTTACTGATCCAAGGGGAAGAATTTAATTTCTTCTACCACTCGCCTAAGCATGTATAAGTTAATCTACATGAGTAGTCAGTTCACTGAAGGCACCCTAAAATAAATGAATATTCTGAAAAAGGGACCTGATTCTAGATTTGGAAGACAAATGGGAAAAGACATGGCCAATTCACCATTTACTTCTTACGGAAGTGGAGGCCCCAAAAATGTTCAGTGATTTACCTAGAGTCACAGAGGTACTTATTGGCAAGCTGGCATTCAAACTCAAGACTCCTGACTATTGTATATCAACTGACTGGCTTTAAATAAAAGTTGGCAGCATTTAGAATTACTGATAAAAACCTCAGAAATGTTATTTTCTTCTCTCTTTTTTTGTCACAGTGCAAAGGATGGTGTTGAAATAGTCTTAACTGAAGAACATATTGTACTTAAATTTCTCCTTTTGGACAAGGGAGATTGTTAGCCTTCATGGCTCCTAAGGATGAAAGACAATGGGAGCATTATTTCTTCCTTTACTCATTCTTCCCTAGTGATCCACCCCCTTCTAAGAGAATAACATTGCTTTGTAGAGCCAGGTATATATTTCTCTCCAGTTTCAAATAATCACAGACTTAAGATGTTTATACAAAGGGAATTTCTGCCATAGCATACCCTGACACTTACTCGTGGCATAAGTGCATTGGCAAGGAAGAGTTTAGTGGGTTCCCTGACCTCTACCCAAGGGATTTCCTAGCTCCTAAAAAGGAAGAGGGAATGATTACAAACACAGAACTCTGTGAGGTATGCATGCATGTATGTAAACCACAAGTCTTCTTAGAGACCATGAGTTTCCAGGTTTAAAAAATGTTTTAATTTCCACAAATTTATATTGCAGACCTTTTCAGAGGCAATTAGATTTAATGCAGATTATGGAGTTTTTGAAGTAGCTAATGATGCTCCACAATTTCTGGAAAAACAACTGAAAAAAATTCTACAAAACCAGCAACCTCGAAATCCCATTTATGATGTTGTAAGGAAAGGAAAGAATGAGGTTAAACCTGTTCAAATGAATGCCCCCGATGAAGATGAGACCATTAATGTCAACTACAATATTATGGTAAGAAAGTATACTGTTTTATCTTGTTAGATAGATAAAGCATTTGGTGAAATTAACATGAGTTTACTTAGGCTTCCCTTTTTGAAGTGTAGCTACATTTATTAGCTTGTGTTGTACGTACACATAGTATTTGTTAAGCACTTTTCAAATCCAATGGCCAGTTCAGCAGTTTTGTTGATGTTCACTTATCAATTTGAGAAGATTCATATAATTTACCTTGAATATTTGAATATTAGGTTAGTTTTGAGTCATATAAATATAAGTGTCCTTTATAATTTTGATGCGTTATTGAAAATGTGGATATATAGGCAATGTATTTCATTTGGGTTTTGAACCAATCCTATCAAGCAGTTGGGAATTGAGACTTCTGACCCTCAAGTTGCATTGTGTGGCTCTGACCTCCCTGGCCTTAAATTTCATTTTCAGCTTCTGGATTTTGTCTCCTTAGCATGAGGTTGGAAAACCTGGGTTCTAATATTGGCTCCTCTGCTTACTGACTCTGTGTACAAGTCACTTTGATGAATCTGATTTTCATCATCTGTCAAATGATGCCTTTACTACCTACTACTTAGGTTTCTTGTGTGGATGAAATGAAAATAATAATGAATGTTTAACAATACTATTTCACATTGATTCAAAATGTCTAGTATAACCAGGCTAAAGTATGTCTAACATTTAAGACATAGATCTACTCTAGCCTGAAAGTTCTTCAATTCTTCTGTTACTGAATTCAAATAGTATCTATCTTTAACTTTCACCAAATAGTTTCTATCTTTAACTTTCATCAAACTAAATGCTAATAGTTTCTATCTTTAACTTTCATCAAACTAAATGCTAATAGTAATAACCATGTTACAACATTGTTTCGAAGCCAGAACAAGGATATATATTCTGCGCTACACAGTACTATATAATTGTTAGTTTAAAAATTTTTTACTAGGTGGGACAATGTTTATTGTTTTATTCACTTCCTTCAGTGAATAGAAATTTTTGATTGTATGGAGGTCTTTATAGCCTATTTATTTATTGTTAAACAAAAGCTATTTAGGAGATTCTTGAGTTATGTGCTTTGGCACAAGTTTCTCAAAAAGATCTGGATGATCTTATTTGATATATTTGAAGATAGACTGATTAATTAAGCATGTCTATTATAAAACTAGAGCAGCAATTTAGAAGTTTTTAGAAAGAGGCATAAGTAATGAGAACAGGCCAGCTGCAATGGCTCACACCTATAATCCCAGCACTTTGGGAAGCCAAGGCAGGTGGATTGCCTGAGCTCAGCAGTTAGAGACCAGTCTGGGCAACATGGCGAAACACTATCTCTACAAAAAATACAAAAATTAGCCAGGCATGGTGGCGTACACTTGTAGTCCCAGCTACCCAGGAGGCTGAGGTAGGAGGATCACCTAAGCCTGGAGAGGTTAAGGCTGCAGTGAGCTGTGATCACACCACTGCATTCCAGTCTAGCCAACAGAGTGAGACCCTGTTTCAAAAATAAAATAAAAATAAATAAAAATAAAAACAATAGTGGAGATCAAAGGAATTAAAAAGTACTAAATGGAAAGCAGACAGAAAATGAGGAAAAAACAGACAAAGAACATATGGGACACATAAAGAATAAAACAACTAGGAAAATGGTAGTAGTGATTTTAAACAAACCATATCAATAATTAGTATCACATTAATCATATAATATATATGATTAATAATATAATATAATTAATCATATTGAGTTGTCATGATGTCTCATTCGTTTGATTCCAGAGCTTTAGGAGGCTGAGGCAGGAGGATCACTTGAGCCCAGGAGTTTGAGGCTGCAGTAAGCTATGATGGTGCCACTGCACTCCAGCCTGGGTGACAGAGTGAGGCCTCATTTCTAAAAATAATGATAATAATAATATACATCAATAATTACATGATATTTAAATGGCGTAAGCACCCCAAGTAAAAGCCAGAGTCAGGGATGATTTTTTAAAAAAATCCCAATTATTTGCTGTCTACAAGAAACTAACCTTAAAAATGAGACATAAATAGGTTAGAAGTAAAAAGGATATTAAAAGGTATACTATGCAATTATGAATTAAAGGAAAGCTGGAGTGACTATATTGATATCTGGCAAAGCACCCCTCAGAACAAGGAATCTTACTATGGATAAAGAGGAACATTACATAATGATAAAGGGGGGAGGGTCAATTCACCAAGAAAGCTTAACAACTCATATATGCACCGAACAACAGAGGTTCAGAGTACATGATGCAAAAGCTGATAGAAATGAAAGGAGAAATAGATAAATTTATAGTTATAGTTGGAGACTAAAGCACTGCTCTCTCAGTAACTGATAGAAAAGATAGCAGATCAGTAAGGAAATGGAAGTTCTGAAAAACACTAGCAACCAAGTAAATCTAATTGATCTTTACAGAACACTTTATCCCACAACAGTAAAGTATACATTTTTTTCTCTAGTGCACTGGGAATATTTACCAAAATAGACCACATTTTGGGCCATAAAATAAATTTCAGCAAACTTAAAAGATTTGAAATCTTGCCAACTATGTTCTCAGACCACTTCAGAATTAAACTATAAATCGGTAACAAAATCCTTAAATACTTAATTACATAACATACTCCTAAATAATTCATAGGTCAAAGACTAAGTCCCAAGGGAAATTAAAAATTATGTTGAATTGAATAAAAACTAAAGCATAACATATCAAAATTTGTGGGATGCAACTAAATTGGTCTTTACAGGGAAATTTGTACCATTAAGTGCTTATAATAGAGAAGACTAAATAAATCTATGATCTACTTGTCACTATGAGAAACTAGAAAAATTAAGTTAAAATTAAACCAAAAATAAAGAAATAAAGAACAGAATCAATGAAATTGAAAACAGAAAAACAAGAGAGAAAAATCCATGAAAATAAAGCCTTGTTTTTTGAAAAAATCAATGAAATTGATAACCTTTTAGCCAGAATGATGAAGAAAAAGAGAAAGATATACATGCCCAATATCAGAAATGAAAAGGGGATGTCATTACAAATTTTACAGGCAGTTAAAAAAAATAAGAGAATTTTACAAACAACTTTATGTCTATAAGCTCATGGAATTTAAATGAAATAGACTTTTTTTTTCTTTTTTTTTGAGACAGGGTCTCGCTCTGATGCCCTGGCTGGAGTGCAGTGGGGCGATCTCAGCTCACTGCACTCTCCGCCTCCCAGGTTCAAGCGATTCTCCTGCCTCAGCCTTCCAGGTAGCTGAGATTACAGGCATATGCCACCATGCACAGATACTTTTTGCATTTTTAGTAGAGATGGGGTTTTGCCATGTCGGCCAGGCTGCTCTCGAACTCCTGGCCTCAAGTGATCCGCCTGCCTCGGCCTCCCAAAGTGCTGGGATTACAGGGATGAACCACCGTGCCCGGCCCACATATTTCTTAAAAGGCACAAATTATCAATGGTCACTGAAGGGGATATAGATAATCTGAATAGTCCTACATCTATTACAGAAGTTGGATTCACAGTTTAAAATCGTGCCACAAAGACAACTCCAGGCCCAGATGGCTTCACTGGTTAATTCTGTCAAACACTTAAAAGTGAAGTAAACTTGAATTTATAAAAACTTATACAAAAAACAAAAGAAATCAATTTTTAATTCATTTAATGAGATGAGCATTACACTGATGCCAAAACTAAATGAAGGAATTTGAAGGAAAATAAAAACCTACAACTTAACATCACTCATGAACACAGACCACAAAAATCCTCAAAAAATCAGCAAATTAAATCCAGCAATGCAAAAAAGATAATTCTATTTAAGAAGATAATACAGGTGTAAATCTTCATAACCTTGGATTATGCATTGGTTTTGTTAGATATGACACCAAATGCACAAGGAAAAAAAGATAAATCAAAATGCAAAACTTTCACGCTCTAAAGGACACTACCAAGAAAGTAAAAAGACAACCCACAGAATGAGAGAAAATATTTGCAAATCATATATTTTATAAGGATGTGTATCTAAACTATAAAAATAACTCTTAAAACTCAAAAATAAAAAGACAAATAACCCAATTAAAAAATGTGCAAAGGGTTTAGAATAGACATTTCTCCAAATAAGATAAACAATAAGCACATGAAAAGATTTTCAACATCATTAGTCATAAGGGAAATGGAATCAAAATCACAGTGGGACACTACTTCACACCCAACACGATGGCTATGATTAAAAAAAAAAGGGCAAATAATAACAAACGTTTGTGAGGATTTGAAGTGATTAGAACCTTCATACACTGCTGCTGCAATTGTAAGACAGTACAGCTACTTTGGAAAATATTAGGCAGTTCTTAAGAGGTTAGCCCAAGAGTTATCAAATTACCCAGAAATGCCACTTCTAGGTATATACTCAAGAGTATTGAAAACATATGTTCACACAAAAACTTATATACAAATGTTCATAGCAGCATCATTCATAATAGCCAAAAAGTGGAAGCAACCCAAAAGTCCATTCTCATTGGTGAGAATTCCATTTTGGAAAACAGTTTGGCACTTCTTTCCAAGTTAAACATATACCATACCATCTATAGTCCATTTGTGTTGCTATAAAGGAATACTCAAAACCAGGTAATTTGTAAAGAAAGAGGTTTATTTGGCTTATGGTTCTATAGACTGTATAAGAAGCATGGCACTAGCATCTGCTTCTGGTGAGGGCCTCAGGAAGCTCCCACTCATGGTGGAAGACAAAGAGGGAGCAGGAATATCACATGGCAAGAGAGGTAGCAAGGGAGAGAGTAGGGAGGCACCAGGCTCTTTAAACAACCAGGTCTCACCTGAACTAACAGTGAGAACTCACTTATTACCATGAGGAGGACACCAAGACATTCATGAGGGATTCGCTCCCATGACCAAGACATCTCTCCCACTAGGCCCTACCTCCAGCATTGGGGATCACATTCAGTATGAGATTTGGAGGAGGCAAATATCCATACCATATCACTGCCCATCTATCCTACTCCTGAGTATTACCCAAAAGAAATGAAAAGTTATACTCACACAAAAACCTGCATGCGGCCAGGCGCGGTGGCTCACACCTGTAATCCCAGCACTTTGAGAGGCCGAGACGGCTGGATCATGAGGTCAGGAGATCGAGACCATCCTGGCTAACATGGTGAAACTCCGTCTCTACCAAAAATACAAAAAAAAATTAGCCGGGCGTGGTGGTGGGTGCCTGTGGTCCCAGCTACTCGGCAGGCTGAGGCAGGAGAATGGCGTGAACCTGGGAGGCAGAACTTGCAGTGAGCCGAGATCACGCCACTGCCCTCCAGCCTGGGCGATAGAGCGAGACTCCATCTCAAAAAAAACCACAAAAAACAAAAAACAAAAAAAAAACAAAAAAGAAACCCTGCATGTAAACGTCTATAGTTGCTTTATTCATGATCACAAAAGCTGAAAGTTATCCAGATTCCTTTAACTGGGGAATGGATAAACAAACTGTGGTATATCCATACAGTGGAATATTACTCAGCAACAAAAAAGAATGAAGTATTTATACATGAAAGAACATAGATAAATCTTAAATGCTTTATGCTGAATGAAAGATACTAGAATCAAAAGTACATACTATATTGATTCCATTTATATGACATTCTGGAAAAGGCAAAACTACGGAACAGATCAGTGGTTGCCAGAGCCTAGGGTTGGAGGGAGTTGCTGACTACAAAGTGGCATGAGGACATTTGGAGGGTGTTGGAACTATTCTGTATCTTGATTGTAGTCCTGGTTACATGATTATATGCATTTGTCAAAACTTGTAGAACTGTATTAAAAAGGGTGGATTTCACTGTATGTAATTTATACCTCAATAAATCTAACCAATAAGATCTATTGGCTGATAACGATGCTTTGTTTGCCTTGTACATCTAAATATAATTTTTTATTAATCCAATTCTGTAGGCATTTTAGACAGCTTGTGTATGGCTATTTGGAAATGGTTCTGTATTGATTTACCTAAAGCCATCTTCCCTTAACCTTCTGGTCATCCCTTTTTGTTTCTTAACCAACTTAAAGAAATTTTTTTAAGGTTTAAATAATTTCACCTTAGATAGATTCTTTTTGTGTTTCTTATAAGTATTTATTAAGTTATTTTATGGTTGATCAGGATTGTCTTGTATGTTTTTGGTCTTTGTATTTAGTTACTTTTTAAAACCATGAAGAGTTTTGTTTTCAGCTTGGCTAAAGACTTTTCTTCAATTTTTTATTTTATTCTTTTTAAACTTTTTAATTCATTTTATTTTTAGGTCACATAGGTACAAAAACACTCAAAAGAGGATGAATTATAGGTAAACTGTTTACTAGCTGAATATTCAGCAAATTGGTTTTGAATGAACTGACTAGTTTGACAACCTTATAGAATTCTTTAAGGGTTTATGTGGATCTTTATATGTAGTTTGGTATCTTTCTGTGATACATTGAATGTAGCGCTAGTGGGCGTTCAGGAGTCCTGCATGCTTGTCAGTGTGTAGCCTATGCAGAGTCTTTCTAACTACAAGATCCAAATGTCCTTCAGATCTCACTGATAAGCAGTGAGACTGTCAACAAGGTGCTGCTGATTAGGTGCTGGCTATTTCCATGGTTTTCTTCTATTCTTTCATTATGCAGAAGATAGTGTTTGGTGAAGGCAAATACATGTTTTTTTTGTTTTTTTTTTTTGTTTTGTTTTTTGCTGATTAGAAGGAAACTATTTTATGTTCCAATCCTGAATGCCTAAAGACTTCTGCGCGTATCAGCAATGATGAGCACACATCACCCTCATGAGCATCAGCACATTGGATGTCGGCAACACTCTGTATGGACATTCAATTTCCTCACTAGAGTTTGTAATGGTCTATGTGTTAACTCTTATGCAATATCATAGCAAAACTATCACCTTAGATTGTCCATGGAAGCCACATAAATGCAAATACATTTACCTCACTGAGATTGTTTTATTTATTAGTAACATATGTTTTGTGTCCAAGGTACTGATATTATTTAGAATTCTAGAAAAAGTGAATACAAGAAAAAGTAGAATCAAGAGTGAGTAAGTATTTTAGGATGAACAACAGTAACTCTTCAGTAATTCTGTATTGCTCTCACAACCTCAAGATAAAATCTATACTCCTTAATGTTATTTAAAAGGCTATTTGCAATCATGACCCTTTCTACCTCTCCAACCTTTCTCTCTCTCATCCTGTGACCTAATACTGCTACACTTATGGTTTGTCTCCTCTTTTGCTTCCCTGCTCAACCTAGCTAGCTTTGCTTCGGGTCAGAGAGTGAAGTGCGTGTTCTGTGGGAAACCTCTCCTAAGTTGAGTGTCTCTGTAGGCTCCCACAGAAGCCTACACTGTAGTATTTGTAACACTCTACTATCATTGTTAACTTTTGTATCAGTAAGAGAGCGCCTGGAGATGTTAAATAGTTAAAACATTTTTTTAAACTTGAAGAACAAGGGGCCTGCAGTGACTTTGGTGGCCTTACCAAGTTTTCTTGGTGGTTCTTTTTCTGTTTGTGATTATTTTTAACCCATTTTATGACTGTGAAAATACTGAGATGCATTGGCTTTTTTTCCCTCATTCTCCCTCCTTCAACAAGTTACTTAACTTCTCTGGATTCGATTTGTTAATCTGTAAAAATTGAAATAACATATAGTTAATATAGGATTGTTAAGAGAATTAAAAACGTACCAGGGGCAAGAAGTGCCTCACATTTGTGGCTCAGGTTTATTGATCTCTCTAGTGGAAATAGAAGACCTAGGGGTAGGGCTCCTGCTGACAGCTGGAGGTCATTATTGCTCTCACTATTAGGTGTTAATCATCCTAAAAGTGATTTTCTCTGACCTTCTTTTTCTTTTTCTCTTTCTTCTCATAGTGTCTCAGTCGTGAAGAAGGTATTAAGTGGATCAAAAAAGAAAGACTTCCAGCATTTCTGGAAAGTGATTGTTACTTTGAATACAGGTACTATAGTCCCATCAATATATGTATTTTTAAATACATATATATTAGCCTCCCAATTTGCTAGGACTACAGCTGTATGCCACCATGTGTGGCAAATCTTTTAAATTCTTTGTAGAGTCAGGGTCTTGCTATATTGCCCAGGCTGGTCTCGAACTCCTGGCTTCAAGAGAGCCTCCTGCCTTGGCCTCCCAAAACCTGGGATTACAGGCGTGAGCCTCTCCAACCAGCCATATTTTAAAAATTATCTATTGGTGATAATGGTATTTAGGTGCAGGGCGTTTAACAATGAATACTAGTGTGACGCGAAAAACATAGAATGCCGTAGTCCAGAGCCAAGTTTTTCCTTTATGTTCCCTGACTTTTAACATGTAAGAACCTAAAATTTGACCTCTGAACAACAATTTTTAAGTCAAAATCAATTAAAATGAATAATTATTAACTAATTAGTAGTTTTATGAATAAGCTATTAATTTTAGCAGAGCCAAAGAAAATCATCATCAAGAGTGAGGAGAGGAGATTGGCTTGAATACATAAAATTTTAGGTTTTTTCCCTGAATTCTGCCATATTTGAAACTTGTTTTAAATTTGTATGATTTCTAAAATGCAGGTTAGCCAAATTGGTCTCACAAGTAAGATGGAGCAAGTCCGGCATGAATTTCACAGTAGGATCAAATTTTTCTCCCTGGATCGTGAAAAAACCACCCAGTCTACCACCTCCTGCCACTGAAGAAGATAATCTTGTAATTATGAAAAAGTTCTATGTATCACTTGGTGAGGTAAAAGTATGAGCATTTTTTCATGACTTAGCGCTTCACTAACACTTCTGATTTTATTTTTTATTTTATACATATATTTTTTGAGACAGGATCTCACTCTGTCACCAGGCTGGAGTGCAGTGATATGATCATGGCTCACTGCAGCCTCCATCTCCCGGGCTCAGCTGATCCTCCCATCTCAGCCTCCTGAGTAGCTGGGACTACAGGCATGCATCACCACACCTGGCTAACTTTTTTTTTGCATTTTTTGTAGAGACGGGGTATTACCATGTAGCCCAGGCTGGTCTCGAACTCCTAGGCTCAAGGAATCCACTCACCTCCGCCTCCCAAAGTGCTGGGATTACAGGCGTAAGCTACCACGCCTGGCCAGAATTTCTCATTTAAAGCATTTGTATTACCTGAACAGAAAAAATGATTTCAAATACATGTAAAGCAGATTTAGCAATACTTCTTATAGATTTATGCTAACTAATTTGCTCTGCTCTCTTTTTTTTTTGGTATTCACCTCTGCCTCCCAAAGTGCTGGGATTACAGGCGTAAGCTACCACACCTGGCCAGAACTTCTCATTTTAAGGCATTAGTATTACCTGAACAGAAAAAATGATTTCAAATACATGTAAAGCAGATTTAGCAATAATTCTTGTAGATTTATGCTAACTAATTTGCTCTGCTCTCTTTTTTTTGGCATAACTACATATGATTTAATAACACATTATACACCATTAAATACTAAAACAATACAAAAAACCCACAATTATAAATTTCAACAAGAAATAACATAGCTATAATGACATATACCCAAAACCCAGGAAAACAGTGTTCCTTAATTTGGTCAGAAATCTCTATGAAGCTGAAATTAACTGTCCGAGAAAAAACTGAAAGTAGAGTTCTTGATAGTAAAGACAATACATTTCAGTCTTGACCCTTCATATTGGTCACACCATTGTCCCTTGATCTCAAATAGTTTTTTGAAATTAGGCTTTTTCGTTATATTTTTCATACTCAAAGATCTGAAACATCTTATTAAAATTTCTCAATTTTTTCTATTTAACATTTTCTCAATATGTCTAGAAGAGTGAGAGCAAAGGATTGATAAAAATTTTACATTCACAGTGCTATTTTAAAAATCTTATGTTCTCATTTGTTTTAAATTCTCAACTTAGCAGTCTCCACACTGTTATCCTGCTCTTTTCCCCTGGAAACCTAAAAAGAACTCTGAGATGTTAAAATTGTAAATAAATCTCTTATTTAGAGAATTTCTTGAATATTTATCACTTAGATTCGTTATTTTTCTTAGTTGACTCTCCTAGTTTTGTTTTGTTTTTTTTTTTTTTTTTTTTTGAGACAGAGTCTTGCTCTGTCACCCAGGCTGGAGTGCAGTGGCATGATCTCTGCTCACTGCAACCTCCACCTCCAGGATTCAAGCAATTCTCCTGCCTCAGCCTTCCGAGTAGCTGGGATTACAGGCACGTGCCACCACGCCTGGCTAATTCTTGTATTTTTAGTAGAGATGGGGTTTCACCATGTTGGTCAGGCTGGTCGATCACGAGGTCAGGTGCTCTGCTCCCTTTAATTTGAAATGTAGTTAGAAATATTATCCTCGTGTCTGAAGAGACAAAGGCAAGGTTGAAGAACATGCTGTGTCACCTGGGAAGCAAGAGTAACTTGAATTATATCCATGGTTTCATTGTTCATTCCAAAATTGCTATAATTTGGATTCATTTCTTTTGTACAAAAAGATAAATTGAGTCTTTTCCTTCCTGTTCTCTAGGTTATTCCTTAGTAGTAAAATGTGTTATTGTTTAGTTGTTATCAAATACATTTGTCCTCCATGATTAGAGAAATGTGAGGTTGTATGAGAGCATTTGAAGAGATTTAACCTAGAATCAAATGTCCTTTTGGAGAGTCATAATGTAGTGAGAACTGTTATTTGATCTTTGGCCTCTAATTGTTAGATCTTATCTCTGGAACTATACTTCTAATACACAATTCTATACAAAATCAGGAATGGCATCTATGTAGCCCTTGTGCTGCTACTCCCTATGACAGATATTGTTAATCAATTGTGGAAATTTTTTCTGCTGAGCTAGGATTTGGCTCCAGATTCTTTACAACACAGCATTCTGGATAGGCACTTCCAAACTTGCAAATAAGGCACTTTCAGTTGATCAAAATTATCATACAAGAGGAAGCCTCTTTGCTTTCTGTGTTGGAATAGATAGGCTAAGGTTACTTGAACTTTTTTTTTTCATTTGCATCTGCTATTAATTTTGTAGTTCAGCATTTCTATCAGCAATATTTGTCAAAAATGTTCACAGTTATGCCAGTTCCATTATTTCCACTGGATAATGTTTAGTGGTGTATTTAAGGCACATTTTTCTTCTCTCTTATACTGATTTTAAGTATTTTTTCTTCTTTCTTTTTTTTTTTTTTTGAGACAGGGTCTCACTTTATCACCCATGCTGGAGTGCAGTGGTACAATCTCAGCTCACTGCAGCCTTGACCTCCCAAGGTTCAAGGGATCCTCCTGCCTCTGCCCCCCAAGTAGCTGGGACTACAGGCATATGCCACCACTCCCTGCTAATTTTTGTATATTTTTTGTAGAGACGGGGTTTTGCCATGTTGCCCAAGCTGGTCTTGAACTGCTGAGCTCCAGCAATTCACTCACCTCAGCCTACCAAAGAGTTGGTATTACAGGCGTGAGCCACTATGCCTGGCCATATTTTTTCCCTTAATTTATATACTATAGAAATGTTGGAAATGTCCTAAAAAATATGTACTCATAGTTGAGGTCAATAAACATGTAAAGGGAAGAATCAATCTGGGGAATAAGTTCTGATTTGCTATATGTGAATTTAATTAAATATAAGGGAGTTAAAATCCAAACTAGTTTACCTTTGCTATTTTCTGAGATTAAAAAACTCATTTGTATTCACTTGAGTAATACTTTAACACTGTATATATATATACAAAATGTTTTTTGTTGAGACAGGGCCTCACTGTGTTGCCCAGGCCAGAGTGCAATGATGCAATCATGGCTCATTGCAGCTTCAACCTCCCTGGCTCAAGCGATTCTCCCGCCTCAGCCTCCCAGCTGGGACTACAAGAGTGCATCACCATTCCTGGCTAATTTTTAAAAAATTATTTGTAGAGACGGGGTCTATGTT
This sequence comes from Homo sapiens, assembly GCF_000001405.40. Classification (NCBI taxonomy): domain Eukaryota; kingdom Metazoa; phylum Chordata; class Mammalia; order Primates; family Hominidae; genus Homo; species Homo sapiens. The sequence continues at coordinate 100,068,201 of NC_000008.11, read as the reverse complement.
GCCCAGACTGGTCTTGAACTCCTGGGTTCAAGCCATCCTCCAACCTCAGCCTTCCAAAGTGCTAGGATTATAGGCATGAACCACCACACATTGCCGCTTTAACTATATATTACCATTTTTCAATAGCTTTTGAATTTTGCAGATTCAAAGTTCTTGGACCCTTACATTATTTATGTCATGATTATACATAGGGATTAATCTTCATGATAATTGGTAATATTTCTTTGAGCCCTAAGTTATACCATCTAAAAAACAATTGGCACATCTCTTAAAAGTATAGGCCGGGCGCGGTGGCTCACGCCTGTAATCCTAGCACTTTGGGAGGCTGAGGCGGGCGGATCATGAGGTCAGGAGTTCCAGACCAGCCTGACCAACATGGTGAAACCCCATCTCTACTAAAAATACAAAAATTAGCCAGGCATGGTGGTGGGCGCCTGTAATCCCAGCTACTCGGGAGGCTGAGGTGGGAGAATTGCTTGAACCCAGTAGGCAGAGGTTGCAGTGAGCCGAGACTGCACCATTGAACTCCAGCCTGGGTGACACAGTGAGACTCTGTCTCCAAAAAAAAAAAAAAAAAAAATGTATAAAGTGGAATAATTATGTTAAAGATGTTAAAGTCTGACTGATGACTTCTTTCTCTCCTGTGTCCTACTCCCTCATTCTTTTTTTGCAGTTGAAATAGCAAGGACCTTGTATGTTGGTCTCTCTGAACTCCTTGAATGTTTCTTAATTATTTTGGCCTCCTGCTTAGGCTATTGCTTAGAATAAAGTAGTCACTCGATAATTATATGTTAGATGAATGTATAATTAATAATAAGTAACTTGATTTTAAAGGAAAAGGGGAACAAAAGTGAATTAGTCTTTGAAAGCTTTTATGCACCCAGGAAACCTTACCTCTAAGAGGGATGGTGACTACATAGATGCCACCTCTGATTTCTCTGTCTTGCTTTGGTCTTCTTATGTGGCTTGACTTGCTATGTTAATTCTGCTTAATAGATAGGGAGTAATTTTTCTTCCATTTGAGGTACCTATTCTCCAAGTGTTTCTTAGACTAAGTGCTGACCAACCAGCTGACTGAGTTGGATAAATCAGAAATGAGAGGAATGCTGGAAACTCTCTTCTCTGCTCTTGTTGAACAACTTGGATTCTCTAGTAAAAATAAAAAAGGACATTACAGAGAGAGGCAGGCAGAGGAATCTTCCCAAGAAGGCTAGGATAGGAGCTTCTTAGGGCTGGGGTTCTAGAAGCTAAGGATCAACTTCAGAATTGAATTGGCTAGTTCAGGGGTACATAGAGGAAAGGAAAAATGGAATGCTCCATTCAGGGGCAGATGGAGTCAGGAATCAGTCTGCAAGAAGCATTCAATCTAAGCAAACTTGTGAAAACTGAATCTAATGCAAAGGGGCAGCTGAGTTTGGAGAGGTTCCAGTGGCACTAAGAATAGTGTCTCTGTCATACTGGGGGAGCAGTTGTTAAAAACACTGAGCCAGGTGAGACAGAATGGGGGACCTGAAGTAATTGGGAAAGTTGTAAAGGGGAGCAGCTAGCAAAAGGATTGATGGGCCTGGTGACTGCCCATCACCAGGATTGTAGTGAATCCAGGAAGTAGGGTTTCATGCCTTTGGTCAACAATAGTCTGAGAGTGAGAGTGGAGAATTTATAGGTATTGGACACATATTTTCCTTTGGTTATCAAATATGAAAAAAAAATCTGGATTGAAATTTCCTTCAGTGTCCTCTTAGCTAATTAATTTTTTCAGTAGAATTTTATTTTCCTTCATGAGATAATTTTCACTTTACATATTGTACTGTGCAAGTTGAATATTATTATAATGATTTTTCCAGGTTTGTGATCAGAGTAATACTGCTAATCATATGTTAAACTAATATGCTCCCTTCTTCCTAGGCTTCCTATACTCAAACAAAAGATTGGTTTGCATTAGCAAAACAAAGTCAGCAAACAGTATCAACCTTTTCGTTACCCTGTTGTGTACCCTACAACAAACTTAAATCACCAGCTATTTCATCTGTTTCTGGTAAGCAGAAAAGGACAAGAATGACTTCAGAACTTCTCTTTAAGTTTTTGTTTGTTTGTTCTAATTTTACAGTACAGTACTTAGTGGTTGGGGAGAAAAAATTATCCACATACGCTTTGCCTCACTCGACTTCCTATGTTTTTTGAGAGACAACTTTGTATAGTGAAAAGGAGATGGGTTTAGAATGCAACTCTGATATTTATTAGCTGTGTGATGTTTGATGAGTTTTTCCACTTCTGGGAGCCTTGCCTTTTCTCATCTGTAAGATTAGAATAATGATATATACTAAATGGATAGAAAATGCCTGGCCTGGTGCTTGGTACCTAATATGCAGTCAATCAATGTCATTATTTCTTATCACAGTTTATAAATTCTTGTTAAGTCTTTGCAATAAAGTGGGTACAACATTTTTCCCTTCCTAAAAAAAAATTATTGATGGAAATTGAGTTTCCCTTCTGTTTTTAAGTTCAGACTATTTTTCACCTTAAAAAGCAGATAAATTTCTACTGTGGGGAGCTTTGTGGATATACTGACTTTTCATAAAAATAAAAGGAATCTTCCAGAAATGGGAGTCATTAACAGTGATATTGTTAGAGAAAAAAACTTAAGTGTGAGGACTCAGAAGAAGAACCCAGGAATTCACTTACAGTTCTTAACTAATCTCTTTAAGAAGTATAAGCAACCTCTGGGGAAGTTAAATCTGGATTCCCTAGAATTGAACCTGAGTCTAGGTAAAGAAGAAAATAATCTCCCCAATTGAAAATACCTGGATTCATAGGCTTCTTGTTGTTTTCCCAAAATATTGAAGTATATAATTGGAGATAAAAATAGTATACAGGAAGAGAAGGATGGCAGGAGATGGTGAGCTGGAATGCCTGCCTCGCTCTGTGCGACATCCTCCCTTCAGTTCCATGGGATTGAGTGTACATCCAGCATCCTCTCACAGATTTACAAAGTCTAATCTCTCAATATTGGGGAATTTACTTGCAATAAAAATTGTAATGAAATGTTTCCAGTTCATTGAGATTTGAACTCTGGTAATTGAGAAAATGGTCATTGAGAATGGGGCATGGATGACAACAGTTAACTGATCTGTGGCAATTCAAGGCGCAGATTTACTATGTGAAATAAAGCACTAACGTCAGACATGTCACTGATTTTTGAAAGAGAAAATAGGAGCTGAATACTATATCTTTAGAAAAAGCATACAAATAATCCCTTTGTAAACCTTCATAAGTATCTCGTGCCATTTTGTAAGTTTAATGATAGACTGTAAGTTTGATAGTAATTGAATCTTTTAATGAAATGGTGAATTTTAAAACTTGCTATTATTGTTTCCAGTTCTGGTCTGTTCATACATGGTCTCAATCTATGGTAGTGAATTTTCTTTTATCATACAACATGAAATATCAAAGCACATATAATCATTTAGTATACATATTCTAATTCCTTAATAGATTTGGCCCTTATATATTGATATTATATATTAGTCTGGAATATTACATTTTAAAAGTACATAATGTATTTTTGTATATCTTCTGTGTGTTAGGGATGTCAAATATTTAGTCCATCTGCCACCATTCTTTTCCTCCAAATCCAGGGAAGACAAGGTTAATTCCCATTGGCAGTTTTTTTCTACTGGTTCCAAATGTAGCCTCAGAATCCTTCTTTTTTTTCTTTTTTGTTTCTTTTCTTTTCTTTTTTGAGACAGAGTCTTGCTCTATTGCCCAGGCTGGAGTGCAGTGGTATGCTCCCAGCTCACTGCAACCTCTATCTCCTGGGTTCAAGCGATTCTTGTGCCTCAGCCTCCAGAGTAGCTGGGATTACTGTGCCACCAAGCCTGGCTAATTTTTGTATTTTTAGTAGAGAAGGGGTTTCACCATGTTGGCCAGGCTGGTCTGGAACTCCTGACCTCAAGTGATCCACCCACCATGGCCTCCCAAAGTGCTGGGATGACAGGCGTGAGCCACCGTGACTGGCCCAGAATCCTTCTTAAGACACCGGTCCATGCAGTCACTACCTATGATAAACCCATTTGCCATTCTGGCTCTATAGCATCTATTTAATAATAAGAAAGGTTTGTATTCATATCTAATCTAATAGCTTTTTATGACTTAATACAGAGAATTTTATCTTTGATGATGGAGTTCACCCTAGGACAAAAAAGGACCCATCTAAAACCAACAAATTGATTTCTGAATTTGAAGAAGAAGAAGGAGAAGAAGAAGAGGTGTCTGTATCTCTACAAGACACTCCTTCTCAAGCTCTTCTGAGAGTATACCTTGAAAAGAAACAGGATGTTGATGAAAGCCTGACAATGCATTTCTCAACATGTGAAGAATTTTTAAGCTCCTATATATACTTTATTTTGAGAGGAGCAATTCAGCAAATTGTTGGAAAGCCAGTTGGAGAAACCCCAGACTATATAAACTTCAACAATATAACAAAAGTGTCATTTGATGATTGTTTTGAGTCTATTCATGGCAAGAATTTTTTAAGTGAATTAGTTCAAACTACAAAGGAGAGGTCAGAAGAGATAGAACAAACAAGTTTAAGTTCAAAGAATGAGAGCGCTGGACCAGAGAGCAGGGCGGACTGGTGTATTTCTCATAGGACTTATGACATTGGCAATAGAAAGGAGTTTGAAAGATTTAAGAAATTTATAAAAGGTACATTGGGAGAGAGATATTGGTGGCTATGGATGGATATTGAGAGGTTAAAAGTTCTTAAGGATCCTGGAAGACATCAAAGGTAATTCTATTTTTTTATTTTTCAATAGTTTTAAAAACAAATTATGAATATTAATTTGGGTTATTTAGCACAGGGAGAAAGCCCAAAGTAAATTTTAAAAAATGTAATTTTTTACTCTTGGAGGAATGAATGATAATAAAACTTATTATAATAGTAAATATTGATCACACTAGTTTTCTGATTTCATAGTTTTCAGATACTAATGATAACAGTTATTTGGGTTTGCGTAATGTTTCTGCCCATACATTCTAGAACTACTTTCAAATTAATTATTCTATTTTCATTTTTATAACATTAAAATGATGTATAATTTTTATAGAATAAAATAATTTATCAGTTATATAACCACACTAGCATAAAATAGACACCTACTCTCCCTAGCAGCCTGCTTGGTTAACAAATTCCATAACCTTGGTTGGATGCCAGGTAGCTGGGTATCTGGATGAGTCTCTCCACTAGAGAACTTCTTGGAGGTCTGATGGGGCTCAGGTCTTTGGTCAGCTCTGTATGTTTTAGATTACTGTAAGTTGAAGAACCTTAAGAGAACCCTGTTTTAGGAAAGTCTTTAACTTGTGTTTATTCTCCTGAATATTCAACTACATTTTGGTAGTTGAATATTCTACCAATGTGTGTGTGTATATATGGAAATGTGTTTTATTTCAGACATCTTGAGAAGATGAAAAAATGCTATCTAGTGAGCAATGGAGATTACTACCTTTCTGCAGAAATCTTATCAAAATTTAAACTGTTAGATGGATCACAGTGGAATGAAGAGCATTTAAGAAATATTCAGTCTGAAGTTTTAAAACCTTTACTTCTGTATTGGTAAGAAAACATGAATCAGTTACTTACTTTCACTTTCCTTACGCCAGTTATGAGTTATACTTTTTTTGTCTTACGGATATATAACTTATGGAAACATAAAATGACAAGACTATTGTATCTTTGGCCTTCTTTAAGGTACTTGTCCTTTAGATAATTTGGATGTTTGGGTGACTTTAAATCCATAATAAGGTGGGACAGTATTTAAGTTGCCTTTTAACTTTGGTGAGCATATTCTTTTTTTTTTTCAGCAGAATTTATGTTTTATTTATTTATTTACTTTTAACTTCTATTTTAAGTACAGGGGTACATGTGCAGGTTTGTTACATAGGTAAACTTGTGTCATTAGGGGTTTGTTGTATGGATTATTTCATCACCCAGGTGTTAAGCCTTATATCCATTAGTTATTTTTCCTGATCCTCTCCTTCCTTTCTATCTTCCACCCTCTGATAGGCCCCAGTGTGTGTTGTTCCCCTCTGTGTATCCATGTGTTCTCATCATTTAGCTCCCACTTATAAGTGAGAACATGATATATTTGGTTATCTGTTCCTGTGTTAGTTTGCTGAGGATAATGGCCTCCAGTTCCATCCATATTCCTGCAAAGGACATAAACTTGTTCTTTTTTATGGCTGCATAGTATTCCATGGTATATATGTACCACATTTTCTTTATCCAGTCTATCACTGATGGGCATTTAGGTTGATTCCTTATCTTTGCTATTGTGAATAGTGCTGCAATGAACATACACATGCATGTGTCTTTATAATAGCATGATTTATATTCCTTTGGGTATATACCCAGTAATGGGATTGCTGTATCAAATGGTATTTCTCTTGTTAGGGCTTTGAGGAATTGCTGCACTATCTCCCACAGTGGTTGAACTAATTTACACTCCCACCAACAGTGTATAAGTCTTCCTTTTTCTCCACAACCTCATCAGCATCTGTTATTTTTTGACTTTTTACTAATAGCCATTCTGACTGGCTTGAGATGGTATCTCAGTGTGGTTTTGATTTGCATTTCTCTAATGATCAGTGATGTTGAGCTTCTTTTCATATGACTGTTGGCCACATGTATGTCTTCTTTTGAAAGTGTTCATGTCCTTTACCTACTTTTTAATGGCTTTTTTTCTTGTAAATTTGTTTAAGTTCCTTACAAATGCTGGATATTAGATCTTCGTTTGATGCATAGTTTGCAAAAATTTTCTCCCATTCCATAGGTTGTCTGTTCACTCTGTTGATAGTTTCCTTTGCTGTGCAGAAGCTCTTTAGTTTAGATAGATCCAATTTGTCAATTTTTGCTTTTGTTGCAATTGCTTTTGGCATCTTTGTCAGGAAATCTTTGCCTGTGCCTATGTCCTGAATGGTATTGCCTAGGTTGTCTTCCATGGTTTTTATAGCTTTTAAGTTTTACATTTAAGTCTTTTTGTGTTAATTGTTGTGTGTGGTATAAGGAAGGGATCCAGTTTCAGTCTTCTGCATATGGCCAGCCAGTTATCCTAGCTCCATTTATTGAATAGGGAATTCTTTCCCCATTGCTTGTTTTTGTTGGGTTTTTCAAAGATCAGATAGTTGTAGGTATGTGGTCTTATTTCTGCATTCTCTATTGTTTGATTGGTCTGTGTGTCTGTTATTGTACCAGTACCATGCTGTTATGGTTACCATAGACCTGTAGTATAGTTTGAATTCGGGTAGTGTGATGGCTCCAGCTTTACTCTTTTTGCTTAGGATTGCCTTGGCTGTTTAGGCTCTTTTTGGTTCCATATGAATTTTAAAATAGTTTTTTCTAGTTCTGTGAAGAATCTCAATGGTAGTCTAATAGGAATAGCATTGAATCTATAAATTGCTTGGGGCAGTATAGCCATTTTAATTATATTGATTCTTCTTATCCATGAGTATGGAATGTTTTTCCATTTGTTTGTGTCACCTCTGATTTCTTTGAGCAATGTTTTGTAGTTCTCCTTGTAGAAAATTTTCACCTCCCTTCTTAGTTGTATTCCTAGGTATTCCTAGCTATATTGCTAGCTATATTCCTAGGTATGTTTTTTGTGGCAGTTGTGAATAGGGGTATGTTCCTGATTTGGCTGTCAGCTTGGAGCACATTCTTCTATATGTGACATTTTTATGATTGGTATTTCATAAAGTTGGGGTGCGTGTGTGTGTGTGTGTGTGTATATATATATATATATATACACGTAGCTAAAGTTGCAGATTTATCATCTTAATAAACTTTTTTTGAGTATTACTATAGACTAAGTGCTATGCTGAGAATACAAGGGTGAAACATGATCAAATCCTTGTGCTCATAGTGTGATGGGAAGAACATACATGTGACATTAGTATAATAAAAGAAAGTATGGTATATGCACAGGATATAGAGAGGAGGTAATATTTTACCTGGGAACTTGAGGGACTTGAAGCAAGGGAAAGAGAATGGGCATAGTGGAAAAAAATATATACCATTTGAAGATCGGTGAATTGTTCCATGTGAGTGTGATCGATCTGATTGTGTCACTTATCTACAGTAGACTTTTTATTTTAAGATAACTGTAAACTTATAGTCAAAGAAGGCTAAGCATGATGGCTCATGCCTGTAATCTCAGCACTTTGGGAGACTGAGGCAGGAGGATCGCTTGAGGCGAGGAATTTGAGACCAGCCTGGGCAACACAGTAAGACTCCATCTCTATTTTATTAAAACCATTTTTTTAAAATAAAGAAAAATTAAAAAAGAAATAATACAAAGATATACTGTGTATCTTTCATATATTTTTCCCCAATGGTAACATCTTGCATAACTATAGTACAATATCACAATGAGGACATTGACTTTGATACAATTTCTTTGTTATTTTTCTCTCTGGAGGATCTGTCCAATGCTGAAAGTCAGAGGTTGAAGTCTCCAGCTATTGTTGCATTGGGACCTATCTCTCTTTGTAGTTCTAATAATATTTCCTTTATATATCAGAGTGCTCCAGTGTTGGGTACATATATATTTAAAATTGTTATATCCTCTTACTGAATTGACCCCTTTATCATTATATAGTGACCTTCTTTGTCTCTTCTTACAGTTTTTGTCTTGAAATCTGTTTTGTCTGATAGAAGTATAGCTACTCCTGCTTTTTTTTTTTTGTTTCCATTGACATGGAACATGTTTTTCCATCCCTTTATTTTTAGTTTGTATGTGTCTTTGTAGGTGAAGTGTGTTTCTTGTAGGCACCATATCAATGGGTCTTGTGTTTTCATCCATTCAGCCACTGTGTCTTTTGATTGGAGAGTTTAGCCCATTTACATCAATATCATTATTGATAAGTAAGGACTTCTGCCATTTTGTTGTTTTCTGGTTGTTTTGTGGTGTTCTTTCTTTCCTTCCTTCCTTCCTATCTCCCTTTAGTGAATGTGATTTTCTCTGTTGATATGATTTAGTTTCTTGCTTTTTATTTCTTGTGTATCCATTGTATGTTTTTTGGTTTGAGGTTACCATGAGGCTGGCAAATACTATCTTATAATCCATTATTTTAACCTGATGAGAACTTAACACTGCATAAACACACAAGCAAAAAGAAAACTTCTTTAACTTTGTCCTCCCCACTTTTAAATGTTTTGTTGTTTCTGTTTATATCTTACCGTACTGTCTATGTCTTGAAAAGGTGCTGTAATTATTAATTTTGATTGGTTCATTGTTTAGTCTTTCTACTTGGTATAAAAGTAGTTTACATATCACTATTACAGTGTTATAATATTCTGTGTTTTTCTGTTTACTTGCTATTTATTACCTGTGTGTTTTATACCTTCAGGTGATTACTTATTGCTCATTAACATTCTTTTCTTTCTGATTGAAATACTCCCTTTAGCATTTCTTGTAGGACAGGTCTTGTGTTGATGAAATCCCTCAGCTTTTGTTTGTCTGGGAAAGTCTTTATTTCTCCTTCATATTTGAAGGATATTTTTGTTGGATATACTATGCTAGGGTAAAAGTTTTTTCCTTCAGCACGTTAAATATTAGGTTGGTGCAAAAGTTATTGCAGTTTTTGCCATTACTTTTAATATGTCATGCCACTCTCTCGTGGCCTATAATGTTTCTGTTGAAAAGTCAGCTGCTGGATGTATTAGAGCTCCCTGTATATTGTTTATTTTTCTTGCTGCTTTTGGGTTCCTTTCTTTATCTTTGACCTTTGGGAGTTTGAGTATTAAATGCCTTGTGGTGGTCTTCTTTGGGTTAAATCTGCTTGGTGTTCTATAACCTTCTTATATTTGGATATTGATATCTTTCTCTAGGTTTGAGAAGTTCTCTGTTATTATCCCTTTGAATAAACTTTCTACCCCTATCTCTTTTCTACCTCCTCTTTAAGGCCAATAACTCTTAGATTTGCCCTTTTGAGACTGTTTAGGCATGCTTTATTGTTGTTGTTTTTTTTTTTTTTTGTCTCCTCTGTGTATTTTCAAATAGCCTGTCTTCAAGCTCACTGATTCTTTCTTCTTGATCAATTATGCTGTTAAGACTCTGATACATTCTTCAAAATGTGAGTTGCATTTTTCAGCTCCAGAATTGCTGCTTGATTCTGTTTAACAATTTTAATATCTTTGTTAAATTTATCTGATAGAATCTTGAATTTCTTCTCTGTGTTATCTTGAATTTCTTTGAGTTTTCTTAACACAGCTATTTTGAATTCTCTGTCTGAAAGGTCACATATCTCTGTTTCTCCAGAATTGGTCCCTGTTGCCATATTTCATTCATTTGGTGAGGTTGTTTTTTCCTGGATGATGTTGAGCTAGTAGATGTTCTTTAGTGTCTGGGCATTGAAGAGTTAGTCCATTCTCATGCTACTAATAAAGACATGCCTGAGACTGAGTAATATATAAAGGAAAGAGGTTGATTGGACTCACAGATCCATGTGACTGGGGAGGCCTCACAATCATGGCAGAATACAAAGGAAGAGCAAAGGGATGTCTTACATGGCAGCAGGCAAGACAGCTTGTGCAGGGGACCTCCCATTTATAAAAATCAGATCTCATGAGTCTTATTCACTACCACAAGACCAGCATGGGAAAGACCCACCCACACGATTCCATTACCTCCCACTGGGTTCCTCCCATGACCCATGGGAATTATTACAATTCAAGGTGAGATTTGGGTGGGGACACAAAGCCAAATCACATCATTCCTCCCCTGGCCCCTCCCAGAAATCTAATGTTCCTTTCACATTTCAAAACACCATCGTGCCTTCCCAGCAGTCCCCAAAGTCTTAACTCATTTTGGCATTAACTCAAAAGTCCACAGTCCAAAGTCTCATTTGAGACAAGGCAAGTCCCTTCTGCCTATGAGCCTGTAAAATCAAAAGCAAGTCAGTTACTTCCTAGATACAATGGAGGTACAGGAATGACGTAAATAAACCCACTCTAATTGGGAAAAATTGGCCAAAACGAAAGGGCTACAGGCCCCATGCAAGTCCAAAATCCAGCAGGACAGCCAAATCTTAAAGCTCTGAAATGATCTCCTTTGATTCTATGTCTCACCTCCAGGTCATGCTGATCTGAGAGGTGGGTTCACATGGTCTTGGGCAGCTCTGCCCCTGTGGCTTTGCAGTGTATGGCCTCCCTCCCGACTGCCTTCATGGGCTGGCATTGAGTGTCTGCGTCTTTTCCGGGCACACAGTGCAAACTGTTGGTGGATCTACCATTCCGGGGTCTGGAGGATGGTGGCCCTCTTCTCACAGCTCCACTAGGCAGTGCCCCAGTGGGGACTCTGTGGGGGCTCCAACACCACATTTCCCTTCCTCACTGCTCTAGCAGAGGTTCTCCATGAGTGCCCCGCCCCTGCAGCAAACTTCTGTCTGGACATCCAGGAGTTTCCGTACATACTCTGAAATCTAGGCAGAGTTTCCCAAACCTCAATTCCTGACCTCTGTGCACCTGCAGGCTCAACACCATGTGGAAGCTGCCAAGGCTTCAGAGGGACTTGCACCCTCTGAAGCCATGGCCCAAGCTGTGCCTTGCCCCCCTTTAGCCATGGCTGGAGCAGCTGGAACACAGGGCACCAAGTCCCTAGGCTGTACACAGCAGGGGGACCCTGGGCCCCAGCCCACAAAAACATTTTTTTTCCCCTAGGCCTCCAGGCCTATGATGGGAGGGGCTGCCGTGAAGGTCTCTGACATGCCCTGGAGACATTTTCTCCATTGTCTTGGCGATTAACATTTGGCTCATCATTACTTATGCAAATTTCTGCAGCCAGCTTGAATTTCTCCCTAGAAAATGGGTTTTCTTTTCTGTCGCATCATCAGGCTGCAAATTTTCCAAACTTTTATGCTCTGCTTCCCCTTGAATGCTTCGCTGCTTAGAAACTTTTTCCCCCGGATACCCTAAATCATCTCTCTCAAGTTCAAAGTTCCACAGATCTCTGGGGCAGGGGCAAAATGCCACCAGTCTCTTTGCTAAAACATAGCAAGAGTCACCTTTGCTCCATGTCCCAACAAATTCCTCATCTCCGTCTGAGACCACCTCAACCAGGACTTTATTGTCCACACTATCACCATTTTGGTCAATCCCATTCAACAAGTCTCTAGGAAGTTCCAGACTTTGCCACATCTTGCTATCTTCTTCTGAGCCCTCCAAACTGTTCCAACCTCTGCCTGTTACCCAGTTCCAAAGTTGCTTCCACATTTTCAGTATCTTTACAGCAGCACCCCACTCTACTGGTACCAATTTACTGTATTAGTTCATTCTTATGCTGCTAATAAAGACATACCCGAGACTGGGTAATATATAAAGCAAAGAGGTTTAATGAACTCACAGTTCCACATGGCTGGAAAGGCCTCACAATCATGGTAGAAAACAAAGGAAGAGCAAAGGGATATCTTACATGGCAGCAGGCAAAAGAACTTGTGCAGGGGAACTGTAAGACTTATTCACTACCAGGAGAACAGCATGGGAAAGACCTGCCCCCATGATTCAGTTACCTCCCATCGGATCCCTCCCATGACACGTGGGAATTATAATTCAAGGTGAGATTTGGGTGGGGACACAGAGCCAAACCATATGAGGTAGATATTGTAGTCTTCACTACCTGGGCTTTTTTGTACCCATCCTTCTTGGGAAGGCTTTCCAGATATTTGAAAGGACTTGGGTATTGTGATATAAGCTGTATCTGCTTTAGGGGGCACCCTAAGGTTAGTAATGCTGTTGTTCTTGCAAACTCATAGAGGTACCTCCTGGATGGTCTCGGACAATATCTGGGAGAATCCTCTGGACCCCAAGTGGAGACTTTTGTTCTCTTCCCTTACTTTCTCCCAAATAGAGTCTCTCTTTCTGTTCTGAGCCACCTAAAGCTGGGAGTGGAGTGCAGCTACCACCACTATGACTGTGCTGGGTCAGATCTGAAGCTAGCATATCACTGGGTCTTGCCCAAGCCCTGCTGTAACCACCCCCTGGCTACTGTGTATGTTTGCTCAAAGCCCTGGGCTCTACAATTAGCAGGTGGCAAAGCCAGCCAGGCTTGTGTCCTTCCCTTCAGGGTGGCAAGTTCCCACAGGCCCTAGGTGGGTCCAGAGGTGCCATCCAGGAGTCAGGGACTGGAGTCAAGCACCTTAGAAGTCTACCTGGTGTTCTATTGTACTGTGGCTGAGCTGACACTCAAAGCATAACTTGTAGTGCTTCCCACTGTTCCTTCCACTTTCCAAAGGTGGAGGAGCCTTACCCCACAACCACCATCACCATGGGCCATGAGGAGTTCTGCCAGCCATCCCATGTATGATTTATTTGATAAAAGTCTATAGATATGCCCCCTTACTGGTTGACATGCAAATAAGTAATTTTGAATATTTCCAAGTCTGCAAGTAAAGGTTCTGAAACACAGTAGAGAATGACCACAGAGATCTATACCAAATGCTTTCTGATCCTAAACTAATTATGGACTTTGGATTCTCTTTCACTCCCAATCTGTGTCCATATCAGGAGAGATATCCATCTTTTTCCTATTTTATTTTTAAAATTTTTTAAATTTTCTTAGAGACAGGTTTCACTTTGTCAGTCAGGCTGGATTGCAGTGGCATGGTCATGGCTCACTGCAGCCTGGAACTGCTAAGCTCAAGTGATCCTCTCACCTCAGCTTCCCAAGTAGATAGGACTTACAGGAACATGCCACTATGCTCAGCTAATTTGAAAAATTTTTCTGTAGAGACAAGCTTGGTATGTTGTCCAGGCTGGTTTGAACTCCTGGCCTCAAGCAATCCTCCCACCATGGCTTCCCAAAATACTGGGATTACAGGTATGAGCCATCATGCATAGTCATTCTTCCTATTTTAAAGGGAAGTAATTTTCTACCAGGCCTTGAAATATGGAATAAGAATTAGTCTTTGGGCTGTGGCATTAAGGGGAAGACCTGGTCCAAGAAGCAATTAGCAGCAGGCTCTTACAGCTGGAGTTAACCCTATATCCAATAAAGTGTTAGCCCACATACTGAATACCATGATATCTATCCAATTAAGTGTGGCCTTAATATTGTGCCAGACATTCTTTTCCCTAAGTTTCTGTCAGTAATGTTGGTCTTTGATTTATATAAATTGTTGTAAAATTAATTCTTACCTTCAAATTTAAGGCTTGAAAATAAATAGTATGCATTATAACCTACTTTAGTAGCATACTTAAGCATTATAAAAATGTTTATAGGCCAGGCGCAGTGGCTCACGCCTGTAATCCCAGCACTTTGGGAGGCTGAGGAGGGCAGATCACAAGGTCTGGAGATCAAGACCATCCTGGCTAACATGGTGAAACCTGTCTCTACTAAAAATACAAAAAATTAGCCGGGCATGGTGGCACACGCCTGTAGTCCCAGCTACTTGGGAGGCTGAGGCAGGAGAATTGCTTGAACCCAGGAGGCAGAGGTTGCAGTGAGCTGAGATCGCACCACTGCATTCCAGCCTGGGTGACAGAGCAAGACTCCGTGTCAAAAAAAAAAGTTTGTATGTTTTAAACGTTAATTTTATTCTAACAATTTTTATTATAGATAAATGCCAAAGTGCTTTAAAATTATCCCAAGTACATTTTATATTTATTTTACTAGAAACTGTAAGTTGTTTTAAAAATTCCTTTATGGATAGACAGATTCCTTCCTTCCTTTCCTCCCTCCCTCCCTCCCTCTCTCCCTCCCTCCCTTCCTTCCTTCCTTCCTCCCTTTTTTAGATGGAGTTTTGCTCTTGTCGCCCAGGCTGGAGTGCAATGGCACAATCTGGGCTCACTGCAACCTCCGCCTTCTGGGTTCAAGCAAATCTCCTGCCTCACCCCCCTGAGTAGCTGGGGTTACAGGCGCCCATCACCATGCCCAGCTAATTTTTATATTTTTAGTTTTCTTATCAAGCAGCTAATAATTTGAACATAATTTTACTTATGATGTTTTTCCCAATGTATATTGCCTTTTTGTATGAGTCAATGGGATTGCAGGCAGCTGACATATCACAGAAAAATATTTTTTCAAGGCTATGTAGTAGAGAAAGAAGTAAAAGTTGTTAGAAAAGAGGTATGGCAAGACTGTTAATTGTGAGCACAGCTATTATGTATTTTGTAGGCTTTTCATTTTTGAGGCTTGTTGTTTAGTTCAATCTTACATTTATTTTTCCAATAAACAGGGCACCAAGATTCTGTGTTACTCATTCAGCCTCAACAAAATATGCTAGTGCTGAACTGAAATTCTGGCACCTCCGTCAAGCAAAACCAAGGAAGGATATTGACCCTTTTCCACAAATGGCAACCCTCTTGCCATTAAGACCCAAATCTTGCATTCCACAGATACCTGAGATCCAGGTAGGGTGTACATTCATGCTGTGATCTCTACTAAGTTTGTAGTAAAATATGTATGCTTGAGTGTTTGTGCACTGATAATTTTCATTACAAGCTTTGTTGTGATTTTTGCTAATGTACAAGCTGCAACATTTAGGAAATAAGAAAACCTACAGTCTGTTCTCTACCAAGCAGCCAAAGTGAGCCTTTAAAAATATACAATCATGGCCGGGCGCGGTGGCTCATGCCTGTAATCCCAGCATTTGGGAGGCCGAGGCAGGCGGATCACGAGGTCAGGAGATCAAGACCATCCTGGCTAACACGGTGAAACCCCGTCTCTACTAAAAATACAAAAAATTAGCAGGGCATGGTGGCGGGCGCCTGTAGTCCCAGCTACTCGGGAGGCTGAGGCAGGAGAATGGCGGGAATCCGGGAGGCGGAGCTTGCAGTGAGCCGAGATAGCGCCACTGCACTCCAGCCTGGGGGACAGAGCGAGACTCTGTCTCAAAAAAAAAAAGAAAACATATAAATATAAATATGTATATAAATATATATATACATTTATATACATTTATATATTTATATATAAATATACATATATATGTGTATATTTATATATGTTTATATATTTATATATGTTTATATATTTATATATGTTTATATATTTATATATATATTAATATATGTTTATATATTTATATATAAATATATATAAACATTTATATATAAATATATAAATATATATAAACATTTATATATAAATATATAAATATATATAAACATTTATATATAAATATATAAATATATATAAACATTTATATATAAATATATAAATATATATAAACATTTATATATAAATATATATAAACATTTATATATAAATATATAAATATATATAAACATTTATATATAAATATATAAATATATAAACATTTATATATAAATATATAAATATATAAACATTTATATATAAATATATAAATATATAAACATTTATATATAAATATATATAAACATTTATATATAAATATATATTTATATATAAATATATATAAACATTTATATATAAATATATAAATATATATTTATATATACGTATATATAAATATATATTTATATATACGTATATATAAATATATATATGTATAAACATATATAAATATATATTTATATATGTATAAACATATATAAATATATATTTATATATGTATAAACATATATAAATATATATTTATATATGTATAAACATATATAAATATATATTTATATAAATACATGTATAAATATATATGTATAAATATATAAAAATATATTTATATATATTTATTATATATTATATATAAATATATATAATATATATTTATATATAATATAATATAAATAAATATATAAATATATAAATGTATATATATATAATAAATATATATATAAAAATATATATAAAATCATGTCACTCATCTTCTGAAAATTCTCCAGTGGTCTTCTTTTTCACTCAGAATAAAATCCAAAGTCTTTACACAGTTGTATAAGCTCCTGCTAACCCTCTGACTTCATTTCCTACCACTCTAGCTTACTGCATTCCAACCACATTGGTCTCCTTGCTCTTCTTTGAGGACACCACAGAAAAATCTCCAGGGCTTTGTGCTTGCTGTTTGCCTTGCTTAGAGCACTCTTCCTCCAGATATGCAGATGGCTTTCCCTCTCACTTCCTTTAGGTGTCTGCTCAAGTGCCACTTAATCAGAGAGGCTATTCTTGAGGCTTATTATTTCTATATAAGCACACTTACATAGAATAGCACACATACCCTCCATCACTATCTATACCCTTTGCCCTCCTTTATTTTGCTTTACTATATTTATTACCATGTGATTTATCTATTTATTGTCTTTTACCTCCTACTAGAATGTAAAGAACTTTTCTTTAAGTGCATTTCACCAGTGCCTAGAACAGTGCCTGGCACATAATAGTTGCTGAGTAAGTATAAATTGAATGAATGAGTGAGAAGTAGCAATAGCTGAATTATAAGTCATGAGCATTTTTTCAAATGGGGAAAACAGTACAAAAATATAAAGGGGGAAAGTTCAAAAAGAGAAGAAAAGTTAACTATATAGAGAAGAAATAAATAACCCTACATTTTGGCATAGAGCTGCAGTAACTGTAGATACGACCTGTGTTTCAGAAGTAAAGAGCCTTATTAATCATAGTAGCCCTTAAAGGTGTCACCTGTTAACTGTTATTGGCCATATAGTCACATACAACCTCTTGGAAAGATTGCTTTATATTCAGGATGTCTTATTTTAAAAGGCAGAAGATATATAATGTGGTTTTTAAAGTTTTACTTCCACAAGCAGTGTTGTAGAGCTGGAGGGACCTTAACCCTGTCTGTAGTTTAACCCTGGAAACATTAGAATCACCTGCAGAACTGTTCAGACATACAGGGGTCCCGCCTTCAGAGATTCTGATTTAATTGATCTGGAATGGGTCAGGGTCACTCTGTAAAATCAGGGGTTTGGCTTACAACTGAAGTTCTCAACGCTTCCTGAACATTAGAGCCACATTTTAGAACCTGCAACTTATTAAGATTCTCAGGTGATTCATATGTGAAACACTGCTGTAGACTGGTGGTTCTCAAGCTTTATAGCATTCAGAAAAGTCAGCTGAAGAGCTTGTTAAAATAGAGATTCCTGGGCTTCACCCAGAGATCAAAATCCAGTAGTTCTGGGATGGAACCCAAGGATTCATTTGCTTTTCTTTTTTTCCTTTTTTTTTTTTTTGGAGATGGAGTTTCGTTTTTGTTGCCCAGGCTGGAGTGCAATGGCATGGTCTCGGCTCACCACAACCTCCGCCTCCCAGGTTCAGGCAATTCTCCTGCCTCAGTCTCCCAAGTAGCTGGTACTACAGGCACCCACCACCACGCCTGGCTAATTTTTTTGTATTTTTAGTAGAGATGGGATTTCACCATGTTGGCCAGGCTGGTCTCGAACTCCTGACCCAGGTGATCTGCCCGCCTTGGCCTCCCAAAGTGCTGGGATTACAGGCTTGAGCCACCACGCCTAACCTCATTTGCATTTCTAACAAGCTCTCTCCCTGGTGATGCTCTTGCTGCTGCTTTGGGGACCACATTTTAAGTTAATGTACTTTAGTGCACGAATGTTTCCTCATCTTGGAGCTGTAGTACAGGGAGCACATCATCTGATAACATATGAACATTTGTACAAACAACGTTATTAAGCTGAAAAGAAAGGGGGAAGAAAAATTAAGTGACGTGCTTGATGAAAGGAACTCGAATAAGAGAACAATGCCAAAGGAGTGGGTAGAGATTAGCTTGTGTGAAAAAGTGGTATAAACCTGACTTCTCATCTGTTGTTTTCATTTGACTTCCTGAAAATCATTACCATATGCTGTCATTGGTGTTATCTAGTTGGACAGCTCATTCTGGTCTCACTCTCTGTCTCCTTGGCAGAAAATACTCTAAGGAATAGAGCTCAATTCCATTTTATTTTTCCATACAGAAACTAAGGTATAACTTATATACAGCAAAATTCACCCTTTTTAGTGTATAGTTCTGTAAATTTGGACAAAAGTATACATTGTGTATCCACCATCACACTCATGCTGGAGAGCAGTTCCTTTATACCGCCCTCTGCTACAATCCACTGTGACCCTTCCTCAGGCTTTTTTGTTTTGTTTTTGTTTCCCCACCCATCCCCATCAGTTACTTTCTGGGTACTTCTAGCTTTCACCTAAGCCAGCAAGCTCAAAAAGTCTAATATAGGCCTTTGTCTACATGATATGTTAATTTTTTTTATTTTAAGAAAACTTAAAAAATTATTGTGGTAGAACACATAAAATTTGTCATCTTAATCACTTTTTATATGTATGGGTTCAATAGTATTAGTTATATTCACAATGTTGTGAAACAGATCTCTAGAACTTTCTCATCTTGCAAATATGACTCTGCCCATTAAAGACCAACTCTCCTTTTCCCCATCCCCACAGCCCCTGGTAACTACCACCCTACTTTCTGTTTCTATAAATTTGGCTACTTTTGTATTATATACTTTTAATAATAAGCTCAGCCTCTTGTGGTAACTCTCATTTATAGAGTGTTGTTTAATGTCATGCTGTGTTCTGAATTACTAAAACAGATGTAAGCCCTTATATATGGGAAGTTATATATAGAATATACTTGTTATTAATTTTCTTTATAGAATTCTGAAAAAATTATTAGTAGTTATTACATAGAGTATATATAAGGTTTTATTGTTTGTTCTGGATAATAAAACATTAAAAGTATATTCCTTGCTTTCTTGCAATGTATATAGTATTCTAATGGAAGTTGACGTATTAGAAAAGTTTTGTATGTTTGTTTTTGAAATTATAAAAATAATAAAACTACTGTAAATTTGGAAACTGGAGAAGAGACAAATCACTTCTGATCTTACCTACTTCCAGACAACTACTAACTTATTTTAGGCTGCTTCTGTGAATTTTTTGTTTTACTGTACTTAGACTTTTGTTTTCTGATTATCTCTTTTATCATAAGGATTTTTCCATGTGTGTCATCATTTTTGTAACTACTACTTTTAAGTATTATATAATGTTACATTTATGTATATCCCATTCTCCATTTGGACATTTAGTTGTTTATACTTTTTTTAATCCATGCATCTCATATTCTGGATTTAAATTGTTAACTTTTACCATAAATAACTCTAAGAATGGGAAAAATAACCATGAAATAAATGTCCCAAAATGGAAGGAAATAGTGCTGTTAAGATATAGAGCCCTTCTTATGTGGACCAAGGGTATCTTTGTTTCATTTCCCTGCCCTGTGACCGCTGACACCCGCACCCCCCCCCAGTACACACACAGCCCTCGCCACACATACATACATCTAGCTCTAATACCTATTCAGTTATAGAATAAAGAATCGTTTTTACAATGTTCTTTCTCCAGGAAAGAGTCTTCTTTCACAATGGTGGAAGTAAGGATATAAGCCTTTTGCTCTTCCTTTTTTACAGTCTAAATTGCTGTTTGATTCCACTTTGCAGCTTGCATAAAAGTAGGAGTTGGAGAAAGAAAAAATTTCTATTTTATTGGGAAGCATTGTAGGAGGCAAAGGGAAAGAAAAAGTACTCGAGTGATGAGAACAAATTTGAGGTATAGGTGCAGAGCTGTGCTTTTTTCTCTCTCATTTTCATCTTGCTTATGTTACCATCTTTTAGAAAGAAGAATTCAGCTTATCACAACCTCCTAAATCTCCCAATAAATCACCTGAAGTAAAAACAGCAACTCAAAAGCCTTGGAAGCGGGAGCTTTTGTATCCAGGTTCTTCTAAGGATGATGTGATTGAGAAAGGGTAGGTGCAACTTTTTGTGTGTTAAGTGCTTTTCTGCAATACTAAGCGTTTTAGAGAATTTAAAAACTAAACAGAAATTAAAAACTAGTACTTTGATATTTTTACATGGGTTCTTAATTTTCAATGATATGTATTAGAGGCTTATACTTTGCATGAATACTCTAAATTAGGAGTAGAGTTCCAGATATTAGTAATTTTAAAGAGATGATGCCTCTGATCTCCAGCTTCTCAAGACTTCTCTGAGAAGATTGCCCTCTAATTCTTTTTTGGCTCTATTCAATAATTCTATATTTCTCAAATTTGAGAACTTATAAGACTCTCAAGAATATTGTCAAGAATATTGTTACTGACCAGACACGGTGGCTCAGAGCTGTAATCGCAGCATTTTGGAGACCAGGGCAGGCAGATTGCTTGAGCCTAGGAGCTTGAGACCAGCCTAGGTAATATACTGAGATCATGTCTCTACAAAAGTTTTAAAAAATTAGCCGAGTGTGGTGGCACGTGCCTGTAGTATCAACTACTCGGAAGGCTGAGGGATAAGAATCACTTGAACCCGGGAGGCAGAGTTGCAGTGAGCCAAGGTCATTTCACTGCACTCTAGCCTGGGCGACAGAGTGAGGCGCCATCTAAAAAAAAACAAAAAAACAAAAAACGGTATGAAGGGTTTACCAGTGTCTTTGACTCTCGTAAGCAAAGCCTCAGGAAAAAGCAGCCTCAAATGCCGAAGTCACCTCTGTGAATTCTTATTCTCTGGGTTTTGGCTGAGTTATTCTTGACTACATTGTTAACACGCAGATGCCTTTAAGCAGATTTATTTTTGTAAGTTTTTTCAGCTTATCTAGTTGCCTTCTACCTGAGATTGATCCAAATCACCTTCTCTGCCATTTCCAAAAGTAGCAGTTAATGAGCTTTTGTGGCATTGACACTTTGCTTGCATTGTATAAATTAATTCTTTTTTTTTTAAATTGCAACACCGTTCTGAAGGCACATGTATCTGCTAATTCTTACTGGATCCCCATGAAGAAAGCATTATCATCATTTTTCAAGTGATAAAACAAGTGAAAAGACATATAGTCATGAGTTGACAGAAAAGCTGAATTTTGAAAACTATACATTGTTACGGCTAGAGTATTACAGTGAAAAAGCAGGAGATGAGCTGAAAAGTGAGGTTCAGAATGCTATTTCTTATCTGTCATATTAAAGAATCTGGAGATTATTCTCTATGAACTCAAGAACAACTGGAGAGTTTTTTGTGTGTCATTTACTGAAATTGTTTTATTCTTAAAAATTAGAAATATAAACATAGTTCAAAAATAGTGGCATGCTATACACTTGTTTTGTGCCTTGTTTTTTTATTTTAAATTTTTATTAAAATATCTTAGATTTTTTCCATAGCAGTGATTGTGCTATAGCAATAGATATACCATAATCTATTTTGATTCTTATTCTTGTCATCTTGCCTCCTCCTATGTCTGCTTCTTTCATTTTATACCATACTTTGCATTTGTACTCTATTGATGGACGTGACATTGTTTCTATTTTTTTCTGTTACAAACAATGTTATAGTGGATATTCTTATACATTGCTCTATTTCATATATATATATATCCCCATAAAGAAAACATTATCTTCATTTTTCAGGTGATGAAACAAGTGAAAGGACATACAGGCATGAGTTGAGAGAAAAGTTGAATTATTCAACATTAATTCAACAATTAATATTGTTGAATATATATATTATATATCATATATATTATAAATTCCTAAAAGAATTTTTGAGTCAAAATTCATGTGCTTTTTAAATTTTGCTAGATAATATCAAATTGTCTTTCATAGGAGTTATAACAACTTATACTTCCTTCAGCTTGTATAAGAGTGCCTTTTTTTAACCATTCCTTCACCAACATAGTATGCATTACCCTTTCTAAACATATATTTTAAAAACAGTATTTCTTTTGACTGAAGTTGAACTTTTAAAAAATCTGTTTAAGAACTATTTCTACATTATTTTCTGTGTATTTGTTATTCTCAGAAGGAGGAAAAGCAGGACTGGAGGAGGCAGATGATTTTAATTTGGGGTGCTTCCTAGGTGAATGCTCCGGGGTATAGTACAGTATCTGGCACATAGTATGTGTTCAATTAATATTCGTTGAATGAAGGAATATAGAGCCTAAGGTAGTCTTTTTTTTTTCTTTTTTGTTTTTTTTGAGTGTCTCACTCTCTTGCCCAGACTGGAGTGCTATGGCGTGCAGCCTTGAACTTCTGGGCTCAAGTGATCCTCCCACCTCAGCCTCCCAAGTAACTAGGACTACAGGTGTGTGCCACCATGCCTGACTAATTTTTTTTTTTGTAGAGATGGGTTCTCTCAATGTTGCCCAGGCTGGTCTTGAACTCCTGGCCTCAAGCAATCCTCCCACCTCCCAAAGTGCTGGGATTACAGGCATGAGCCACCAAGCCCAGCCAGTACTCCAGGGATGAGATGAAACTATGTTGGGTTTCCGTTTCTCTACATCCGAATTTTTTGTGTGTTGACAATGTGAATTTTATCTCAATAAAAAATGTAAAACTACATTAGGATATATATTGGGATATACATGTTCAAAACAGTTGAAATCTAGGTTTGGAGCCCAGGAGAGAGATCAATTACAAGTAGAAAATCGAGGAAGCATTACACTTCAGTGGGTAGTTGAAGCTGTGGGCATGGATGAGATGATCATGAGAGAGAGAAGGAGCAGTATATAGTGAGAACTAAGTTATCAAGGTTTACAGTAAAGGCAGAGAATAAGGAACTTGAAGAGAAGACCAAGAAAAGATAATCCGAAAAAAAAAAAAAAAAGAAAGGGTAATCTGAGAGATGGGAGATGTACAAATAAGGAAAGAGTGGTGTCACAGAAGCCAAAGGAAGGAAGAATTTTAGGCTGGGCATGGTGGCTCATGCCTGTAATTCCAGCACTTTGGGAGGCCGAAGTGGGTGGATCACTTGAGGTTAGGAGTTTCAGGCCAGCCTGGCCAACATGGTGAAACCCCGTCTCTACTAAATATACAAAAATTAGCCAGGCATGATGGCTCACGCCTGTAATCCCAGCTACTCGGGAGGCTGATGCAGGAGAATACCTTTAACCCAGGAGGCAGAGGTTGCAGTGAGCCCAAATCGTGCCACTGCACTCCAGCCTGGGCGACAGAGTGAGGCTCTCAAAAAACAAACAAACGAACAAACAAAAAAACCAGAATGAGCAGAATGAGTTGGGAAGTGTCCCCTCCCCTTCTAATTTTGTAAGAATTTGGGAAGAACTGCATATTAGTTCTTCTTTAAGTACTTGATAGAGTTCACCAGTGAATCCTTTTGGGCCCAGGCCTTTTATTTGTGTGGGGAGATATCAAATTATTGATTTAATCTCTACTTGTTATAGATCTATTCAGGTTTTCTTTCTTTTTGAGTAATTTTTGGTAATTTGTGTCTCTCTAGGAATTTGTTCATTTCATCAAATTACCTAATTTGTTTGCATATAGTTCTTCATTCCTAAGTATTCCTTCATAATCCTTTTAATTTCTGTAAGGTTGGTATTGAGGTATCCTCTTTTATTCCTGATTTAAGTAATTTGAGTCTTCTCTTTTTCTTGGTTAGTCTAGCTAAAGATTTTTGTTGTTTTTGTGGTTTTTTTTGTTTTGTTTTGTTTTTTGTTTTTTTTTGAGACAGAGTCTCACTCTGCCCGGCCTGGAGTGCAGTGGCGCAATCTTGGCTCACTGCAGCCTCCACCTCATGAGTTCAAGCGATTCTCCTGCCTCAGCCGCCCAAGCAGCTGGGATTACAGGTGCCTGCCACCACGCCCAGCTCATTTTTGTATTTTTAGTAGAGACGGGGTTTCACCATGTGGACCAGGCTGGTCTCAAACTCCTGACCTCACGTGATCCACCTACCTCAGCCTCCCAAGTGCTGGGATTATAGGCGTGAGCCACCGTGCCCAGCCACTAAAGGTTTCTCTTGGTTAGTCTAGCTAAAGGTTTTTGTTCTCATCAGAAAGAGTATTTTTAATGTGAAGACTTGAGTCTGTTGATATGCCTAGAATAGAATCCAGAGGAAATGGAGAAGCTGAAGATATATGAGAAAAAACAAAGGTCTTCATATTCAAAGGAGAATAGAGGGACAGGTTCAAGAGCCAAGGGAATTAGATTAACCACGGGCAGGAGGTGGGGCGCTTCTTCCTGAGACAACATGGAAAGAAGTAAGGATGGGTACAGGTGGATATGTTTGTTGTTCATACCAAGAATGATTTCAGCTGTAAATACCAGAAACCTAACTAGCAATGGCTTAGATGAATTGACCTAATTTTTCTTACATAACAAGAAATCCGATAATAGGCAACTGCCAGTGTTGGTACAATAGATCAGAAAGATTAGGGCCTGAATCTTTGTGAGGCTCTTGGCCTTTCCCTCATGGTCAGCAGTGTTGCGGCTCCTAATATCAGGCTTTCAAGTCAGAATGGAGGAGGAAGGGCAATTTCCATTAACCCTCTCCCTCTTGTCAGGAAAGCAAGCTTCCTCAGAAGCTCCCTAGCACATTTCATTTTGTATCTCATTAGTCACAACTGTGTCTCATGGCTATGTCTCGCTGCAAGGGAGTCTTAGAAGGTTAATGTTTAGCTTTTTCAGGATCTCAGTGGTACTGTATATAGAAGCATGCCATTCGGCTACATGAGGAAATGGAAACTGAAGCATGTTGTACATACATTTTGTGTGAGAAGAACCTGCAAGGTAATCTGCTGGTGGATTGGAATGGAGGAATATTGGCAAGGTAGAATAGGCATGTTTTATGGAGCAAGAAAATAAGGCTTTAGAATAATTGCAGTGTGGGTGTGGGAGAGGGAGCTGGATAAAAAAATAGAAAAAGATAATATCCAAAGTCATTAGTCTAACTCCAAAGTCTTCCATTATGTCACCCCAAACTAATCTATATAATTCCCTATGAATCTCACCTCTGTGAGGATTAAATATTATAATATGAATTATATCTAGCACAGTGTTTGGTATGTAGTATATAATGTTCACTTTTTAATGTTAGTGTCTTCCTGCCCTAAGCAAATTATGTTTGCTGCCTTTTAAACAAGGATTTCCATACCTACCTTCATTTATTGCTCACTATTTTCCTATCTAAAGAGCCCCTCTAAAACACATTAAAATTTTTTTAATTTTATTAAAACACAAATAAATATTTTATTTTAAAATTACTAATATAGGTTGAAGGAATTTCTCATTCTTGCCCTCTCAAAATATTTATTATCCATCCCAGTCATTTGGCATCTATAATAAACCATCTTGAATTCATCTAACCAGCAGTTATTTTGAGAATTGTCTTTCTGTATAACTATGACTCATTTTCTGAACCACCACTTTAGGGCTAGAACGATGTTTATCCTTTTTTTCCTGAGTCACATTGCTCAGAAGTACTCTTGAGATTCGGTGCTATGTATACCAAAAGTGCTCAAAATTTGTTTGTTGATCAGTTAGTTCTCATTCTTATAATTTTAGTTCTCATCCTTATAATTTAGGTCAAAGTACATGTCAGAAAGCAGCAAAGTCATTCATTTAACATCTTTTACTGACATTTCTGAATGTCTCAAGCCCCAGCTGGATAGAAGATACGCTTATACAGAAGAACCTAGGGTGAGTGTTTTGAGGACTGAATAAACCTGATTCTTCATTTAACTGATCAGTATCTCCTGATTTTAGAGAATTTGTATTGATTTATCATAATATTTTTTCTTTACTAAGCAACACATTTGATTTTTTTCCTTGCCAAAGGATTTTTACACAAATATTTCCTCTGTGTTTTTCTTTTGTAGTACCATGGTTCTATATACTGCATTGATTACTGTTTTCAAACACAATGGTGTTCTGGTTTTGGTATGATGACACTTGAAAGAAAAATAGTATTTGATGTTACATTTTAGAAGCCTAGAATTTTTTTTTTTTTTTGAGATAGAGTCTTGCTCTGTTGCCCAGGCTGGAGTGCCGTGGCATGGTCTTGGCTCACTGCAACCTCCACCTCCCTGGTTCAAGCAATTCCCTGCCTCAGCCTCCCAAGTAGCTGGGACTACAGGCGCACACCACCACGCCTGGCTAACTTTTCTGTATTTTTAGTAGAGATGGGGTTTCACCATGTTGCCCAGACTGGTCTCGCACTCCTGACCTCAGGCAATCCGCCTGTCTCGCCCTTCCAAAGTGCTGGGATTACAGGCATGAGCCACCGCACCCAGCCAAAGCCTAGAATTTTTAAAGGGCAGGGTGTTTCCATGGTACAGCTACCCTGATAATGTGGATTTAATGCACTAGTTCTAAATGAAAACTTCATATTCCCTAAGGATTATACTTTAGGTAGAAACCTTGGCAGTCCTAATACAGTCTGAACACTTAGCTATAATTTTGCATAACTATTTATTTTATTCTATGCAAATAGTACTCCATTTCTTTTAACTGTTTTTTTCTACTAAAATAATGATTTTTTTTTTAGTTTGTAATGCTGATAGTTAAACATAGTAAAAACATTAAATTCTCACTTCAGAATTTGTTTAGCAGGCAGATAGAGAGGTGGAGAAATGGAGAGACAGTAGGACAAAAAGAGAGTGAGAACCTTACTTAAACCCTAAATTTTTTATACCATTATTGTCTTATTATAAAGAAGTAGTCTATGAGTTCTATAAAACATATAGCAAAGAGTTAAACTGAATAGTAGATGCCCTTTCATATTCTGAAGTCACTCCTGTGCTTGGAGAAATAGCCAGCTTTCTGTGTTTCAAAAATTGTATGAGGATTGCCAGCACTGTTGGCAGAGAAGCCTATAAACAGCAACATTTTATGAGAACTTACACTGCCATTTACACTGTGCAGGCCATGACCTATACAGGGTGAGACTGTCCAAGAGGGACCCCCTAAGGATAGTTAATGAGCAGCACCGAGAGGCCTTGGAGATAGTTCTCATCATAACCCTCTGTAGCTATAATAGCAGCACTTCAAGGCTAAAATAACATTAAATATGCATGAAAGAGGCCACCAACAAGGATTTGGAATACTCCTAAAATGGTCTTACTTTGCCTGAAACATGAAAATAATTGAGGCTGGGAAGTTGCTTCAACATTATGTTTAAAATCAGATTGGTTTATAATAGAATATATTCTGTGGCTATAGTTGGGCTCCACAAATGAATCTTATATGACTCTCAAATGCAAACATACTGCATTAATTACATATATGGTACAAAAATAAAATAGTCCAGTGGGAAAATGACAGCATGGTAGAGTTTATGAAATCCTGTTGTGTAATGCCATAAAAAAATTACAATGTTTTTGGGTGGATAATAGACTTCTGTTTTGTTATCTAGGTTAAAACCGTGTCAGATGTTGGTGCCTTGGGAGGATCTGACATGGAAAATTTGTTGCAATCTTTGTATGTAGAAAATAGAGCTGGATTCTTCTTTACTAAATTCTGCGAGCATTCAGGGAACAAGGTAGAAAAGAATTATTTAAAATTTAATTTTATAATTTTACTTCATTTAAAAATGAGACATCAAAATAATTAAGTGCTCACATAATTATATTTGATGTTAAAATTCCCATCTGTGATAAGAAAATTCATATTTAATATTTAGTAAATATTTAAGCATCTCAATTATAATTCTTTTGCTCATCCTACAATTACAAATTACATTGAATAGTGGCAACATTATTTCCAGTTGGTTTTTCAAAATTTAAAAAAAAAAAATCAGTCTTACTTTTGCTCAAATGAAAAGTATTGGCCAGGCGCGGTGGCTCATGCCTGTAATCCCAGCACTTCGGGAGGCCAAGGTGGGTGGATCATTTGAGGTCAAGAGTTCGAGACCAGCCCGGCCAACATGGTGAAACCCCATCTCTACTAAAATACAAAAATTAGCTGGGCGTGGTGGTGCATGCCTGTAATCCCAGCTACTCGGGAGGCTGAGGTGGGAGAATCACTTGAGCCTGGAGGCAGAGGTTGCGGTGAGCCGAGATTGCACCACTGCACTCTAGTCTGGGTGAGAGAGTGAGACACTGTCTCAAAAAAAAAAAAAAAAAGTATTTAACTGGTTCAATTACTAGAGTAATGTTTGGTTCTGCTGTAATACACATTGCCCATATATATCAAAATACATGGCTACTCTTTAACTGTTAACTAGAATACTTACCATTTTAATGACTAATTATGTGAGAGGCATACATGCAAAAATATAATCTTCCAGCAACAATATCAATAAATATTTTGTGTATTGCCAGTTTGTGATAGAAGATTAAAACCATCTTAAATTGAACCTGATTTATGGTAACAGCAAGGAGCTAAACAGTTACTTATATTTGAAATTAGAGCTTTGTAAGAGTTTTAATAATTGGGTGGTAATAATTTATGTACTTTTTCCATCTGTAGTTGTGGAAGAACAGTGTGTACTTTTGGTTTGACCTGCAGGCTTATCATCAGCTTTTCTACCAAGAAACACTTCAGCCTTTTAAAGTATGCAAGCAAGCGCAAGTACGTAGTAAATAATATTGGTTCAATGTGAAGCACTAAGTACACAGAGAAATGAAAATTGTGTCCAGTCCCAAACGAGAAATCTGGGATCGCAGGCAAAAAGGCAGCAATTAAATTGTTGCCATGGGATTACTGTATTTGAAATCAGCAAAATATTGTTTTATAATATGATTTGTGAGTTTTCAGTTTTATGTCTTTTATTTGGTTTGCTTTATTTTCTCTTGCCAACTACTTGTTCTTCTGATAAAGAACATCTCTCTCTCTTTTTTTTCTAATGTATACCTTTTTGGTTTGGTTTTGAGTGATTTAAAAGAAGACCCCGAGAATGGACATGTAATGAATCATTGAAGTGATGGGGAACAGAGACATTGACCAATGTTGCTCTCTGAGCTTCCTGCAGATATCAGCTGTTGGACATACTAGGCTGTTGACTTGGTATAAGCAGGAAAAGATGTTGACTGACTATGCAGTGCAGGCCCCATGTAGTTGTTTAGGCTTCTGTTCTACATGTCATAGGAGACAGACACTCAGGGAGTGGAGGAAAGAATGTTTCAAGACCACCCTGAAGCCAAATAGAGGAGGAAAGAAAAAAAAAAATAGAGGGGGAAGAACAGAGGATTCTCTGTAAAAGGAGACAGAATAGCCTCTTTTGTGGGGAAGAAGAAAAGGGAGCAGAATTGTGACTCAAGCTGACTTATTTTTGCAGTTTTTTATTGTCAGGCTCTTCTGATCTTTTATGGAGACAGGTCTCCAAGCCTAGAAAAGTGCTAATCACTTCTATATCTGTTCACCACTTAAGTGATTCTTACAATCCAGAATAACTGCATTCCAGAGGACCTCCCCCTGAACAATGCTAAGGAAACTAGCTTCATCATTTTATTTATTATCTTATAATCTTATTTGATGTATCATAGTGTACCGCTGGATGTTCACTGTTACTTCCCCCACCCTGACTCTGGCATTAATAACTATGCTTTGTAAATCAGCTGACAGAGCTTTGTACTTTTTACTGTGAGATTAAGGGCTTCAGCCCCTACATAGCCCATATCTGTCTCCATGAAATCATGAAATTATATCTCTAATTTACTAGCACCATTTCTGAGACCACCCAGTTGACTATTCTGTTTGTTAATCCTTTACCTGTAATTCTCTATAACCTTTTGCCCTAATCCTCCTAAACTATTGCCCCTGTCTGTTCAAGTACCATGCATTATTTTTATTATGTTTTCACTACTACAAAGAGTATTCCTCCAAAAATCTTCAGCTGCCCAATTGAGTTTTTTTCTTAATAATTTTCATATTTCCATGACCTTGTAAAAGAGGAAATTCTATTTGAGCTTGGTTGACTTGTTAATTATTAGTAATAAATGATTGTAAAACCACACAGTTTTGGTTACTTGAAGGTGGACTATTCTGTTTTGGGATTTTCGAGGTCTGTAAGGTTTTTATCTTCTCCTAGGTTCTCTTTTGGATAGTTAAAGCAGGGTGAGAGGAAAACAATGGAGACATTTGCTTTTAGGAATGAAGAAAGATAAATAAAAAAGCAGATCTATGTGTTTGTTGTTTTTTGACATACTTGCTCTTTGCATCTATAGTTATTTTACTTTGTCTTACTTTTTTATTTATTTACTTTTTTAGAGGCAGGATCTTGCCCTGTCACGCAGGCTGGAGTGCAGTGGAGGGATCATAGCTCACTGCAGCCTTGAACTCCTGGGCTCAAGTGATCCTGCTGCCTCAGCCTAAGTGCTGGGATTACAGGCATGCACCACCATGCCCAACTTTATTTTTTTGGTTACAGGAGCAATTGTCTAAATTAGTTTAGGTTCTAATTATCCCAGGTTTCTGTGACTTAAGATACAAGAACTGCCTGTAATACTATAATCCTAGAGATTCATTTTATGGTATGAAATGCTGTTCGTTTCTTTATAATAGATATATGACTCTCTTCAGGGGTAAATTTTCAATTTAGATCGTTGGATTGATAATGCCAATGGCACAATACAATAAGCTGGACTATGTAAAAATTGCTATGGGCCAGGCGTGTTAGCTCATGCCTGTAATCCCAGTACTTTGGCAGGCTGAGGCAAGAGGATTGCTTGAGCCCAGGAGTTCAAGGCCAGCTTGGACAACAAAGTGAGACCGCATCTTTATAAAAAATTTAAAAATTAGCCAGGCATAGTGATGTGCACCTGTAGTCGTAGGTACTGAAGAGGCTGAGGTGGGAGGATCGCTTGAGCCCAGGAGTTCAAGGCTGCAGTAAGCTATGATTGCGCCACCACTCTCCAGTCTGGGTGGCAGAACAAGACCCTGACTCAAAATAAATAAATAAAGTTTCTATGAACTTGATTTTATATTGTTTTCAAGTTTCTGCCAATTCGTGTGCTAGGAGACTGAGATTTGATTTCAAGAGACTTACATGATTTTCTGTACATAAACGCTGAAGTTTTATTGCCCCATGAACTATTGCAGAAATATCTTTATTCAGACTAGATGGGGAAGGGTATATCAGTAACAGTGATTAGCATGACTAAAGAGTCCAAGAGTTTGAAGTACTGTCTTGGGTACACCCTGAAGATTTCACCACATGGCTTCAAGATAGAATAGTACACAGTTGGAAACCAATTTAAATGGTGTTGGCAAGGAGAAAGGGAATTATCACCATAGTGTAGAGACATCTTTGACCCTAGCGACAGCTTGCCAAGGAACCATATACCACTACTAAGATTTGGAGACCAGATTGTTACTGTAGATCGTTCTACAGTTTTTTTTTTTTAATTTGGAGATTTTTCTTTTATTTCAATTTTTTTTCTTTTTTAAAATTGTTATTATGTTTTAAGTTCTAGGGTACATGTGCACAACGTGCAGGTTTGTTACATAGGTCTACATATGCCATGTTGGTTTGCTGCACCCATCAACTTGTCATTTACATTAGGTATTTCTCCTAATGCTATCCACCCCCAGCCCCCCACTCCACAACAGGCCCCAGTGTGTGATGTTCTCTGCCCTGTGTCCAAGAGTTCTCACTGTTCAATTCCCACCTATGAGTGAGAACATGCAGTGTTTGGTTTTCTGTCCTTGTGATAGTTTGCTGAGAATGATGGTTTCCAGCTTCATTCATGTCCCTGCAAAGGACATGAACTCATCCTTTTTTATGGCTGCATAGTATTCCATGGTGTATATGTGCCACATTTTCTTAATCCAGTCTATCATTGATGGACATTTGGGTTAGTCCCAAGTTTTTGCTATTGTGAATAGTGCCACAGTAAACATACATGTGCATGTGTCTTTATAGTAGCATGATTTAAAATCCATTGGGTTTATACCCAGTAATGGGATCGCTGGGTCAATGGTATGTCTAGTTCTAGATCTTGGAGGAATTGCCACACTGTCCCCCACAAGGTTGAACTAATTTATACTCCCACCAACAGTGTAAAAGCATTTCTATTTCTCCACATCCTCTCCAGCATCTGTTGTTTCCCCTGGCTTTTTAATGAACGCCATTCTAACTGGCGTGAGATGGTATCTCATTGTGGTTTTGATTTGCATTTCTCTGATGGTCAGTGATGATGAGCATGTTTTCATGTGTCTTTTGGCTGCATAGATGTCTTCTTTTGAGAAGTGTCTGTTCATATTCTTTACCCACTTTTTGATGGGGTTGTTTGTTTTTTTCTTGTAAATTTGTTTGAGCTCTTCGTAGATTCTGGATATTAGCCCTTTGTCAGATGGGTAGATTGCAAAATTTTTCTCCCATTTTGTAGGTTGCCTGTTCACTCTGATGGTAGTTTCTTTTGCCATGCAGAAACTCTTCAGTTTAATTAGATCCCATTTGTCAATTTTGGCTTTTGTTGCCATTGCTTTTGGTGTTTTAGACATGAAGTCCTTGCCCATGCCTATGTCCTGAATGGTATTGCGTATGTTTTCTTCTAGGGTTTTTCTGGTTTTAGGTCTAACATTTAAGTCTTTAATCCATCTTGAATTAATTTTTGTGTAAGGTATAAGGAGGGGATCCAGTTTCAGCTTTTTACATATGGCTAGCCAGTTTTCCCAGCACCATTTATTAAATAGGGAATCCTTTCCCCATTTCTTGTTTTTGTCAGGTTTGTCAAAGATCAGATGGTTCTAGATATGTGGTGTTATTTCTGAGGCCTCTGTTCTGTTCCATTGGTCTATATATCTGTTTTGGTACCAGTACCATACTACTGTAGACTTGGAGTATAGTTTGAAGTCGGATAGCGTGATGCCTCCAGCTTTGTTCTTTTTGCTTAGGATTGTCTTGGAAATGCAGGCTCTTTTTTGGTTCCATATGCACTTTAAAGTAATTTTTTCCAATTCTGTGAAGAAAGTCATTGGTAGCTTGATGGGGATGGCATTGAATCTATAAATTACCTTGGACAGTATGGCCATTTTCACAATATTGATTCTTCCTATCCATGAGCATGGAATGTTTTTCCATTTGTTTGTGTCCTCTTTTATTTCGTTGAGCAGTGATTTATAGTTCTCCTTGAAGAGGTCCTTCACATCCCTTGTAAGTTGGATTCCTAGGCATTTTATTCTCTGTGTAGCAATTGTGAATGGGAATTCACTCATGATTTGGCTCTCTGTTTGTCTGTTGTTGGTGTATAGGAATGCTTGTGATTTTTGCACATTGATTTTGTATCCTGAGACTTTGCTGAAGTTGCTTATCAGCTTAAGGAGATTTTGGGCTGAGATGATGGGGTTTTCTAAATATACAATCATGTCATCTGCGAACAGGGACAATTTCACTTCCTCTTTTCCTACTTGAATACCCTTTATTTCTTTCTCTTGCCCGATTGCCCTGGCCAGAACTTCCAACACTATGTTGAATAGGAGTGGTGAGAGAGGGCATCCTTGTCTTGTGCTGGTTTTCAAAGGGAATGCTTCCAGTTTTTGCCCATACAGTATAATATTGGCTGTGGGTTTGTCATAAATAGCTCTTATTGTTTTGAGATACATTCCATCAATACCTAGTTTATTGAGAGTTTTTAGCATGAATGGCTGTTGAATTTTGTCCAAGACCTTTCCTGCATCTATTGAGATAATCATCTGGTTTTTGTGATTGTTTCTGTTTATGTGATGGATTACATTTATTGATTTGTGTGTGTTGAACCAGTCTTGCATGCCATGGATGAAAAGCCAACTTGATCATGGTGGATAAGCTTTTTGATGTGCTGCTGGATTTGGTTTGCCATTATTTTATTGAGGATTTTCGCATTGATGTCAGAGATGTTGGTCTAAAATTCTTTTTTTGGGAGGATTCCCTCTGTTTCTATTGTTTGGAACAGTTTCAAAAGAAATGGTACCAGGTCCTCTTTGTACCTCTGGTAGAATTCAGCTGTGAATCCATCTGGTCCTGGACTTTTTTTTTTTTTTGGTTGGTAGGCTATTAATTACTGCCTCAATTTCAGAGCCTGTTATTGGTCTATTCAGAGACTCAACTTCTTCCTGGTTTAGTCTTGGGAGGGTGTATGTGTCAAGGAATTTATCCATTTCTTCTAGATTTTCTAGTTTATTTGCATAGAGGCGTTTATAGTATTCTCTGATGGTAGTTTGTATTTCTGTGGGATCAGTGGTGATATCTCCTTTATCATTTTTAATTGCATCTGTTTGATTCTTCTCTCTTTTCTTCTTTATTAGTCTTGCTTTGGTCTATCAATTTTGTTGATCTTTTCAAAAAACCAGCTCCTGGATTCATTGATTTTTTTGAAGGGTTTTTTGTGTCTCTGTCTCCTTCAGTTCTGCTCTGATCTTAAGTATTTCTTGTCTTCTGCTAGCTTTTGGATTTGTTTGCTCTTGCTTCTCTAGTTCTTTTAATTGTGATGTTAGGGTGTCAATTTTAGGTCTTTCCTGCTTTCTCTTGTGGGCATTTAGTGCTATAAATTTCCCTCTATACACTGCTTTAAATGTGTCCCAGAGATTCTGGTACATTGTGTCTCTGTTCTCATTGGTTTCAAAGAACATCTTTATTTCTGCCTTCATTTCGTTATTTACTCAGTAGTCATTCAGGAGCAGGTTGTTCCGTTTCCATGTAGTTGTGTGGTTTTGAGTGAGTTTCTTAATCCTGAGTTCTAATTTGATTGCACTGTGGTCTGAGAGATAGTTTGTTGTGATTTCTGGTCTTTTACATTTGCTGAGGAGTGTTTTACTTCCAATTATGTGGTCAATTTTAGAATAAGTGCTATGTGGTGCTGAGAAGAATGTATATTCTGTTGATTTGGGGTGGAGAGTTCTGTAGATGTCTATTAGGTCCACTTAGTGCAGAGCTGAGTTCAAGCCCTGAATATCTTTGTTAACCTTCTGTCTCATTGATCTGTCTAATATTGACAGTGGGGTGTTAAAGTCTCCCATTATTATTGTGTGGGAGTCTAAGTCTCTTTGTAGGTCTCTAAGGACTTGCTTTATGAATCTGGGTGCTCCTGTATTGGGTGCATATATATTTAGGATAGTTAGCTCTTCTTGTTGAATTGATCCCTTTACCATTATGTAATGGCCTTCTTTGTCTCTTTTGATCTTTGTTGGTTTAAAGTCTGTTTTATCAGAGACTAGGATTGCAACCCCTCCTTTTTTTTGTTTTCCATTTGCTTGGTAGATCTTCCTCCATCCCTTTATTTTGAGCCTGATATGTGTCTCTGCACGTGAGATGGGTCTCCTGAATACAGCACACTGATGGGTCTTGACTCTATCCAATTTGCCAGTCTGTGTCTTTTAATTGGGGCATTTAGCCCATTTACATTTAAGGTTAATATTGTTATATGTGAATTTGATCCTGTGATTATGATGTTTGCTGGTTATTTTGCCCATTAATTGATACAGTTTCTTCCTAGCATCGATGGTCTTTGCAATTTGGTATGTTTTTGCAGTGGCTGGTACTGGTTGTTCCTTTCCATGTTTAGTGCTTCCTTCAGGAGTTCTTGTAAGGCAGGCCTGGTGGTGACAAAATCTCTCAGCATTTGCTTGTCTGTAAAGGATTTTATTTCTCCTTCACTTATGAAGCTTAGTTTGGCTGGATATGAAATTCTGGGTTGAAAATTCTTTTCCTTAAGAACGTTGAATATTGGCCCCCACTGTCTTCTGGCTTATAGCGTTTCTGCCGAGAGTTCTACAGTTTTTTTGACATTACATACTTGCTTCAGTGAGAGAGCACTACTAGAGAATGAAACAGACCTGAGGACTACTGTCTTTTGTAACTTGTGAAATCTTTCAGATAAGTTATATCCTAACAAAAATTGTGCATTTAGAATCTATCACTCTCCATAGCATACATAATGATATTTAAATAAAAATAAGTAAACGTATGAAACAAAAATATTAAACATGTTTAAGTACACACACACACACGCACCAAATTTTAAAAGTAAGAAATGGGAAGGAGGAAAAAACTTAGAGTCTAGGAGAATTATATGGAAAATGTAGTAATTAATGAATGAAGAGGGTAGGTAAGAATGAAATGGAAATGAGAAATAAGAGAATTCCTAGGTAAATCCACAGCACTTTTACCACAAAGTGCTATTTAATATAAAGAAATTCTTGCAGCAGTGTGAGATTTTTGTCTTATTGGATTGGACGTCAGGGTAACACACTGTTATTTTAATATATCACCTAGATCAGAGGCTATATGACGTAGAAGGCAAAAAAAAATCACAGAATGTGGCATTGAAGACATGAATTATTTACATTCTCCTAGTTACTAGCTGGGTAAACTTTGTTAAGTCAGTTAGTTTTAATAGGTCTTGGTTTCATGTTCTGTAAAATATGGATAGTGATAATGTTTTACATTTTGTTTTCCTCTACTGGTTTGGAAGTTACATATTATATTTCTCTTTTTACCCTTACAGTTTTGACATGTATACGGAAATCTGTGAAGTCTAAAATTAATCATTATCTTCATCCTTCTCTCAAATAAATCAAGGATCTTAGAACACTTTAATTCTACCATACCTTGCCCATTTTACATATAATTTTTGTACACTATTTTTGTTAATTTCGGCTTTTACCCTCCTAGTAGTCATCATTACTTTTTTAATACTGTCAATGTTTATGTCAGTTTATTCACAAATTTCTTGCTTGCTATTGCTTTTTGTGTCATATTCCTTACTTTCAGTTTAATTCCTGAAGACTATCCTTTAGTAGTTTTTCCATTAGAGCCTGCTAGTGGTAGTAGACCCTATTTGTTTGAAAATGTCTATTTTATTCTCTTATTGTTGATTTAGCTGAATATAGAATTCTAGGTTGACAGTTTCTTCTCACTACTTTGAAAATACTGTTTTATTGTTTTCTGCCTTCCATTGCTATTATTGAGGAGTATGCCATTGCTCCTTTGTAGGAGGATGTTTTTTCTCATGTTTACTTTTGCAGTCTTTTCTTTGACTTTGGCATTCTGTATTTCACCTCAGTGTGTTTACCACTGGAAGGTTTTCAGGGGCAGTAACATGCATGGAGCTGTCATCTCCTGTGATAACAATGCCTTCTTCTGGGATTCCTCCTGAAGCACCTGCCTGAGCCTGTTTTACAGTTAACTTTTTTAATAAGTAGAAGGAGTACATTCTAAAAAAATGATAAAAAATATAGTGTAGCAAATACATAAACCAGTAATATGATCATTTATTATCACTATCAAGTATTTTGTACTATACATAATTGTGTGTGCTATACCTTTATACAACTGGCAGTGCAATAGGTTTGTTTACACCAGCATCACCACAGACATGTGAGTAATACATGTGCTACAGTGTTACTAGGCAATAGGAATTTTCCAGCTCCATTATATTATGAGACCACCATTGTATATGTGGTCCACCATTGATTGAAACAATTTTATGCAGCACATGACTGTATATTTCATGTCACTCTTAACCCCTCTTTCAGGTTTTTCCACCTTTGAATATCTGTGTTGTATGTTTTAGATTGAAATAGATCAATTTTCTTTGTACTGTTTTTCAGTTCATATATTCTTCAGATTTCATTCTGCTATTTAACTTACCCATTGAGTTAAATCATTTTAAGATTATGTTTTTGTATTATTAAACATTATATTTGTGTTTTACAAAATTTCCTGGGGATTTTTGGTCTTTTTCCTCATTTTAAAATTTCTTTTAAAAACATTTTTATTTTACTTTAAGTCCTGGGATACATGTGCAGAGCATGCAGGTTTTTTACATAGGTATACACATGCCATGGTTTCTTTTTTTCTTTTTTTTTTTTTTTTTTTTTGAGACGGAGTTTCGCCTTGTTGCCCAGGCTGGAGTCCAATGGCATGATCTTGGCTCACTGCAATCTCTGCCTCCCCAGTTCAAATGATTCTCCTGCTTCAGCCTCCCAAGTAGCTGGGATTACAGGTGTGCACCACCACGCCTGGCTAATGTTTTGTATTTTTAGTAGAGACGGGGTTTCACCATGCTGGTCAGGCTGGTCTTGAACTCCTGACCTCAGATGATCTGTGTGCCTCAGCCTCCCAAAGTGCTGGGATTACAGGCATGAGCCACCATGCTTGGCCTGCTACAGTTTCTTTTTTGATGTCTCTAATCATTTTAAACGTGTTATAGTTTGTAGCTGCATTAGTTATCTCTTCTGTCATAACAGTATTATCACAAAATTTGTGACTTAAAGCAACACACATCATTATCTCATAGTTTATGTAGGTCAGGATTCTGGGCACAGCTTTATTGGGTTCTCTGTAAGGTCTCAGCCAGGGCTAGTGTCTCATCTGGGGCTCGACTGGGGAAGGATCAGCTTCAGTGTTCACATGGTTGTTAGCAATATTCATTTTCTAGCATCAGAATTGGATTGGACATCAGGGTAACACATTGTTAGACTGATGGCCTCAGATTTTTGTTGGCAGTCAGCTAAAGGCCACCCTCAGTTCTGTGTCATATGGCTGTCTCCATATGGCAGCCCACAGTGTGGCAGTTTGCTTCTCTAAGCCAGAAAAGGGGAGAATTTCTTAGCAAGACAGGCATTGCTATCTTATGTAATGTAACCACATACATGTAATCACGTACAAATCATCACCGTTGCTATATTCTCTTGATTAGAAGCAGCCACATGTTATGCCCATACTTGGTGGGAGAGGATTATGAAAGGGTATGAATACTAGGAGATACTGTTTTCGTGGGGGCCTGGCTGCTATAGTATTCAATAATTCTGTAATTTGTAGTTCTTGGAAGAACTAATTCTGCTATGTATTAGTTCTGCTGACATGGTGGATTCTTTTCTGGCATGTTTTGTAATTTTGAATTATGAGCTTTTTAGTGGGGTTTTTTATCTATGCTGTTTCTGGTAGGCACATTTTGTAATCATTTCCAAGATGAGAAATTAGACAAGTATAAACTTGAACATGAAGCCCACATAATGGTAAACTCACGATACCAAATTCTCAGGAGATATGTTGTTTTCTTTCTTTTACAAAGAGGCTAGGCCAATAGAAGCAAGGCTTTTTTTTTCCTTTTTTTTTTTTTTTTGTCTCCTAGGTTTGGTAGGTATAAAGAAGCTTGCTTTTCTGGTGCTTACTATGGGTATTAAATAAGGGAACATGTGACTGCTTCTTGCAGAGATTTCCTTTTCTGGTATCTTGGCAGCCTAGATTACCTGAAAACTCTTCATCTAAAAAATACCTAGAAATGCTGGATAAAATATAACAAATGTACTTTTAAGTGCATGGCCGAGATGGTAAGGGACATCACCAGGGACCATGGTTAAGAAATGTACTGAGAACCAGAGTGATAAGCATGAGCTGACAATGGGACTGTCATG
Source organism: Homo sapiens (assembly GCF_000001405.40). Classification (NCBI taxonomy): domain Eukaryota; kingdom Metazoa; phylum Chordata; class Mammalia; order Primates; family Hominidae; genus Homo; species Homo sapiens. The sequence continues at coordinate 100,028,163 of NC_000008.11, read as the reverse complement.
GATAAACCAAGAAGTGTGGGTTATAAGACCCACAAGGCACAGACAAGGCCCTGGGCTCTTAGAGGCGAAAAGTGACACTAAGACCCCCCACATCTACCAAGGTCTATGAAGGGTTATACACAAGGTGAAATGCAGAGTGAAAAAAGACTATATATATGTTTATAAAAATTTATTTTTAATATGTATTTTACAAGATCATATACAGGTGGAAGCATTTTGTCATATAGTACAGAGCACTCAATGGAATAAACAGTATTATTAGGGTCAATATTTAAGGTTCTATCAATTACCTGGATAATGAGGAAGGAAAATGGGAATTTGAAGAAACTAGGGTGGAGGAACAGTTCTACAATATAACTTAAATTAAAATATACTACATTAGGCCAGGCGTGATGGCTCATGCCTATAATCCCAGCACTTTGGGAGGCTGAGGTAGGTGGATCAACTGAGCTCAGGAGTTCGAGACCAGCCTGGCTAACATGGCGAAACCCCATCTCTACTAAAAATACAAAAATTAGCCGGATGTGGTGGTACATGCCTGTATTCCCAGTTACTCAGAAGGCTGAGACAGGAGAATCACTTGAACCCAGGAGATGGAGGTTGCAGTGAGCTGAGATCATGCCAATGCACTCCAGCCTGGGCAACAGAGTGAGACTCCATCTCAAAATAAATAAATAAATAAAATGAAATAAAATATACTACATTGAATCACAACCTTTTAAGAATCTCCTTTATAATATTCAGTTACTTATTAATGAACATTCACTGAGAAGCCTGCTATGTGCCAAGTAATGTTCTGTGGATAGAAAGATGATTAGGACAAAGTTCTTGACTTAGAAGTCTCACTCTCTAGTGGGGGAAGGAGATAATTACAAAGCACTTCAGTCGTATTTAAAACAGATAATAATGTCTCTCTCTTTTTTTTTTGAGACAAGGTCATCTTGCTCTGTCACCCAAGCTGGAGAGCAGTGGCTCACGATCACGGCTCACTGCATCCTCAACCTCCTGGGCTCAAAGTGATCCTACCACCTCGGTGCCCCCTATGATTCCCCTAGTAGCTGAAACTACAGACACACCACCAGCCCCAGCTAATGTTTTGTAGAGACAGGGTCTCACATGTTGCCCAGGCTTGTCTTGAACTCTTGTACTCAAGCAATCCTCCCACCTCAGCCTCCCAAAGTGTTGGGATTACAGGCATGAGCCACCATGCCCGACCAGGTAATAGTGTCTTAACTGATAATGAAATAATTTCTCGCTTTACTGGCAGAAAACAGTTGGTTATTGTTTTGTTTTACTTTTAAGTCATCGGCTTCTTTTCAAATACCTGTAGGAATGAGGGAACTGTTTCCTTTTTTCTCATTTTTGAGCCAAAAGCTGCTGTCCTTTAGTCTTATGCTTCTTAGGACACTGTCCTGTTTTATTCAGATTAACAACTTCAGAATCAATTTTACATCTTTCTAGTATCTTCAGCTATAGCCAAATGAAATTTTAACATTTGCAAGTCCTGTTCCTGACATCTCCACCCAATGATATGACAGCTTGAAAATACTCTGCTGTAATGCTCCAGTGAGAGACTCCTGTTGTTTCTCCTTCTATTTCTATGAAGAAGTCACTTCATGGGTCCCATGACAAATAAGTCAGTCCTGGTGACTTCTACTATTTACCCAGGGTTTATAGTACTGTTGCCTGTTTACTCTTGTATTTGCAAAATTTCACAAGAGAAAAAGAAAACGCAAAAGCTGAGTCAGTAAATGTCACCAGATCCATGTTGTGCACTGGTGTTTTTAGGAAGCCCATAAGTTGTGATGTAATTGTAATGCAGAATTCATTAAATTATTCAGTAATTATTTATTGCTATCGTTATCCTCTCTGGCCCTAGGTCATTTCAGTCTCCTATTAGGTGATCTGAGACACAGTGTAGATCCAAATGATGTTCATACTGGGTTGTGCATTGTAGCCCTGCCTTAAGGTTCTCTGAGTATGTCTATGTATTTGTCCCCTTTGCTCCTGCTTTTATAGTGTACAAACCAGTAAATCAATATAAACTGAATAGCAGTTAGACTAGCAATTAGGAGCACACATTTTTCCTAGCCTAAACATGTTATTGCTATTTCCACAAACATTTACCAAACACCTACTATACCTTAGGCTGTGATTGGTGCTGGGAACACCTTGGTGAACAAAGCACAGGTGCAGCTCCCCAAGCATTCTTTCTATCAAGGGTCAAGAATGTGCTTTCTTTTGCCTACTTTTCCAGAGAACCCTAGAAAGATTGAGAGAGAAAAAACCAGTTAAGACTATGTAGCTCCTCCCCCGTAAAATTTGGATTGTTCTTACAGTGTTTTCCAATGAAGTCTGAGGTAACACCCAGGACCTTGGGTGTAATCACAAATTCCATTGAAAAAACTTTATGGCATAAGTGGGGCAGTGTTGAAGATTTTTCTCTGATAATCAGCTTTATTTTTCCTTTGCTCACTGTCATCCATTACCTTAATTGTTTAGCTCCTCTCTTTACTTGGCATTTACAGGACCTAAATACTTCAGGGTGGTCCTGACATTTTCATTAAAGTGTCACGAGCTAAGTTCTCCTTCTCTAGGCTGATGGTGTATTTTCAGGTGCACTAACAGAGCTCATTATTTCTCTATTCAGCAGCAGCATTAAGAATCAAGCTCTGTTTTCTAAAAGATGAATGGACATGGGTGAGGGGTGAGGTTGGCTGGTGATTGAATGTGGAAAATCAGGTACCTCTTTATAGCTTTATGGTAAATTTTGGTGTCTTCACAATTAGGTTGTTTCTGGAGTGCTGGGCAATTACTATTCAGGCTTTGTTACATTATTTGTTTTTGTTACCAGAGAGATGGTGTCCCAATTAGCGGCCAGGCTTGGATTCCTGAACACTGTGAATCACTGAGCACAGAATCAGCAGGGTTCTCGTGTTGCATCGCATTTTGTCATGTTTGCTAGTAAAGTGGGTTCAGGAAGAACAAGCACAGCAGCCAGCTTTCTGGCTTGTAGCTACCCACTCATTTCCCCACTTCCTGATGTTTACCCCAGTTATGCATAGAGTCTTAAGATTTTTGAATACTGTAGGATTATAGACCAAAAAAGGATCTCCAAAGATCCTCATTTATTTATTTATTTATTTATTTATTTATTTATAGATCCTCTTTTAATCCTCTTGTTTCCAGAAAGGCCAACACCTGAACTTCTCTGAAACACCATTATCTATTATACCTGACGTTTCGTTAATGTTTCTGTTAGGTTCTGTGGTAATAACTTTATATGGATAATTTTATTTAATTCTAGACAATCCTAAGAGGTAGATTGGTATCCTTATTTTACAGATTTGGAAACTGAGACTTAGGGAAGTTGAATGCTTTCCTAACGCCATCCATTTAGCAATTGGTGAACTTGGAATTAGTACCAAGTATTCTGACTCCAGACCCTATACTCTTAACTTCTAAGCCATTGCTTTCTTATTATTATCTCTAGAAAAAAGAGTATCTGTTTATCACCTTGTTTAATCTTTCACTTTAATATCTTAAACTATCTTTATGAACATTAAATGTCAAACATCACCTTTAATATTTTTTTTCTCCGTGAGACTGTAGGTCCATGAAGACAGTCTGCTCTGTTTACCTTGTATGCTCAGGACTGAAGGTGCCATATAAAAGGTGCTGTGATAGGTATTGAAAAAATTCATGAACTCATTGGCATGTTTATATTTGTAGCAACGTATTATAAACCTAATGAAAGATAGTCATTATTTGGAAATGACAGCCAGCTGAGTGTTTTTATTTTTTTAAGAAAAATTTTATGTGAAAACAGTTTAATGAGCCCCCATATACCTTCACTAAGCTTCAGCAATGATCAACATTCTGTCTTTCCAGTTTGCTCTTGGCTGGGCTTGGTGGCTCACACCTGTAATCCCAGCACTTTGGAAGGCCAAGGTGGGTGGATCACGAGGTCAGGAGTTCGAGACCAGCCTGGCCAACATAGTGAAACCCATCTCTACTAAAAATACAAAAATTAGCCGGGCGTGGTGGCGCTCGCCTATAATCCCAGCTACTCAGCGGGCTGAGGCAGGAGAATTGCTTGAACCCGGGTGGTGGAGGTTGCAGTGAGCCAAGATTGCGCCACTGCACTCCAGCCTGGGCGACAAAGCAAGACTCTTTCTTGGAAAAAAACAAAAAACAACAAAAAAAGGGAGCTCTTAATAAATTGTATTGGAGCAGCAATGAAATCTCCCTGTCCCCTCCCACTTCACCCAAGGAACCTAAAAATATGGTTGCTTTTTGAAATTTGAACTAGGAAATGAATGTGTAATAAATCAGAACAGATATGAGCAGCTGACTAGAGACAAAAAGGCTTCACAGGCCTGCAAGATTTGTAATGAAGATGCCAGCACATGTAAAGAAAGAATTTTCCAGGCCAGGCACAGTGGCTCGCACCTATAATCCCAGCATTTGGGAGGCTGAGCTGGGAAGATCACTTGACCCCAGGAGTTCAAGATCAGCATGAACAACGTGGTGAGGCCCTATTTCTACAAAAAATTAAAAAAATTAGCCAGGTGTGGTGGCCCGTGCTTGTAGTCCCAGCTACTTGGGAGGCTGAAACAGGAAGATCACTTGAGCCCAGGAATTGGAGGCTGCAGTGAGCTATGAGTGCACCAGTGTATTCCAGCTGCAGTCTGGCATTGGCAACAGAGTGAGACCCTAGCTCTTAGAAAAACAGAAAAAGAAAGAATGTTTCACTCATGAAGAGACATTGTTTGGCAGTGGCATCCCAGAAGGTGTAGTGTCTCAGAGGCAGACCTTGACATGCCCTTGAAGTACTGTCCTAAGCTGTCTGCTCCTTGTATCTAGTCAGCCTGAAAGATTTTGATGGAGAGAATATTCATAGGGTTCATACAGTTACCTTCACTTATTCTGACTATGTAAACTTGTTTTCCAAGATGGTGTGCTGGTAAACATAGACCTACAACCTTAATGATGGTTGATTTTCTCATTTTTCATTGTACAGCAATCACTTGATACTCTGGTTTCATGTATCAGTCCTGTGTGCTTTGTTAGCATAGATTATCATACTGGTGAAACAGGTTTGTTTTTTTTCCCAAGCCAGAAATTTTAATATAATCATGTTTTTAAAATTGAATTATTTATCTCAGCATTTTGGGAGGCCAAGGCACGTAGATCACTTGAGCCTAGGAGTTCGAGACCAGCCTGGGCAGCATAACAAAACCCTATCTCTACAAAAAAAATACAAAAATTAGCCTGGTTTGGTGGTGTGCACCTGTAGTCCCAGCTACTCGGGAGGCTAGGCTTGAGCCTAGGAGGTTGCAGTCAGCTGAGACTGCGCCACTGCACTCCAACCTGGGTAACATAGTGAGACCCTATTTAAAAATAAATAAATAAATTAATTAATTAATTTAATTGAATTTTTTTGTTCACTGATTTCCAAGAAATTATTTATTAATAGAAGTTAAATAATTCCATTAGTTTAAATGTATATCTTGCTTTTGTCAGTTAAAGGTTTTTTAAAAAACAAATCCAAAAATTTATAAAATAAAACCTTTATTTGTTCCTTAGATTGCCTTAAACTGCATAGTAATAACTTTTTTTTCTGTGTGCTTGTTTATTTTATTTCATCATGCACTCAACTGATTTTACTTAAAATGTCTTAAGCAATGACCCAAATCTATCTTAAAAACCTAGCCTTTTTTGTCCCTGGTTTGTTCTCGTCTTTTCTTAACACGTTCTATTTTCCCCTTCTGATTTTTTACTCTGTCCCAAATGATTCAAATTGTTTTACTGTTTTATCCTATTGGCATTTTCTTAGGCTCTCATTTGCTTTGAATTCTCTTTAGTAGGGTCTGAGCAATTGGCAAAAATTCTAGTTTGTCATCATTATCTTTTTTCGTACAAGTCCATCTTGTGTTGATCTCTGCAGTAGTTTGCCTCTTGGTATCAAGACGTTGCAATCCCTAGATCCCATCTTTAAGATTCCTGTTTGAAAAACCCAAGGTCCTTCACATGAAAATCCATCTGTGAAAAGCTCCATCTGTAATTTAGTCGCTCTCGGCATAGCTCCTCAGTAATGTTTTTGAGCTCCTAGTGGGATATGAGAGGTCATTAAAAATCATCATTTTTTCCTCCTTTTGCAGAAAAAAAGATTGGATTGCTTGAACTTGCTTGTTATTTTCTTTTTCTGCCGCATATGAACTCAGATAATAATGTTCTATGCCTGCTAGAGCTGTGAATGGTTATGAAAACAGACTTCTCTTTTTGCTGAAGTAAATATTTTGTGATTTCTGAAAGTATCCTGTATCACAGCATTTATATTTCTTTTATAAACACCTCTGGGGACTCTTTTTTTTTTTTTCACCCTTAGCTTCTTGGAGCACAGTTCATCTCATTGTTTTATATAAAGTCCAAGCATAGAGTTATTGAGCCCAGTTGAGCAGATCCCATGTTACTTTGCTATTTGCCATCACATACAGCAATATGGTTTCTTTGTTGTTGTTACAGTTTAGTGGACATCTGTTCTGTTGTGTTTAAGATGATCTGTGAAGTGATTTTGGTCTCTTTGGGGTCCAGACACTGAATCAAGATCCATTAGTACCATTTCTATTTCTCATAATGCTTTAATGTTTCCTCTTCAAATATGTTCCTTGTACTTTCTCATCAGGCCAAGCTAATAAGATTTTCCCCACTAAACTCTTACCTCTTCTGATTAATTTATCAGACTGAGGATAAATGTAATATTTGAAGCTTAGTTTTGACCTTTTCTAAATAAGGACTATTCAGAATGTAAACAAACAATTTTAAAGAAAAGCTGTTGACCCTCCTCTTCTGGTTCAGCTTTACTCTAACTATTAACAGGGCCTTTACTGTATATTTTTTTAAATGGATGTCTGTTAAACAGAGTATGTAAGTAAACTGTTATAAATTGGCATATTCTGGTGTGACTTGGTATATACTGGTATGTAGCTTTGCTGCCAGTAAATATTTGAAGTAGCTGGTGTCATTTGTTTTTTCCTACTTTATTTCTCTTTCTTTAGTGATCATGATAGGAAGAGAAGTATATTTGCCTTATAATCAGTGCTATGATGAGAAATGTTTAACAACCAGATCTCTAGGGGAAAAAGCAGCCCTGATTTGTAGCATTTGCTGATCTCTGGGTATACTCTCACCATGGATGATTTCAAGCTGCCAAAGTGACGTCACTGAATGCAGAGTTGGGAAGAGATGTGCAGTAGCACCCCATCATATAATATTTCCCCCATACAGATACACCTCAAGACCATGGGTAATATTAATCGCAAAACAGTAAAATCAACAAGAAGTAATGAGTTTTGAGTAGTCATTATTTTTGTTTTTAATATAACTTCTTTTTTTCCTGAGGCCTTTGGACTTGAATCATAATTTCTTTAATTGTAAGTTTATGTGATTTAATTTTTGGTAATGACAGAGTTTAACAACTGACTCACAAAATTCCTGAATGTTTATGAATCGGCTCTTGTGAGCTGGTACAAGCTGGCTCCAGTAAACCATTGCTTATAAGGGAGGAAGAGAAGTAATAACAAGAAAAGCATCACTGTGAATCCTCTCCATTTTTTCTCTAATGTTACAGCTGGAGATCCTGACTCTTCACCTTTAAAAAATTTCTTCCACCTTTTGGAGAGTGCTTATGAACCACTCACTTATGCTTACCAAAGAAGGCACATAATCTCTCCTCCAGAATCACCAGGTCCTGCACAGTTTACTGTGAACTTCATGAAGGAGCTTATGAAAAAGCTTTGTATATTTCAGTAGCCAAAGGCTTTTTCTTCTTTTGTCTTTAGAGTGTATGAAATAGTGCCATGGCTTTTGTGGAATATCTCTTTTTCCTAGCGGCTGGCTAGGTCTTTGCTAATACCACCCTGTCAGTCCATCAGGCAGAACCTTAGTGCTACCTGATGGTAAGGAGAAGAAAATTGCGGCCGGGCGTGGTGGCTCACACCTGTAATCCCAGCACTTTGGGAGGCCGAGGCGGGTGGATCACCTGAGTTCGGGAGTTAGAGACCAGCCTGACCAACATGGAGAAACTTCATTGCTACTAAAAATACAAAATTAGCTGGGCGTGGTGGCAGGTGCCTGTAATTCCAGCTACTCAGGAGGCTGAGGCAGGAGAATTGCTTGAACCTGGGAGACGGAGGTTGCGGTGAGCCGAGATTGCACCATTGCACTCCAGCCTGGGCAACAAGAGTGAAACTCCATCTAAAAAAAAAAAAAAGTACTTTTTTTGCAACAGCAGATGGTTTTATAGTTCTTATACTGTCTTGGTGAGCATCTTGGAAAATTGTGAGAAGAATGTGAAAGATACATATTAAAATGCCTTCTGCTGCCTTACTAATTACATGATTAGAATTCCCTCTTTTACTTTTTAGTCGAGTAATGGGTCTAAAAAAAAGGGACTTATTAGTGATACAAAATGCTGAAGCATGAATGTTTTCTCCTAATCTCTGGAATACGATATTGGAAGTCTACTTTTAAAATGTCATCAATTTTAGTTAATCTGGTGATACGCTCTACGAGATGTGCTGTCAACTAGTATTAAGATCTCACAGTACATAGGTTTTGAATACATTTTATTCTTTATGTACTGAGGGACTCATTTTAAGTCATACAGTTCCAAAGTTTTACATTTCACTTTCTTACTTCCAGTCCTGGCCTGGTGGTGACAGCAGAACATCAGGTAATCAGTGTTACCAGGCAATCATAGCAAGATACATACACATGATCATTAAAATAAATACATCAAAACGAAGTATGTGAAACTGTTCCATTAACATAACTAACAGCTGAAATGTAACATAACAAATCAACACATGTGTTACAACATTTGGTATTATTTCTGACTTTGCCTTTTAAGGCTGCAGAGAAATTGTTCTTGTTTTCATTGGAACGCAGATAAGTGTCAAGCTGTAGCTCATCAAATGGCCCCTACTTATGGAAAAGATGCCTTCCCAAAGCCTGTGCTCACCTTTGGCACAGTGAGAATACTTTGCTGGGTGCTTCTACAGTATGCTAATTGGAATCTAATCCCATAGCTGTCATCATTTAGCCTTTGATACAAAGAGAAATCCAAATAGTACAGACAGTTGTGGAAAACATTTCCATTTTTTTTTTTTTGCTTTTGACATTGTTAAAAACAATAAATTCAATAAACACACAATTTTCATTTCTCAGGTATGTTTATCTAGACCTTATCTTCAATAAGAAAACATTAATGTGGGAAAAGTAAGTCTGGCATGCATTATGATACATTTGAAAGGAGATGGGGATTCACTTCTATCCAAGAATATGCTTATAAACACACAATTTCAAAATGATTTTGGAAACTATTAAGTGGTGCGGAAATCTTGCATGAAAAATATCATAATGTTGGAAAAATATAAATTGCAATGGGAAATGTCGTATTTTAAATCGTTTGAGCTATCTCATGTGTATTAATAGTACAATGCAGGTATTATATAGAGGATATTGTCTCTAATTAATGAAGCAGCTGAGATTTCCTTGAAGATGCAAACAGGAATATTTGTTCACTTTTTCCCCCAACAATGTCAGCAAATTAATATGTATTAAGAATAAATTAAACATTGTTCTTCATTTTAACGCTATTTAGAAAGCAAAACATTAATCAAAATATAGATTTTCTTCCCCTACCCTCTTTTGTGTGTGTGTGTGTGTGTCTTCATTTATTCTAATTTTTTTCTCCATTCTTTTTTCTGCTCTCCAATTCAGCTCTTCCTTCTGTCTCATGGTATCCATCCTACATCTTTTTTCTTGCTAGTCTTGTTAACTCTCGAGTAATATTGACAGTTCAGTTAGGCTAGAAAATTAACTCCCAGAATTTCAGTACTGTAAAAGATTTTTTAGGGGCAGGCATTACTTTTTTTTTTTTTTTTTGATACAGATGCCAAGAAAGTGAGTCACAGGCACAGGTGTAGAGAGGTGCGGGGAAAGCAGCACATTGTGCATTTCCTGATTACATAACCTTTGAGTGTCTCCAGGAGAGATGAGGCTTAGAGCCATGTTGTGTGCAGTGCCAGGCAGTTTGATCACAGACAGGCAGTGCTTGTATCCCTTCTCAAAAACTTTCCTGCTGGGTTGTTAAAGCATCATAGGTTAATGTTTAAATTGGACTCATGTTGGCCACAGCTGTGTGTGAGTGAATCTCTGCTTGAATGTGAATCAGAGTAGCTGACTGGAATATGAAGGGAGCATTTTCTTCTCTAACATGAGCTACATTGTTATTTACTCTGTGGCTAGAAAGGAAGAACTGGGCGGCCAGTAAAAAAGCAAATGATTTGGATATTTAAACAATGTTTCTAACCCATAATCAGACTATATTATTTATATATCATATAGTATAATCTTTACGTTTCATCTTAAAGTCAATTTATATCAACTTAAAATGATTTTATCATCTTTATAAAGATTTTAAGTGTGTTGTTTAGCTTTTTAAACTTTTGTTTTAAATATACAATTACAATATCTTGTATTTGCTATATATATATATACTCAGTTGTTAGTTATCCACTTACAGATTGCCTTGGATTATTAGAAAGACATCTTCAGATTTTAGTTCCATAATTCAGTTTAAATGTACTATAATTTTATTGTATGGGCTAATAAAGGATTGACAAACTGAATTCAGTTTTCTCATCCTTACTCTCTTAACCACCTGTGTCCCTACCATCCTGGGGAGGTGAGGAACAGCAGAGACAACTTCAACAAAAGACAACAAATGTGTGTAATGTAGGCTTGGGATGCCATGGATTGGATGACCTCACAAGCCCCTTTTTAATGCTTCCAGTTCTGTGATTTTTCAATAAAGGACTGGGCATGGTGGCTCATGCTTGTAATCCCAGTACTTTGGGAGGCCAAGAAGCCAAGAGGGAAGGATCACTTGAGCCTAGGAGTTTGAGACCAGCCTGGGCAATATAATGAGACCTTGTCTCTACAAAATATTTTTTAAAAATTAGTGGAGCATGGTGATGAAAGTTGACAAGAGGATTGCTTGAGCCCAGGAGGCAGAGGTTTCAGTGAGCCAAGATCACACCACTGTCCTTCAGCGTGGGTGACAGAGCAAGCCCCTGTTTAAAAAAAAAAAAAAAAAAAAAAAAAAAAAAAAAAAAAAGACTGGTAAGGAATCAGGGATGTAGGGAGAGTGTATTATTATTATTAATATTTATTTATTTAAATTATACTTTAAGTTTTAGGTTACATGTGCACAACGTGCAGGTTAGTTACATATGTATACATGTGCCATGTTGGTGTGCTGAACCCAGTAACTTGTCATTTAGCATTAGGTATATTATTATTAATTTACTTATTTTTTTGAGACGGAGTCTTGCTCTGTCGCCCAGGCTGGAATGCAGTGGCCCAATCTTGGCTCACTGCAAGCTCCGCCTCCCGGGTTCACGCCATTCTCCTACCTCAGCCTCCTGAGCAGCTGGGACTACAGGCGCCTGCCACCATGCCCGGCTAATTTTTTGTATTTTTAGTAGAGACAGGGTTTCACCATGTTAGCCAGGATGGTCTCGATCTCCTGACCTCGTGATCTGCCTGCCTCAGCCTCCCAAAGTGCTGGGGTTACAGGTGTGAGTCACCACACCCAGCAGGAGAGTGTATTATTCTTAAGGATTATGCTGGTTGTCAGATGGGGGTTGATATTCTTGAACAAAGAGAAATTGTTTGGGTGACAATAATTCAATAAACGTGGTGAGGAAGCAAAAGAAAAAAAAGTGGAAGGGCAAATTAATACCTACATTTAGGTGCAATCGTTTAGTTCATTTCTTTTTTCCTCCCCTCTGCTCTCTAGTTTATTTATTTTTAACAGGGAAGTCTATGAAGCGTCAACCCAAGTTCTAAATTGTATATTCTTGGTTTGAGATGTTGGCATTCGAGTATAGCTATTCAATTAATATGACTGAGAATTAGACAAATGTCTGTTTCTTATCACCTAACATCTGCTTTTCTTTGCGTTATTTTCAGCTTTAAATATGTGTCAAGTGTTTCTAGGAGTCTTGTTTTAGAGAAACTTCAGAATTTATCTAACTGATGACAATTAAATATAGAGGAACCATATAATTTATCATCTAAACCCAGATACTTTTCAGAATGAAACTATTAATAATTATGCCAAGACAGTAGGCTTAGACCAGAGTAGGGACACATGACTGTCCCAATTATATAGCTCCTAGAGACTGCAGACTCTGTAGCTAAATAATATGCATGAATCCCCGTGGCTAGAGCAAAATATGAGTGTGAGGTCAGGAAGAAAGGTAGCAGACAGTAACCTGGGAAAGGTCTGGCCTTGCTTGGTCAGAAAACTGAGTTTTATGATGTTTCTTGAGATGGAAGTTATGCTACTTATTTCCTCCTGATATTTGTTTTTGTTAGTTTCTCCTTGTTTCATTGGAGAGATTAAATTCATAGGATTTGCATTAGAGAATAAAAAAGGGGAGTGCAGGGAAGAGTCAAAAATTATACTATGAATGGTATATTATTAATGAAAACTGGAGGCCAGGCATGGTGGCTCACACTTGTAATCCCAGAACTTTGGGAGGCCAAGGCAGGCAGATTACTTGAGATCAGGAGCTCAAGACCAGCCTGGCTGACATGGTGAAACCCTGTCTCTACGAAAAATACAAAAATTAGCCTGGCGTGGTGGTGAATGCCTGTGGTCCCAGCTACTCAGGAGGCTGACACACAAGAATCGCTTGAACCTGGCAGGCAGAGGTTGCAGTGAGTTGAGATCATGCCACTGCACTCCAGCCTGGGTGACAAAGCAAGACTCCATCTCAAGAAGAAAGAAAGAAAGAAAAGAAAAGAAAACTGGAAACACAGGAGGAAGGGAGAGGCTTTAGAAGTTAGGAAAGGATAATTTGCTATATTATTGAGTCATTGAGGGTCTGGAAGATATTCATGTAGCTATAACAAAGTAGGCTGCTAGAAGCAAAGGTTTTGAGTTCAGGGAAGAAATCAGGTCTAAAACTATTAGTATTAATATATGGAGTTCTTCCACATTGATTGTTAAATTTTTGGGGCTAGATGAAGTCTTCCATTCATCCACTCATTCTAAATTTCACATTATGCCAGATGCTAGGGATACAGTAATAAACAAAGTAGACCCAGTCTCTGTCTTTGTAGAATGTAGGGTCCAATGGGAAAAACATAAAAGTACAGGGTCCATGGGAACACACAGGATGGATTCTTAAGCCAGACTTCAGGAGCCAAGGAAGCTGAGTCTTTAGGATGAATAGAAGCTCAGTGAAAGGGGAAAAGAAGATGAGGGTAGAGAGCATAGAAGGGATAGAGTGCAGAGTACAAAAATCCTGTGAGGGAGTGCTTGGCTCATGTGAGAAACTGTAGGGGCATGAACTGAGAAGGTGTAGTTGAGCATAGAACTTTAGTGAGTGTCATCTTTTAAGGGAGGAATGGAGGAAAAGGAATCAGCAAAGAGCCTGAGAAGAAGCGGAAATTGGCATAGAATCAAGAGAAAGGGTTGGCGAAGTCAGAGGAAAGAGAGTCAAGGAGAGAGGAGATAATAAGCAGTATTAAAGCTGCATAAGGGATCAGGTTGAATGAAGATTAAGGAAAGAAGCTATTGAATTGGCGATTATGTGGTTTTTAGTGATCTTTGAGTTCATTGTCATTGGCATGGAAGCCAGACTTCCATAGATTGAGGAGTGACTATGGAGACTTGTAGAGAGAGGGAAGAGAGAAGTAGTGTAAGAAGTAGGTGGCAAAACAGAGTCAGGAAAAACGTTTTAGAATGAGAGAGGCACTAGATTTCAACAACTTTGTAGCATAAAGAAGGAAATGGAATCAGTGGAGAGGTAGATTAAAGAAACAAGGCACTAAGAAAATAATTGGTGTTACAGGCTCTGGAGGAACATGGTCGAGCACACCTGAATGGCTTAGGATTGGAAAGATGTCTTTGAGACATCAGAGAAACAAAAAGATTTAAAAGAGAGCTCTTGAGAGGAAAGTTGAGGGCATTTATACCAGTGGTTTTTCCCAGTTATGTGGAAGATAAAGTCTACTGAAAGTGAAGAAGTGTAAGAATACAGTTGGGAGCATTAAAGAGGATGGCAGTTTTAAAATGGGAAATGGCATTGATTAGAAATAAGCAAAAATGTAACAAACTTTTTGATTGCAGCTAAGTTTTTTTTGAAGTCTATAATGGAGTCAGTCATTATGTTTTTAGTAGGAACTTGAGGATACAGTGGGGAGGAATTAGGGATGTTGGTAAGAGTATAGTTGAAATAATGGACAGTTCTCAGTCCCAATTGTGTAAGAAAGTAAGATAAAGCAGCTGGTGCATGATTTATTTAGAGGACGAGAATAACCTTCAGATTGTGCTGAAGGTGAAGAAAAGCTTGGTGAGGAGATACAAATAGATGAAAAGTATGGTCAGAGAGAGGAAGTTGTTCTACTAATATGGTAAGTGGTAAAATAAAGAGAAACTTATTTTGAAGAAAACCATAAAGCAAAATTTAAGAAGGTAAAAAGCCCAAGGCAATTGGATACAATCATATACAGAAACTTAGCTTCAACAGGGCATCATGAAGTGTCCACCATAGTATAGATATAGTAGTAGACTATCTAAATCACACGTAGATAATCTCATGGAACTTAGAGTAGCACTAAATCTTAAAACAGAAAGAGTAAAGGCAAGACTGAGAGTAAAAGAGAAGGGAAATAGATGTAGGCATCCACCAAAGGCTGACAATCCTAACAGCTGTCATTGTTATCCTAGCCACCATTTCAACTTCTTTCCTACTTTACCCTCTTCTCTGTTCTCATTTAAAAAAAGAAATCAGGCCAGGCGCGATGGCTTACACCTGTAATCCAAGCACTTTGGGAGGCCGAGGCGGGCGGATCACGAGGTCAGGATTTTGAGACCATCCTGGCTAACATGGTGAAACCCCATCTCTACTAAAAATACAAAAAATTAGCTGGGCGTGGTGGTGGACACCTGTAGTCCCAGCTACTCGGGAGGCTGAAGCAGGAGAATGGCATGAACCCAAGAGGCGGAGCTTGCAGTGAGCCGAGATTACGCCACTGCACTCCAGCCTGGGTGATAAAGCGAGACTGACTCCGTCTCAAAAAAAAAAAAAAAAAAAAAAAAATCAAAGGCGTTATCCTGATTTCTATATGAGAACTTTTCTTTTACTAACCAGAATGCTCAACATATGAGAATTTGATATGTAGCACATCAGATCTTTTTAAACTATAGTTTTGAATTGCAAAAGAAAAAAGCATATTTCAAAAAAATATTTCTCCCCTAATTTAGCCTGACTACTGATTTTTAATGTAAGTAATTTAGGCTGTTAAATTTTCTTTTCCTTGAAGTGAATTTGGAATTATTGGAGCAAATCCTACATTTTTAAATGTTGTTAATTTGATAATTTTAATCTTTAGTTTCGTAATTTACCTAAGACATTATTTTAGTTTACTTTCAAAAACTCTCTCTCTCTCTCTGTTTCTTTCTTTTCTTTCTCTCTCTCTCACTGTCTCTCCCTCTTTGTCTCTCTCCTCACTCTTGTCACCCAGTCTGGAGTACGGTGGCACCATCATATTTCACTGTAATCTCGAACTCCTGGCCTCAAGTGATTCTCCCACCTTGGCCTCCCAAAATGTTGAAACTACAGGAATGAGCTACCACACCCTGCCAGCTTTAAATTCTTGACCTGTGAAATTTCCCTTTCAAATCACTGTTGCTCTTTAAGCCACTCATCTCTTATTTATATACTCAGCAAATATCTATTGAATGCCTATTATATTCTGAACTTTAGTATTCCCTTTTAACTACTCTACATGCCCTTCTCCCTTATCTTAATCACTGGTTCTTTGATACTCTACCCTGCAAATTACTGTATCACTACCCTGATTTTGACCTCGTTTGCTTTCCTGCGTGTCATGGACCTCACAGTAGAGCATTTCAATTGCACTTTAACCAGCACCTTTGATTCTTTGGTTGCTTTAATGTCTTTACATATATATATATAATATATATTATTAACACCATTTATTGCTGTCTCCTGTCTTTAAGCTAACTCTTCATTTGGCTTCTGTAGCATTACTCTGACTTGGTTTACCTCTTATCTCTCTGACTTCTATTTCTCAGGTTCTTTTACTATTTCTTCTGACTTTATTCGTTATTATCATTTTATTTTGCAATAAGTATTTATTGATATTTACCCACATATTTGTACTTTCCATTGTTTTTGAGTCCATCCTGCTTTTGTCTAGAGCCTCCATTTAATATTTCATTTAGTACAGGTCTGCTGGTGATGAAGTCTCTTTTTTTGTCTGCTGATTTATAACATCTTTATTTTGTTTTTATTTTGGAAGGGTGTTTTTGCTAGACATAGAATTATATGTTGGCAGTTATTTTCTTTTGGCACATTAAAAACTCGAGGCTGGAGTCAGTATCTAGTCCATTCCTGCTCTCAGGGTGTTTTGAGAGCTTAGGATGTTTACAGGGACTTCCCCACTGACAGGTCCTGAACTATAATCCTTGTCTCCTCATCATTGCGAGACTTCCAAAAACTCCATTTATAGGTAATTATAAGGATTTTGACTTTTATTATGTGTGAGATGGGAAGCTGCTAGAGAGTTTGAGCAGAGGACTGCTGCACAAAAGGATTTTTCTGTCTGCTGTGGTAAGAATAGACTGTAAGAAAGCCAAGAGGAGTCTGGGAAGACCAGTTAAGAGGCTACTGCAAAAAAGCAAGCAAGAGGTGAAGGTGGCATATAATTTCTTGTCTAGCTATTGAAATAACTTCCAAACTGCCTCAAATATTGATCTTACTCAAACTATCACATCCAATGACGTCACTCCTCAGTTAAAATCCTTCAAAGATTCCCCATTATATCTTTAAGTAAAAATTCAAATTCCTTAACAAAGGATAAAAGATCATATTCATGCTCTGGTCTCTGCCTCCCTTTAAAGTATCTTCTCTTATTCACCTCTTTCCTTTAGCCAGTGTTACCTACTTGAAGCCTAAAATCCCTCCATAGGTTTTAAAGCTCCCATAGGCCTCCATGCATTGACCTGTGTTTTGCTTCTGCTTGGGCCGTCTTTCATCAACCCTCCTCTATTGTGCGATTATTGACTCCAACTTATCTTTAGAGATTCAGCTTAACAGTTATCTTCTGGAGGCCAGGCATGGTGGCTCACACCTGTTAATTCCAGCTCTTTGGGATGTCAAGGTGGGCAGATTGCTTGAGCCCAGGAGTTCGAGATTAGCCTGAGCAACATAGCAAGACCCCATCTCTTTAAAAAAAAAAAAAAAAGAATTATCTTCTCTCTGAAGAGTTTCTAGAATTCTTTCCTTCCCTAGTCCAATACATAAATGAGTCTTTTCTAGGGATTTGGAAAATTTAATAAATGTTTATGGCATCTACTGTCTGCCAAGAACAGTTCTAGGAATTGGAGATACACCAGTGAATAAGCTACAGTCTTTGCCCTCAAGGATCTCAGTCTAGAAGAGAAGACACATAAATACATAACTGCATTATAGAGTGACAGGCATAGCAGCAGAAATTGTGATTGTTGGGGGAGAATGTGAGTGAAAGCTTCCTAGAGGAGGGGAAATCCATGTTGGTTTTTTATTTTTTTAGACGGAGTCTCACTCTGTTGCCAGGCTGCAGTGCAGTGGCACAATCTTGGCTCACTGCAACCTCCGCCTCCTGGGTTCAAGCGATTTTCATGCCTCAGCCTCCTGAGTAGCTGGGACTACAGGCGCCCACCACCGTGCCCAGCTAATTTGTGTATTTTTGGTAGAGATGGGGTTTCACCATGTTGGCCAGGATGGTCTCGATCTCTTGACCTCGTGATGTGCCCGCCTCGGCCTCCCAAAGTGCTGGGATTACAGGTGTGAGCCACTGTGCCTGGCCTTATGTTGGTTTTAAACTCTAAATTAGTTTATCAAGCAGACAAGGTATGTGGGGTAGTGTAGACATCCAAGATGGAAGGAACAATATGTGCAATGGTATGAAATGGCAAAATAGCAAGACTTAGGGAAATTATAGAAACTTTGTATTTGAATGTAAAATTTGAAAGATGATTAATGGGAGATGAGCTTAAAAGAATCATTAAAGATCTTATTTATAATACATACCTCTCTTATAGCACTTACCGTCCTGTATTATAACCATTGATATTCATCTCCATGTCACCACCAAATTGGCTTCTTCAGAATAGGCATTGACTCTTGTTCATTAATCTTTACATACATAGCACCTAGCCAGGTGTCTAAGATGCAGTAGATGGAGTACTCAGTAAATGCTTCTGTTGTTAACATGGACCCTTTAAGTCTTAAAAGATTATTTTAAATAAGACTATTACTTGCTGTTTGGTACAAATTTATATCTGTATCTGTCTATTCTGAGTTGATCTAGATATTATCAGTTTCAAATTCTAAGTATATGAAATAAAATTGAAATAAAGTATAAGTTAACTAGAGATTTTTAGTAAAACTTGATTTAAAATGTCAGGGCATGACATATCCAGTATGCAAACATTTTTTAAACAAAATGTTATTAAATTGCTTCTCAGATATACATAACTATTATTGAGAGACATGACAATTAGTAGAATGGAACAGATATTTGTGGCAGGTTTGCTGGAGGTTCTATGTATATCTTTCCATTCACTCTTTTTTTTTTTTTTTTTTTTGAGGTGGAGTCTCACTTTGTCACCCAGGCTGGAGTGCAGTGGCATGATCTTGATCTTGGGCCACCGCAATCTCTGCCGCCCGGGTTCAAGCAATTACTTCTGCCTCAACCTCCTAAGTAGCTGTGATTACAGGTGTGCACCATCACGCCTGGCTAATTTTTGTATTTTTAGTAGAGATGGGGGTTCACCATATTGGCCAGGCTCATCTTGAACTCCTGACCTCAAGCGATCCACCCGCCTTGGCCTCCCAAAGTGCTGGGATTGCAGGCATGAGCCACTGCACCTGGCCTCCATTCGCTCTTATGCTTTTCTTTATGTCTTCCACAGCATTGGATACCAGATGGAAAGACTTAATGGCAGAAAGGGGTAATTAGCAACAGTCTTAAGAACTCTGCAGCTCAATTTGGTAGGGCTGGTAGTCTGTTGGGTCTCCAGAAGACTAATAGCCAGCTTTTTAGTCCTAGTGTATTCTTGCCACTTGTTTCCAAAAAAAAGTATTTCAAGCCACTTTGGAAAGTAACACAAGTGTTTTAGAAATGTTGTGAAGATAAAGGAAAAAAAAGAGGCACATAAACTCAAATTTACCATAATAATATTTAGTGCTTCCTCAGATTTTTGTAATCTGAGAAAAATTGACTAATTACTGATGAAGAAATTGGAAAACAAAAGGAAAAACAAAGTCTTTCGAATAGATGCATTGCTTCGTGTTAAGTAGTTTTACCCATATTTTCAAGAAAAATATCACGTGGGCTTATTTGCCTTCTCTTAGTTTTTAAAAAATGCCTATGTTGAGGTGTCTGCTAACCATTGTGGCTTCTCTTAACATCTTCTCCCTTCTTCCCTCTTCTCCTTCAGTATCTTTTTGCCACATACGTTGCTCCTTCTGCCACTCTTGACATTGGACTCCAACAGGAAAAGAAAAAAGAAATTTATATGAAAATACAGCCACCATTTGAAGACCTTTTTGACACAGCAGAGGAATATATCCTTCTCCTCCTTCTTGAGCCATGGACAAAGATGGTAAAATCGGACCAAATTGCTTATAAAAAGGTACCGTGCCACCGATAAATTGAGTGTGAAACCATTCAGGTTTACTACAATACTGACGCCTGTTATCCCAGCACTTTGGGAGGCCGAGGCGGGTGGATCACCTGAGGTCAGGAGTTCAAGACCAGCCTAGCTAACGTGGTGAAAACCCATCTGTACTAAAAATACAAAAATTAGCCAGGCGTGGTGGTGGGCGCCTGTAATCCCAGCTACTTGGGAGTCTGAGGCAGGAGAATTGCTTGAACCTGGGAGGTAGAGGTTGCAGTGAGCCAAGATCGCACCATTGCACTCCAGCCTGGATGCCAAGAGCAAAACTCGGTCTAAAAAAAAAAAATTAAAAAATAAAAAATAAAATAAAAATAAAAATAAAAAATTGTTAGGTTTACTGCTGATGATAAGCAGCATTGTTAACTTGCAAGAGAAAAACTGAAAAAGGTCTCACGTGGCCCTAAGATTTAGAGTTAAGATTTGGGTAGCCTCAAAATTTGGGCAGGGAAAGTATTTACCCACTTGAATTTTTTTTTTTTTGAGTCAGAGTCTCGCTCTGTCACCCAGGCTGGAGTGCAGTGGCATCACTTGATTTTTTTTTTCTTTTTTTTTTGCCGGTTTTCTTATTGTTGTCTAACGAAAGACTTTATGTCATTTTTTGCTCTCCGTACAAGTATGTCAGAGTAGAGAAATCTGAGTTTTGGTTTCCTGTGAATAAGTAAATATGCCCTTCTTGCTAGTTTTCAGCAGTGGCCTGAATTTTGATTAACAGAAAAGCCTATTTCATTTTATGCTAGATGAGTTTCAGTTAATATTACACCTATGGAAAACATAAACGTTTCATATGTATTGTGGAAAGCAGATCCTCTGACTTTGGTACTTCTATTTTAAAGTACCCCCAGATGTTCATCAGGTCAGACTGCTTGACTGGATACAAGTTTCAGCATGTCTTTTGTCATCCTGAAAGAGGTCATTTTAAGCCTCAATGCTTGAATATTTTCCCTATTTTATTAACGGGTGGAGGCAATTTATTTAAATATTTACTTTGAATCACAAATTAAAACCATCTATGTATACGTTTATATTAAGTTAATGCATGTACTGTGTACCTGAGGTCATTTCAGGCGGAACTCTGCTGCCTTTGCATTGTTATTCTTTGTTCACATCTCCTCAACAACTTCTTAGATCGTCATACAAAATTAATACCAAAACACCTTGGATAGAGTTACCTTATTGGATCGTGACTGAAACAACTATTATGATTTACTAAGTTCAATGACCAAAATAATTAGATTTCTCTTTGTCCTGAAAAATTAGCCTAGTATCCTTTTTATTATAAAAATGCATTTATTACAGTAGGGAAATTTGGATATCAGATGAAGTTTTAAAAAATTCTCTCCAGTCATTATTTTAAATATAGTGTATGCCGTAGAGGGTGCAATGGTTTTAAAAAAAAAAAGATTTGGAATTATAACTAACTTCCCTAAACCAAAAAGTTTCGGCATTAGTCATGATTCTTATAAAATGGATGAAACAAATTGTACAGTTTTTAGTAGGAGGAAAAATAAATCTCTCTTAGTTCCAGAAACTTCCTTCTGGAAGTATGAGGACTTATCTAAAAGATCAGCTGACTGTATTCTGTAGACTCTTTCCCAAAAAGAATAACCCAGCAGACTATCAAAGCTAGCTATTAAATAAAGAAAGTTCTCAGGCAGCTCTTCAGCCAAGCTGATTTTCCCCTGCAATAGAGAAATAGAAAATGGTCTTGTTCTCCTGACTATATGAAGTAGTACATTACAAACTCTGAAGACAGAGACCTGCTATGAGGTTTTATTTGATGATTGATGGTCTCCTCTCTTACTACAGCATTAAAGCCTTTGCTCACATACTAATAACAACATGGAGTCTGGTCATTTCTTGTTCTGTGAATTATTTGGTTCCTAAAGCTAGTGGCATCTGCTTTCATGACTATTATCAAGTTATATTGAATAGAAGCTGGAAATGTGACTAATATATTTGCATTGTTTGTAAGTTTACATTCCTCCAGAAAGGAGGAATGATCTTTGGTGGCACTATATCATTACATAGAAATGTATGCATTTTTTATTGCATCCTTTTGAAGTGTGACCCTGCTGTAGCTAATCTTTTAAACTATGTTATCTTCCTGCTTTTGCTTTGAAAATAATTTCCTTTATTGGCAACTGTATTTGTTTTTCAGCCCACTGTTACTAGCAAATTGTACATTCTCTTGATGTCACAAGCTTTATTTATTTTTTTTAGGTGGAGCTGGTGGAAGAAACTCGACAGTTAGACTCCACATACTTCAGAAAGCTACAGGCTTTGCATAAAGAGACATTTTCCAAGAAAGCTGAGGTAAGGCAACTTTCTACTTAGAAAAACAAACTTTTTATCCTGGAGAGGGTTACCACTTTATGTATGGGGCAGGGGGAGATTGTAGAGTGACGAGATCATATAGGCAGTTTCATTTTTCTGCTGTTCCTTTGCCTAGCATGCTGCATTTGACAGGTGTTACATTTTATTGACATATTTGACAAGAGAGCCAGAAAAACAAAGCAGATGAGGTATTTGGTAGGGAGCCAGGCCACTCATTTGCCTTAGCTAAGACCAGACATTGGAGCCTTCAACTGTGTTATATTCCTCTGAATGTTATCAGTTATTTTCTATATGGCAGCTGCTCTTTCTATTTGTTGTCAGGTTACAAAACAGTTAAATTAAATTTTCTAAACAGAAAAGAAACTGTTGCGTGACAGCGATAGGGAAAACAATGAAGAAAAAGTATGGGAAGGAATTGAGGAAGACGGTAAAAAGATCATAGGATTGATTAGGATATTAAAGTGTTATTTTGATTCATAAAGTTGAATCTTTTGGATTGGCTAAGTAAACATAATAAATCCTTAAAGCCATAAAATTAAATTTGTGCATCTACATAAAAATGACAGTTAATTGACCTGGAAAGTGTTTAAGATATATTAAAATTTTTGGAACAGAAAAACTGGTATGGTATGATCGATCCTGTTTATGTAAAATTATATATGTATTTCTGCATGTATCCATAAGTATAAAAAGAAATATCTGAAAAGACACTCACCAAAATATTAAAGATAGTTAACTCTGAGTGGTAAGGTTTCAGGTGATTTTTTTTTAAACTTTCTTCTTTGTACATATCTGAAATTTTTATTCTTATCCAGAAGTTCTCTATTTGATACACTACTACTAGCTTGCAAAGGATACATAAAAATCCATAAAGGTAGCAAGATATAAGGTTGTATTGTAAACTCTATGAACTAAACTTTATAATACTATCCACAATCCTTCTACATAAGGAAATTAATTTTTAAAACATTGGTAGCTTATCTCATGGATCCTTTACAAAAACAAATAGGGAGATGAATTAGTTATGTAAGGAATTATATAAGGAAGGGCCTTACAAAGAATAAGACTCTTTTCCCCTTTGCCCTTTCGTGCTTGTAAACTGTTCACAAAACATCAGAGGTCATAAAATTACCTAAAAATTAACTTTTATATGAAGGCGATTATATTTATATTATATTTTAATATTATATTTGAAGGATGTATTATTAGATTAGTAGCTTGTATTACTCTATAACTTTTAAAAATTATGTTATAAAAGAATATCTTATGTTTATGATACATTGTTAAGAAAAAGAACCAGATCACAAAACTATAAATAGGTGCATAATCCTATCTTTATATTTTGAAACTACATCAGACATTGTAAATCTCTTCATGAATTCAATCTGCTGAACTATGCAACCATCATAGTATCTAATCTTCACTTTTTATTTTTGTTTTTATTTTTAATTTTTATTTTTATACTTTTCTTCATTTTTTATAAACTACACATATATAAGTAAGACTGGAAGGATATATTAAAAAATGTTAATGGTGGTTATCTTTGAATGGTAGTATTATGTATGATTTTTATTTTCTTATTACAAAAGACATTTTACTTCTATACTTAGAAAAATATATCAAAGTTAATAATTTACAAGCAAGTGCTTTGTATAGTAAATATTTACTAAACATTTATGAAAAGAAGGGAATGGAATGAAAATAAACAGAACAGAATTTGATATGTTAGAATCTGAATCAGATTCTTTACCAGATTCTAAAGTCTTTACCCACTCTGCCATTGAATTATTAAATGGCTTTGGCCTAATGGTTGATTTTTCTTTCAGTTTCTCTACTTAAAATTGTAAACAATCTGTTGTGTTTAAGAGATTTTTGCTGAAAAGTACTATTTCACTAGGACACCACTTGTGAAATTGGAACTGGCATTTTATCACTCTCTAACGTCTCTAAACGAACAGAATATTGGGATAATGTTCCTGCAGAATACAAGCATTTTAAGTTTAGTGATCTGCTTAACAACAAACTGGAGTTTGAACATTTCCGTCAGTTTCTTGAGACTCATTCTTCAAGGTGAGGGACATAACCATATATTTCTCACTGAAAACATTTTTCTAAGCTACTATTTTTGATTCAACATATTATAAAAGTGATTTGGTGCTATAACAGATTTTACTCATGTCAATAAAAACTGACAAACATGATTATCTGAAATCTGTATGGGTAACTTTTTAAAGATGGAGTACATTTTGATTGTATCAACCTCCATATTGTTCTTTTAAGTGGTTACATATGTTGATACTTTCAGCATTGGCTAAGTTAAAATACCAGTGTGCTTTATTTTTTCTCTTTTCTACTGTTTCTTTCTTTTATATTTCTCTAGACTGGTATTTTAATTACTGTTTCTGGAATGTGTCCTTTTTATATTTCATTGAGATATTGAAATTATATTTTATAATTTTTATTAACAGATTTATAAACGAAACATTGTAGTTTTACCCAGAATCTTGGAACCTTATAACATATTTATCTAATATAAACTGAAGTATTCAATATATTTTTTTCCTATTAATATTCTCCCTAGTTAACAGAAACTGGTAAGATCTGGGAGCCAAATTTCACTGTATATGGTTTCCCTTCATTGTAATGAGGATTTTTCTATCTTTTTATTTTTTATTTATTAATTTTTTTAATTTTTGTGGCTACATAGTACATGTATATATTTATGGGGTACATGAGATGTTCTGATACAGGCATGTAGTGTGAAATAAGCACATCATGGAGAATGGGGTATCCATTCCCTCAAGCATTTATCCTTTGAGTTACAAACAATCCAGTTATACCTTAAGTTATTTTTAAATGTACAATTAAGTTATTATTGACTATAGTCATCCTATTGTGCTATCAAATAGTAGTTCTTACTCATTCTTTTTTTTTCTTTTTTGAGACAAGGTCTCACTCTGTCGCCCAGGCTGAAGTGGCATGATCCTAGCTCACTGCAGGCTCCGTCTCCTGGGTTCAAGTGATTCTCATGCCTCAGCCTCTGCAGCAGCTGGAATTACAGGCATGTGCCACCACGCCCAGCTAATTTTTCTATTTTTAGTAGAGATGGGATTTTGCCATGTTGGCCAGGCTGGTCTCAAACTCGTGACCTAAAGTGATCTGCCTGCCTGCCTTGGCCTCCCAAAGTACTGGGATTACAGGTATCAGCCATTGTGCCTGGCCCTTATTCAAGCTTTCTATTTTTTGGTACCCATCAAGATGAGGATTATTCTAAATTTGACCTTTTGTCGAATGACATGACATATGTGGAAATTTTCTCATTTTTGAAATTGATGAAATTAGTGAAAGAACTCTGAGATCCCACCAATAATGGTGACGGATTTTTTTTTCTGATCCCAAAATTCCTTTGTCATCATTCATATATTTAGCCAGGATTAGGAGTGTAATAGAGTCAAGTGAACTAGCCTAGAAAGGGATCAGAGATACAATATTGGGTTCGTTATTTCCATGATCTAATGCTACTAGTCAAGATAGCCACTTTCTAAGTTCTGTCAAAACAACAATCGGGTGTTTACTAGAATTTAGAGGAAGAAATATGAAGAGCTATACATTGTTTTTGTTTTCATTTTAGCATGGATCTTATGTGCTGGACAGACATTGAGCAGTTCCGGAGAATAACTTACAGAGATCGAAATCAAAGGAAGGCAAAATCTATATACATTAAAAACAAATACCTTAATAAAAAATATTTCTTTGGACCCAACAGTCCAGCTTCTCTGTATCAGCAGAACCAGGTATCAACATGCAAACCTATTTTTTTAATTGATGTTTGAAAACCGGTATTTTATTTCTATTTTTGCCAACAACCTGAAAGTCTCTTATTTTATTTTCTTTTGCTTATGACTAATGTGTTAAAGACCTTTGATATTTATTTAGGTATTTATGAGCATCTATAAATTAAATGTCTTTAATACTCAAACATTATATAGTATAAAAATGTGTTACTCTAAAAAGTAGTTTATAGAATAAAATAACTTTTATTCACCTACTCATTGACTCATTCAATAAATTTGAGTGCCTTCACTATGCCAGACTGTTCTAGGTGCTCAAGATAAAGTGGTGAAGAAGATGGACAAGCTCCCTGCACCTGTCAACATGTAGGAAAACAGCTGTTATCAACCATTAAGCTAAATCTCTACTACTTTTCTGTTCTTCTCTGAACTGATATTACTCTAAATATAATCAATCTTTGAAAATCCTCTTTACTATGGAACCTTGAGCAAATATTATAAAAGAAAGAAAAGAAAATCCTCCTTACAATTGTATTTTCCCCAGAAAATATTTTTATTGACCAGGACAGTTTGAACATTTTGTTGGACCAAAGTCCTATGGCCTTAATCACAATTTATTAATAACTAAATAACTACAGTGTCATTAGATTGACAGCAAGAATATAAGATTGGGCTGGGCGTGGTGGCTTACGCCTGTAATCCCAGCACTTTGGGAGGCCAAGACAGGTAGATTGTTTGAGGTCAGGAGTTCGAGACCAGCCTGGCCATGGTGAAATCCTGTCTCTACTAAAAATACAAAACTTAGCCAGGTGTGGTGGCACACACCTGTAATCCCAGCTACTCGGGAGGCTAAGGCAGGAGAATCCCTTAAACCCAGGAGGCAGAGGTTGCAGTGAGTGGAGATTGTGCCCCTGCACTCCAGCCTAGACAACAGAGTGAGTGAGACTGTGTCTCAAAAAAAAAAAAAATGTATATATATATATGTATATATATATATATATAAAAAATTGGGATTCAGCGGTAGGTTTGTGTTCATGTAACACTGCTCATGAAATATGATGCAATTTTTATACTTTTGAAATATAAATAATTATCATAATTTATTTAGCTTGAAGTTTGTTAATATTACATTCATACCTAAAGATGTAATGTATAGTTTATCATTTTTTTTTGTTTGGTAGTTTACAAGAATGCATGTTCTAATGGTATATATTAATAAAATACAAATTTCAGATTAATGCTAAATTCAGTAAATTAAAGAAAAACTCAGAGAGGTTCACAAGTAAGGCATACCAAATTTAAAAGCTAGATCTTTGGGGTGCAGGAGAAATTGGCAAAAGGCTTTGGGAGCGAGAGGGAGCAGGAATTCTGGAATTAAGCAACTTTGACAAAAATGCTTTGTCCTTAGTTCCCTGAGATACAAATCTGGGACACATTAGCAAAAGTGGTTGGGTGTCTCAATAAGCACAAGTATGAAATAAACACATGGAAAGCATTTGTTTTCTATTTGGCTTGTGCTACATTGCGTGAGGTTTCATGGTATCTCATGCTACTGTGTGAATCCTCCATAGTACACACAACATGCTGAGAATCTAAGTCAGTGAAAGTCACCCATTGCTATCATAGCAAATAGATGTGCTTACTACAGAGGATTTTCCCCAATGATCCTTCTTTGTCTTTGTCATCACTTTTAAAATGTATTTTATACTTAAGGATGTCTGCATCACATTGTTTTATAAAGATCGTGCTAGTCCAGATTTCAGTTGTGCAGCCAATTTGCTCTTTGATTAGCAAGGTAGTCTTTTTTTTTCTTTTTCTTTTTTGTTTTTATACAGAAAAATATTAGTGTTGATATTATTTAATGATATTATTAAAGGAGAACTAAGAAGAGGATTTCCTTTTTGTTTTTATATAAAACAATAGTATTAGTAGTGGTATTATATTAACATTATTGCTCAAAGGAGAACAAAGAAGAGGGCAGTTGTTCCACTGAGCAATCCAGAAATTTTGAGTGGTATGTACACAGAAACAGGTAGAAACAAGAATGAGTTATGGCAGGAAAAAGCTATTAGTAGCTTGTTGAAGCCAATCATTAAGCAGAAGGAAAATTTAGATCACAAAGAAGTTGTGTTTTACAAATGGTACTTATTATCTATAAAACATGACCTTTTTCTGTTTCCTGTTGCCTCTGTTTTCTGCTTAGAGGTTGTTGGAAAAGCCCTACATTGCTATCACTACAACTGCACTGTTCTGGGTGCATAGTGCACTACAGCTGCCATCATCCTATCTCCAACCCAACATTTGTTGGTAATATACGTATTTATAATATCTGAGTCAAGGTTGTCGTTTAATTAACACATTTTCCTCATCCACAGAAGAAAATTCTTAAGTGGATCAATATGACTAGAATCAGAGATTCATAGGATATTAGAAAACTAATAGACTAATGTCCTCATTTTTCAGTTGGAGATACTGAGTCCATGGAGGGAAAAAAATGCCATTGCTGTGGTCACACAGGATAAAAATCCCACTTCTGTGTTCTTTTTGATATATCATAAGTAAGCACAAATCATACATCTAAAACAACCAGCACATAAACCACAATTGTCTGTCTGATTTTAGGGGAATTATTGCTCAGTATAGCCAGGAGATGTTATACAGAAAATGAAAATTGGCACCCCTCAGGGTGCAGCAAATGGTTTTGTAGTGAATGAATGAATTAATGACTATTAGTGTTTCTTTTAGAAAGCACAATAGTTTCTGTTTCCATCTTAATTTTCTTAGGTAATGCATTTAAGTGGTGGCTGGGGGAAGATTCTTCATGAGCAGCTTGATGCACCTGTTCTAGTTGAAATCCAGAAGCATGTGCAAAATAGGCTAGAAAATGTATGGCTGCCATTGTTTCTTGCAAGTGAACAGTTTGCAGCACGTCAGAAGATAAAGGTATATAAATTAGTATAATCTTTTGATAGCAGTTGTCAGTACCTCTGAAAACTTCAAATGTACATACCTGGTGACCCAGCCATTGTCCTTTTTTTTTTTTTTTAAGGAATGGGCTCTCTCTGTCACCCAGTCTGAAGTGCAGTGGTGTGATCCTAGCTCACTGCAGCCTCGAACTCCTGTGCTCAAGCAATACTCCCACCTCAGCCTCCCAAGTAACTGAGACTACAGGCATGCACTACCATGCCCAGCTAATTGAAAAAAATTTTTTTGAAGAGATGGAGTCTTGCTATGTGCCCAGGCTGGTCTCAAACTCCTAGGCTCAAGCAGTCCTCCTGCCTTGGCCTCCCAAAGTGCTGGGATTACAGGTGTGAGACGCCATGCCAGGCCTTAGTCATTGTACTTCTGTTGAGAATGGTTTGAAGTATGGAGTCAGCCACGTGTGGTGGCATGCACCACAGCTGGAACACCAAGTAGTCCCAGCTACTTGGAAGGCTGAAGGAGGAGGATTGCTCGAGTCTAGGAGATCGAGGTTACAGTGAGCTATGATCACATCAGTGCACTCTAGCCTGGGTGACAGAGTGAAACCCTGTCTCTAAAATAATAATAATAATAATTTTTTTTTAAAAAAGCATGGAGTCAAAATTCCCAAGTTTTTGGTTTTTTGTTTATTTGAGAGTCAGGGGTCACCCTGTTGTCTCAGTGTCCAAACTGGAGTGCAGTGGCTATTCACAAGCACAATCATAGTGCACTACAGCTTTGAAACACTGGGGCTCAATCAATCTTCCTGCCTCAGCCTCTGAGTTGCTAGGACTATAGGAAAGTTCCACAGTGCCCAGCTGTGACTGCCAAGTTTTAATCTCAACACTGCCACATATTAGTTGTACCACCTTTAAGTTTCATAAATTGTTTCCTCATTTGAAAAATTGAGTTGGTCATAGTAATTACTTAGTAAGGTTGTTCTGAAAAATGAAGTGAAATTAACATGTGCTTGTTTCTTAGAATGGTGCCTGGCACATGGCAAACACTCAAATGTTATCTATTAATATAGTTGTTATTTTTAATATTATTAAGTCCTCACACAAGTGGACAAGGTTATACAAGGATATTCATTGCAATATCAAATGGGAGAAGAATTAGATAAGTTATGATAATTCTGTACTATGGAAAAATATGCAGATTTCCTTAAAAAATGAGATTAAAAAATAAAAATGAGATTTCCACATGTACTATATGAAAGATGTCATTTATTGAACAAAACAAGCAGGATGCAGAACAATGTATAGAAGATAATCCCATTACATTTACTTACATCTCTGTCTATGCATATCTATCCATCCATCCATCCATCTGTTTATGTTTATGCTTATGGTAGAAAAACACCTAGAAAGATCTGCCTCCTGGGAATGGGTTTGGGGAGTGAGGATTTTTACTTTTTATTTTGTAAAGTGGGTTTGTCTTTGCTTTGCCTTGTTTTTATTTTATAAGAAGTATTTCTTTGATAATTTAAAATGTCATTAGCACACCTTGTTTTTAGGTTTCAGGCAAACCTGATCTTTATAAAAATAACACAGGGGTCAGAAAACATGCAGTTTTGGACTTTAGTATGCAAAGCCACATGCCATTAATACTAATCAGGAAGAACCTGAAAAGCTTCATTCTATATTCAGTTTCTCAAACACTTTGTGGCCTACTTATTTGGAAATATCCTTAGTCATTTGAGCTGAGCAACTTATGGAAAACACAATGCAGCTGGGAAGACAGAATTTATAGTATGAAGAAGAAGGATTGACTTTAGGAAAAATGTTTCTGGAAATAAGCTTTGGGAAAACTCAAATCTCCTCAATCTCTTTCTTCAGGCTAACTCCAATTCTCTATCCAAAGTCAAGTAAAAGGACATTTGGCTTGCTAATATTATTTACCACGTTTCCTCATTATGTTTATCACTGTAATTTTATTGCAATGCATAGTCATTTCTTGACTTAGCATTCTTTAGGTGGCCAGCAAAATAAACTGATTTTGGCAACCTTGAACCAAAGACAAAAGGAAGGGTGAGGATTGATTCTAAAGTGCTGCTGGGCCACCTCACACACTTAAGAGTTGACATCCAAGCTTTAGAAAAGATGTAGGCCAGGACAGCCCTAGGAACCCAGCAAGAATTCTCAGATCTTTCCTCCTGGCTCTATCAAAAAGACTTAGCCCCAGTGATTCTAGTCCTTATCTCTCTAGATCTGCTTCTGGATCTATCTGCTATGGACAGGGAGATAGAGTCAATAGCACAGGTTTGTTATGAGCGGTTCCCAAGAAAGGGGAAATGATATGAATAGGCAATAACCCCAAGAAATATCTACTGTATTTCCATGTTGAGTAACTTTTAGTACTCTTTTAAAATTAGTTGTGAAAGTATATGGCTAGAAAATAGCTAAAAAGTCTGAGAAGTCGTAATTGTCTTTCCAGCTTCAGTTCCCATGTGAGCTCAAGTGAAACTATCATCATTTGGGGCAATAACAATCGGGTAGTATTATCTCTATTTTACAGATGAGGTTAGAGTGTTCAGAAAAATTTGGTACCTGACCACAGGGCTTCCATTTTTAAGTTTGATCCTCTTTCTCCTAAACTTCACTATCTCTTGTCCAAGTTAACCTTTATCTCATTTTTTTAGCTACTTAATTAGTAAATGATTTCAAGCCTTTAGTCTGAATAACTGGGATAAAATAATTGGTTTTGCTTTCAGGTACAGATGAAAGACATAGCAGAAGAGCTCTTACTACAGAAGGCTGAAAAGAAAATCGGGGTCTGGAAGGCAAGTAATGTTTGTTATATTCTTCCTCTTGTAAGTTTTGCTCTGTCAAAGTATTGTTTTTCTTTCCCTTTCTTGTTCAAAAATCCTCACTGAGGACACACTGTTTTCTAAACTGACAACTGAGCACTGATACTGTTTTTAATTGATGAATGGAATTTGGAGGAAAATGTGACTCTATCAGAACTCTGTTCTTTTTTTATATACATACTTTAAGTTCTAGGGTACATGTGCACAACGTGTACGTTTGATACATAGGTATACATGTGCCATGTTGGTTTGCTGCACCCATCAACTCATCATTTACATTAGTTATTTCTCCTAATGTTACCCCTCCCCCAGCCCCCCACCCCCCAACAGGCCCCAGTGTGTGGTGTTCCCCGCCCTGTGTCCAAGTGATCCCGTTGTTCAATTCCTACCTATGAGTGATAACATGCAGTGTTTGGTTTTCTGTCCTTGTGATAGTTTGCTGAGAATGATGGTTTCCAGCTTCATCCATGTCCCTGCGAAGGACATGAACTCATCCTTTTTTATGGCTGCATAGTATTCCATGGTGTATATGTGCCACATTTTCTTAATCCAGTCTATCATTTATGGACATTTGGGTTAGTTCCAAGTCTTTGCTATTGTGAATAGTGCTGCAATAAACATACGTGTGCATGTGTCTTTATAGCAGCATGATTTATAATACTTTCGGTATATACCCAGTAATGGGATTGCTGAGTCAAATGGTAATTCTAGTTCTAGATCCTTGAGGAATCGCCACACTGTCTTCCACAATGGTTTAACCAATTTACACTCTCACCAACGGTGTAAAAGCATTCCTTTTTCTCCACATCCTCTCCAGCATCTGTTGTTTCCTGACTTTTTAATAATTGCCATTCCAGCTGGCGTGAGATGGTATCTCATTGTGGTTTTGATTTGCATTTCTCTGATGACCAGTGATGATGAGCATATTTTCATGTCTGTTGGCTGCATAGATGTCTTGTTTTGAGAAGTGTCTGCTCATATCCTTCGCCCACTTTTTGATGGGGTTGTTTTTTTCTTGTAAATTTGTTTGAGCTCTTCGTAGATTCTGGATATTAACCCTTTGTCAGATGGATAGATTGCAAAAATTTTCTCCCATTTTGTAGGTTGCCTGTTCACTCTGATGGTAGTTTCTTTTGCTGTGCAGAAACTCATTAGTTTAATTAGATCCCGTTTGTCTATTTTGGCTTTTGTTGCCATTGCTTTTGGTGTTTTAGTCATGAAGTCCTTGCCCATGCCTATGTCCTGAATGGTATTGCCTAGGTTTTCTTCTAGGGTTTTTATGGTTTTAGGTCTAACATTTAAGTCTTTAATCCATCTTGAATTAATTTTTGTATAAGGTGTAAGGAAGGGATTGAGTTTCAGCTTTCTACATATGGCTAGCCAGTTTTCCCAGCACCATTTATTAAATAGGGAATCGTTTCCCCATTTCTTGTTTTTGTCAGGTTTGTCAAAGATCAGATGGTTGTAGATGTGTGGTGTTATTTCTGAGGCCTCTGTTCTGTTCCATTGGTCTATATCTCTATTTTGGTACCAGTACCATGCTGTTTTGGTTACTATAGACTTGCAATGTAGTTTGAAGTCAGGTAGCGTGATGCCTCCAGCTTTGTTCTTTTTGCTTAGGATTGTCTTGGAAATGCAGGCTCTTTTTTGGTTCCGTATGCACTTTAAAGTAGTTTTTTTTCTAATTCTGTGAAGAAAGTCATTGGTAGCTTGATGGGGATGGCATTGAATCTATAAATTACTTTGGGCAGTATGGCCATTTTCACAATATTGATTCCTCCTATCCATGAGCATGGAAAGTTCTTCCATTTGTTTGTGTCCTCTTTTATTCGTTGAGCAGTGGTTTGTATTTCTCCTTGAAGAGGTCCTTCATATCCCTTGTCAGTTGGAGTCCTAGGTATTTTATTCTCTGTGTAGCAATTGTGAATGGGAATTCACTCACGATTTGGTGCTCTGTTTGTCTGTTAATATTGCATAGGAATGCTTGTGATTTTTGCAATTGATTTTGTGTCCTGAGACTTTGCTGAAGTTGCTTATCAGCTTAAGGAGATTTTGGGCTGAGATGACGGGGTTTTCTAAATATACAATCATGTCATCTGCAAACAGGGACAATTTGACTTCCTCTTTTCCTACTTGAATACCCTTTATTTCTTTCTCTTGCCTGATTGCCCTGGTCAGAACTTCCAACACTACATTGAATAGGAGTGGTGAGAGAGGGCATCCTTGTCTTGTGCCGATTTTCAAAGGGAATGCTTCCAGTTTTTGCCCATTCAGTATGATATTGGCTGTGGGTTTGTCATAAACAGCTCTTATTATTTTGAGATATGTTCCATCAATACCTAGTTTATTGAGAGTTTTTAGCATGAAGGGTTGCTGAATTTGTTGAAGGCCTTTTCTGCATCTATTGAGATAATCATCTGGTTTTTGTGATTGTTTCTGTTTATGTGATGGATTACATTTATTGATTTGCATTTGTTGAACCAGCCTTGCATCCCAGGGATGAAGCAGACTTGATCGTGGTGGATAAGCTTTTTGATGTGCTACTGGATTTGATTTGCCAGTATTTTGTTGAGGATTTTCGCATCGATGTTTGTCGGGGATATTGGTCTAAAATTCTCTTTTTTCGTTGTGTGTCTGCCAGGCTTTGGTATCAGGATGACGTTGGCCTCATAAAACGAGTTAGGAAGGATTCCCTCTTTTTCTATTGATTGGAATAGTTTCGGAAGGAATGGTACCAACTCCTCTTTGTACCTCTGGTAGAATTCGGCTGTGAATCCATCTTGTCCTGGACTTTTTTTGGTTGGTAGGCTATTAATTATTGCCTCAATTTCAGAGCCTGTTTTTGGTCTATTCAGAGATTCAACTTCTTCCTGGTTTAGTCTTGGGAGAGTGTATGTGTCCAGGAACTTATTCATTTCTTCTAGATTTCCTAGTTCATCTGCATAGAGTTGTTTATAGTATTCTCTCATGGTGGTTTGTATTTCTGTGGGATCAGTGATGATATCCACTTTATCATTTTTTATTTCATCTATTTGACTCTTCTCTCTTTTCTTTGTTAGTCTTGCTAGCAGTCTATCAATTTTGTTGATCTTTTCAACAAACTAGCTCCTGGATTCATTGATTTTTTTGAAGGGTTTTTTGTGTCTCTATCTCTTTCAGTTCTGCTCTGATCTTAGTTGTTTCTTGCCTTCTGCTAGCTTTTGAATTTGTTTGCTCTTGCTTCTCTAGTTCTTTTAATTGTGATGTTAGGGTGTCGATTTTAGATCTTTCCTGATTTCTCTTGTGGGCATTTAGTGCTATAAATTTCCCTCTACACACTGCTTTAAATGTGTCCCAGAGGTTCTGGTACATTGTGTCTTTGTTCTCATTGGTTTCAAAGATCATCTTTATTTCTGCCTTCATTTCGTTATTTACCCAGTAGTCATTCAGGAGCAAGTTGTTCAGTTTCCATGTAGTTGTGTGGTTTTGAGTGAGTTTCTTACTCCTGAGTTCTAATTTGATTGCACTGTGGTCCAAGAGACAGTTTGTTGTGATTTCTGTTCTTTCACATTTGCTGAGGAGTGCTTTACTTCCAATTATGTGGTTAATTTTAGAATAAATGTGATGTGGTGCTGAGAAGAATGTATATTCTGTTGATTTGGAGTGAAGAGTTCTGTAGATATCTATTAGGTCTGCTTGTTGCAGAGCTGAGTTCAGGTCTGGATATCCTTGTTAATTTTCTGTCTCATTGACCTCTCTAATATTCATAGCGGGGTGTTAAAGTCTCCCATTATTATTGTGTGGGAGTCTAAGTCTCTTCATAGGTCTCTAAGGACTTGCTTTATGAATCTGGGTGCTCCTGTATTGGGTGCATATATATTTAGGATAGTTAGCTCTTCTTGTTGAATTGATCCCTTTAGCATTATGTAACGGCCTTCTTTGTCTATTTTGATCTTTGTTGGTTTAAAGTCTGTTTTATCAGAGACTAGGATTGCAAACCCTGCTTTTTTTTGCTTTACATTTGCTTGATAGATCTTCATCCATCCCTTTATTTTTAACCTATGTGTGTCTTTGCATGTGAGATGGGTCTCCTGAATACAGCACACTGATGGGTCTTGACTCTTTATCCAATTTGCCAGTTTGTGTCTTTTAATTGCGGCATTTAGCCTGTTTACATTTAAGGTTAATATTGTTAGATATGAATTTGATCCTGTCATTATGATGGTCACTGGTTATTTTGCCTGTTAATTGATGCCAGTTTCTTCATAGCATTAATGGTCTTTACTTTTGGCATGTTTTTGTGCTGGCTGGTACTGGTTGTTTCTTTCCATGTTTAGTGCTCCCTTCAGGAGCTCTTGTCAGGCAGGCTTGGTGGTGACAAAATCTCTCAGCATTTGCTTGTCTGTAAAGGATTTTATTTCTCCTTCACTTATGAAGCTTAGTTTGGCTGGATATGAAATTCTGAGTTGAAAATTCTTTTCTCTGAGGATGTTGAATATTGGCCCCCACTCTTTTATGGCTTGTAGGGTTTCTGCCAAGAGATCTGCTGTTAGTCTGATGGGCCTCCCTTTGTGGGTAACTCGACATTTCTCTCTGGCTGCCCTTAACACTTTTTCCTTCATTTCAACTTTTGTGAATCTGACAATTATATCTTGGGGTTGCTCTTCTCGAGGAGTATCTTTCTGGTGTATTCTGTATTTCCTGAATTTGAATGTTGGCCTGCCTTACTGGGTTGGGGAAGTTCTCCTGGATAATATCCTGAAGAGTGTTTTCCAACTTGGTTCCATTCTCCCCATCACTTTCAGGTACACCAATCAAAAATGTAGATTTGGTCTTTTCACATAGTCCCATATTTCTTGGAGGCTTTGTTCGTTTCTTTTTACTCTTTTTTCTCTAACCTTGTCTTCTTGCTTTATTTCATTAATTTGATCTTTAATCACTGATACCCTTCTTCCATTTGATCGAATTGGCTATTGAAGCTTGTGCATGCGTCGCGAAGTTCTCGTGCCATGGTTTTCAGCTCCATCAGGTCATTTAAGATCTTCTCTACACTGTTTATTCTAGTTAGCCATTCATCTAATCTTTTTTCAAGGTTTTTAGCTTCCTTGCGATGGGTTCCAACATCCTCCTTTAGCTCAGAGAAATTTGTTATTACCAACCTTCTGAAGCCTACTTCTGTCAGCTTGTCAAAGTCATTGTCCATCCTGCTTTATTCCGTTGCTGGTGAGGAGCTGCGATCCTTTGGAGGAGAAGAGGTGCTGTGATTTTTAGAATTTTCAGCTTTTCTGCTCTGGTTTCTCCCCATCTTTGTGGTTTTATCTACCTTTGGTCTTTGATGTTGGTAACCTACAGATGGGGTTTTGGTGTAGATGACCTTTTTGTTGATGTTGATGCTGTTCCTTTCTGTTTGTTAGTTTTCCTTCTAACAGTCAGGTTCCTCAGCTGCAGGTCTGTTGGAGTTTGTTGGAGCTCCACTCCAGACCCTCTTTGCCTGGGTATCACCAGCGGAGGCTGCAGAACAGCAAATATTGCTGCCTGATCCTTCCTCTGGAAGCTTCGTCCCAGAGGGGTAGCTGCCTATATGAGGTGTCTGTCAGCCCCTACTGGGAGGTGTCTCCCAGTTAGGCTACATGGGGGTCAGGGACCCACTTGAGGAGGCAGTCTGTCCGTTCTCAGAGCTCAAATGCCGTGCTGGGAGAACCACTGCTCTCTTCAGACGTTTAAGTCTGCAGAAGTTGTCTGCTGCCTTTTGTTCAGTTATGCCCTGCCCACAGAGATGGAGTCTAGAGGCAGTAGGCCTTGTTGAGCTGCGGTGGGCTTTATTTTCACATCATAGTACAGCAGCTTTCAACATCTGACCCACGTTTCAGTGACTTGCCCAAGAACCATATGCATTGTGGAATTCTGATACATCTCTTCAAGAGCCCCCACGTTGCATGCCAAGAATGTTGCAGGACTTTTCCTTCGTTCAGCTAAAGACTGGGTTCTTGTCCATCCCACGGCCAGGAAAATTTAGGCTTGGAGATGGCTTAAAGGGTGAATAAAGCTGGGTTTTATTGGGTGAAAAGGCAGGGGGAAGAAATGGGAAACAGGGTCCTTCTGCAAGGCCAGAGTCCCCTGCTAGAGGCTTCCCATCGGCCCTTGGAATTCAGAACTCTGTTCTTTTTTAAAAAATTATTTTTTATTATTAGGGTCTTGCTCTGTTGCCCAGGCTACCGTGCAGTAGTATGATCATAGCTCATTATCACATCTAACTCCTGGGCTCCAGTGATCCTCCTGCCTTCGCCTCCTGAATAAGGAGCTCTATTCTTAAAGAAATCCTTGACCTGCTCAACCTTAGAAGTGTGTGATTGCCTTAAGTATGTATTTTTCTTTATTCTGCATGTCATGGATTTACTGAGACAAGCTGTGCATTCCAACATATGACAGTTTATTATTGAGAGTAAATTACTCAACAAATGAGTAGCATGCAGCAGAATCAGCAGGTTAAATCGTCTTACATTATGACTTTCATTTATCTGTCTGTCTATCTGTCTATCTATCTATCTATATCTATCTATCTATCTATCTATCTATCTATCTATCTATCTATCTGTCTGTCTATCTATCTAGAGACAGAGTCTCGCTCTGTCGCTCAGGCTGGAATAAAGTGGGACAATCTCAACTCACTGCAACCTCTGCCTCCCAGGTTCAAGCAAGTCTCGTGCCTCAAACTCCCCAGTAGTTGGGATTACAGGCACGCACCACCACACCTGGCTTATTTTTTGCAATTTTGGTGTAGATGGGGTTTTGCCATGTTCCCCAGGCTGGTCTTGAACTCCTGAGCTCAGGCAATCCACCTGTCTAGGCCTCCCAAACTGCTAGGATTACAGGCGTGAGCCAACACACCTGGCACATTATCCCTTCTATTTAGAACTGCATTTTAATCATAACTGTACGCTGCTCTCAGGCATCCTTACAAGGGCACTTTGCCGAGCAGGAGCATACATAAAAAATCAAATCAAATTGAAATAGAAATAAAAATATTAAAAGCAAAAAGATAGAATTTTAGCTTTAAAAGAATTAAGATAACTATCATTTTGGTGACTTAAAACCACTACAATATAATACCTGGCTAGAAATGGCCTATTTTACTTTGTAACAAGCATGATAAACGTAGTCTTCCTTTTGAGCTTATAAGTTTTATGTGTATTTATCCTTCTGCAGGTCCTAATAAAATGTCCAACTAGACCTAGGTGACCCTCTGCTAACTAACAAAAATAGATGTTTATTTGAATATTGGAGGAATGTATGTAACTGTTAATATGCTCTTTTGTGTATTTTCCTCTTGAAAAGAAAGAAACTTTTTTAATGTTTGTTTTTTGCTATAATTTTGATTGAAAATTACATAGAATGGAATTATTTTTATATAATTATTACATATATTTTATTATTTTGTTTAAATTACAGGTTTTAAATTTCTAAGTTTTAGTATCTTAAGCAGATCTTAAAATATTATTTGCTGAGTGGGTTTTAAATAAACGTCCCAGTCTAATACATAGTTGTTCCTATTTGTAGGGCTATAATTTTAATATGGACCATATGGTGGGGGTCTTAACTTTTTGTCCACAGAACATGACATGTGTCTCACTAAAATAGTGATGGACATCTATTCACTTTATCCGGGTTAATGGCACCACCATTCATCTAGACTGCCTGGAGTTGCCTTCACTTTTCAGTTTCCAACTCAGATGTCATCCTCAAGGCCCTTCTCTGTAAAGGTTTTACTCCTCCAGGCAGAATTAGTTACTCCTTCCTTTGTGTTACCATGGCACTTTTTAAAAATATAACTCTCTAAACACTTAAATTGATGGTCACATATTTGTTTCAAGGAATTTATTTTATGTGTTGCTAAATCCATCTAAATCATTGTCTTTGGAATGATACTTCCTTGCATGGTTGTAAGCTAAAAATCAGCTTTGGGAAACTTAAATATTAAAATCTATTTAGTGAATTCAATAAAATCGATTTCTTATGTTTTCAATCTGAAAGGCTAAATGGGGTTGAATATGTGATTTTAAATGGGCAAAATTTTAAAAAGTAGATATTTTATATTTCCAAATTGTAAAGATATAAAATAAATGTTGATAAAAATACCTTTAGGTGTTACTAAAATGCCATGGGTGCTTCTAGCTTTTATGTTATGTAAAGTAAACCATCAGTCAAAGGAATTTTATTAAAATAATTTATTAATAATCATTATTTGTTATCATTATTTTAAATCATAATTTATTAAAAATAACATAAAGATGTCTCATCTAAAAATATAATATTTTCAGGATAAAATTATAGTGAAGCTCTATAGTAAATTATTTAACTTATAGAATCAATTGATAATTTTTTCTTAAAAATGAGAAATATTAAATGTTTAACTACTTTTACTTTTTAAAAGGCAGGAGAATTATATATTAATATATAACATGTAATAATAAAATAAATAATGTAATAACATATAATCATAACATTATGATTACTTTGTTCTGTTTAAGCACAGAACTCATACAATGCACTAAAAAGTAGTTTTTCACCATAATCTCAAGCTGTAATAACTGTTAACATTTTTAAACATTGTAGTCATACGGTCTAAATCATCTAGTCATTTCTTTTTCACTCTACCTCCTAAAAATGAAGCCATAAAAATATAAAGGAGACAAAAGAGAAAGGAATAGGTGAAAATGTTGTGAAATTCTATTATAGCCATGCCAGGCATTTCAACAGGCAAAATTTTAGGAGATAGAAGTTGGTAATTGTTAGCCTAATTAATGAGCTAATTTCCTATATTCTCTGCTTTGGACAGCCTGTGGAGAGTAAGTGGATCTCTTCATCTTGTAAAATCATTGCTTTTCGCAAAGCATTATTGAATCCAGTTACTTCAAGACAATTTCAACGTTTTGTGGCTCTAAAAGGAGATTTATTGGAAAATGGTTTACTCTTTTGGCAAGAAGTACAAAAATATAAGGTATTGTATTGGGAGCTAGAGAAAACCACCTGTTTTGAGGAGGAAATGCATTAAAATGTCAGATTTTTAACTAACTTTATGCACAAGATTTGTATAAGATATCCCAATTTTGCTATCTTCTTCCTACCAGTATATAAATATTGAGATGTTTATTGTCCAATCTCTAGATACATTTATTATTATACAGTGAAGAGTAAGAGTGAGCCCTGGAATGATAACACAGGTTGGGCATTCCAAGTCTGAAAATCTGAAACCTGAAATGCTCCAAAATCTGAAACTTTTTGAGTGCCAACATGATACTTAAAGTAAATGCTCCTTGGAGTATTTCAGGTTTTGGATTTTTGGGTTTGGAATGCTCAACCAGTAGGTATAATACAAATATTCCAAAACCAAAAAAGAATCCAAAATCTAAAACACTTCTGGTCCTAAGCATTTCAGATAAGGGATACTCAACCTGTATTAGGTTTTTTTTCAGGTATTAACATACATAAGATTTAATGAGAACCTTCCTGCAGAGAGTTTTAACTATATTTCTACACATCAATTATCTCTTAAATGTACTGTACATATTTTTTTCCTAACAATGTCTATATTTGGTGTATCCATACAACCAAGATCTCTTTGTAAGAATCCCTCCCAGCCATATTTATAGTAATAGTAATCAAAGATACTGGATTATGGATAAATAAACCAACAGAGAAGAGAAAAGAATTAGAAAGAATTAGAGATGAAAAAGAATAGCCAAATTCTTAACAAAATAAGTAAAAGAGAAATGGCTAGGTACAAAGACAGTTTATTTTCAGGGTTAAGTGTTTAATGTAATCATACAGAATCTTTGCATTGAAGAGGAGGAAGGGACTTTCCATGTTATGTTGTCTAGACTTGAATAAAGAAATGTTGTATAGAAATACTGAAAGGTATTTCAGTCTTTGCTTAAATGCTCCCAGAGGTAGCAGGCTCATTTCCTTGCAAGCAGTCTATTCCATCCCATTGTAAACATGAGGAATAAAAATTAACAATTTAGGAGCATAATGCTTTCAAATGGCCTATAACTATATATTATATGACACTAATACAGTTGCTCAACATACAGTTAGTAGTTGCTCAATAAAATTTATTTCCAAGCTTTTCCAACATACAGTAAAATTGTTTTCTACCCTTTTCTGTTATCAACAGTTTTTGTACTATTCTCAGCTGAGACTATAATATTAAAAAACAATTTTTTTTTGAGACAGGGTCTCATTTTGTTGCCCAGGCTGGAGTACAGTAGCACAATGACAGCTCACTGCAGCCTTGACCTGCTGGGCTCAAGCGATCTTCCCACCTCAGCCTCCCAAGTAGCTGGGAGTACAGGCATGCACCACCATGCCTGGCTAATTTTTAATTTTTTTGTAGAGATGGGGTCTCCCTATGATGCCCAGGCTGGTAAAAAAAAAATTTGAGAGAAGTTTTTTCACAATCTTTCACATGAGCAATATTAAAATAATTTTTTTGAGATTAGAAAGGAGGTAGAGTGTGTTTTCCACAATAGATAATTTTTTTATCATGGGTGGGTGGAACTATCTTTAAGCTAATATGAATATGAACAAGTCTAACTTTGCTAGGACAAGAGGTAATGAGATAAACTTTGTAAAATAGGTATTTTAAAAACCAACTATAGACTTATACACAGTGAACCCTTAGTTTTATGACTTTCTCCTTTAAGGCTGCCCTTGGTCTCCATTTTAATATCTTTTCTACAATATAGCATGACAGACTTACAATACTAGGTAGCTATTAAAAAGCATGCTATAGGAGTAAATTTGTTCATATAACAAACATTTATTAAGTATCAAATGTTATTATGCTAAATTGTAGGCGTAAAAAGGTGAATACAACACACTGCCCTCTTTCAGGCAGGAAGACATCCATGAGAACAAATATTAGGAAATAATGTTGATTCTGATGCATGTTCTGACTAGGTATGGTTTTGGCACAGAGGAGAGAATGATGGGGTATGGGGACAATAGGTCAGGGAGGTCTCAGCAAGAGTGATGACACTTGCATTGGGCCATGAGGGAGTTTGCCAGTTGGAAGGCATTTATTCCACTTTGATAAAGTCTAACCGAGCTAACTCTTATAGGGCTTACTCTTATTAAGTGTTTACTATGTGCCAGATATTGTCTTAGTGCTTTTCATGTAATAATGAATTTATTCTCACAAGAATCCCATGAGGTCAAGGATGTGATTCTCATCACTTCACAGATGAAACTAATGCACAGAAAGGCCAAGAAATTCCCGACATCACACAGCTAATTAACTGGTAGAGCTAGACTTTGAATCAGGTCATTCTATTGCTAAAGCCCATGCCCTTAACCACTAAGCTGTGCTGCTTCTCAGTATTGATTGTGGTAATATACAAAGAGATGGCTGGAGTAATCTTAGTCAAACATTACTCGGGATTGTGAAAAGTTGGAAAGAACCCAGTTGTACAACAAGGACGTTGGTTACTAAATTACGATATATCTATATAGTAGAAGATTCTCTAGCCGTTAAAAATGTTCCAGGAGAATAATCAATGATGGGAAAAGATGTTCTGCTCATTGATCTTTTTTAAAAACTAGCTACTAAAAATCAGTATGGTTTAATCTAAAGTGTGTGTGTGTGTGTGTGTGTGTGTGTGTGTGTGTCCGTAAAGACTGGAAGGATTTATTTATCCAACAAATATTTATTAGGCACCTACCAAGGGGCAGGCCAAATCCTGAGGATACAACTGTGATCAAAACAGTCTACCCTGTTAGAGCATATAGTATCAGAAGAAGGACAAATGAGTGGTAGACAAGGCAATTATAAGAGTGTGATTAGTGCAACAAGGGAAGAAGCACAGTGTGCTATGGGAGTACCTGAGATGGACATCTCTCCTGGACTGAGAGTCACAGAAAGCTTACTAGAGGAAAGTATGCTTAAACTCAGACCTTAATAATAGGCAAGAGTTAACTAAGCTAATGGCACAACAGGGCAGAACAATTAGAAAAAAAAAATCAGTTATAATTCTGACCAAATGCTGTCCTTTTACTCAAAATTATAATTGTATACTTCACAAATTTGTTTTATTTCACAAGCCTTATATTCCATAGTTAGGAGGCTAATTGAATAATATAAAATAGGCTTTTT
Organism: Homo sapiens; assembly: GCF_000001405.40. Lineage (NCBI taxonomy): Eukaryota > Metazoa > Chordata > Mammalia > Primates > Hominidae > Homo > Homo sapiens. The sequence continues at coordinate 99,984,304 of NC_000008.11, read as the reverse complement.
CTTTTCTTTTCTTTTTTTGAGACACCATCTTACTCTGTTGCCCAGGCTGGAGTGCAGTGGTGTGATAATGGCCCACTGCAGCGTCAACCTCCCTGGGCTCAGGTGATCCTCACACCTAAGCCTCCCCAGTAGCTGGGACTACAGGCATGCACCACCACACCCAGCTAATATTTTGTATATTTTTGTAGAGACAGAGTTTCACCATGTTGCCCAGGATGGTCTCAAACTCCTGGGCTCAAGCCATCTGCCCACCTCGGCCTCCCAAATTGTTGGGATTACAGGCATAAGCCACCACACCTGGCCTAAATAGGCTTTATTCTAAGGTGATGCTAAATTGAGTATGAAGTGCTAATTGTCACAATGTAACATTATATTAAGCTTTTTTCACACTTAACTTATACCAAATTATATATAAAGTTTTACATGAAAGACATCAGAATTTTTGTTTCTTTTGTAATATCCATAGTAGAGCTATTACAATGCCCAGCATATACTGGGTACTTAATAAATGTTGGTTCATTTCTGGGCCTAAAGTGAGAAGTTTCCAAATTTGCTTTCTGATGATTTGGAAAATAATGACTTTGACAGAGAAATGCCATAATTTGAGCTAAACTACCTCTTTATTTTAAAAAATGATAGTCCTACACCTGTGACTTTAAAACTAGCTCATTTTGGGCAAAGGACATGAACGGATACTTCTCAAAAGGTATATAAATGGCCAAGAAACATGAAGAAATGCTCAGCATCACTAATCATCAGAGAAATGCAAATCAAAACCACAGTGAGATACCATCTCACACCAATCAGAATGGCTATTATTAAACGGTCAGAAAATAACAGCTGCTTGGTGAGGCTGCAGAGAAAAGGGGGCACTTGCACACTATTGGTGGGAATGTAAATTAGTCCAGCCACTGTGGAAAGCAGTCTGGAGATTTCTCAAAGAAATTAAAACAGAGCTACCATTTGACCCAGCCATCCCATTACTGGATGTATACCCCAAGGAGAATAAATAATTCTGCCAAAAAGATAAATGTACACATATGTTCATCACTGCACTATTCACAATAGCAAAGACATGGAATCAACCCAGGTGCCCATCAGTAGTAGATTGATAAAGAAAATGTGGTACATATACACCGTGGAAGACTACATAGCCATAAAAAAATGAAATCATGTCCTTTGCAGCAGTGTGGGTGGAGCTGGAGGCCATTATCCTAAGAGAATTAATGCAGGAAAAGAAAACCAAAATCCACACGTTCTCACTTATAAGTGGGAGCTCAACATTGGGCACACATGGACATAAATATGGGAATAATAGACACTGCTGACTACTAGAACAGGTAGTGAGGGGAGGGTGGGTTGAAAACCTACCTGTTGGGTACTACGCTCTACCTAAGTGACAGGATCTGTACCCCAAACCTCAGCATCACGTAATATTCCCATACAACAAACTTGCACATGTACCCCCGTGTCTAAAATAAATGTTGACAATTTTTTAAGTGGCTCATTTTAATGTGTGATCATTAATTTTAGGTTATCTATAAAGAGGATAATACAATAGGGTAACTACACAACATAGATAATAAAAGATATAGAATGGCACACCTGTTGACAACCAGCATGCCCAGTACCTTTTTGAGCCTAAATCACCTTGGCGTAGAAGCAGGACTGGACGGGAAAGCTTTTATATCCACCTGTAGGTGGAGTTAGGTGCCTATTCTCAATGTTCTCCTAGGATACTATGTATACCTCTATCATAACATTTATTAACTATCCAAAATAGGAGCAACATGTTCTCACACTTCTCCTCCAGTGGAGATTGAACCTTAAAAGGGTAGGGCCTGTGTCTTGAGGCTCAGCTCAGTGTCTGGTATATAACAGGCCCTCATTATACGGTTGTTAAATGAGTCAAAGTAGATACTAATGTCATTCCTTTGCCTAGAGGAATAAGTGATCAGGATTATATGAAATCTGTATTTATGTAATGTAGATGTATCAAAGTCTTAGGTTCCTCAAATCCAAGAGAAAGAAAATCTGTAATTTTTTAAAGACAGCCTTGAAATATCCCACTGCCTTCTTGACCTAAAGTTGAAATGCATATATTAATTGAAACACATATTGATACAGTTCTATTAAGTGTTCTGGTAATGCATTAATTATATACCATTCTATCTTTCCTTCTGTTCAGGACTTGTGCCATTCTCATTGTGATGAGTCTGTCATCCAGAAGAAGATTACAACTATTATCAACTGCTTTATTAATTCCAGTATTCCACCAGCTTTACAAATTGACATTCCAGTAGAGCAAGCCCAGAAGATTATTGAACACCGGAAGGAGTTAGGACCATATGTATTTAGAGAGGCACAGGTAAGAGATCAGGGCATGTGGCTAAGCATATTTTAAAATAGATTGACAATCCTTTTAAAGATAGATATCCTTTTGGGCCAGGCGTGGTGGCTCACGCCTGTAATCCCAGCACTTTGGGAGGCTGAGGCAGGCAGATTGTTTGAGCTCAGGAGTTTGAGACCAGCCTGGGCAACATAGTGAAACCCCGTCTCTTAAAAAAAAAAAAAAAAAAACCTAAAAAAAAGTAAATAAAAATTAAAAAGATAGATATCCTTTTAAAGCTTGTACGTTATTCATATTTGACAAGGTTCCAGTCCTCCCAATACTGGGACTTATTCTATTTAATTTAAATAATCTTTGCATATGTGACTGAAATATAAAAAGCTAGTAACTTAAATGCAGTTTTTTTCGTGATCATATACAGTAAATAAAATTAAATATTACCTTTTGGCTTTCCATGGTTACCATTTTTGTTTTTAACTTGTTAACCTCCAGCTAATTCCTCCTTTCTTTTCCACTATTGGTAATTCCTTTTAAAATATCTGCTACCACAAAAATGTGTAAAATATGTGTGTCCCAAGATTTGTGTATTTTTAAAGATTGGAATATTCACATAGCTCATAAAATAAGTGAGAAGAGATTTAAGAACTCTACCAACATAAAGTATACAAACTCATGAAAGGAAAATTGTGCCTGTTAACCTGCTCAAGTTACTTCTTTTTAAGATAAATAATAGAAAACAGTGACTTGGTGAACATAATTTATTTGCATTTTAAAAAGCCTTTTAGTGATGTTGTTACTAAAAAATGATTAAGAAAAATAAATTATAATAGGGGTAATAGGGAAGGCCATGTCATGAATGAAGTGATATGAAACAGAGACTTAGGGTATTATTGCCCTTGAGCATGGAAAAAGGCGATTATTCTTAGATTCATTTGAGAGCCAGCTGTGTTCTAAGTCCTCTAAGGAACTAAAAGTGGACTCACAATCCAAATTATGCATTAAAATAGGCAGAAATATAGAGGAATGATTGAGGACGTGCTATAGAGAAACATGGTGTCAGAATGGTAATATCTGTTAATGAAAAGATCTTAGAGATAGCTTAACCTAGCCTGGGTTTTCTAGTAACCAGGCCAGGACTTACCCATCGATACCAAAGGCCTTGAGTCTGACGGTAAATGTCTGGAGCTGCCGATACCTTTCGGTTCTGGTATACTCTTCAGGGACTGTAACCAAAGAATTTTATTGGAGTCTTCTAGCCTATGACTTCTACCTGATTTTCTAAAAGGGAGTCCTAGATATATCTTAAATATGGACGTTAGAGCATCTGAAAATAAATAATCTTTATTTAGGGGCCACATCACACTGAATCTGTTGTTATTCCTGTTTTCCCAAGGAAGTTTAGAGAATGGCATTGCCTCCTACCCCAGGATACAAGCCACAGATCTGGTTGGCCATCTCCATGTCTTCCCTCTATTTCATTTCCTTACCTCTGTATCTAATCCGTTCCTAAAACTTACCTAGTTGTCTCCTCGTTATCTGTCATTCTATCCACATCTCCACTCAACTACCTCACTTTAGATCTGCAACATGACTCATAATGTATTACAGAAACTCCTGGCCTCTGGGTTCTCTCCAAACCATCCAACTCAGGGCAGACAGAGCAATCCTTTTTTAATGTATATCTGATCATGTCACTTCTCTGCTTAAAATATTTCAATTCCGGTGCAGCACACTGGCTCACACCTGTAAGTAATCCCAGCACTTTGGAAGGCCAAGGCAGGAGGATTGCTTGAGGCCAGGAGTTCAAGACCAGCCTGGGCAATATAGTGAGATCCTGTCTCTACAAATAATAATTTTAAAACTATTTCAGATACTTCCCACTGCCCTCAGAATGAAGTCCATACTCCTAGATATCTCTCTAGCTACATCTTTTACCACTCCCTGCCATCTCTGCCCTAGTCTAATTGAAATAATTGTAGTTTCATAAGTGGCCCTTACTGCTTTCTCTCCTGAGCTTTTTGCAGTATCGTCTTCTCTCCCTTGTTTTTACCTCTGTTGTAACACTTATCACACTAAATTGAAAGTGATTGTTCTCATGTCTGACTTTCCCATTAGACTGTAACCTCTTTGAGGGCAGGGAATGGTTCTTATTTATCTTTGCAGTCCAAATGCCAGGCATAGAGAAGGCATTTTTTGGACACATAAATGAATGATGTGAGAAGAAATATATCATGACAGAAAGGAGTAAGATCAAATTGGATATGAGAGCAAAGTTGAGCAGAAGGGCTGAATAGTAAATTTAAAACTGCTGACAGTTTTAGCATTGTATCAGTGTAGCCTCTGTCTATCCCTCACTCCCACTCCCAATAGCCTGAAAGTTTGCATCACTCAGCCAAATTTTCACTGGCCCCTTTTGCTCATACTAAAGCCATTATTTATCTACTGGCAGTGAGTAAAGTAGCTCTATATTTATTAAAACATTTTCTTATCCACAATTTGGTTATCTTTTAAGATTAGAGAGGTACAGGGTAATTTTAATTAACAATATATATTAACCTACAATCTCAATTGCAACTTCTAACAATAGAGTAGTTTTATGCCTTCTATTGAAAAATTGTGTCTTAATTGGGTGACTTTTACTTAGAAAGCCTTCTAAATGGAAATATATATATTCAAGAACTGGGACTGACTCAGGTTTTAGAAAGATAACTGAGAAGTATGATTAATAGAGGAGGAGGAGTATTTAAGCTTCAGTTCATAATAAAAACTGCCATGATCCCTTAACATTGGAACAGGGGATTACTTAATTAAATGTATGGCAGGTAAATGTAAATGAAAATGTCTTAAAAGCCTGCGTTTCATCAAATAAAGTATCTCTAGATTTTACATTTACACTCCCAAGAGGCTATAGAATTCAATAACAAAACTGTATTTTAGAAGGAGTGAATAATTTTAGTATTACTAATAGCATTCATGTATGGAAAAGAGGAGTAATGAAATACGCCATTTCAGGTCTCTGTTGATCACTGCAGCATTTACTTTTTAAAGATTCCTCTTTTCCCCTATGAGTTGGCTTGGAGCCTAATGGGATGGTTCATTTTTTTCCAGGGTATTAGGTAAAGGCCATTCCTAGCAATAAGATGTTGGACTTGATCTTATGTGGCAAGTCCTACCTTCTTGGAAGTAATGTATGCCTCTGGAACTAATGGAAAAACTTGGCATGAGAATTAGAGCAACTATTCTTATCTCTATAAATATCACAATTAATCACTTAAAGTGTCCTTATAGAAAGCATTTGTCCAGGATACCGTTCTGCTTTTTAAATGTTACTTTTCTTGCTCTCACATAAAAGTAAGAGATTATATCATTTAAAATTTACTCAAGATTTATTCTTAGATCTGCAGCTTTGTTTAAGAGCTTTTCCAGAGGCAAAATGGTATTTCCTTTCTCTAAAAGAAAGAAAAGAGGGAGGAGGGAGTTTCCTTGATGAACTGGACATTTGGAATACTTGCATAAAACAGCAGAGTGTATGGCAGATCAACTAGTATATGTTTTAAAAGAAAACATAAATTTCTTATTTTAAAAGACCTAATGGATTCTTTATTAATACAATCAATTGGTTAGGGAGACATAAAGAATAAAGTGACTTTTAAGTGTATTTAATGTATTTTTTTTTAAAAGAAAGACTTCTCATTGGTAATAAAAACCATTGATGATAAGCATGTGCTGAGCAAAACTATACCAAGATGTCTGGAGACAATAAGTTGGAGCAAACATGGTATATATTAAAGATATAATAGTTAATCTGTTATTATGGTGAATAGAGTTTAAATTGGTACCTTTGTATAAAATTGTAATCTTAGACTTTTTTTTATACAGATGACAATTTTTGGGGTTCTGTTTAAATTCTGGCCTCAGTTCTGTGAGTTTAGGAAGAATTTAACAGATGAAAATATTATGAGTGTTTTAGAGAGAAGACAAGAATATAATAAGCAGAAAAAAAAATTGGCAGTCCTAGAAGACGAAAAATCTGGAAAGGTGAGACAAGACTCATTTTGGGTTTTATCAGACTTTTAAAAGTTATGTGATATGTGTGAATTATAGAATAATTTTGTCTGGGGATATATAGAGAGAAGTTATGGAATACAGATATTAGTGGATTTTAAGCCTTCAGTCAGAAGCTTCAGACTTTTGGAATTCCTCTAAATTCATTTCAAATGTCATCTCTTCTAAGTGAAGACTTCCTTGACTCTCTGTGGCAACGCAAGCAGCTTGCATCCGCTGCAATAACGTTCCTCCACCTTGTAGAACATGCTTTATATAGTCCTGTGATTAAGTTTTTACGTCTGTCATCTTCATTGGACTAAGATCCTCAATGATAGTATCCGCCTTATCCTTGTTTTATAAGTCCTTACACTAGTGTCCAGCACATGCTTAATTATTAATATTGTTTATTGAATAAATCAGGAAATGAATGAACAAATAGTATGTACTGGCAGGGGCAACATTTTCAATATGAAAATTACAGAATGGGCCAGACACGGTGCCTCACGCCTGTAATCCCAGCACTTTGGGAGGCCGAGACGGGCGGATTGCCTGAGCTCAGGAGTTCGCAGCCAGCCTGGGCAACACAGTGAAACCCCATCTCTACTGAAATACAAAAAAAAAAAAAAAAAAAAAAAAATTAACCGGGCGTGGCAGCTTGCGCCTGTAGTCCTAGCTTCTTGGGAGGCTGAGGCAGGAGAATTGCTTGAATTCTGGAGGAAGAGGTTGCAGTGAGCCAAGATTATGCCACTACACTCTGGCCTGGGTGACAGAGTGATATTCCATCTAAAAAAAAAGAAAAATTACAGAATGATACATTGTGAAATGTGTAAACAAGTCACAAATTGGGCAGCCTCCCTATTTGTCTACTATCTGTCCGTTCATTCATTCATTCATTGGTCTCTTTCTCTCTTTATATTTATCTGTTTTAATTAAGAAGGGGTAATTGCTCCCAAATAACATGTTTCATCTTATTTATAAGCTTATACCTATTTCATTTTTAAAAATAAATGTAAAAGACACGGAAAGACACAAAAGTAATATAATGAACACTCACATTTATTTGTGCAGGCCAAAATAAACACTTTTAACATTTTGCCTTATTTTTCTTTTTCCCATTAGAAATAAAACATTGCAAATAGAGTAAGATCTAGTAACCTCAGCCCTGAGTTCTATAACCCTCCCTATATCTAGGAGCAGTCATTAAGTTTGGGATATATTTGTCCAGCTCTTTTTAAAGACAGTGGTTCAGTCGGGCGCAGTGGCTCACGCCTGTAATCCCAGCACTTTGGGAGGCCGAGGCGGGCGGATCACAAAGTCAGGAAATCGAGACCATCCTGGCTAACACGGTGAAACCCCGTCTCTACTAAAAATACAAAAAATTAGCCGGGCGTGGTGGCAGGTGCCTGTAGTCCCAGCTACTTGGGAGGCTGAGGCAGGAGAATGGCGTGAACCCGGGAGGCGGAGCTTGCAGTGAGCCGAGATGGCGCCACTGCACTCCAGCCTGGGCAACAGAGCAAGACTCCGTCTCAAAAACAAACAAACAAACAAACAAACAAAAGACAGTGTTTCATGCATGTGGATGCATTCATAAACAATACAAAGTACTGTTTTAATGTTTTTTAACTTACATAAATGGTATCATATTGTATTAGTCTGTTCAGTCTGCCATAAAAAGCATGTTCATTCTTTTTATTTTTATTTTTTTTATTTTATTTCTTGAGATGGAGTCTCGCTGTGTCACCCAGGCTGGAGTGCAGTGGTGCAATCTCAGCTCATTGCAACCTCTGCTTCCCAGGTTCAAGTGATTCTTGTGCCTCAGCCTCCTGAGTAGCTGGGACTACAGGCACATGCCACCATGCCAGGCTAATTTTTGTATTTTTAGTAGAGACAGGGTTTCACCATGTTGGCCATGCTGGTCGCGAACTCTTGACCTCCAGTGATCCGCCCACCTCAGCCTCCCAAAGTGCTTGGATTACAGGTTTGAGCCACGGCACCTGGCCATGTTCATTCTTTTTAATCAGCAAATACACTTCTAGAAATTTATTCTAAAGGAGAGAATCAGCTGGGTGAGGTAGCTCCCACCTGTAATCCCAGCACTTTGGCAAGCCAGGGAAGGAGGACTGCTTGAGCCCAGGGGTTGGAGACCAGCCTGGGCAACATAGCAAGACCTCATCTCTACAAATAATTTTAAAATAAATAAATAAATAAATAAGAGAATCATAAACATGCACAAAGATGTATATACACAGCATCACTTATAATAGTAAAAAGTTGAAAGTGACCCAAATTTCTTTTTTTTTTTTGGTCATCTAATTATTTTAATGGCAATACACACTATCATCTGGATATAAAAAGTCAAGGACAAGTTCATCCTATGAAATGCTAGGCCTTGGGTCTTCTCAAATTTGTGCCACACTAGCAAAATATCTTGTCCTTTACAGAATATAGCATAACCCTAGCCAGCTACACAGGAAATTGAGAAATAAAATACAGGATTTCCATTATTAAAGCAAGAGTGAACTGTGTTGTTGATAATATCACCAGGTTAATTAAGGATTATTAGTAATAAGAAAATAATAGGTACTTTTAAAATTCTGTCACCACTGCAAACAGATTTATCAGATGTTGGTTCAACAATATAGAATAATCTTAATATTACAAGTTTCTAATCTAATACCAATATATTATTACTATTATTTTATTAATACCATCTATGCATAGTGACTACATTTTAATGTCTTTTCTTTGGGGCTTTTTTTTTTGAGATGGAGTCTCACTCTGTCGCCCAGGCTAGACTGCCATGGCGTGATCTTGGCTCACTGCAACTTCCACCTCCCATGATCAAGCGATTCTTCTGCCTCAATCTCCTGAGTAGCTGGGATTAAAGGTGCATACCACCACGCCTGGCTAATTTTTGTATTTTTTGTAGAGGTGGGGTTTCACCATGTTGGCCAGGTATCTCAAACTCTTGACCTCAAGTAATCCGCCCACCTTGGCCTCCCAAAGTGCTGGGATTACAGGTGTGAGCCACTGTGCCAGGCCTTTAAGACTTTTTTTAATGCATAGGGTTTTATTTTTGTTTTACATAATTATATCCATTTTTTTTTTTTTTGACAGAGTCTTGCTCTGTCATCCAGGCTGGAGTGCAGTGGGATGATCTCAGCTCACTGCAACCTCTGCCTCTCAGGTTCAAGCAATTCTCCTGCCTCAGACTCCCAAGTAGCTGAGATTACAGGCACCTGTTGCCACACCTGGCTAATTTTTGTATTTTTAGTAGAGATGGGGTTTCACCATGTTGGCCAGGCTGGTCTCGAACTCCTGACCTTATGATCCACCCACCTTGGCCTCCCAAAGTGCTGTGATTACAGGCATGAGCCACTGCACCCGGCCTTATATCCATTTGTTATATGCAGTTTTAATCTTTTTTTTCTCATTACTATTGTATCATAAGCATTGTCTACATTAAACATTCTTTGTGAACATAGCATTTTATGACTAGAAAATGTTCCATGGAAGGGTTATGGCCATGGGTTATTTAACCAAACATTTAAATCTAAACATTTCTATCTCACTGTTGCTTATGCTGTTGTAATATTGGTCTTGTTGGATAAAATCACCCCTCCCCAACCCCAGCCCATCACCAAACTTTTGGGTTACTTCATGAAACTATACATTTAAATGTGTAATTGACTGCTGAAAGGGTATAACCATTTTAAGGTATTCAACACATTTACAAATTACTCTCTCATGCAAGTAGTAACCAGGCTCCATTCTGCTTAGCTTCAGAGATCAGAAAAGATACAAATTATTCTATTAAAATGTGTATGCCAATTTAAAATGATCTGCAATCTAAATTGGCAGAAAATACCCATTTTGCTACACTTTTGTTAATATGCATTTTTTTATTATACTTTAATTTCTAGGATACATGTGCGTAACGTGCGGGTTTGTTACATAGGTATACATGTGCCATGGTAGTTTGCTGCACCCATCAACCCATCATCTGGGTTTTTGGGTTTTTTTTGTTTTTTTTTTTTTTGAGATGGAGTCTCACTCTGTCGCCCGGGCTGGAGTGCAGTGGCACAATCTCGACTCACTGCAACCTCTGCCTCCAGGGTTCAAGCGATTCTCCTGCCGCAGCCTCCCAAGTAGCTGGGATTACAGGCGCCCGCCACTACACCCAGCTAATTTTTTGGATTTTTAGTAGAAACGGGGTTTCACCATGTTGGCCAGGCTGGTCTTGAACTCCTGAGCTAGTGATTTGCCCGCCTCAGTCTCCCAAAGTGCTGGGATTAAGGCATGAGCCACGGTGCCTGGCCACGTCATCTAGGTTTTAAGCCCCACATGCATTAGGTATTTGTCCTAATGCTCTCCCTCCCCTTGCCACCATCCCCTGACAGGCCCTGGTGTGTGATGTTCCCCTCCCTGTGTCCATGTGTTCTCATTGTTCAACTCCCATTTATGAGTGAGAACATGTGGTGTTTGGTTTTCTGCTCCTGTGTTAGTTTGCTGAGAATGGTGGTTTCCAGCTTCATTCATGTCCCTGCAAAAGACATGAACTCATTGTTTTTTATACCTGTGTAGTATTCCATGGTATATATGCACCACATTTTCTTTATCCAGTCTATCATTGATGGGCATTTGGGTTGGTTCCAAGTCTTTGCTATTGTGAATAGTGCTGCAATAAACATACCTGTGCATGTGTCTTTATAGTAGAATGATTTATAATCCTTTGGGTATATCCCCAGTAATGGGATTGCTGGGTCAAATGGTATTTCTGGTTTGAGATCCTTGAGGAATCACCATACTGTCTTCCACAATGGTTGAACTAATTTACACTTCCACCAACAGTGTAAAAGTGTTCCTATTTCTCCACATCCTCTCTAGCATCTATTGTTTCCTGACTTTTTTTTTTTTTTTTTTTGAGATGGAGTCAAGCTCTGCCTCCCGAGTTCACACCATTCTCCTGCCTCAGCCTCCCGAGTAGCTGGGACTACAGTCGCCCACCACCACACCCAGCTAATTTTTTTGTATTTTTAGTAGAGACAGGGTTTCACCATGTTAGCCTGGTCGGTCTCGATCTCCTGACCTGGTGATCCACCCTTCTCAGCCTCCCAAAGTGCTGGGATTACAGGCGTGAGCCACCACGCCCAGCTTATTTCCTGACTTTTTCATGATCACCATTCTAACTGGTGTGAGATGGTATCTCATTGTGGTTTTGATTTTTATTTCTCTAATGACCAGTGTTGATTAACTATTTTTCATATGTTTGTTGGCCACATAAATGTCTTCTTTTGAGAAGTGTCTGTTCATATCCTTTGCCCACTTTTTGATGGGATTGCTTGTTTTTTCCCTGTAAATTTGTTTAAGTTCCTTGTAGATTCTGGATATTAGACCTCTGTCAGATGGATAGATTGCATAAACTTTCTCCCAATCTGTAGGTTGCCTGTTCCCTCTGATGGTAGTTTCTTTTGCTGTGCAGAAGCTCTTTAGCTTAATTAGACCCCATTTGTCGTTTTTGGCTTTTGTTGCAGTTGCTTTTGGTGTTTTAGTCATGAAGTCTTTGCCCATGCCTATGTCCTGAATGGTATTGCCTAGGTTTTCTTCTAGGGTTTTTAATTGTTTTAGGTTTTATGTTTCACTCTTTAATCCATCTTGAGTTAATTTTTATATAAGGTTTAAGGAAGGGGTCCAGTTTCAGTTTTCTGCATATGGCTAGCCAGTTTTCCCAACACCATTTATTAAATAGGGAATCCTTTCCCTATTGCTTGTTTTTGTCAGGTTTGTCGAAGATCAGATGGTTGTAGATGTATGATGTTATTTCTGAGGCCTCTGTTCTGTTCCATTGGTCTATATATCTGTTTTGGTAAGAGTACCATGCTGTTTTTATTATTGTAGCCATGTAGTATAGTTTGAAGTCAGGTAGTGTGATGCCTCCATCTTTGTTCTTTTTGCTTAGGATTGTCTTGGCTATGTGGGCTCTTTTTTGGTTCCATAGGAACCTTAAAGTAGTTTTTTCTAGCTCTGTGAAGAAAGTCAATGGTAGCTTGATGGGAATAGAATTGAATCTATAAATTACTTTGGGCAGTATGGCCATTTTCATGATATTGATTCTTCCTATCCCACGATACTGATTCTTCCTATCCATGAGCATGGAATGTTTTTCCATTTGTTTGTGTCCTCTCTTATTTCCTTGAGCAGTGGTTTGTAGTTCTCCTTGAAGATGTCCTTCAGGTCCCTTGTAAGTTGTATTCCTAGGTATTTTATTTTCTTTGTAGCAATTGTGAATGGGAGTTCACTCATGATTTGGCTCTCTGTTTGTCTATTATTGGTGTATGGGAATGCTTGGAATTTTTGTACATTGATTTTGTATTCTGAGACTTTGCTGAAGTTGCTTATCAGCTTAAGGAGTTTTTGGCTGAGACAATGGGGTTTTCTAAATATACAATCCTGTCATCTGCAAACAGAGACAATTTGACTTCCTCTCTTCCTATTTGAATACCCTTTATTTCTTTCTCTTGCCTGATTGCCCTCGCCAGAACTTCCAATACTATGTTGAATAGGAATGGTGAGAGAGGGCATCCTTGTCTTGTGCTGGTTTTCAAAGGGAATCCTTTCAGCTTTTGCCCATTCAGTATGATATTGGCTATGGGTTTTTCATAAATTGACCTTATTATTTTGAGATATTTCCATCAATACCTAGTTTATTGAGTGTTTTTAGCATAAAGAGGTGTTGAATTTTATCAAGGGCCTTTTCTGCATCTATTGAGATAATCATGTGGTTTTTGTCATTGGTTCTGTTTATGTGGTGGATTATGTTTATTGATTTGCATATGTTGAACCAGCCTTGCATCCCAGGGATGAAGCCAACTTGATTGTGGTGGATAAGCTTTTTGATGTACTGCTGGATTCAGTTTGCAAATGTTTTATTGAGGATTTTTGCATCGATGTTCATCAGGGATATTGGCCTGAAATTTTCTTTTTTGTTGTGTCTCTGCCAGTTGTGGTATCAGGATGATGCTGGCCTCATAAAATGAGTTAGGGAGGAGCCCCTCTTTTTCTATTGTTTGGAATAGTTTCAGAAGGAATGGTACCACCTCCTCTTTGTACCTCTGGTAGAATTTGGCTGTGAATCCATCTGGTCCTAGGCTTTTTTTAGTCAGTAGGTGATTAATTACTGCCTCAATTTCAGAACTTGTTATTGGTCTATTCAGGGATTCGACTTCTTCCTGGTTTAGTCTTGGGAGGGTGTATGTGTCCATGAATTTATCCATTTCTTCTAGAATTTCTAGTTTATTTGCATAGAGGTATTTATAGTATTATCTGATGGTAGTTTGTATTTCTGTGGGATTCGTGCTGATATCCCCTTTATCATTTTTAATTGCATCTATTTGATTCTTCTCTCTTTTCTTCTTTATTAGTCTGGGTAGTGTTCCATTTTGTTAATCTTTTCAAAAAACCAGCTCCTGGATTCATTGATTTTTTGAAGGGTTTTTCATGTCTGTATCTCCTTTAGTTTTGCTCTGATCTTAGTTATTTCTTATTTTCTGCTAGCTTTTGAATTTGTTTGTTCTTTCTTCTCTAGTTCTTTTAATTGTGATGTTAGGGTATCAATTTTAGATCTTTCCCATTTTCTGATGTGGGAATTTAGTGCTGTAAATTTCCCTCTTAACACTGCTTTAGCTGTGTCCCTGAGATTCTGGTACATTGTGTCTTTGTTCTCATTGGTTTCAAAGAACTTATTTATCTCTGCCTTAATTTTCTTATTTACCCAATAGTCATTCAGGAGCAGGTTGTTCAGTTTCCATATAGTTGTGCAGTTTCAAATGAGTTTCTTAATCCTGAGTTCTAATTTGATTGCACTGTGGTCCAAGAGACTGTTTGTTATGATTTCTGTTATTTTGCATTTGCTGAGGAGTGTTTTACTTCCAATTATGTTGTTGATTTTAGAATAAGTGCTACCCGATGCTGAGAAGAATGTATATTCTGTTGATTTGGGGTGGAGAGTTCTGTAGATGTCTATTAGGTCCACTTGGTCCAGAGCAGAGTTCAATCCTGAATATCTTTGTTAATTTTCTGTTTCATTGATCTGTCTAATATTGACAGGGGGTTGTTAAAGTCTCCCAGTATTATCGTATGGGAGTCTAAGTCTCTTTGTAGGTCTCTAAGAACTTGCTTTATGAATCTCCTGTATTGGGTGCACATATATTTAGGATATTTAGGATAGTTAGCTCTTCTTGTTGCATTGATCCCTTTAACATTATGTAATGCCCTTCTTTGTCTTTTTTGATCTTTGTTGGTTGAAAGTCTGTTTCATCAGAGACTAGAATTGCAACCCCTGCTTTTTTTTTGCTTTCCATTTGCTTGGTAAATATTCCTCCATTTGTTTATTTTGAGCCTATGCATATGAGATGGGTCTCCGGGATACAGCACACCGATGGGTCTTGACTCTTTATCCAATTTGCCAGTTTGTGTCTTTTAATTGGGGCATTTAGCCTATTTACATAAGGTTAATATTGTTATGTGTGAATTTGATCCTGTCATCATGATGCTAGCTGATTATTTTGCACATTACTTGATGCAGTTTCTTCATAGTGTCATTGGTCTTTCCATTTTGGTATGTTTTTGCAGTGGCTGTTACCAGTTTTTCCTTTCCATATTTAGTGCTTCCTTCAGGAGCTCTTGTAAGGCAAGCCTGGTGGTGACACAATCCCTCAGCATTTGCTTGTGTATAAAGGATTATTTCTCCTTCACTTATGAAGCTTAGTTTGGTTGGATATGAAATTCTGAGTTGAAAATTATTTTCTTTAAGGTTGTTGAATATTGGCCCCAACTCTTTCCTGGCTTACCCTATGGGGTTTCTGCCGAGAGATCCGCTGTCAGTCTGATGGTCTTCCCTTTATAGGTAACCTGACCTATAAAGGGTTGTCTCTGGCTGCCCCTAATATTTTTTCCTTCATTTCAACCTTGGAGAATCTGATGATTATGTATCTTGGGGTTGCTCTTCTCGAGGAGTATCTTAGTGGCATTCTCTGTATTTCCTGAACTTGAATGTTGGCCTATCTTGCTAGGTTGGGGAAGTTCTCCTGGATAATATCCTGAAGTGTGTTTTCCAACTTGGTTCCATTCTCCCCATCACTTTCAGGTACACCAAACAATTGTAGGTTTGGTCTTTTCACATAGTCCCATATTTCTTGGAGGCTTTGTTCATTCCTTTTCATTCTTTTTCTCTAATCTTGTCTTCACGAGTTTTCATTAAGTTGATCTTCAATCTCTGATATCCTTTCTTCCGCTTGATCAGTCTAGCTATTGATATTGGTGTATGCTTCATGAAGTTCTTGTGCTGTGTTTTTCAGCTCCATTAGGTCATTCATGTTCTTCTTTAAACTGGTATTCTAGTTAGCAGTTCCTGTAACCTTTTGTCAATGTTCTTAGCTTCCTTGCATTGGGTTAGAAGATCCTCCTTTAGCTCAGAAGAGTTTGTTATTACCCACCTTCTGAAGCCTATTTCTGTCAATTCGTCAAACTCATTCTTCATCCCGTTTTGTGCCCTTGCTGTAGAGGAGCTGCAATCCTTTGGAGGAGAAGAGGCATTCTGGTTTTTGGAATTTTCAGCCTTTTTGTGCTGGTTTTTCCTCATCTTCATGGATTTATCTACTTTTCATCTTTGATGCTGATGGCCTTTTGATGGAGTTTTTCTGTGGGTGCCCTTTTTGTTGATGTGATGTTATTGCTTTCTGTTTGTTAGTTTTACTTCAACAGTCAGGCCCCTCTTCTGCAGGTCTGCTGGAGTTTGCTGGAGGTCCACTCCAGATCCTGTTTGCCTGGGTTATCACCGGCAGAGGCTGCAGAACAAAAAGATTGCTGCCTGCTCCTTCTTCTGGAAGCTTTGTCCCAGAGGGGCACTTGCCTGATGCCACTTGGATCTATCCTGTGTGAAGTGTCTGTCGACCCCTGCTGGGAGGTGTCTGCAGTCAGGAAGCACTGGGGTCAGGGACCCACTTGAGAAGGCAGTCTGTCCCTTAGCAGAGCTCGAGAACTGTGCTGGGAGATCTTTTGCTCTCTTCAGAGCTGGCAGGCAGGAATGTTTAAGTCTGCTGAAGCTGCGCCCACAGCCACCCCGTCCCCCAGGTGCTCTGTCCCAGGGAGTTGGGAGTTTGATCTATAAGCCCCTGACTGGGGCTGCTGGCTTTCTTTCAGAGATGCCCTGCCCAGTGAGGAGGAATCTAGAGAGGCAGTCTGGCCACAGCTGCTTTGCTGCACTGCAGTGAGTTCCACACCATTCAAACTTCCCAGCGGTTTACTTAACACTGTGAGGGGAGAACTGCCTACTCAAGTCTCAGTAATGGCAGACGCCCCTCCCCCTACCAAGCTCGAGTGTCCCAGGTTGACTTCAGACTTTTGTGCTGGCAGTGAGAATTTCAAGCCAGTGGATCTTAGCTTGCTGGGCTACTTGGAGATGGGACCCACTGAGCGAGACCACTTGGCTCCATGGCTTCAGCCCCCTTTCCAGGGGAGTGAATGGTTCTGTCTCGCTGGGGTTCCAGGCTCCACTGGGGTACAAAAAAAAAAAACAAACTCCCGGAGCTAGCTCGGTGTCTGCCCAAACAGCTGCCCAGTTTTGTGCTTGAAACCCAGGGCACTGGTGGCATAGGCACCCGAGGGAATCTCCTAGCCTGCAGGTTGTGAAGACCGTGGGAAGAGCATAGTATCTGGGTTGGAGTGCATCATTCCTCACAGCACAGTCCCTCATGGCTTCCCTTGGCTAGGGGAGGGAGTTCCCCGACCCCTTGCACTTCCTGCGTGAGGCAACACCCCACCCTGCTTCTGCTCATGCTCTGTGGGCTGTACTCACTGTCTAACTGGTCCCAATGAGATGAACAAGTACCTCAGGAGAAAATGCAGAAATCACCCTCCTTCTGTGTTGGTCTTGCTGGGAGCTGCAGACGGGAGCTGTTCCTATTCAGCCATCTTGCCAGATGAGGTACCTATAATAGTCAAATTCATAGAAACAGAAAGAATAGAGGTTGCCAGGGGCTGGGGATAGAAGGCAGTAAGGAGTTATTATTTAATGGGAACAGAGCTTCTGTTTTGGATAATGAAGTTCTAGAAATGAAAAGTAGTTGGTATGGACTACATGTTTGTGTTCCTCAAAATTCATACATTGAAACTCTCATTTTATCATTTTTAAAGACTAATTTGAAAGGCATGAAATGTTCTTACTTTCATGGCTTTAATTAGTAGGGATATTGAAAAAATTGTCCATTTCTGTTAAGCATAGCATTTCCTCTTTGGGGAAGTTTCTGTTGTGTCTCTTCTTTACTCATCTGTTGGCTTATTTGTTTTTCTTAAAGATTTGTATTAATTGAAATACAATTATACATGGTTCTTTTTTGTTATAATTACTTCAAATGTGTTTTCCTCTTAAGTTTGGGTAAGTTTTTTTTTCTTTTTTTAAGGAAATTTAATTAATTTTTTATTTGTATAGATTTAGGAGTACAAGTGCAGTTGTGTTACATGGGTATGTTGTGTGTGGTAAAGTCTGGGCTTTGAAGTATACTCATCACCCAAATAGTGTATGTTGTACCCAACAGGTTGTATTTCATCGTTCACTTGCCTCCCACCCTCCCAACTTTTGGAGTCACCAGTGTCTGTTACTCTACTCTATATGTCTGTGTGTACCCATCATTTAGCTCCCACTTATAAGTGAGAACATGTGGTTTTTGACTTTCTGTTGCTGAGTAAGAAAATGACCTAAATTTCTAATGAGTGTTGTTAATTAAATTATCTATGATACATCCTTTTTCTAAAATATTATCTGTCAAAAGTGATGATAACATTTATTCATTTTATCATTCAGCAAACCTTTTAGTGCATAAGATCATTCATCCACTGAAAATGGTGATGTAATTTATTAATTTCATCATTCAACAAATATTTGAGTGCATACTATGTGGCAGACACTGTTCTACAGCAGATAAACAATGGTAAAAAATACAAAGGCCCAGAATACATTCCAGCTTTATATTTATTCACATTTTCACAACATATTCTACATGAAAAGGCAGATTTAAAAAGAGCAAACGTAGTTAGATTCTATTTGTATAAAATTTATATAATAAAATATAAAGATTAAAATTGTGAATCTATGCATTTTCCCTAGTGAGAAATATGGATGGATGTTCATGAAAATGTTTATAGTGGTTTTTCTTGGATTCCAGAATTTGGGAATGATTTTTACATTCAACTTAATCATTTCTCTCATTTATTTTAAAGTATTTTTATATTAGTATGAAATAAGATTAAAGATCAAAGCAGGAGACTCTGTCACATTAGTGATATTGACTTGATGAAACCTTAAGTGCAGCACTCACTATGAAATATTATGTCATATGATGTTATAACTCCTTAGCCATAAGTTTATATTAACATATCATTATCTTTTCTGGGTAATAATTTAATTTAATATAATTACAGGATGGAATCAAACAATATGCAAATACTTCAGTGCCTGCTATCAAAACTGCTTTACTCAGTGATTCCTTCCTAGGCCTCCAACCATATGGCCGACAGGTAAGCATGCAAGATGGTGCAGACCTCATTTCCCCGCTGGAGCATTGGATAGTGGAATGCAGTAACTCAGTCATTGTACAGTACTAGAAATGTGTTTGTTTGAAAATAAGCCTACAATTATAATAGTAGGAGAGATTGAAGGGAGTTTCTTTGAGCCTTCATTAAAATTTCAGCCAATCCCAGATAGTTTAATAAAGAAAAATAACTTCTTGAGATACATGAGGAAGACAAATTGCAGAAGTTGAAGTGATCATCTTGTTGGAAAAGAAAATAAGACAGATACAGTACAATAGAACAAGATGGAATATATATAGGATGTTGTATTCTTGGGTTAAAAAATGACAGAAGAATGTCAAATGCTTAGTCTCAAATTTTTAGTTTTTTGAAGTAGTCATAAAATTAACCATACATGACCATCCACCAATACATTATGGTTTCTGTGTTTACATGTACATTTATAACTAGTACATTACTGTTACTTCCCTGAAATGTCGTATGTTTAACTTATGTCTATTTTTGATGACTGGTATTGAAAGCATTTGTACCTTAGAGTAATACTAACTCAAGAAACAATCTTTTTGGCATTTAGGAATGTCAAATAAGTTCAGTTACCCAGCTAAGATAACTGGCTAACTATGAAGCTATTATTGAGAGAAGAGAAATATCCAATTTTATGGAACTGTATACTGAAAGAGATATCTAAAAGCATATGATACCTAGCAAATAATACCATTCATTAGCAAATGACTAGCATTAAATTTTAGAAACACAGTGTGAAAGGGGGAAATGTCCAGTTAGAGATATCAGGGTCCAGTTAGAGATATCAGGCTGCTGCTTTTTTTTTTTTTTTTTTTTTTGAGACAGGGTCTTGCTCTGTCACCCAGGCTGGAGTGCACTGGTACGATAACTCTTTGCAGGTTAAAGGGTGCAAGGGCTCTTTGCAGCCTCAACTTCCTAGGCTCAAGGAATCCTCCCACTTCAGCCTCCCAAGTAGCTGGGACTACAGGCGCACACCACCATGCCTGGCTAATTTTTTGTATTTTTTATAGAGATGAGGTTTCGCCATGTTGCCCAGGCTGCTCTCAAACTCCTGGGCTTGCGCAATTCTCCCACCTTAGCCTTCCAAAGTGCTAGGATTACAGGTGTGAGGTAACAGGCTTCTAATCTTTTTTTATCACAAGTCAGTATTATCTTGAAACCTGGATATAATCACATAATTTCCTTTGAGCCTCTTACCTTATCGGTTAAAAAGAGAGAGAGAGAGAAAGGGATGATGATGATGATGGTGGTGATGACGATGCTATCTTGTCATATTCAAGATTTTTGTAGGAAACTAAAAAACTTTTAGAAACCAAAGATATTTTATAAATATAAATGTAGCTTATAATGATTTCTGTTTAAAGTATACATGTTGAATTACTTTAGCAATTTGTAAAGTAATAATACACTGACATTTTGTAAATGTAGATGCCCTATACAGTTGTTCCTCAGTGTCCACTGTGGGGTGGTTCCAAGACTTCCTGCAGATACCAAAATCTGAAGATGCTCAAGTCCCTGATATAAAACAACATGGTATTTGCATATAACCTATCCACATCCTCTCATATACTTCGAATCATCTCTAGATTACATATATTACCTAAGTATACTATAGCAGAAGTAAATGCTATGTAAATAGTTATACTGTATATTTTATTTGTATTATTTTTTGTTGATTTTTAAAAATATTTTTGATCTGCAATTGGGTTGAATCTGCAGATGCAGAACCTGTGGATGTAAAGGGTTAACTGTATATGAATTTGTTTTAGATAGATTTTGCACATTGAAGAATTATAATGAATCCAAATGCAAAGTTACTCTCCCCCTAAAACTTGATTTACAGTCAAATTGAATATATAAAGATCTTTCCTAAGCACTAAATTTACAATCAAATTGAATATATAAAGATGACTGAATAGCTGTCAATATATCTGTAAAGCTTTTGTTGACATTGATTCACTGAGAAACAGAATATCACCACCCTCACGTTCCCACCTCACCTCCTCCCTGCAAACCAGGGAATTTAAACATTTTGTCAAGGCTATGGAAGAAAATATACTTACTTTATCATAAATATTTTTATGAAAATGGACTAAGGTAGGTTGATAATAATTTGTGGTACCCAGTTAAAAGGTGACCTGGGTACATTCAGTTGGTAAAAATTCATATCATTATAAACTTGTGATGTGCACTTTTCTTTATGTGTGTTATACTTTAATAAAAATTTAAATGAAGAGGCTGATAGAAGACATCTTATCTTCAGTTTATTTCCTAAAGCAAACATTTCAGAATTAACTTTGAAAATTGCTTTTTTTAGCCAACCTGGTGCTACTCAAAGTATATAGAAGCCTTAGAACAGGAGAGAATTCTTCTTAAGATCCAAGAAGAACTAGAAAAAAAGTTGTTTGCAGGTAATTTTTGCCTTCTGCCTACAAGTTTACTTTTTTATCTTTTATCACAGATTAATTTTAGAAGACTTTGCCAATATTTACTTTACTGTTTTTCTTATCTCTTTTATTTTTGTGCAGGCTTGCAACCTCTCACAAATTTTAAGGCTAGCTCTTCAACTATGTCTTTGAAAAAGAATATGTCTGCCCACAGCAGCCAGAGTGAGTTTCCAGTGTAGTCTATCTTCAGTTGTTTCTTTCTTTTTGATGGAGTTTTGCCTCTCACCTGGCCATTCAGAATGTACAGGGAGGAAGGGGTGAGGACCGACCCCTCCACCCTATTCTGCCCCCCAACTTAGGAGAATTTCTCCGTGTGTGTGAGTCCTGCTTCTCTCTGTCTCTGTTCCTCTCCTCTGCTAAGGAGGAAAGACTAAATATATACATAAAACTTCATGTCTTTTCCAGAGTGACAGCATTCTTGTGAATGTTTACATCCTGCTGCTGATAGGTTCAAGGTACGTCATAGTCTGAATGTTGGTTGGTCCCACACATGTCCTCGTAATACACTCATTCATGTACATGCACGCATGCACACACACAGCATACCACACATATAACATGTCCCACTAATAAGTCGATGGGGAGGAGAGCCTTGCCTCCCTTTTGAATGGCACAGTCTCCTAAGAAGTAAGGCCTCTGGAGAGTGATCATGTATTGCTTTTATTTACTCCTTGTCTGTTTTCTTCTGCAAAGAACATGTATGGAAGAATGGGCTATGGCTCAGTTTTCCCAAGATTTTCTAAGCTGGGAATATTAGAAGGAACTTAAAATTAAAAAAAAAAAGAACTAAAAATTGAGGGCCCTTCTCTCACACAGATTCTGAGGTGATTATACAGTTTTGATTGGATACTAGTGTTAGAGTTTAACAAAGCCTTACAAAGTAGTCTAGTAATGTAGTATAATGTGTAATTCATTGACCTAATACTTGAAGAACCCAGTTAAAAGTCCTGTTTCTTTTATATTTTGCTTGTAGATTAGCTTTTTGGTTTCTTAACATCCTTAGTTTTCTGGTTCTTGGGAGGTTTGATGAGTAGGCCTTAATGTTCTTAGCCCACTCATTTTTTTCTCTTCTAGTTTACCCTAGCCTCTATACTCTTTTGCCCATTTCTCCACCCCTCAGGCCAGCCTCATAGTCTCCCTAACATTTGCTGACACTCCTGCTCACATTTTGATCCTTATGACAACTGTATTAGTCCGTTCTCATGCTCCTATGAAGAAATACCCAAGATTGGGTAATTTATAAAGGAAAGAGGTTTAATTGACTCACAGTTCCATGTGGCTAGGGAAGC
Source organism: Homo sapiens (assembly GCF_000001405.40). Taxonomy (NCBI): domain Eukaryota; kingdom Metazoa; phylum Chordata; class Mammalia; order Primates; family Hominidae; genus Homo; species Homo sapiens. The sequence continues at coordinate 99,961,559 of NC_000008.11, read as the reverse complement.
CTCAGGAAACTTACAATCATGGCTGAAGGGGAAGCAAACATGTCCTTCTTCAAGAGACAGCAGGAGAGAGAAGTGCCAAGCAAAAGGGGGAAAAGCCCCTTATAAAACCATCAGATCTCATGAGAACTCACTCACTATCATGAGAACAGCCTGAGGGTAACCACCCCCATGCTTCAGTTGCCTCCCACTGGGTCCCTCCCATGACATGTGGGAATTATGGGAACTACAAGATGAGATTTGGGTGGGGACACAGCCAAACCATATCAACAATTCTATATAAGTTTTTTGTTGTTTTGCATTTATATTTGTATTTATATTTTCTATAGATGTTTATATTTTCATCCATTTATGTTTCCTTTGCAGGAATTCTTTAAACCAGATTCTGCTGACATGAGAAGCTCCAGTGATTTGTTTTTTTGAAGGTCTGTATCAGAGCAAGCCTAACATCTAAATAAAGTTTGATTCTGGATTTTCCAGGTGGGAAATAAATAAAGAAAATTTGGCTTGTCTTACTCTCGCAGTTTTAAAATTATAGCTATTCTGTACACATGACATACAAGACTATAAGAACTGTTTAACTTATTTAGAATAAAACAACTACTATCTAGGTTTGAAGAACCAAAATGTTTTGCTTATCACAGTCATTAAGGAAGTATGATGCTATGTTCCTCAAGTCATCTTTCAACAAATATTCCTTGAGCATGTACTGTATTTGGTTAACAGATGTATTCAGCAGGCGATTAGGGGACAAATATTCCAAGTGGTAAATTGTCCCAAAACATAAAAGGAAGAGTTTTCCCTACCCCATCCCCAACTCTAAAGGAACTATATTATTATTATTATTATTATTATTATTATTATTATTATTATTATTATTATTTGAGATGGAGTCTCACTCCGTCGCCCAGGCTGGAGTACATTAGCACGATCTTGGCTCACCACAACCTCTGCCCCCTGGGTTCAAGCGATTCTCCTGCCTCAGTCTCCCGAGTAGCTGGGACTACAGGCATGTGCCACCATGCCTGGCTAATTTTTGTATTTTAGTAGAGACAGGGTTTTGCCATGTTGGCCAGGCTGGCCTCAAACTCCTGATGTCAAGGGATCTGCCTTCCTTGGCCTCCCGAAGTGCTGGGATTACAGGCATGAGCCACCATGCCCTGCCAGGAACTATATATTAAAGCAGTGGTTCTCAGACTTTAGTGTGCTTAATACTCACTTGTGACATTTGCTAGCAATGCACATTCCTGAGCCCCCTCCCTGAGTGTCGCATTCAGTAGTTCTTGGGCTGGACCCAGGAATCTCACTCTTTAACAGACACCTGAAGTGATTCTGATGCAATGTTCCATAAACCACTGTTTGAAATAAACTGTTAGGGTAGCAAGAAAAGAGTGTCAAAAGGTAAAAGCCACCTTATTAACTGGAACTATACTTGTGGCAAAGAGAACCCAGACATATACCCTCCTATACTTTTCCTGGAGGAAAAGGAGAGTGTGTAAGAAATGACCTGGGAGAATCATCTGGGGGCCTCATGACTCAAGAGCTCTGAGGATATGACCTAGATCACCAGATTGGAAGCACTGGACTTCCAGTTTTGTATAATCCCAGTTTCAAAGTAGAAACTGCCTCTCCAGATTCTCTGAAGAGTTAGATATTTTAAATGGGTAAACTATTAGGAGATCTACTTCAGAGATCATTTTTTCTTCTAAAGCAGTGGGTTTTCAAAATTTTTTTTTTTTTTTTTTTTTCTGATCATGGGAACCCTGTAGTTTCCTGTGCTCCTACAGTGCCACATACCCTGTAGTGTAGTGGCCATGAAGTTTCCTTTTCTTCTGACTTCTACTCTTGTGCTGCCTTCTCTGGTTTTAATTGAGCATTTTATATGATTCCATTTTTTCTCCTCTCTTAGCATATCAATTATACTTTTTACATTTTTCTTATTCATTGCCCTAGAGTTTGCAATATATATTTACTACTAATAAAAGTCCACCTTCAAATGACACAATAGTGCTTCATGAGTAGTGCAAGTACCTTATAACAGAGTGTTCCCAATCCCTCCCTCCTCTCCCTTATCACAATGTTGTCATTCATTTCTCTTATCCATAAGCTATACTCACTGAATACATTGTTGCTACTACTATTTTGAACAAACTGTTATCTGTTAGATCAGTTAAGAATGAAAAAAATAAAACATATTTTACCTTTTTCCTTTATTCCTTCTCGGATGCTTTTTCTTTCTTTTTATAGGTCTGCGTTTCTGACCTATATAATTTTCCTTCTCTCTGAAGAACTACTTTTAACATGCCTTGCAAGACAGGTCTACTGGAAACAAATTCCTTTGATTTTGTTTGCCTTAAAAGTCTTTATTTCTCCTTTACTTTTAAATGATAATTTCACAGAATATAGAATTCTAGGTTAGTGGGTTTTTTTTTCCTTTCAACACTTAAAATATTTCACTCTACTCTTCTCTTGCTTGCATGGTTTCTGAAGATGAATCAGATGTAATTCTTATCTTTGCTCCTCTATAGGTAATTGTTTCCACTGCTACCCTCTCGCTTCTTTAAAGATTTTCTCTTTGTCTTTGATTTTCTGCAGACACAAATATGCTATTCCTAGGTATAGTTTTTTTGGCATTATCCTGCTTGGTGTCCTCAAAACTTCCTGGATCTATGGTTTGATGTCTATCATTAATTTTGGAAAATCCTTAGTCATTATTACTTCAGATATTTCTTCTCTTCCTTTCTCTTTTTCTTTTCCTTCTGGTATTCCTATTATATATATTTACCCCCTTTTTTTGTCCTACAGTTCTTGGATATTCTGTTCTGTCTTCTTCATTCTGTTTTCTCTTTGCATTTCAGTTCTGGAAGTTTCTATTGATCTCTCTTCAAGTGCAGTGATTCTTTCCTCAGCTGTATGTAGTCTGTTGATGACCCCATTGATAGCATTCTTCATTTCCATTACAGTGTTTTTTACTTCTAGTGTTTCCATTTGATTTTTTTCTTAGACTTTCCCTCTCTGTGCTTACACTGCGCATCTGTTCTTGTATGTTATCTAATTTTTAAATTAGAGCTTATAGCATATTAATCATAGTCATTTTAACTTTCTGATCTGATAATTCCAATATCTCTGTCTTATCTGAGTCTGGTTCTGATGCTTGCTTTGTCTCTTCCAACTGTTTTTTGCCTTTTTGCATGCCTTGTAATTTCTTCTTGGAAGCAAAACATGTTGTATTAGATAAATGGAAATGAGGTCAATAGGTCTTTAGTGTAAAATTTCATGTTTTTCTGGCTGGGAGTTAGGCTGTATTTACTGTTTGCTGTAGCTGTGGCATTAGAGGCTGAAATTTCCTCTATGTCTTTGTTTTTCTCTCCCCTGTTGTTTTGGGCTTTTCATAGAGACTCCTTGATACAGTGCCTGAGACTTGAAGTTCTCTTAGCTAAAATCTCTGTTATTATACAACAGACCTATTGATGTGGTGGGTAGGGCGGGAGGAGGGGAAAGCATTTTATAGTCCCATGATTAGGTTCTCAGTGTTTTATTGAAACTAAGTTGGGTATTTATTTCCCTTCCCCAAGGTTGTTAGGGCTTTGGTAAAACCCTCTTCTGATAGGTTCTGGTAAAATAGTTTCCCTTGAGGCAGGCCTTGTTAAGAATAGAAAACCCTTGGTGTGTTTCAAAATGGTGACTTTACTCCTCCCTCTACCAGAGCAGCTGGGGATTTTTCTCTGGTCTTCACAGGAGAACCTGATGGGCCTCCTGTAGGTAAAACTCAAGAAAGTGTGGGTGCGCCCCTAAGACTGGACCCCCTCAGAGTATTTAATTCTCAAGTTAGTTGACACTAAGCCTCCAGAAGTTTGTTAATTACAGTTTCAAGTATTCCTCCAGATAGTGGCTGCAGCTTCAGGCTTCTGCTCCCACTAAGCTGTGATTGTCTGTATCTGCATGTCTATCTCTCCAGTTTTAGTGGCTGCAGTTTGCTCTATTACCATAATTCTTTGATGGTTCCAAGAAGAGTTGTTGATTTTCGGTTTGTTCGGTATTTTTCTTGTTGTGAGGATGGTAATGATGACCTCCACATTGTTTACTTGGGCCCTGAAGTTTGATACCTCTATTTTTAAAGTATTTTATAGTCAGTTTTGTGCTTAAGATAAAATTAAGAGGCCAGGCATTGTGGCTCATGCCTATAGTCCCAGTGCTTTGTGGCACTAAGACAGGAGGAGTGCCTGAAGCTAGGAGTTTAAGACCAGCCTGAACAACATAGTGAGAACCTATATCTACAAAAAAATAAAAATATTAGCTGGGTGTGGTGGTGCATGTGTGTAGTCCCAGCTACTTGAGAGGCTGAGGCAGGAGACTCACTTGAGCCCAGGAGTTTGAGGTTACAGTGAACTACGATCATGCCACTGCCCACCAGCCTGGGTGACAGAGCAAGACCCTGTCTCCAAAAAAAAGAAAAAAAGGTTAATTTAGTAATTAAAAGTTTTGTGTTATATATGGATATTAAACTAATGGTAATTTTGTATTATAAATATTTACATATTCCTTTTTAGCCTGCCCTGAAAGCATCCCACAGCATGGGCTCATCCTAGTTTTTGCCACCAGAGGCAATTTCCTTATATTAATGTGCCCATGAAGTATCATCTGTAGTTCTACCAGTTTTTCTTAACATTTCTTCAATGCATCTCCTCCTTTTTCCCCTTCATTATTGGATGACTGTCTTATTCCAGAGCCTTATCACCTTGGATATGGGTTCTAATTAGTATCTCTTTCTCCTGCCTGGCCACTTTACAACCATCCTGAGTGATCTTTCTAAAATGTAAACCTTAAGAAATTCTCTTCTCTAAATACTTCATTGAGATGATTGGTAAACCTGTTATTAGTAAAATAGAAGTTCTTTCTTTGGCAAGATATACATATAAGGCCCCCCTATTGAGAGGTGAAGCCAGCTGGACTTCCTGGGTCAAGTGGGGACTTGGAGAACTTTTCTGTCTAGCTGAAGGATTGTAAATGCACCAATCAGCACTCTGTAAAAATGTACCAATCAGCACTCTGTGTCTAGCTAAAGGATTGTCAATGCACCAATCAGCACTCTGTAAAAACGCACCAATCAGTGCTCTGTGTCTAGCTAAAGGATTGTAAACACACCAACCAGCACTCTGTGAAATGGACCAATCAGCTCTCTGTAAAATGGACCAATCAGCAGGATGTGGGCGGGGCCAAATAAGGGAATATAAGCTGGCCAACTGAGCCAGCAGCGGCAACCCTGTTGGGTCCCCTTCAATGCCGTGGACGGTTTGTTCTTTTGCTCTTCACAATAAATCTTACTGCTGCTCACTCTTTGGGTCCTCACTACCTTTATGAGGTGTAACACTCACCACAAGGGTCTATAGCTTCATTCCTGAAGTCAGCAAGACCACGAACCCATCAGAAGGAAGAAACTCTGGACACGTATGAACATCTGAAGGAACAAACTCCAGACATACCATCTTTAAGAACTGTAACACCATGAGGGTCTGCGGCTTCATTCTTGAAGTCAGCAAGACCAAGAACCCACCAGAAGGAACCAATTCCGGACACACTGTCTTCTGAGACAAACATTCAGATCAGGCATTTGTTCTTCTGGGAAGCTGTCTTTGGTATCCTTCCCTTACTACAGATGCCCCAAATAACTACAGAAGTTATCCTCTTCTGTTCTATCACTGTCTTGTTCACTGTTCTGTAATATAGTGTGTTCGTCACAATGATTGTAATTTTTAAATTATATGTGTGTATACCCTAATACAGTTGTTATTTGGCTTTCCATTCCATCACCTTATATAGAACATTTTAAAAATAGATGTATGTTAAATATTGAAAAAGATGAAGGAAATAGCTCCACTATAAAATTCCAGCAAGGTAAAAATCACTGCTCATCTAAGAAAGTTCAGTGCAATGCTATTCATAAAAATGTGCCATTAGTAGTCTTTGTAATTATAAATATATAGTAATGTGGAATTTTATGTGAACTGTAAAACTTTTGTCCTATCTACATTTTTCATATCTGTGAAAATATACCTATGTGTTTGTCATGTCTCTCAGATAATAAATTAAGCTTATTAAGTCACATTAAATCACTTTAGGCTGGCATTTCTCAATCTCAGCACTAGTGACATTTTTGGCCAGATAACTATTTATTGTGGAGGGCTGTGCTGTGCATTGTAGGATGTTTAACAATGTCCCTGATCTCTTACCCTTTATGTCAGTAGCACCTCTTCAGATGTGGCAACTCAAAATATATTTAGATATTTTGCTACATCATCCCTAGTTGAAAACCACTGCTTTGGACTTTTGGGCATTTTTATGTTGTATTTTTTGAAATCTCTGATGACAATGGAACCTTTAAATTCTAATTCTATAGCATATGCTTTTAAAGGTATCATACCTGCTAGCTCTATAAAACTACCAACAGTGTCTTCTAAATCAGTGATGACTCATTTGTTTTAGTGAGTATCTGTACTAAAGCCACTTGAATAATTTATTTACTTTTACATCATATTTGAAAACATAATGCCTAACAGAGATGCTCAGCCAATGTTTGTTGAATTAATAAAACTTAAAATAAGTTTTCTATTTACGCTTATTGTAACATAAACTATATTTTAGGTAATCTTAAAAGTGCCCTTAAATCTGATTTGGGTGTGTATAAAGAAATAAGTAAATAAATTATAATAGTGCCATATTTTTGCATATGATGAGCTGCTTGATATTATGAATTCTCTTGAAGAAAGACAGCTCCCTTTTGGAATATTCCTAGGATTTAAAAACAAACAAGGCTGGGTGCAGTGGCCCACATCTGTAATCTCAGCACTTTGGGAAGCTAAGGCGGGTGGATTGCTTGAGCCCAGGAGTTTGAGACCAACCGGGGAAACATGGTGAAACCCCTTCTCTAGAAAAAATGCAAAAAGTTACCTGGCATGGTGACATATGCCTGTAGTCCCAGTTACTCAGGAGGCTGCAGTGAGAGGATTGCTTGAGCATGGGGGGTCGAGGTTACAGTGAGCCATGATCATGCCACTGCACTCCAGCCTGGAAGCCCTATCAAAACAACAACAACAACAACAACAAAACAACCCAGAAAGTACTGGTATACTGTATCAACTTATACTCTTCAAAACAGGGTAAATTGAGCTCATACTTTGTATGTTTACATTATTATTTGAAGTAAATAAGTATATTTTTAAAAGTTTTTAAACCAACCAAACATCAGTGAAATAAGTATATTTTGAAATAAATACAATAGTGAAATAATCCAAAAGTAATGTGGCCAGTTGGATCAGATTCAGCTTGTGTATAATTTTTTAAAATAAGCAAATTTAGTATTGAAGGCATAAATTAATTTATGTTACATTTCTTTTTCTTTTTTTCTTTTGAGATGGAGTCTCACTCTGTTCCCCAGGCTGGAGGGCAGTGGCATCAACTTGGCTCACTGCAACCTCCGCCTCCTGGGTTCAAGCGATTCTCCTGCCTCAGCCTCCCAAGTAGCTGGGATTACAGGTGCATGCCACCATGTCAGGCTAATTTTTTGTATTTTTAGTAGAGATGGGGTTTCACCGTGTTAGCCAGGATGGTTTCAATCTTCTGACCTCATGATCTGCCCACCTCGGCCTCCCAAAGTGCTGGGATTACAGGCGTGAGCCACCATTCCTGACCGATTTATGTTATATTTCTTAAATGAATATGTTCATCATTTGTCATATAATTGAAAATTACTTAATAGTACATAATCTGGAAAAATTGCATTTTCTTTTTAAATTGGCATACTCTTTAAAATTACAGTGAAATTTCTGCCTCAAAAAATAGATGCTATATATCCAATGATTCAGTAGAATTTGGTTTTGAACCAGGCACCATGGCTCACACCTCTAATCCCAGCACTTTGGGAGGCCCAGGTGGGAGGATCGCTTGAGCCCAGGAGTTTGAGACTAGCCTAGGCATCATAGTGAGACAGTGTCTCTACAAAAAATTTAAAAATTAGCTAAGAGCAGTGTTGAGTACCTCAAGTCTTAGCTACTCTGGAGGCTGAGGTGGGAGGATCACTTAAGCCCAGGAGTTCAGGGTTACAGTGAGCTATGATCACGCCACTGCACGCCGGCCTGGATGACAGAGCAAGACCCTGTCTCAGAAAAGAAAAAAGAAAAGAAGAGAAAAAAGACAAAAGAAAAGAAGAACTTGATTCTGGTCCTAGATCTGTTGCTGCCTTTCTGATTTGGGGCCATTTATTTAACCCCTTTCAGCCACAGTTTATTTTATTTTTTTTATAAAGAACTCAGGGTCCTTTTTTAGCTCTAATATTATGTGATTCTATGAGTTTATAACGTTAAAGCTTTTTAATGTATAACTGTCTATAGAGTTTGGGTCTATTTTTCAATGAGCACTTATTTTTATATTTTGAATTAGAGCCTTAGATCAAATTTTTCTGAGAAGAATAATTTGGTTGGGCGCGGTGGCTCACGCCTGTAATCCCAGCACTTTGGGAGGCCAAGGAGGGCAGATCACGAGGTCAGGAGATCGAAACCATCCTGGCCAGCATGGTGAAACCCCGTCTCTACTAAAAATACAAAAATTAGCCAGGCAAGATGGTACGTGCCTGTAGTCCCAGCTACTCAGGAGGCTGAGGCAGGAGAATCGCTTGAACCCGGGAGGCATAGGTTGCAGTGAGCCGAGATTGCGCCACTGTACTCCAGCCTGGCGACAGAGCAAGACTCTGTCTCAAAAAAAAAAAAAGAAGAATTCAACTTCTAAACTATTTCCTTTTACAGAGTCAAATACTTAGGGTGTTGCCTGGCCCTAAAATAGTTATTGTTCTAGAAAAAAAAAAAATTCAACAGTACATGATAATAGTAAGTGGTACTCTCCCTCCTTACCCCCATTGTAACAGTGACAGAAAATGTGTTTCCAAACATATATTCTACCCTTACTCCTTTTAGTAATGGAATCCCAAGTTTTAGTTGTGCCCAAGGTGACCTAACTGGAGTTAACTATCATTTCCCAATCTACCTCACAGGTAGATACAGCCATGTGACCAAGTTCAGGCTAAGGGGTTGTGAAGAGAAGTGTGTGATATCTGTTCAAGACTTAAGTAAATGAAAATGCTCGCCAACCATATTCTCTCTTTTCCCTTTCTGTAAGCTGGGTCATAGTTACGATGCTGGCTGGCAACCTTTCACTGTGTAGATGGAGTAGATGGAGCACCTATGGAATTATGGAGCCTGGGTCTCTGGAAGGCCTCATGAAAGAGAGCTGCCTTGCACTGGACTGCTATGTGAGATAAAAACAAATCCCTCTCTTGTCTGAGTCACTTTATTTGTGTGCCTTTTGTTTTAGCAGCTTATCCTATACCTTAACTATGCAAAAATTGCCTCCAGGAGTAGGGAACTACCATAACAAAAACCTAAAATATGTGGCATTGATTAAGCAGTCAGTCAGTGGGCAGCAAGGCAACAGATAATTGCAAGCTAGAAAGGTGGTGACCAGACGGGGTGTCATGGCTCATGCCTTTAATCCCAGCACTTTGGGAGGCTGAGGCAGGAGGATTGCTTGAGCCTAGGAATTCAAGACCAGCCTGGACAACATAGTGAGACCTGTGTCTACAAAAAATAAAAAAAAACTAGCCAGGCATGGTAGCGCACCACCTGTAATCCCAGCTACTTTGGGTGGCTGAGGTGGGAGGATTGCTTGAGCCTGGGAGGTTGAGGCTGTAGTGAATTGTGGTTGTGTCACTGCACTCTAGCCTGGGTGACAAAGTGAGATCCTATCTCTAAAAATAAAAATTAAAAAAAGGTGAAGGTGGTGACTTTTGTAATACTATGACAAAATATTTGGCAAAACTATTAACTTGTGATAATTTGGAAGGCAGACCATGTGACTACTAAGCCCATAGCTTTGTAAAGGAAGAGGTTAAAAAAAAGAATGTTGGTGTGTGTTTGTGTGTTGGTTGCCCCTTTCTGCTTTTAGCAAGATATCATGAAGGTAAATCAGTCAAGCATTAACTAGTTTACAAGTAGAAATGGAAGAGAATACAACTCAACTAAGGGAGGCACATTCTCTAACTGTGGCTTGCAGTTAAAACTGATGTAAAATCTAATAATTAGAAGCCTCAAAGTTGGGAAAGTCAATTGCAACTATTCCCTGTAAAGCTGAGCCTTTGGTCATTGCCCTTTACAAAATTTTCTCAGTAAGACCTTTCATCTGGACAATGGTAGCCCAGTAATAAAGGTCAAAGTAAAGGTGTTGCCATCCTAATCTAGCCTATTGTTTTAGATGACCTTAAAATAGCCACCATTAAATAATAGAGAGGGAACTGAGCTAAACACAAACATGAATAAATAAAATAAGAGACTTCACAGGCTTAAGAACTATGACCAGAAGAGATTTTGACATGGAACTGACTGGTAGTAAATAGACTTGAAGCTTACTAAAATTTTGATAGAATTGTATTCCCAGCAAAACCACAAACCTGGCATAAAAGTATCTGTAATTTTTCAGTCTCTAAAATAATCACAAGGTCCCCAAATTTGCATCATCAAAAAGCAAGTAATGAAATTTGTACAGTCCCCAAAGAGGCCCACTCTCCAATGCCAACCTCAAACTTGGCTTAGAGAATAATAGATAAAAATTTTCCCTGAAGGTAAAGCCAAGGGCCTCAGAGGACTAGGGACAGGGAGTTTTTCCCATGGAGTAGATTCAGTATCTAACATCGTGTCTTCACACTTCCTACCCAGAAGATGAATTGTGATTACTGTGTTTGTTGCCTACTCATTCTTTTCCAAAGCATCATATTGTTTCTATTTTCTCCTCTGATTTATGTCAATATCCTCTGTCTTAGTTGATCTTGTGCTGGTATAATGAAATACCACAGACGGGGTAACTTATAATGAACACAGATTTATTTGGCTCATGATTCTGCAGAGTGGGAAGTCCAAGACTAAGGGGCTTCATCTTGGAGGGGTCTTTTTGCTGCATCATAACATTGGCGGAAGGCATCACATGGTGAGAGAACATATGCCAGAGAGAGAAAAGGGGTTCAAACTCATCCTATCAGAAATCCACTCTTGCAATAACTTCACATAAAGCCTGTTCAGATATACTAGTTTTTCTCCAAACTTTCACCTTCAGCTCATCAACCCTTTCGTTCCTAACCATAGCCTTCATTGGAACTTCAGCAGGTTTTGGATTTGCAATACTAGGTAGAGGAACTGCTCCCCAGTATGACATAATACCCATTTTCATATAACATTCAGGTACAGGAGACAACTTCCTTACATAAAACCTGTTTAAACATTCCAATTTTCATCCAAACTTGCACCTGAATCCTATCAACCCTTATGATTCTACATCATGAGAAATACAATTCTAAGCCCCTAACTGACTGAATGGACCTCTTCCTGGCCACAGGAACCTCAGAGAAATCTTGGAAGTTGAGTTCACAGACACACCTAATTCTATCCCTTCTCTTGCTAACCACCTTCTTTCCTAAGGGCTAGACAGAAATCAAACCTTTCAAAAGACTGGTTAAAAGAAAAACCGTAGACAAATTAAATTTAACGGAGTTTAATTGTGCAAAGAATGATTCACGAATCAGGCAGCCTCCCGAATCCAAGTAGGCTCAGAGAAACAGCCACATGATGGAAGATGAATTGACAGAAAAAGGCAGGTGACCTACTGAAAACATAAGTGAGGTACAGAAACCACTGGATTGGTTACAGCTCAGCTTTTGCCTTATTTGAACATGGTTTGAACAGTTGGCCACCATTAATTAGTGAAAACTCAGTGTTCGGCGCAAGAGTAGGTTAGTCTGTGTACTCATGCAGTTAAGGTTTCAGTTTACTATGTACGAAGAAATCTTTAGGCTGAGCTTAAAGTATGCAAGGAGGCAGCTTTAGGCTAAACTTAGTTTATCAGAATCCACACTGATTTTCATGCGTGTCAGTGTGAAGAGACCACCAAACAGGCTTTGTGTGAGCAATAAAGCTGTTTATTTCACCTGGGTGCAGGTGGGCTGAGTCCGAAAAGAGAGTCAGCGAAGGGAGATAAGGGTGGGGCCGTTTTATAGGATTTGGGAAGGTAATGGAAAATTACAGTCAAAGGGGGTTGTTCTCTGGTGGGCAGGGGCGGGGGGTCACAAGGTGCTCAGTGGGGGAGCTTCTGAGCCAGGAGAAGGAAATTCACAGGGTTAATCACTCAGTTAAGGTGGGGCAGGAACAAATCACAATGGTGGAATGTCATCAGTTAAGGCGGGGCAGGGCCTTTTCACTTCTTTTGTGATTCTTCAGTTACTTCAGGCCATCTGGGCGTATACATGCAAGTCACGGGATGCGATGGCTTGGCTTGGGCTCAGAGGCCTGACATTCCTGCCTTCTTATATTAATAAGAAAAATAAAACAAAATAGTGTTGAAGTGTTGGGGCGGCAAAAATTTTTGGGGGTGGTATGGAGAGAGAATGGGCGATGTTTCTCAGGGCTGCTTCAAGCGGGATTAGGGGCGGCGTGGGAACCTAGAGTGGGAGAGATTAAGCTGAATGGAAGATCTTGTGGTAAGGGGTGATATTGTGGGGTTGTTAGAAGAAACATTTGTCGTATAGAATGATTGGTGATGGCCTGGATACGGTTTTGTATGAATTGAAAAATGGAATAAGAGAAGGAGAGAAACAGGTATAAAAGGTCTAAGAATTGGGAGGACCTAGGACATCTGATTAGAGTGCCTAAGGAGATTCGGCATAGTCCTGCCAGCAAAGATTATTTATTTACTTCAAGAGTTTAGAGTGGCAGTTTGGGGATAGCACCAGGAGATATCAGCTGTGATGGCTTGGAGAAACAGTGTAAACTGGCAGTGTAAACAAGAGCAGGGCATGTATGAGTAGTTGAGAAAGGTGAATAGGAGTATGTATGACTAGACAAAAGATAGTAGGGATGACAAGTTTTTTGGGGGCACAGTCTAAGTTGGTCTGGTGTCGAATGAGACTGGGGGCTAATAAAAATGAGCATCTTTTTAAAGATGCTTTTTAAAGAGCTTAAATGGGCTGTACCTTGTAACATTCTGAGGACAGGCCTGAATTCTGAGAAGTGAAAGTGGTAAAAGTATTGTTCAGTCCTTTTTAAGTTGGTGGCTGAGCTTGGTGAGGTGTGTTTTTAAAAGACCTTTAGTCCGTTCTACTTTTCTTGAAGACGGAGGACCGTAAGGGATATAAAGGTTTCACTGAATACTAAGAGCCTGAAAAACTGCTTGGCTGATTTGACTAATGAAGGCTGGTCTGTTATCAGACTGTATAGAGGTGGGAAGGCTAAACTGAGGAATTATGTCTGACAGAAGGGAAGAAATGACTGCGGTGGCCTTCTCAGACCCTGTAGGAAAGGCCTTTACTTATTCAGTGAAAGTGTCTATTTAGACTAAGAGGTATTTTAGTTTCCTGACTCGGGCATGTTGAGTAAAGCTAATTTGCCAGTCCTGGGTGGGGGCAAATCCTCGAGCTTGATGTGTAGGGAAGGGAGGGGGCCTGAATAATCCCTGAGGAGTAGTAGAATAGCAGATGGAACACTGAGAAGTTATTTCCTTGAGGATAGATTTCCACGATGGAAAGGAAATGAGAGGTTCTGAGAGGCGGGCTAGTGGCTTGTACTATAGCATAACCTGCCGTTGCTGGTGTGTGGCGATTAGGCCTGGTGGAACCGCCATCAATAAATCAAGCGTGATCAGGGTGAGGAACAGGAAAGAAGGAAATATGGGGAAATGGGGTGAATATCAGGTGGATCAGAGAGATACAGTCATGGGGGTCAGGTGTGGTATCAGGAATAATGTGAGAGGCCAGATTGAAGTCCTGGCCAGGAACAAGGGTAATTGTGGGACTTAAAGAGTGAATACAGCTGAAGGAGCCGGGGAGCAGAAAGTATATGTGTCAGGTATGAGGAAGAAAATAGATTTTGGAAGTTATGAGAAATGTAGAGAGTGAGTTGAGCATAGTTTGTGATTTTTAGGGCCTCTAACAGTACCAAAGCAGCGGCAGCCGCTGCACGCAGACATGAGGGCTAGGCTAAAACAGTAAGGTCAAGTTGTTTGGACAGAAAGGCTACAGGGTGCGGTCCTGGCTCTTGTGTAAGAATTCTGACCGCACTAACCATGCCTAGGAAGGAAAGGAGTTGTTGTTTTGTAGAAGGTGCTGGGGTTTGAGAGATCAGTTGGCCACGATTGGCAGGGAGAGCACGTGTGTTTTTATGAGAATTATGCCAAGATAGGTAACAGATGAGGAAGAAATTTGGGCTTGATTGAAGTAATGGGAGCTGCCTGTGAAGCTTTGCGGCAGTACAGCCTAGGTAATTTGCTGAGCTTGATGGGTGTCAGGGTCAGTCCAAGTGAAAGCGAAGAGAGGCTGGGATTAAGGGTGCAAAGGAATAGTAAAGAATGCATGTTTGAGATCTAGAACAGAATAATGGGTTGTAGAGGCAGGTATTGAGGATAGGAGAGTATATGGGTTTGGCACCATGGGGTGGATAGGCAAAATAATTTGGTTGACAAGGCGCAGATCCTGAACTAACTCGTAAGGCTTGTCTGGTTTTAGGACAGGTAAAATGGGGGAATTGTAAGGAGAGTTTATAGGCTTTAAAAGGCCATGCTGTAGCAGGTGAGTGATAACAGGCTTTAATCTTTTTAAAGCGTGTCGTGGGATGGGATCTTGGCGTTGAGTGGGGTAAGGGTGATTAGGTTTTAATGAGATGGTAAGGGGTGCATGATCGGTCGCCAAGGAGGGAGTAGAGGTATCTCATATTTGTGGGTTAAGGTGGGGGGATACAAGAGGAGGACGCAAAGGAGGCTTTGGATTGGGAAGAAGGGCGGCAATGAGATATAGCTGTAGTCCAGGAATAGTCAGGGAAGCAGATAATTTAGTTAAAGTGTCTCAGCCTAATAAGGGAACTGGGCAGGTGGGGATAACTGAAAAGGAGTGCTTAAAAGAGTATTGTCTAAGTTGGCACCAGAGTTGGGGAGTTTTAAGAGGTTTAGAAGCCTGGCCTTCAATACCCACAACAGTTATGGAGGCAAGGGAAACAGGCCCTTGAAAAGAAGGTAATGTGGAGTGGGTAGCCTCCGTATTGATTAAGAAGGGGACGGGCTTACCTTCCACTGTGAGAGTTACCTGAAGCTTGGCGTCCTTGATGGTCTAGGGGGCTTCCAAGGTGATCGGGCAGTGTCAGTCTTCAGCCGCTAAGCCGAGAAGATCTGGGAAGGAGTCAGTCAGAGAGCCTTGGGCCAGAGTTCCAGGGGCTCTGGGAGTGGCTGCCAGGTGAGTTGAACAGTCCGATTTTCAGTGGGGTCCCACACAGATGGGACGCGGCTTAGGAGGAATCCGGGGCTGCGGGCATTCCTTGGCCCAGTGGCCAGATTTCCGGCACGTGTAGCAAGCTCCTGGGGGAGAAGGTTCTGGAGGAACACCTGGATGCTGTGGTTCAGGCGTTTGGAAGTTCTTGTGTGCTGGAGATGTGGCTGGGGTTTGTCTCACAGAGGAGGCAAGGAATTGCAACTTTTTTCTGTTATTGTACACCTTGAAGGTGAGGTTAATTAAGTCCTGTTGTGGGGTTTGAGGGCCAGATTCCAATTTTTGGAGTTTTATTTAATGTCGGGAGCAGATTGGGTAGTAAAATGTATATTGAGAATAAGACGGCCTTTTGACCTTTTAGGGTCTAGGGCTGTAAAGCGTCTCAGGGTTGCTGCCAAACGAGCCATGAGCTGGGCTGGATTTTTATATTTGACGAAAAAGAGCCTAAACGCTTCTGATTTGGGATAAAGAAAAAGGAGCATTAACCTTGACTATGCCTTTGGCTCCAGCCACCTTTTTAAGAGTAAATTGCTGGGCAGATGGGGGAGGGCTAGTCACGGAACGAAACTGTAAGCCGGACCAGGTGTGAGGAGGGGAGGCAATAAAAAGATTATAGGGTGGAGGAGCGGAGGCTGAGGAAGAATTGGGACCTAGCTCGGCCTGGAGAGGAGCAGCCTGGGGAGGAAGGGAGAGGTCAGATGGGTCTGTAGAGAAGGAAGATTAGAAAGACTCAGCGACGCTTGGTGTTGGTACTGAGGGGACAGGCAGGAGGGAAAGAAGGAAGATTTGGGATGAGTTGCACTGGGCACAGAGACTAGGAAGGGACTGATGTGTAAAAGGATGCCTGGATGTCAGGCACCTCAGACCGTTTGCCTATTTTATGACAAGAATTACTTAGATCTTGCAGGATGGAAAAATTCAAAGTGCCATTTTCTGGCTATTTGGAACTACTGTCGAGTTTGTATTGGGGTCAAGCAGCATTGCAGAAGAAAATAAGGCATTTAGGTTTTAGGTCAGGTGTGAGTTGAAGAGGTTTTACGTTTTTGAGAACACAGGCTAAGGGAGAAGAAGGAGGAATGGAGGATGCAAGGTTGCCCATAGTGAAAGAGGCAAACCCAGAGAAAAGAGAGCGTAGAGACATGGAGGGAAGGGGTTTGGGGGTTCTTACCCTCCCGAAAAGCAGGAAGGGGGGTTGGGGCATGGAAATAAGGGATTGGGGCACAGAGATAAGAGGTTGGGGTGTGGAAATAAGGGATTGGGGCACAGAGATAAGAGGATGGGGCATGGAAATAAGGGATTGGGGCACAGAGATACGAGGTTGGGGCATAAGGGATTGGGGCACAGAGATGAGAGGTTGGGGCATGGAAATAAGGGATTGGGGCACAGAGATATGAGGGGGCATAAGGGATTGGGGTGCAGAGATAAGAGGTTGGGGCATGGAAATAAGGGATTGGGGTGCAGAGATATGAGGTTGGGGCGCAGAAATAAGGGATTGGGGGTTCTTGCCCCCTAGAAAAGCGAGACTTGCTGTTAAGGGTGAAGGAGAAGGGGTTGAGGGGTACTTGCCCCTCCCCCAGAAAAGCAGAGAAGGGGTAGAGACAAGGAGAGAAGGGGTTGGGGTACTTGCCCCTTCCCCAGAAAAGCGGGACTTGCCGCTAAGGGTGAAGGACCAAGGCAGGCGTCCCTGTGTGGTCTGACACCTTTGAAACGTGGGTGAATAATCAGAGAGGCGTCCCTGCAATGATTAAACACCAAGGGAAGGCTGCCTTCCCAGTCCGTGACCGGCGCCGGAGTTTTGGGTCCACAGATAAAACGTGTCTCCTTTGTCTCTCCCAGAAAATGAAAGGAATTGAAATTAAGAGAAGGGAGAGAATGAAGAGTGGAAAGAAGAAAGTGGTTGAGGGACAGTGAGAGAGGTTGGAGAAAGAGAGTAAGAAGAGGCCGCTTACCTGATTTAAAATTGGTGAGATGTTCCTTGGGCTGGTCGGTCTGAGGACCTGAGTCGTAGGTGGATCTTTCTCACGGAGCAAAGAACAGGAGGACAGGGGATTGATCTCCCAAGGGAGGTCCCCCGATCCGAGTCACAGCACCAAATTTCATGCGCGTCTGTGTGAAGAGACCACCAAACAGGCTTTGTGTGAGCAATAAAGCTGTTTATTTCACCTGGGTGCAGGTGGGCTGAGTCCGAAAAGAGAGTCAGCGAAGGGAGATAAAGGTGGGGCTGTTTTATAGGATTTGGGAAGGTAATGGAAACTTACAGTCAAAGGGGGTTGTTCTCTGGTGGGCAGGGGCGGGGGTCACAAGGTGCTCAGTGGGGGAGCTTCTGAGCCAGGAGAAGGAAATTCACAGGGTTAATCACTCAGTTAAGGTGGGGCAGGAACAAATCACAATGGTGGAATGTCATCAGTTAAGGCGGGGCAGGTCCTTTTCACTTTTGTGATTCTTCAGTTACTTCAGGCCATCTGGGTGTATACGTGCAAGTCACAGGGGATGCGATGGCTTGGCTTGGGCTCAGAGGCCTGACACAGATAATGTTCATTTCTAGCTTATCTTTCCAGGTACAGAACAAAAACAAGATGAGATTACTCAATCCTTTACTCCTCCCTGAGACAGCTACTTCCTCTCTTTTTCTTCAAATGTTCACCTTAACTTACCTAAAATGTAAATTTACAAGGCACTATTTTTAAGGAAAATGTATAAATACTAAAGCTCCTGAGAACCTCTTTGGAAAAAAGAGCCACAGATGTGTCTGACTCACAATTTCCCGGGTGCACCCTCAAGCTGGCTCAGTGAACGTCAGTGATTTGAGACTTATGCCTCAGTCACTCATTTTGGTTGTCCAGCCTCTCAATCTAATTGTAGCTTGTATTAGGGCTTCACAAATGGGTTTCAGTACCATAGTATGTGGGGCTCCCATATCAAGGAGTCCCAGAAACTTCTCTTCTTCACCCCCTGACCTATTTTCCCACTCATGGGCAAAAGGCTTTGGGTCCCCAGCAGGGGTTTGAGCTAGGAGACCCTGATCTTTGTGTCTTCATATTGACTTATCTGCTTAAGCATTGCCCTAAGCCATTTTGGGTCAAGTTTCTCCTTGTCATCTTTGCCCTCTGCCTTTTAAAATTTCTTCATATGTGATAATAGAGTGGACTTCTTTGAGACTCTTTAATGTTAGGGAACC
The DNA here is from genome assembly GCF_000001405.40 of Homo sapiens. Taxonomy (NCBI): domain Eukaryota; kingdom Metazoa; phylum Chordata; class Mammalia; order Primates; family Hominidae; genus Homo; species Homo sapiens. The sequence continues at coordinate 99,943,041 of NC_000008.11, read as the reverse complement.
AGCCGGACATTCCTTTAGCCTGACCAACCTTCCATAACGTTGTAGTAAGACCTTTGTTTTAACCCTATCAATGTTCATTTTATTCATGCAATATTGTAACAACCACTTAAAGATTTCCACTCTGACTGGACAGGTCTCTTGGCTCTCCCCTTTCTTTCTCGTCTTTGTTTTGTACCCATCAATGTTTACTATATTCACTTGTTTCTTAAAAACCATTTAAAATTTTCCACCTTGTTAGAAGAGTCCTTTGACTTTCGCCTCTGCCTTTTCTCATTCTTTTGTTAATTAATCTAATATTTTAATTAGCATCTGTAAGACCATTGAGGGGAAACTGAGCCAGCAAATTCAATAAGGCTTCCTAGTCTGTTGCTCAGTTTTGCAGCAGTAAGATCACATAGGCTATCCATGCAAAAGCAGCCCCTTAGTTATAGCATTTACTATGACTTGAGTAATGGACATTTTCAGCAGGTGAATATCCTGGTCATTATAAAGCCAGTGCCACATAGCTTTCATATGAGAATATCAGCTATTTCAACTAGGGTGTTCTACTTGGCATTTACAGGGGAATTGGGCAGTCCTCCTCCCTAAAGGGTAGACCTACTTCACAGCAGCTTTTATCCAATCCAGCAGCCAGGCTTCTCCCTCATGATTAACCTCCTGGGTGTCTAGATCACATAAAGCCATAGATGATTGTTCAGTAGTGAGCTATGGGTCCTCCATCAACCCAAATATGTTCACTCTCTTTTCATTTCAGTTATTACAGATAACAATACCAAGAGATTGAATGTTTCACAATTTTCTTGTTATTTTGCATTTCCTCATGTCACAGCCGAGTTATTCTTGTCTGCTTCCCTGAAAAGAATCCAATTCACTGAGAACAGCAAGCGTTGCAGCAAAGAAAGAGTTTAATAATCATAGGGCCAACCAAGCAAGGGGAACAGAAGACATTTCTCAAATCTGCCTGCCCAAGAATTCAAAGGCTAGGGTTTTTAAGGGTGCTCTGGTCGGCAGGGGTCTGGGGAACTGAAACAATTGATTGGCTGGGGATGAAATTAGAGGAGTGTCTAAACTGTCTTTGTGCAGCTGAGTCAGTTCCCAAGAAGGGATCTCAGGACTCATCTCTTGGTCTGCCCAAATGCTAAATCCGAAAAATATCTCGAAGACTAGTTCTTTAGGTTTCACAATAGTGATGTTATCTATAGGAGCATTTGGGGAAGTTACAGATCTTGTGACCTCCAGTTATATGACTCTGGGGCAGTAAGCAACCTGTAGAAAAGCAAGCTAAGCCATGGCAGGTTATTGTTTAACTATGCCTATTCTTTAGCAAATTTCAGGATCCTACCATAATTCTAACCTTGTTTTATGAATGTGGCTTCAGTCTCTGAACAAGGAGGGAAGTCAGTTTTCCTTGCCTCAAAGTTTAAATTTCTCTCATGGTCTTCACACTAGAATAATCCAAAAACCAATTTAGCCTGTGAGGTTAGAAACAAGATGGAATCATTCATGTTAGATTCTCTCATTTCTTAAATTCTAAAAGAGATGGATCTAGCAAGGAGTGTGGGAAGGGACGGGGAGCTTCTATGGCCTCACTGGATATGCCAGACTTGCAGCACCTCCACGTGTTCACTGCCCCAGAAGCTCCAGCTCAGGGTGTTTAAGTGTAAATTCTGACTAATCATTGACCACTAAGCTGTGCTAACCCAGAGGTGATCCCTAGGAAACAAGACTTAAACATTAAAAAATGAAAAAAACAACTGAGCAAAGACATAAGTTGCTACACAATGTAGGGAAGACAGACTATAGAATTAGTCTAGGCAAGTCACTGAAATAAATGACAAAACTACAATAACTACCCAGGATTGGAGGTGAATCAGAACCCAGAAATGCTATAACATATTATCTTAAATGTCCAGTTTGTTGTTGTTGTTGTTGTTTGTTTGTTTGTTTGTTTTCTGAGATAGAGCCTTGCTCTGTCACCCAGATTGGAGTGCAACAGTGCAATCACAGCTCATTGTAACCTTGACCTCCCAGGCTTAAGCAGTCTTCCCACCTCAGCCTCCTGAGTAGCTGGGACCACAGGTGTATGCCACCACCCCCAGCTAATTTTTATTTTTAATTTTTTTTGTAGAGATGGGGTCTCCCTGTGTTGCCCAGGCTTGTCTTGAACTCTGGGGCTCAAGTGATCCTCTCACCTCAGCCTCCCAAAGTGCTGGAATTACAGGTGTGAGCCACCATACCTGGCTTAAAATGTCCAGTTTTAAACAAAAGATAAACACAAGACATGCAAATAAATATGAAAGTGTGACCCATACAAAGGAAGAAAAGCAGGCAGTAGAAACTCTCTCAGGGGGGCCCTCATATTAGATCTTATAGACCTCAAATCAGCTATTATAAATATGTTTAAATAACTAAAGGAAATCATACTTAAATAAAAGAAAACATGTGGTGGCAAGAGTTCATTAAACAACAAATAACAGTAAAAAGAAATTTTTTTAAATGGAAATTCTGGAGTTGTAAAATACCATAACTGAAATGAAAAATTCATCACATAAGTACAACAGCAGATGTGGGCTGGCAAAAAGAACTTAGAGATAGATGAATAGAGATTACCCAATCTGAATAACAGAAAGAAAAAAGAATGAAAATAAAGGAACAGTCCTTCAGAGAACCAAGGGACACCATCAAGCACAGAATGTGTTGCACAAAAGGAGCCACAGCACGGGGGCAGGGAAAGAAATGTGCAATAAAAATATTTGAAGATATAATGGCCAAAAACATTCCCAAATTAAAGTAAAACACTAGTCACATCCAAGAACCTTAAAGCAAATTGGATACAAGGTCAGTTTAATATCCAAAAATCATTTAATGTAAACCACTATACTAATAAAGGACAAAACCCACATGATCCTTTCAATAGACAAAGAAGCATTTGAAAAAAAAAAAACTAATGCTTATTAATAAACCTTGAAATAATTCAACCTAATAAAAGGCCTCTACAAAAAAACCACAGCTAACATTTATACTTAATGATGGGAAGACCAAAAGCTTCCCCCTAAGATTGGGATCAGTGCAAGGGTATTCCCTCTTGCCACTTCTGTTTATCATTGTGCTGGAGATTGTAGCCAGTGCAATCAGGCAAGAAAAGAAAAAGCGTACAGGTTGGAAAGAAAGAAATAAAACTATCTTTATTTGCAGATGATGTAAAGATGACATGGTTCTGTATGTAGGAAATTCCAAGGAATCCACAAAAACTGCTAGACCTAATAAATTCAAGAAGGTCACAGAATTATTGATCAGCATTAAAAAATCAATATTGTATTTCCATATACTAGCAATAAAGAAACAAAAATGGCCACATTGAATACAATTCTATTCACGATAGCATGAAATTGAATTACTTAAGAGTAAATTTAACAAAGGAAGTGCAAGACTTGCACACTGAAAACTGCAAAACATTGCTGATAAATATTAAAGAAGACCTAAATAAATGGAAATACATTTGATATCATGAACTGAAAGACTGAATATTGTTAAGCTGTCAATTCTCCTGAAATACATCAATGGATTCAACATGATCCCTATCAAAATTCCCTAGGTTTTTTGTAGAAATTGACAAGCTGATCCTAAAATTTAGCTTAGGAAAAGCAAAGGATACATGGCAAAATAATTTTGATAAGAACAAAGTTGGAGGACTTACACTTCTCAATTTCAAAATATATTGGTAATCAAGACAGTGTGGTATTGACATCAAACAGATATACAGATCAATATGAAAAAATTAAGAGTTTATAAGTAAGTCCATATGTTTACTGTCAACTGATTTTTCAACAAGGGCACCAAGGCAATTCAGTGAGGAAATTATCTTACATCAAACACAAAATTTTCCCCAGAATAGATCATACACCTAAATGTAAGAGATAAAAATTTTGAAAGAATGCAGGAGAAAAATCTTTGTGACCTTGGGGAAGACAAATTTTTCTTGATACCAAATCAACTAAAATATCAATAAAAATAAATGGATAAAATTATACTTTATAAAATTTAAAATTTTTTGTGCTTTAAAAGACAATTTGTTTTCATTAAGTAGATGAAAGGACAAGCCACAGACTTGGAGAACATATGGGCAAATTATATATCTCCCAAATAACTTGTATCTAGACTATATAAAGAACTTTTACAATTCAATAAGAAAAAAACATTTAAAAATGAGGAAAATATTTGACTAAATGTTTCACTAAACAATATACATGAATAGCCAGTAACTACATGGAAAGATACTCAACATCATTAGTCATTAGGGAAATGCAAATGAAAACTACAATGAAATACCTCCTCACACTCACTAGAATGGCTATAATGGAAAAGATGATAACAAGTGTTGGCAAGGATGTGGAGAAACTGGAACTCCCATATATTTATAGTGGGAATATAACAGCCATTTGGAAAAGTTGGCAGTTTTTTTATAAGTTAAATATATATTTACCATACTACTTAGCAATTCCACTCCTAGGAATCTACCCAAAAAAAATGAAAACATATTTTCATTTTTTAAAATGAAAGACAAAGATTTATATGTTGATGTTTATAAAAGCATTATTCTTAATAGTTAAAACATGTATACTACACAAATATCAATCAACTGGTGAATAGATAAAATGTTGCACATGTATAGAAGAGAATACCATTCTGCAATAAAAATGACAAGCTCCTGATACATGATACAACATATGTGAACCTCAAAAAACATTATGCTAAGTGAAAGAAGACAGGCAAATACAGTCTTGTGTCGCTTAACAATAGAGATATATTCTGAGAATGAATCCTTAGGTGATTTTGTCATTGTGCAAACATCACAAAATGTACTTATGCAAACCGAGAAGGTATAGCCTACCACATGCCTAGGGTATATGGTATAGCCTATTGCTCTAGGCTACAAACCTGTACAACGTGTTACTGTACTGAATACTGTAGGCAGTTGTAACACAGTGGTATTTGTGGATCTAAACCAGAAATGGTACAGATATGGCATAAAAAATATAAAATGGTACACCTATGTAGGACACTTACCATGAGTGGAGCTTGCAGGACTGGAAGTTGCTCTGGGTGTGAGTCAGTGAGTGGTGAGTGAATGTGAAGGCCTAGGATATTACTGTACATTACTGTACATTTTATAAACACTGTACACTTAGGCTATACTAAATTTACAAAAAAAGTTTCTTCAATAGTAAAGTATCTTTAGCTTACTGTAGCTTTTTTTTTTTTTTTTTGAGTTGGTGTCTCACCCGGTCACCAGGGCTAGAGTGCAGTGGTGTGATCATGTCTCACTGCAGGCTTGAACTCCTGTCCTCAAGCAATTCCCCCACCTCAGCCTCTCGAGTTGCTGTGATTGAAGGCATGGGCCACTGCACTCAGCCTTAGTGTAAGTTTTTTACGTTATAAACTTTTAATTTTTTAAAAACTTTTTGACTCTTCTGTAATAACACTTAGCTTAAAATCCAAACATATCATAAGCTATACAAAAATATCTTCTTTATATCCTTATTCTGTAAGCTTTTTTCTATATATATGGGTATATATATATATAGAAAAAAATATATATAGCTTTTAAAACGTTATTGTTAAAAACCAAGTCATACACGCACATTACCTAATTCTACACAGGGTCAGGATCATCAGTATCGCCCCTGTCCACCTTCACATCTTGTTCTACTGAAAGGTCTTAACGGGCAGCAATATGCATGGAGCTGTCATCTTCTATAACAATGTCTTTTTCTGGAATACCTCCTGAAGGACCTGCCTGAGGCTGTTTCACAGGTAACTTTAAAATATTTATATAAGTAGGAGTATACTCTAAAATAATGATTAAAAGTATAGTAAATACATAAGCCAATAACATAGTTGTTTATTATCATTATCAAGTGTTATGTACTGTACATAATTGTATGTGCTATACCTTTTTGCAAATCTCTTCAATGTTTGGTCAACAAAGATGACCTGCTTCTACTTTCAATCTTATGACATCTTGTTTTGGTCACACTGTATGAAGAAAATCTGACCTCACACAAATGTAGTTGGAAAAAAGAGGAATATCTTAATAGCCTTCTCATATAATAATGGACATTCTTTATACCAACACTTGAAAAAGAGGTAGATTTTTAAAGGTTAGTTGCAATGTGGAAACTGAAACCATAATTAGTAATTTCCATACGCTGCCATATGAAAATCCATTAGTCTGTTTTGCTCTTCGAATGCATCTTTTATCCATGTGTGATTTTGTAACATCATTGGTCTTTTGGGGAAAATAAAAGGTTCATTGAGTTATGCAGGTATTCCAAATGTTGATGTTTCATTGTACACTATCAAAAAATCATTAGTTAATATCACCACCAATATTATCAGAAAAATCTTTGAGTATTGGGAAGCTATCAGATTCACAATGGTAGATATGTTTTCCAAAATTCTGATTTTCACTTATAAGCTTGTATTTTATCACTGGGAAAAATACTGTCTGTTGTTTTTCCTGAAGTGATAGTCTCACTTTGTACATTTTTAGAAAGTGTCTGCCAAATACCCAAGTCTGAATAACTATAATTCATATGTAAGTCCTTAAAGTGAAAATGGTGTTCCATGAGACAAATGGCTAGGCCAGCTGGCAACTCAAACAATTGTACAAGTGCTTTTTCTGGAGATAACCATTGTACTTTGGTATGTGGCAGACATACTTTCTGTGTACTTCCATTTCACCACACAGAATATTAAAAAGATAAGTCTTCAAGGGTCAACATTTAATAAAGTTAAATTTTTTGGACATTATCAAGTGAAACTGGCAGACCTCAAATCTGAGGTCTTTTTTGCTTTTTTTTTTTTCTTGCTTTAAAAACATCTTTATCTATTGCTCGTCATTATACAAATGAGGACTCTTCTTAAAAACGAGCTTTATTGGGGTATAACATAAACAAAAAAACTGTACATATTTAATGTACGCAATTTCATGAGTTAGGATGTATGCGCACACCCATAAAACTATCATCACAATAAAATTATAGCCACCACCTCTAAATGTATCCTGGTTTCTTTTATATATATATAATATGAGATCTACCTTCTTAAAATTTTAAGTGTGCAATACTGTTAACTAGAGGTACTATATTGTGCAGTAAATCCCTAGAACTTACTCATCTCGCATAACTAAAACTTTATACCCATTGAACAACTCTCCATTTATCCCTCCCCCTGGCCCCAGGAAACCACCACTCTAGTCTCTGCTCCCATGAGTTTGACTGTTTTAGATACCACATATAAATAGAATCATGCAGTACTTGTCCTGTGATTGGCTATTTCACTTAGCAGAATGTCCTCCAGGTTCATCCATGTTGTCATACATGGCAGGATTTTCTTCTATTTTAAGGCCAAATAATATTCCATTGTCTAAATAAGCCACATTTTCTTTCTTTCTTCCTTTCTTCCTTTCTTTCTCTCTCTCTCTTTCTTTCTTTCTTTCTTCTTTCTTTCTTTCTTCTTTCTTTCTTTTCTTTTCTTTTTTTTTGAGATAGGGTCTCTCTCTGTTGCCCAGGCAGGAGCGCAACGGCACAATCATAGCTCACCCAGCCTCAAACTCCTGGGCTCAAGCAGTCCTCCTGCCTCAGCCGACTGAATAGCTTGGACTACAGGTGTATACCACCACACCTGGCTAATTGTTGTGTTTTTTGTAGAGATGGGGTCTCTCTTTCTTGCCCAGGATAGTCTCAAACTCCTGGACTCATGATCTTCCTGCCTTGGCCTCCCAAAGTGCTGGGATCACAGTCATGAGCCACTGTGGCTGGCCTCCTTTTTTTTCTTTTCTTTTCGGGTTTTTTTTTTTTTTTCTTTTTTTCTTTGTTGAGACTGAGTCTCCCTCTGTCGCCCAGGCTGGAGTGCAGTGGCATAATCTTGGCTCACTGCAAGCTCTGCCTCCTGGGTTCACGCCATTCTCCCGCCTCAGCCTCCCAAGTAGCTGGGACTACAGGTAGCCCGCCACCACGCCCAGCTAATTTTTTGTTTGCTTGTTTGTTTTTGTATTTTTAGTAGAGACAGGGTTTCACCATGTTAGCCAGGATGGTCTCGATCTCCTGACGTCGTGATCCGCCCACCTCAGCCTCTAAAGTGCTGGGATTACAGGCGTGAGCCACTGCGCCCAGCCCGGCCTCCTTTTCTTTATCCGTTCACCTGTTGATGAACATTTGAGTTGTTTTCATATCTTAGCTATTGTGAGTAATGCTACAATGAACACGGGAATGCAGGTATCTCTTGAAGATATTGGTTTCAATTATTTTAGATATATGCCCACAAGTAGGATTGCTGGATCATATGGCAGTTCCATTTTTAATTTTTTGAGGAACCTCCATATTGTTTTCCGTAATGTATACCATTTTACATTCCCACAAGTAGTGAACAAGGGTTCCAATTTCTCCACATCTTCGCCAATGCTTATTATCTTTTGTGGTTTTTTTTTATAATAGCCATCCTCAACAGGTATAAAATGATATCTCATTATAGTTTTTATTTGCATTTCCCTGGTGATTAGTGATACTGAGCACCTTTTTAAGATAACTGTTGACCATTGATATGCCTTCTTTAGAAAAATGTCTATTCGAGCCCTTTGCCCATTTTAAAATCAGTTTGAGTTTCACATTTTCTTTTGAGTTGTTGAAGTTTCTGTTTTTCTTTTTTCTTTTCTTTTCTTTTTTTTTTTTTTTTGACAGAGTCTCGCTCTGTCTCCAGGCTGGAGTGCAGTGGCGCGATCTGGGTTTACTGCAACCTCCAACTCCCTGGCTCAAGCGATCCTCCTGCCTCAGCCTTCTGAGTAGCTGGGATTATAGGCAAGTGCCACCATGCCCAGCTAATTTTTGAGTTTTTTTCTGAATTTTTATTTTTAGTAGAGGCGGGGTTTCACCACGTTGGCAGGATGGTCTCAATCTCCTGACCTCATGATCCGCCCGCCTCGGCCTCCCAAAGTGCCGGGATCACAGGCCTGAGCCACCACACCTGGCCAAGTTGCAGGAATTTCTTACATGTTTTGAATGTTAGCTCATTACAAGATATATGGCTTGCAAATATTTTCTCCCATTCTATAGGTAGCCTTTTTGTTCTGTTGATTATTTCCTTTGTGGTGTAAAAGTGTTTTAGTTTGATGTAGTTTCACTTGTCTGTTTTTGCCTTTGTTGCCTGTGCTTTTGGCGTCATATCCAAGAAATAACAGCCAAAACCATCATCAATAAATATTCCCCCTATGTTTTCTTCTAGGAATTTTACGGCTTCAGTTTCTTATGTTTAATATTTAAATATAAGACCTGAAATTGTAAACTAAAAACTGTAAACTTAAACTGAAACTATAAAATTCTCAGAAGCCAAATTAATTATTCTTTTAAAGAAATTTAAATCAATTTAATTCAGTCCATTTTGGGTTGATTTTTGTGTATGGTGTAAGATAGGGGTCTGATTCATTCTTTTACATTGGGATATCCATTTTTGCCAACACCATTTATTGAAGAAACTGTTCTTTTCCCAGTGTGTGTTCTTGGCACCTTTGTCAAAGTCCTATTGACCATATATGTGTGTGTTTCTTTTTGGGCTCTCTATTATGTTCCATTGGTCTAAATGTCTGTCTTTATGCCAGTAGCATACTTTTTAAATTATTTTATAATATATTTTGTAATATATTTTGAAATCAGGAAATATGCCTCTAGCTTTGTTCTTCTCTCTCAAGATTCCTTTGACTACTCTAGGTCTTTTGTTGTTCCATATGAATTTTAGGAGACATTACAACTAATGCCACAGAAATAAAAAGGATTATAAGTACTAGTATGAATAATTATACACCAACAAATTGTACAACCTAGAAGAAATGGATAAATTCCTAAAAACACACTTTTTTTTAAACTTTTTTTTGAAATAGATTCTTGCTGTCTTACCCAGGCTGGAGTGGCACAATCAAGGCTCACTGCAACCTCCACCTCCCAGGCTCAAGCAATCCTCCCACCTCAGCCTCCCAAGTAGCTGGGACTACAGGCACGTGCCACCATACCCAGCTAATTTTTATATATATATATATTTTTGTAGAGATAGGGTTTCACCATACTGCCCAGGCAGGTCTTGAACTCCTGAGCTCAAGCAATCCACCCACCTCAGCCTCCTGAAGTTAGAAACACACAATCCAACAAGACTGAATCATGAAGAAATAGAAAACCTGAACAGACTAATAACAAGGAGACTGAATCCATAATCAAAACCTCCTAACAGTAGCAAAAAAAGCCTGGGACCTTATGCCTTCACTGGTGATTCTACCAGGTATTTAAATAAGAATTAATTCCAGCTATTGTCAGACTCATCCAAAAAACTGAAATTGGGGGAACACTTCCAAACTCTTTTATGAGGCCATCATTATCCTGATACCAAAGCCAGACAGAGGCACCACAAGAATAGAAAATGATAGGCCAATATCCTTAATGAACATAGATGCAAAAATTCTCAACAAAATACTAGCAAACCAGATTTGACAGCATATTAAAATAATCCTACACCATGATCAAGTGGGATTTATCCCTGGGATGTAAGGATAGTTCAACATACACAAATCAATAAATGTGATATACCACATTAATAGAATGAAGGCTAAAAATCACATGAGCATCTTAATAGATGCAGAAAAAACACTTGACACAATTTGACACCCTTTCATGTAAAAAATATGCAATAAACTAGGTACAGAAGGAAAGTACCTCAATATAATAAAGATCAAATATGACAAACCCACAACTAACATTATACTTCACAGGGAAAAACTGAAAGCTTTCCTTCTAAGATCAGGAAGAAGGCAAGGATGCCCATTCTCCACCACTTCCATTCAACATAATATTGGAAGATCTAGCCAGAACAATTAGGCAAGAAAAAGAAATAAAAGGCATCCAGCATGATCTTCTATGTAGAAAACCCTGAACACTTCACACAGCAAAACAAACAATCAAAAACTATTAGAGCTAATAAATGAGTTTGACAAAGTTACGAGATACAAAATCAACACACAAAAATCAATTGCCCCTCTATATGCTGACAAAAAACTGTCCACAAAGGAAATTAAGAAAATAATCCCATTAACAAAAAATAGCATCAAAAATAATAAAATATTTAGGAATAAAACCAATCAAGCAGGCTAAAGACTTGTGCACTGGGGATGGCCATAGTGGCTCATACCTGTAATCCCAGCACTTTGAGAGTCCAAGGTGGGAGGATTGCTTTAGGCCAGGAGTCTGAGATCAGCCTGGGCAACATAGCAAGACCCCATCACTAAAAAATAAAAAATTCACAATGTGTGGTGACACACACTTGTAGTCCCAACTATTTAGAAGGCTGAGGTAGGAGGATCACTTCAGCCTAGGAGTTCAAGGTTATAGTGAGCTATGATCGTGCCACTACACTCCAGACTGGGTGACAGTGCAAGACCCTGTTAGTAATATTTTAGTATTATTATCAAAATAGTTTTGGCTGGACATGGTGGCTCACGCCTGTAATTCCAGTGCTGAGAGCCTGAGGCAGGTGGATCCTTATATCCCAGGGATAAATCCCACTTGATCATGGTATAGGATTATTTTAATATGCTGTTAAATTAAACGTGATTTGCTAGTATTTTTGATAATTTTTGCATCTATATTCATTAAGGATATTGGCCTATTGTTTTCTATTCTTGCCGTGCCTTTGTCTGGTTTTGGTATCAGATAATGATGGCCTCATAAAAGAGTTTGGAACTGTTCCCCCATCTTCAGTTTTTTGGAAGAGTTTGACAATAGCTGGAATAGGCTGAGCTTGAGAATAGTCTGGGCTTGAGCCTAGGAGTTCAAGACCAGCTTGGGCCACATGGCAAAATCGTGACTTAAAAAAAAAAAAAGAAAATAGTTTTGATCTCATTGAACCCCTGAATAAGAGGTTTACAGGCCATACTTTGAGAACCACTGTACTATTATAAAATAAATTACTTACAGCTCACAAGTGGGTTATGGCAGTTTCATAACTGGTTCATCTGTCTGGGAATTCCTTCCCTCTTTAACCTGCAGAGCTCCTATCCATTTTTTCAAAAGTCCAACTTGAAAATTGTTTCCTTTGTAAAGCTGTCCCTGACCCCTTCCCTTTTCTTCTCCAACTGAGTTCATCTTTTTCTCTTTTGTCTTGCCATGGCACACATATATCTGCTTTTGTACTAAACAACAGTATTGCACTTTTTGTTTACATGTCTTACTTATATCCTTAGCACTTATTGGACACTGAATAATTTAATGAGACTGAAATTTTATAATTATTTACCAGAAAATCGTGGCAATGGCTGTTTCTTCTTCTGTGGACTGTTTTCTAGGGTTTAAACACAGTACTGCTGCCATTGAATCACCCTGTACTATAGATGTGGGATACTCTATTCCTTATCATTGTATTAGGTTGGTGCAAAAGTAATCGTAGTCTTGCCATTAAAGGTAATGGCACCAACTGAATAGTTCTTAGTTGAATCTCCTTACTTGTTATTTACATATACATCTTACAAAGAAATATTAACCCACATATTCAATTCTCATCACAAGTTATACTGAGATTATGTATTTTCAATCAAATCTGTTTCAGCTTTTATTTATCTTTCTAAGTTAAAGTAGTACCTATTTACTGAACTTCTCTGTTTATCATCATCAGAAGAAAATAGCTTAAATTTCTTTAAAAGAATAATTAATTTGGCTCATAAGAAAAACACTTTATAACATAGTGGTAACACTTATTTCATCTGAGGATTTTAAATGAATTGTTAACAAAAAATCAGTGTACATTTTTCGTTGTGTGTACTATTCATTTTAAGGCTTGTTGGCAGAAAAGGAGAATGCACTTAATGGATTGTGATTTTAATTGAAGGATTTTTTTTGTCCATTAAGACTATTATGGGCATAGTCCTTTTACGCCATATGTGTTTGAAGTTCCCATCCTGCCAGAAATATATATTTTTTCAAATCGAGACAATTATCTCTTCTCAGAAAAAATTCTTGCACACAGAAGAGCAATCATGTCATTAACTAGAATGTGAAATGAGACAAATGACAGAACAAACAAGGAACAAACACATTGTCATACAGGAAGAATGTGCTAGCGTGCAAGAGCTTATGCATTACTGCTGTTAAGACAAATAATTTGATATATCAACAAAATGTAACATACTGTGTAAAAAGTTTTATAAGTGTGTGTGTGGGTGTATGTGTTTGGAGAATGGCTATTCTTGTTGATAAGTCTTCATTATTACATTTTAGCCTAAGAGAAAATGACTGTTTTAATTCAGATGTAATTCAGCAAAGACCACTGTGTAATCATTATAGCCATCAACAAACTGATTCATGTGCAGTTGGTCCAAAAGTTACAAAAGCTGTTTCTGAGTTCTTGTTTGTATCCACCATTTTAAGATTACATCAGAATTAAACCATGCAGGACCTGAACTGACTTCAAAGACTAGACTTAAACTTCTAGCTAGTTTAGCTTTTTTCTTTTATTGGTTCATGTTTTCCATTTGGCTTCCATATCCTGTTCTAGCTTGATGCCCCTTCTAGAATTTCATTTACAAGTCTTACAGTCTTGGTTCGTGAAACACACTAATTAATACTGTGATGGAAGCTGAGTATTTTAGCAATATCATGCCTCCTGCTTGGAAAAATATCTGCTGTTTTTCCACCCATGTCTAGTATCATATTGAACATGGCAAAATGCATCTTAAGTGGAATCTTAAATGCATTTAATCAAAATGCATTTAAGGAGGACTGTTTACACTGTTGCCAATACTACTAATCATTAAGCTCAAACCTTTCAATGCAACAGAAATATGAGATTTACTTTTTCCCAATTAGATTTTTTTTCAAGCAAAACAATAAAGTAAAAACAGGCCATTTTAAGATTTTTTAAAGTCCCAAGTAATACTTCAGCTAACAGCACTCCAGCTTTTAAAAAATGGGCAATTCTATGGGTTTTGTAAATCCCTTATGACTGTATTAAGCAATACTAATTTAAGGGACAAATTTCAGTTCCATAGGTCTTTGGCCTGCCTGGAAACTCTATGCAGGCAGCCAAGCTTAGATTTGCAGCTTTATGCTTATAGAAGCTATGTCTATAACCAACTTCTCAATACATTTTAATCAGTGCTATGGTGCATCTATCATATTTTAGTTGGAGTGGAATAAACCTAAAATTGTTTATTTGCCTACCAAATCTGTAGCAGATCCAGAAGGGACCATATATTTTTGGTTGATTCGAAGCTCACTTTACCTGTATGCAGTCTTGTAAAAATGTAACTACATGTGAATTCCATATTTTTTTAGCAGCATGTAGGGCTTGTTTAGTAGGTTTAAAACTTTTGGAAAAGTAGTTGGGTGGCTTTATAATAGTTGAGCATTTTTTTTGAATGTGAGATTATAGTTAAGTTTTCGACTCTTAGATTTCTCTAACCCTAGCAAAGTGATGAAAAGAAAGACCAACCACTCTTGAAACTCAAAATTCATTGAGCCTGGAACATAACACTTTTGTTTGGTATGCTGACTTGGCTACATTAGTTGGCTGTCTATAAACCAAGAGAGATGGAAAGGATGCTTTGTCAATTTGTGCTGTAGATGGTGCAATCTGCACTGCCAAGTTCAAAGCCCTATTTGCCAGGTTCCCTTCTTATCCAAATCCTCATGTATTTGAAAGTTTTATGTGTCCCTTGAGACCTTCTGATAAGTGTGATTCTGCCATACTCCCAAGAACCCAAGGATCTAAGATTAGCTAGTGAAAAGATAATTTATAATGCATTTACGTTGAGCTCTGATCGGCAGTGTTTGAGTTAGTGTAGTCCCTGTGTTCTGTCTAATGTGTGTGTATGCAAACACAAAGGAATGACAAGTTAGTTCCAAAACAACAATTTTTTAAAGTACAGGGGGAAAAACCTGTATGTGCTTACTTAAGACTGTTTTCCTTATAATTTTTTTTTTTTTAATTGATCATTCTTGGGTGTTTCTCGCAGAGGGGGATTTGGCAGGGTCATAGGACAATAGTGGAGGGAAGGTCAGCAGATAAACAAGTGAACAAAGGTCTCTGGTTTTCCTAGGCAGAGGACCCTGGGGCCTTCCACAGTGTTTGTGTCCCTGGGTACTTGAGATTAGGGAGTGGTGATGACTCTTAACGAGCATGCTGCCTTCAAGCATCTGTTTAACAAAGCACATCTTGCACCGCCCTTAATCCATTTAACCCTGAGTGGACACAGCACGTGTTTCAGAGAGCACCGGGTTGGGGGTAAGGTCATAGATCAACAGCATCCCAAGGCAGAAGAATCTCTCTTAGCACAGAACAAAATGGAGTCTCCTATGTCCACTTCCCTCTACACAGACACAGCAACAATCTGATTTCTCTATCTTTTCCCCACATCTCCCCCCCTTTTACTCGACAAAACCGCCATCGTCATCATGGCCCATCCTCAATGAGCTTTTGGGTACACCTCCCAGACGGGGTGGCGGCCGGGCAGAGGGGCTCCTCACTTCCCAGAAGGGGCGGCCGGGCAGAGGCGCCCCCCACCTCCCGGGCGGGGCGGCTGGCCGGGCGGGGGCTGCCCCCCACCTCCCGGACGGGGCGGCTGCCCGGCGGAGACGCTCCTCACTTCCCAGATGGGGCGGCTGCCGGGCGGAGGGGCTCCTCACTTCTCAGACGGGGCGGCTGCCGGGCAGAGACGCTCCTCACCTCCCAGACGGGGTCACGGGCCGGGCAGAGGCGCTCCTCACATCCCAGACAGGGTGGCGGGGCAGAGGCGCTCCCCACATCTCAGAAGATGGGTGGCCGGGCAGAGACGCTCCTCACTTCCTAGACGGGATGGTGGCCGGGAAGAGGCGCTCCTCACTTCCCAGACTGGGCGGCCGGGCAGAGGGGCTCCTCACATCCCAGACGATGGGCGGCCAGGCAGAGTCGCTCCTCACTTCCCAGACGGGGTGGCGGCCGGGCAGAGGCTGCAATCTCGCACTTTGGGAGGCCAAGGCAGGCGGCTGGGAGGTGGAGGTTGTAGCGAGCAGAGATCACGCCACTGCACTCCAGCCTGGGCAACATTGAGCACTGAGTGAACAAGACTCCATCTGCAATCCCGGCACCTCGGGAGGCTGAGGCTGGCAGATCACTCGCGGTTAGGAGCTGGAGACCAGCCCGGCCAACACAGCGAAACCCCATGTCCACCAAAAAAATACGAAAACCAGTCAGGCGTGGCGGCGCGCGCCTGCAATCACAGGCACTCAGCAGGCTGAGGCAGGAGAATCAGGCAGGGAGGTTGCAGTGAGCAGAGATGGCAGCAGTACAGTCCAGCTTCCGCTCGGCATCAGAGGGAGACCTTGGAAAGAGGGAGAGGGAGAGGGAGAGTGAGACCGTGGGGAGAGGGAGAGGGAGGGGGAGGGGGAGGGGGAGGGGGAGAGGGAGAGCTCCTTATAATTTTATAATGTCTTTTCCAAGATGACATGCTCTAATTTTTCAACATTTAATTGAAAATTTCTTTTGAAATATAGATAAATCTAATTTAGAAATGTATTCCCTGGCTTCTACTTTAAAAACATCTATCACAATTTTCAGATACTTTAACATGTATGCCTTTATAATATTCCTATTTTACTAAAGGGGGTAGGAAGAAAGTCCCAAAATGATAAAATGCATTGTTTACACTCTTTCACATTCTTATACGAAGTGAATGACAAAGTTATGGTCAGTACTAATAACATCTGAATTTCCTTACTATATTGATGATGATTATGATGATTGTTAACATTTATTAAGCAGTTTTTATGTACCAGGTTGTTCTATGCATTCCTCACAACAACCAGAACCATCAATAAAAATTATTATTTTATAGATGAAATAACTGGGGCACAAAGAGGTTTAGTAACTTGTCCATTGTTATACTGCTACAGCTTATACCATTAAAGCACAATGCCTGGCTGGGTGCAGTGGCTCATGCCTGTAATCCCACCACTTTGGGAGGCCAAGGCAGGAGGATTGCTTGAGCCTAGGACTTTGAGACCAGCCTGAACAACATAGTGAAACCCCATCTCTAAAAAACAAAACAAAACGAAAAAGCACAATGCCTTTCATCATCAATTCCCTTTTAATCCCATCAAAGGCCAACTCAAATTTGAATCATTACAACACTTAGATTTAGTGTGAGAGGAGAATTGAAGTTCTAGTCTCATATTAAGCAAATTAGCCTTCTCATTTGACATTAATAATAACATTGCTTATTTCCTAGAAATAAAATAGACTATTAAGTAGTAAGTGCAGATCTCATATTTCTGTGACAGATAGATAGAATAATCTCTTTAGAAGTATTTGGTTTTTCTAAAATGTGATGCTTTACTTTGGTTTTGGACTCTAGTATGTGGCCTGAAAAAAATAGTGACTTTGTTTTTAAATTAAAGTAAATTTTTATTTTTGTAGATTTAGGGGGTACAAGTGCAGCTTTCGTACATGCACATATTTCATAGTGGTGAAGTCTAAGCTTTTAGTATACCCATCACCCAAGTAGTGACATGGTACCCAATAGGTAATTTTTCGGCCCTCACCCTGCTCCCACCCTCCTACCTTTTGGAGTCTCCAGTGTCTGCTATTTCACTCTGTATGTCCATGTGTACCACTTGTTTAGCGCCCACTTATGAGTGAGAACATGTGGTATTTGACTTTCTGTTTCTGAGTTAATTTATTTAGGATTATAGCCTCCGGTTCCATTCATATTCCTGCAAAAGGCATGATTTCATTCTTTTTATGGTATTCCATGGATATATACCACATTTTCTTTACTCGATCCTTCACTGAGGACACTTAGGCTGATTCCACATTTTTGCTATTGTGAATAGTTCTGTGATAAAATACGAGTGCAAGTATCTTTTTAATATAATTTTTTTCCCCTTTGGATACATACCCAGTAGTAGGATTGCTGGATCAAATGGTAATTCTATTTTTAGTTCTTTGAGAAATCTCCATACTGTTTTCCGTAAAGGTTGCACTAATTTACATTCCCACCAACAGTGTATAAGCGTTCCCTTCATTCCTTTTCTCCACATCCTTGCCAATATCTGTTGTTTTTTTTTTCTTTTTTTTCTTTTCTTTTACTTTTTTTCTTTGGAAACAGTGTCTCCCTCTGTCACCCAGGCTGGAATATAGTGGCGCAATTATTGCTGTCTGCAGCCTCAAACTTCTGGGCTCAAGCAATCCTCCCAGGATCAGCTCAGCCTCCTGAGTAGCTGGGACCACAGGCATGTGGTTTTAATTTACATTTCTCTAATAATTAAAAAAACATTGACTTTGAAGATTTTTTTTCCTCTGGTAAAATGTTATTTGATAAGACAATGCTTATAGGTATAATTTTGTATTATTGGTCATATAAGAATTGATTAGCCACTTGAACTCTCAAAGTACGAAGTGAGAAAGTCAATCTTTTAAATGTGGAAGTTATTTTTTGAATGATCTCTGAGACCCCTTTTAATGGCATGGGAACTTAAATGTATGTTGTGTATGTGTGCATGCATGCATGTGTGTTAAGATGGGTTTCACATCTGAACTTTGCCATCCAAATATACTTATACATATCCTCATGGTATTGTTGTTCATGGGTGATGAACAATATGGATACTTTGTAGCTTCCTTTTTACTTTTCAAAAAATAGTCTTATTGGCCGAGCATGGTGGCTCACACCTGTAATCCAAGCACTCTGAGAGGCCGAGGTGGGCAGATCACGAGGTCAAGAGATCAAGATCACCCTGGCCAACACGGTACAAAATTAGCTGGGCATGGTGGTGCATGCCTGTAGTCCCAGCTACTCAGGAGGCTGAGGCAGAAGAATCACTTGTACCCAGGAGGCAGAGGTTGCAGTGAGCCGAGATTGCGCCACTGCACTCTGGCTTGGCGACAGAGCGAGATTCCGTCTCAAACAAACAAAAAAGTCTTATTACATGCTATGATTGGTACTTACGTCCAGATAGGTCAAGCTCTACTATTGTAATTAACCCTGAAATCTAAGTGGTTTAAAATCACAAGGAGGCTGGGCGCAGTGGCTCATGCCTCTAATGCCAACACTTTGAGAGGCTGAGGCAGGTGAATCACCAGAAGTCAGGAGTTCGAGACCAGCCTGGCCAATGTGGTGATACCCCATCTCTACTAAAAGATACAAAAATTAGCCAGGCTTGGTGGCGGGTGCCTGTAATTCCAGCTACTTCGGAGGCTGAGGCAGGAGAATCACTTGAACCTGGGAGGTGGAGGTTGCAGTAAGCCAAGATCACACCATTGCGCTCCAGCCTGGCCAACAGAGGGAGACTCTGTCTCAAAAAAAAAAAAAAAAAAAAAATCACAAGGTGTTTGTTTCTTATCACAGTCTTAGTGGGTCAGTCATCTCTCTTTCATGGCTCTCCTTCAGGCAGTGACTTAAATTTCTAGGCTCCTTCTGTGAGGTCACCATCCTAAAACCATGACCTTTGGGTCACTGTGGAAGGGGAAAGAAATTGAGGCAATTGTACAGTGGTGGAAGGGGGAAGGGAGCATTTTATGGCAGGCCTGGAAATAGTATATATTATTCCACATCCTATTGTCCAGGATTCAGTGACATTCCCCTAACATCGTTACACAAGAGGCTGGGAAATATAGAAATCTAGTGTACCTAAGATAAGAAAATGAAATGGAGTTTGGTGAACACATAGCATTGTCTCTGCCTCAGTGGAAAGGCAACTTCTTGGACAGAAAAGTGAAGAGGTACAAACTACAACTATGTTGTGACTAGCTACAGTTTCATACAAAATGTAAAATGTCCCTAATTCAGTATGTACACTTCCTCTTCTACATAAGGGATTATTAGGGCTTAGCAGCTTCCAAATTGCAGTAGTCTAGTCTTAGAGCCAGTGGTCAAAGGAGAATGGGATTACTAAATTGTCTTCATATTCCAATAATTGAATGGCACCCGGGTACTTCTTGGATGGATTCTTGATGTTTTACCTTTATCTTCAAGAATTCGCAGATCATCTTCTCTGTATCCTCAGTGCATGTTAAGATTACTAAACTTAGCCAGGTACGGTGGCTCATGCCTATAATCCCAGCACTTTGGGAGGCCAAGGTGGGTGGATCACTTGAGGCCAGAAGTTCAAGACCAGCTTTGCCATAATGGTGAAACTCCATCTCTATTAAAACACCCAATCCCAAAAAAAATCTGTGGGCATGGTGACTCCCACCTATAATCCCAGCTACTCGGGAGGCCAAGGCATAAGAATCACTTGAACCCGGGAGGCAAAGGTTGCAGTGAGCCAAGATCCTGCCACTGCACTCTAGCCTGGGTGACAAAGTGAAACTCTGTATCCAAAAAAAAAAAAAAAAAAAAAAATTACCAAACTTATAGGAAGCACAACGATAAGGGTCATGTGTGTTTCCTATCATGTAGAGGACTAAGCTGGAAATTACATGATATAGGTTTGTTGGCCTACCTTTAATTTTTCACTATATAAGAATAGGATTGGTCTATAAAAACTTAAGAAGTATTTGTGGACTTCTTGTACTGGACATGATGAAGTAACTAGCATCAGACCTTCCCTCCTGCCATAAACAACTATTAAACTAAACAAAATGTACAGAACAATTTCTTTTGGGTATGGGATAAGGCACAGTGCATGACTATAATGCTTGAGAGAAAAGAAGCTCAAAATGAGAATTTTACATTCAACCTTGGGGGGCAATTTTCCAAACCACTTTCAGAGAATTGGAGTAGATAAATAAATCGGAGTTTGGGCCTGCAGAGGTTACTGGAAATTACAGGACAGGGTATGTAGATAGAAAAGAGTGACAAAGAAGGAGCCCCAGGAATCTACATAGGAGTTTCCTTCGGGCTCTTGGCCAAATGCTAAACTGCATATGTGCTTGGCAAGATTCTGTAAGATATACCAGCAAAAAACAGCTAGAGGAGCTGAAAACTAAACCTAGATTTCAGAAGTTGCACAAAGCTATGAAGACATTGGAGTTCTGATCCACTCAAGAGTGGAGATACCATGTTGAGACACCAAAAAGACCATGCCCTAGGAGTAAGGACCATGCCATATGAGTAAGAGCCAAATCCTAGAACTAAGGAAAACTGGAAATAGACTCACCACAGAGGCCTAAAATAAACCTCAACAGAATCAAAGTGATCTACCAGTAATTTAACTTTCTTTCAGAAAAATATTTGACACTCTTCAGAGGAAGATAACAAAATCCAGATTTTTTTTATGTCCAGCATAAGATTTTTAAAATTGCTGAACATGTAAAGCAGCAGAGGAAAAACTGACCCATAATTAAGAGAAAAGGTGGTCAACCGAAGAGACTTACAGATGACCAAGATTTTGGAATTAACCAGAAGGACTTTAAACTCATAAATGTTTTAAAATGTAAAAGATCTTTCTCCTGTTGAACCTTATATGAGACCAAAGCCCTGCCTGGCAACTTGACTGTAACCTTATGAGCGAGCTTGGCCCAGAGTCATCTAGCTAAGACAGCTAAACCACACGCAGATTTCTGACCTACCAGATACTGTGAGATAATAAATTACAATATGTAAAGGAAAAGATTGAAGAAATGGCAAAAGAGATGGATGAAATTGCAATAGAAAAAGAGAAACTCAGCTGGGTGTGGTGGCTCACGTCTGTAATCTCAGCACTTTGGGAGGCCAAGGGGGGCAGATAGCCTGAGCTCAGGAGTTTGTGATCAACCTGGGCAACATGGTGAAACTACTCTACTACACAAAAAACAAATTAGCCAGGCGTGGCAGCATGCACCTGTAGTCCCAGCTACTCAGGAGGCTGAGGCAGGAGAATCACTTGAACCCATAAGGCAGAGGTTGCAGTGAGCCGAGATCATGCCACTGCACTCCAGCCTGGGCAACAGAGTGAGACTTGATCTCAAGAAAAAAAAAATAAAAAAACCAGAAAAAAAAGAAAAGAAAAAGAGAAACTAAAAAGAAAGTCAAATGAAAATTCTAAAATGGAAAAATATGGTAATCTGAAGTGAAGAATCCAGTGGATGGGCTTCCCAGCAGATGGACACAGCTGAAAAAGGGATGAGTAAACTTAAAGACAGGCTAATGGAAATTATCCAAATTAAAGCACAGAGAGAAAATAAAAGGAGAAAAATAGGACAGAGTTATAGAGAACAGAGGGATAATATAAAATAATCTAACAGGTATAATGGAGAGAGAATGGGGTAGAAAAAATATTTGAAGATAAAATGCCCTCGATTTTTCCACATTTTATGAAAGATATCAACCTACATGTGCAAGAAATTCAGAGAACCCCAAGCACATAAATTATTTGAAGATGACACCTAGGGTCATTGTAGTCAAAGTGCTGTAAACCAAAGATAAAGAGAAAATCTTAACTGCATCCAAAGGAAAAATACATATTACATTTTAAGGTACAACAATAAAAATGATGGCTAATTTTTTATAGGAAACAATGAAAACTAGAATGAAAAGACACCTTTAAAGTGATGAGGCTGGGTGCAGTGGCTCACACCTGTAATCCCAACAATTTTGGAGGCCAAGGTGGGTGGATCATCTGAGGTCAGGAGTTCGAGACCAGCCTGGCCAACATGGTGAAATGCCACCTCTACTAAAAATTCAAAAATCAGCTGATTGTGGTGGTGGACACCTGTAATCCCAGCTACTCAGGAGGCTGAGGCATGAGAATCTCTTGAACCTGGGAGGTGGAGGTCGTAGTGAACCGGGATCATGCCACTGCACTCCAGCCTGGGCAACAGAGTGAGACTCAGTCTCAATAAATGAATAAATGAATAAATAAATAAATAAAGTGATGAAAGAAGAAAAGAATTTGTCTACTTGGAATTCTATATCCAGTAAAAATATTCTTCAAAATTGAGGGCCTTCACTTCACCTTCCTCTTCCTCTTTGTCAGAGCCAAGAATTAGGTTGGCACAATCAGTGGGAACAGAGTCAAGAATTTAGCTGGCAGTTTTGGCAGAGACAGGTTTAAGAAGATGGCCTGTATAGTTAGGAGACTGATTACATATGGGTATTGCCAAAAAGTATATTGAGGATAATAGGAGCTAGGTTTTCAGTGTTGGAGAAATTACAAATATGGTAACAGAGGATGCTAGAATAAATC
Source organism: Homo sapiens (assembly GCF_000001405.40). Lineage (NCBI taxonomy): Eukaryota > Metazoa > Chordata > Mammalia > Primates > Hominidae > Homo > Homo sapiens. The sequence continues at coordinate 99,919,867 of NC_000008.11, read as the reverse complement.
TTGTGGTGTTGGATTGGTATTCGAACTATTGGTGTGAATTATTTGAAATTATATAATTTCAAATTATCTTCCTACAAAATACTTACAAATTGTTAATAAGTACAGATATTTATTAACTTTACAGTGGAGAAATAAGGCACATGCCATCTTTCTAAAAATTGTGGTAAAATCTAAATAATTAAAATTTACCTTCTTTTTTTTTTTGAGACGGAGTCTCGCTCTGTTGCCCAGCTGGAGTGCAGTGGCACAATCTCCGCTCACTGCAAGCTCTGCCTCCTGGGTTCAAGCCATTCTCCTGCCTCAGCCTCCCGAGTAGCTGGGATTACAGGAAACTGCCACCACGCCCGGCTAATTTTTTTTGTATTTTTAGTGGAGGCGGGGTTTCACCATATTGACCAGGATGGTCTCGATCTCTTGACCTCGTGATCTGCCCGCCTTGGTTTCCCAAAGTGCTGGGAATACAGGTGAGAGCCACTGTGCCTGGCCCAAATTTACCATTTTAACCATTTTCAGTTAAACCATGTTCATTTTAACCATGTTCAGTGGCATTAAGTACGCTCACATTGCTGTGAAACAATCATGACTCTCTCTCTCCAAAATCTTTTTGTCTTCCCAAGCTGAAATTCTGTACCCATTAAGCAACAACTACCCATTCTCACTTTCCCCCAGACCCTGAGAGCTACCATTCTACTTTCTATCTTTATGAGTTTGACTACTTTAGGTACCTCATATAAGTAGAATCATACTGTATTTGTGTTTTTGTGACTTATTTCACTTAGCATTATGTCCTCCAGTTTCATCCATGTTGCAGAATGTCCTGTTTTTAAAGGCTGAATAATATTCTGTCATATGCATATATCACATTTTGTTTATCATTCATACATTGATGGCCACTTGGGTTGCTTCCATCTTTTGACTATTGAGAACAGGCTGCTATGAACATGGGTGTAGAAGTAACTGAGTCTCTGCTTCCAATTCTTTGAGGTATATATGGAATTGCAGGATCGTTTGTAATTCTGTTTAATTTTTTGAGGAACTGCCATACTATTTTCCATAGTGGCTGCACCATTTTATATTCCCCCCAGCAGGGCAAAGGGTTCAAATTTCTCCACATCCTTAACACTTATTTTCTGTCTTGTTGTTTGTTTGTTTGTCTTTTATAATAGCCATCCTAATGGGTGTGAAGTGGCATCTCATTGTGGTTTTGATTTGCATTTCCCTAATGATTAGTGATGTTGAACCTCTTGTGCTTATTGGCATCTGTATATTTTCATGGATAAATGTCTATTCAAGTTATTTGCCTGTTTGCTGCTTCTTCTCCTTCTCCTTCTCCTTCTCCTTCTTCTTCTTCTTCTTTTTTAAGAAACCAGTGCTCCCTGTGTTGCCCAGGATGGAGAGGCTTTTCACTACAATCATAGTGTACTGCAGCCTTGAACTCCTGGGCTCAAGCAATCCTCCCATTTCAGCTGGGACTACAGATGTGCACCACCATGCCAGACCCCTTTGCTCATTTGCAAATTGGAGCTGTTGTTGTTGTTGTTGTTGAGTTGTGGAATTCTTTATATATTTTGAATATCAGATATATGATTTGCAAATTTTTTCTACCATTCTGCAAGTTGCCTTTCACTTTATTGATTGTCTTTTCATGCATAAAAGTTTTATATTTTGATGTAGTCCAGTTGCTTTTTTTTTTTTTTTTGACAGAGTCTTACTCTGCAACCAAGGCTGGAGTGCTATGGCATGATCTCAGCTCACTGCAATGTCTGCCTCCCAGGTTCAAGCGATTCTCCTGCCCTAGCCTCCTGGTGTGCACCACCATGTGCAGCTAATTTTGTATGATATGGGGCAGTGACTCACGCCTGTAATCACAGCATTTTGGGAGGCCAAGGAAGGCGGATCACTTGAGGTCAGGAGTTCGAGACCAGCCTTGTCAACATGGTGAAACCCCACCTTTAAGTCTTTGATCCATTTTAAGTTAATTTTTATGTACAGTGTAAGGCAAGGGTACAATGTCAGTCTTTTGCATGTGGATATCCAGTTTTCCCAACACCTTTTGTTAAGAAGACTGTTCTTTTTCCATTGAATGATCTTGGCACCCTTGTTAAAAATCATTTGCTCATATAGACAGATTATTTCTGGGCTCTCTATTGTATTCCATTGGTCTGCATGTATTTCTTCATGCCAGTACCACATTGTTTTGATTACTGTAGCTTTGTAGTAAGTTTTGAAATCAGGAAATATAATTCCTCCAACTTTGTTCTTCTTAGTTAAGATTGTTTTGGCTATCCAAGGGCCCATATTATTTTAATCAAATAATAAAAGTTAACATCACCTGTAATGAGGACAATTGATATTACATGCTGATATGGTTTGGCTGTGTATACGCTGATATGGTTTGGCTATGTCCCCACCCAAATCTCATCTTGAATTGTAATCCCCATAATCCTCATGTGTCTAGGGAGAGACCTGGAGGGAGGTAATTGGATCGTGGGGGCAGTTTCCCCTATGCTGTTCTAGTGATAGTGATCTCTCCCGAGATCTGATGGTTTTATAAGGGGCTCTTTCCCCTTTACTCTCCACTCTTCTCTCTCCTGACATCATGTGAAGAAGCTCCTTGCTTCCCCTTCAATTGTTAAGTTTCCTGAGGCCTCCCCAGCCATGTGGAACTGTGAGTCAATTAGACGTCTTTCCTTTATAAATAACCAGTTTTAGGTATTTCTTTATAGCTGTGTGAAAACAGACTAGTACACATGTCTGCTGATATGATGTACTGAGAAGAACACAGAATCATTTCTGTGGTATTCCTGCCAAAAACAAAACAAAATTACACAAAAAAAGAATAACCTCTCTTGAATGATGAGGATATATCAGACAAATCCAAACTAAATGATATTCTGCAAAGTAATTGGCATGTGTTCCTGAAAAATATCAGGTGATGAAAGACAAAAAAAGGGAATTCATCCAGTTTGAAGGAAATTAAAGAGATATGATAACTAAATGTGACGTGTCATCACGGGTTAGATGCTAGACTTATAAAGATCACTCTTGGGTAGTACAGCCATTATGAAAAATAGAATGGAGTTTCCTCAAAAAACTAAAAATAGAACTACCACATGATCCAGCAATCCTACTCTGGGTATACATCCAAAGGAAATAAAATTAATATGTCCAAGAGAGATATCTACATCCCCACGTTCATTACAGCATATTCACAATAGCCGAGATATGGAATCAACCTGTGTCCATCAACAGATGAATGGATAAAGAAAATGTGGCATATATATGCAATGGAGTACTAGTCAGCCTTAAAAAAGAAGAAATATTGTCATTTGCAGCAACATGGACTGACCCAGAGGGCATTGTACTAAGTAAAATGAGTCAGACAAGAAAGACAAATATCATGTAATCTCACTTATATGTGGAATCTGAAAAAGTTGAACTCGTAGACAAAGAGTGGAATAGTGGTTACCAGGGTCTGGGGAAGGGTGGAATGGGAAGATGTAGGTCAAAGGGCACAAAGTTTGAATTAGACAAGAGGAATAAGTTCTGGAAATCTATTGTACAGCATGGTGATTATAGTTAATAATAATGTATTGTACTTGAAAACTGCTAAGCGTAGATATTAAATGTTCTCACCACAAAAAAAGTATGTGAGCTAATTAGCTTGATTTAATTATTTCACAAAAGATATGTTGAAACATGTTGTACAATGTAAATATGTACAATTTTTATTTTTCAATTACACCTTAATAAAGCTGGGGAAGGGGATGAAGAACATTATCAAGACAAAGTGAAATTTGAGTGGAACCTGTGGATTAGATGATAATATTGTATCAGTATGCATTCCCTGAATCGGGCTCATTATATCTACAACTTATTTTTAAACAATTTAAAAATTATCTGTGGGTCTGACTGTGTGTGGTGACTCATGCCTGTGATCCCAGCACTTTGGGAGGCCAAGGTTCGAGGATTGCTTGAGGCCAGGAGTTTGAAACCATCCTGGGCAACTTAGTGAGACATCATCACTATGAAAATTTTTTTTAAAAGGTTATGGGCCAGGGGCCAGGTATGGTGGCACGTGCCTGTAATCTCAGCACTTTGGGAGGCTGAGGCAGGCGGGTCACGAGGTCAGGAAGTCGAGACCACCCTGGCTAACACGGTGAAACCCTATCTCTACTAAAAATACGAACAAATTAGCTGGGCTTGGTGGCACGTGCCTGTAGTCACAGCTACTCAGGAAGCTAAGGCAGGGGAATTGCTTGAACCCGGGAGGCCGAGGTTGCAGTGAGCTGAGATCGCAACATTGCACTCCAGCCTGGACAACAAAGCAAGATGCTGTCTCAAAAAAAAAAAAAAATTATGGACCAGGTGTGGTGGCTCATGCCTGTCATCCCAACACTTTGGGAGGCCAAAGAGGGCGGATTGCTTGAGCTCAGGAGTTTGAGATCAGCCTGGGAAACATGGCAAAACCTCATCTCTACAAAGAATACAACAATTAGCCAAGCATGGTGGTGCATGCCTGTGGTCCCAGCTACTTGGGAGGCTAAGGTAGGAGGATTGCTTGAGCCCAGGAGGTTGAGACTGCTATGATCCAAGATCATGCTACTGCACTCCAGCCTGGGTGACAGAGTGAGACCCTGTCTCAAAAACAGAAAAAAAAAAAAAAAAAAAAAGATGTGGTGTGTGTAGTGGTCTAAGTATATTTACATATACATAGACAGAGAGATTGATTAAGCAAATGTGGCCAAATGTTAACAATTAAATGTTACCAGCTGAAAAGAGTACTTGAGAGTTGTTGGTGCTATTGCAGTTTTTCTGTAAGCTTAAAATTAGTTCAAAGTACAAAGTTTAAAAACCAGAAAAATGAAGGCCAAATATAGACATTTTTCAGACAAACAAAAGCTGAGAGAATCTGTTGGCAATAGACCTGAACTGCAGAAAATACTAAGGAAGTTCCCGGGGTTTAAGAGAAATGATCCCAGATGGCAGCCTGCATCTGCAGGAAGGAAGAAGAGTGCTAGAAACGGCAAGATTTCTAAATGACACTTTCAGACTGTAATTCAATATGGTGGATTAAGCACATGTGTTTAGCTCCTCTCCCTCCTAACTCCAAAAAACGACTGTAAAGTCTAAAGTTATAAATCCACAAAAATAAATAGAAGACATCAGTTGATTAAGAGATTTCAACATCTACAGGGGTTGGGTGGGAAAAAATATATTTTAAAAAGTAAAAATAAAAAGTAAAAGGATTTCAACAAATTTCTGGAGACTGAAAGTGAATAATGGAGTAAGTATGGGGGAAGCAGGGAGGAGGAAACCTCATTTAAAGAAGGTATGATGGATACTATTGCTGAGGAAACTGTACAGCTGCCCCTCAGAAGCCTGGGGAGGCTTAGAATTCAGAAATTCCAGGTCCTGCAGAGATAGCAAAACATGGGGCTGAAAACAGAGGAGTTACTGGAAAGTCTGTAGGCAGAACATTCAACTCAAACATATCTCAGCAGAGAATGCCTCACTCTTCCTAAGTATAGACAGAGAGAGAGACAGAATGAGAGAGAGAAGGAGAGATTGATTGATCTATTGATTTACAAAATAAATCAAAAAAGTGTCTGGTGAGAGACTGGACAGTGAGCGTGTGAGTTAGTGCCCTGTTCAGTGCACAGCTCTCCTCATTCTGTTTTTGAAGATCCAAAGACTAATGGCTGCTCCCTATCTGCTCATCTGAAGTGACTCCTGTCAGGTGGCAAGCCCTACCATGACATATAACTGATAATGAGTTTTTATATTGCCTTATTCTTAAATGTAGGTGGGCATGATAGACAAAAGTGTGGAGTATTAAGGAAAAAGACCCAGATATATGCAAACAAAAACTACTCCCTAGGAAACATAGTTGATTCAAGGAAAAAATAATTTTATAAAATGTATAATTAGTGTCCTCAGATATCTATATAAATATAGATCTATAAAGATATACCAGAAAACAAAAACACGATGCTATGGGGAAAGACTCAGATAAAGAAATTGCATTTGGGAATAAAAAATAGGATTACCAGGCTGGATGTGGAGGCTGTAATCCCACTACTTTGGGAGGCTGAGGCAGGAGGATTGCTTGAGCCTAGGAGTTCCAGACCAGCCTGGGCAATATAGTGAGACTCTGTCTCTACAAAAAATAAGGAAATTAGGCAGCCATGCTGGCAAGCACTTGTAGTCCCACCTACTCAGGGGACTGAGGCGGGAGGATAGCCTGAGCCAAGGAGGTTGAGGCTGAAGTGAGTATGATCATACCACTGCACTCCAATCTGGGCAACAGAGTGAGACCCTGTCTCAAAAAGAAAAAATAATAAAAGATCCATTAGAAGAGTTAGAATATACTCCTCACAAAGTAGAACAAAAAAGGATGGGGAAAAGACCAAGAGGATGTATCGAGGATGTCCAATCTATAATTATTAGGATTTCTAGGAAAGAACAGAGGTGGTTGTGGAGGGAAATGATTAAGGAAATAATACAAGATAATGAAGGAAGTGAGACATCAAATTGAAAGGACTCACTAGGTATCCATCAGAGTAAATAAAGATCCATTCTCAGATTCATCATTCTGAAATTTTAGAATACCAAGAATGCAAATGAAATATATAGAAAAATAAGCAGGTAGTCAATAAAGGAATAAATTCTGAGGCTAGCAGCAGCCTTCCCATCAGCAAGAGACATAAGAAGCCTGTGAAGAAATGCCTTCCAACTTCTGAGGGAAAGACATTTCACTGTAGAACTCTCTAGATCTCTTAAACATGTGTGTAGTCAGAATACAGATATTTTCAAACATATAAGTACTCAGATGTTTACCTTCCATGTGCTGTAGTTCCTTAGAAAGTGAATCCAGCACAGGTGAATGCAGACCAATACCTGAGGTGCAGCCATGGAAACAGGCCTGGAGAGAACCCAGGAGGGAGAACTCCAGAAGAAAGATTTGGAAGAATAAAGGATAAGGGTGATTCAATACAATAGATATGTTGGTGAATATGAAAAAAAAATTGAGGATATGGTAGACTAACCATATACCAAATTCATGCCTATAAAAAGGAGGAACTCAGAAGAACTAGGAGAACCACATATACAAGGAAAGAAATTTTACAATACTTAATTTGGGTCTAAATTGGACCATATTTAAATAAATCACGATAAGACAGCTTTGTTAATTTTCAGCTTTTAAAATCAAACTATTTAGGAATGCAAAAGTTTTATTGGAAAATCAAATCAAACCAAATTAAGCTATTAGCAAAATGCAGAAGAGTTATGGTTATACATAAACTATAAATATCATCAACATTGATTTAAATGTAAAGATTATATGCAGAAAACAGTATGCTGGTTCCTCAGAAGATTAAACATAGAATTATTTTATGATCCAGCAATCCCCCTGTATTAGCCTGTTTTCATGCTGCGATAAATACATACCCAAGACTGGAAGGAAAAATAGGTTTAATGGACTCACAGTTCCACGTGGCTGGGGAGGCCTCACAATCATGGCAGAAGGCAAAAGGCACTTCTTACATGGCAGTGGCAAGAGAGAATGAGGAATAAGAGAAAGCGGAAACCCCTTATAAAACCATCAAATCTTGTGAGATTTATTCACTACCACGAGAACAGTATGGGGGAAACCATCCCCCTGATTCAATTATCTCTCACTGGGTCCCTCCCACAACCCAAGGGAATTATGGGAGCTACAATTCAAGATGAGATTTGGGTGGGGACACAGCCAAACCATATCACCCCCTTTCTGGGCATATCTGTGAAGAAACTCAAAGCAGGAACTCAAACAGTTATTTGCACATGCATATTTACAGCAGTGCTATTCACAATAGCCAAAAGGTGGATGCAGCCTCCTTTTGGACATATTTATTGACAAATAAATGGATATGCAAAATGTGGTATATACATACTGCTGTCATTTGGGTATGGTTTGTCCCCACCAAAACTCATGTTGAAAGTCAATCCCCAATGTGGCTGTGTTGGGAGGTGGGGCCTAGTGGGAGGAGTCTGGGTGATGGGGATGAATCCCTCACAGATGGCTTGATGCATTCTCACAGTAATGGGTTCTTGTTCTTGAGGGAATGGATTAGTTCCTACAAGAATGGGTTGTCATAAAGCCAGGATGCACCTCAGGTTTTGCCTCTCACGTGTTTCTGTTTCCCCTCTGACCTTCCACCATGTTGTGAGGCAGCACCAGCAGATGAGCTGATGTGTAGTAACAACACAATATGGACTAAGACACATGCAATGGATTATTATTCAGCCTTAAAATAGAAGGAAATTCTGACACATGCTACAGCATGGTTGACCTTGAGGACATTATGCTAAGTGAAATAAGCCCATCACAAAGAGACAGATATGGTATGATTCTACCTGTATGAGGAAACTAAAGTAGTCGATTCATAGAGACAGAAAGTAGAATGGTAGTTCCCAGGGTCATGGAGAAGGGGGACTGGGGAGTTGTTTAATGGGTATAGACTTTCTGTTTTGCAAGATAAAAAAGTCTGGAGATTGATTGTACATCCATGCAAATATACTTTATTGAACTGTACACTTGAAAATAGGAAAGATGGTAAATTTTATGTTATATATATTTTACCACAATTTTTAAGAAAACTTAAGAAAAGAACCCTTGAACCCAGAGTTTAGGCATGTCCCAGCAGAACCTTGGGCTATGTTATATATATTTTATGTATTTTACATATATTTTATAGGCTAATTCTGCCTCCACAGGCCCAAGCCTCAGGACGGCCCCTGAGGACATAGGCTCCCGGCTCCAGGCCAGCCTCTGGGGACTCAGGACTTGACCCTACAGGCAATGAGATAGCATTGACAAACTTATTCTGGAAAGAAAATGGACAGTTGTGCAGGAAGAGTGACCTAGGAGTCACTGGTGTGCCCGCCTTCAGCCTCGGGTGGGTGGGGGATTATTCATTCTTGCTCTTGCTTCTTCCCAACCCTCCCTCCCTTCTTCCTTTCCCTTTCTTTCCTTCAACAAATACTTATGAGTGCCAGGAACTTCAGTGTGTTACTATGGACAGATTGTGTTACTATGGACAGATTGTGTTATACATAACACAATGTGCTACTATGTGTTATATATAACACTATATATATATATATATATATATATCACTATATATATGTGTTATATGTATAATACATATATTATGTGTATGTGTTATGTATATATAATGCATATATATTATATGTATGTACATATAATACATATATTATAGATTATATGCATGTGTTACGTATCACACATACATATAATATATATGTATATATAATAAATGAATATATAATATGCAAGTTATATATAACACATATATATGTGTGGCTAATTTTCTTTTTATTTTTGTAGAGATAGGGACTCACTATGTTGCCCAGGCTGGTCTTCAACATATATATGTGTTATATACAACACATACATATGTTATATATAACACAATGTGTTACTATGGATAGTCAGTGTTCTCTGGGGTGTGGGACACCTTTCACTGCAATATGATTTTAAGTGGTACATGGGCACTGCATTTTTTTAAATCACAAAAATTGCAAGAGGAAAAAAAGAGATAGAGGGAAAACCAGTAAATTAGAAGACATATCAACCAATTACAATGCATGGCCCTTATTTGGATCCTGATTCAAGCAGTTAAAAAAAAGACACTTGGAAATTTGAACATTGGATATTTGATGACACCAAGAGATATCATTGTTTCAGGTATGATAATGATATACTAGACAATATCTTTTAGAATATATAACGAAATATTTACCAATGAAATTATGTAATATCTGAGATTTGCTTCAAAGTGATCAGTGAGGGGAGGGGCTGGGGGATTGGGATGAAAACAAGATGCTTCATGGTTTGACTGTTGCTGCTGCTGAGTGATGGGGCCTTTCATCATACCAGTGTGTCAACTTGGCACATATTTGCAATTTTCCAAATTGAACATGTTGAATGATATAATGAAAAAGTTAATGCCTTTTTGGTACTCTTTCAATCAATCTGACTAGACCAGACTAGACTAAGTGGAAAGGCTCTAATTTTTTTTTTAACTGTTTTTTGAGAAAACAACAACAACAAAACTCCAGGCTGGAGTGCAGTGGTGAGATTGCGGCTCACTGCAGCCTCAGCCACCTGGGCCCAAGTGATCCTCCCACCTCAGCCTCCCCAGTAGTTGGGACCACAGGCGTGCACCACCACGCCTGGCTAATTTTCTTTTTCTTTTTGTAGAGATAGGGTTTCAATATGTTGCCCAGGCTGGTCTTGAACTCCTGGGTTCAACCAATCCTCCCAGCTTAGCCTCCCAAAGTTCTGGGATTACAGGCGTGAGCCACCATGCCTGGCCTAACTTTTTTTTTTATAAAGTCGAGCTCAGAGCCTTCAACTAGATATTAATAAAATTATTTGGTTTTTGGCCTGGCACAGTGGCTCATGCCTGTAATTCCAGCACTTTGGGAGGCTGAGACAGGTAAATCGCTTGAGTCCAGGAGTTTGAGATCATCCTGGGCAACATGGTGAAACCTTATCTCTACAAAAAATACAAAAAAGAGTAGCTGGGTGTGATGGTGCACACCTGTGGTCCAAGCTACTTGGGATGCTGAGATGGGAGAATCGCCTGAATCTGGTAAGCAGAGATTGCAGTGAGCCAAGATCATGCCACTGCACTACAGCCTGGGTGACAGAGTAAGATACTGTCTCAAAAAAAGAAAAATATTATTTGGTTTTCAAGTGATCCTGACATAAGTTCCGCTATGATATAAATTTTATACAAAATTTATTTTAAAAATTATTTTAAAATGTATAATTTGGTGTATGTCATTTATATATAATAAATCTTTCAAACAAAAATGTTAGTAGGTATGAACTTTATACAATGTGCTCCCATGTGCAAAAGTTGTAATTTTATTTCTCTATAACTGAACTCAGGTTAGTTCTTGTGCCCTATTTCTTCTTCAGCAACAGAAAGTATGACTAAATTCAGTCAATCCTGATTTAAAATTGGATCTTTTCTGGGGTCAGATCAGAATCCTTGTTAGAATTATGCCCCCTCCTCCTTCTCTTCTCTCTGGACTGACTGATTCTTACTCTGTTGTCAGGGAAAAACAGGGTGCCAGGTCTCCTCTGTTCCTTCACAGGGTGCAGTTTCCTGAGTCCTTCATACTATGCCTGAGCATTGGCTCCTGAAGTCTATTTTTTTCCCTTCTCACCTGCCTTCTGGCTTTGTAAGGTCCACAGCTCAATCTCAGAACCCATCTGCCTGGGGGAGAACATGGGAACTTTTAGGCTGTTCTATAGCCTTGCTATTCAAAATGTGGTCTGTGGATCAGCAACATCAGTATCACTTTGGAACTTGATAGAAATTTAGACTCTCAGGCCTCACCCCAGACCTGCTGAGTCAGAATCTGCATGACGTTAATGTTTAAGAAGCACTGCTCTGCAGCACTTGCGAGAATTGGCCTGAACCCCCTCTCTGCCACTGATGAAGCATCAAGCTCCAGCTACCTCTTCCCTGCTCCTTCTCCTCTCATCTAATTTTATTTCCCTTTGAGCAGAGAATCATGTATATTTTGGACATATTGCTTATCCTGTTTTTATAATCCTGCTTTCTGATAGACGCTTCCCTTTCCTTAAAAAGAAAAGAAAAATTTTCTCTTTCCTCAAAAAGATAAATCAGGTTGGGTCGGTGGCTCATGCCTGTAATCCAGCACTTCGGGAGGCCGAGATGGGAGGGTCACTTGAGTCCAGGAGTTTGAGACCAGGCTGGGCAATATAGTGAGGCCCCATCTTAAAAAAAAAAAAAAAAAAAAAAAAAAAGATAAATCAAAAGACATGGCTTTGAAGACTATTTGCCTGCTGTGTGGTTTAAATCACTTCAACAAGTTGATCACCCTTGAGCATAGTGTGCATGCATAGAAAGCTCTTCCTCTCAGGTGAATGGTGGAGATAGAAACTTTGGGAAATCCCAAGTTAGTGTCCCAAAATTTTGATGGCTGTATATTTTTTTAAATGAGTCAATCTAAAGAAAAATATTAAGTACATAATAGTATAGGGATGTGCAAATAATTGAAGCTTACAAAACTCTAGGTTAGGCTTCGGGCACCCTAGAACTCTCTCCTGGGGGTGCACCCATCTTTACTTGTCTTGAGTCAATCTCTCTCTCTAGAAGGCAGAGGGGGATAGCACAGGTAATTGATCCACTGAGCTTAATGCTACCAATAATGGGAATAGCTGATGATATTAAAGATACAGGAAGCTTGGAGGACAGTGTTTGTTGTTCAGGTGAGAAACAGGGGCTCTGTAGGACTCTGGGAGCTCTCTAGAGTTTGGAACTGAGCTACGTTCATACTTACTTCCACAGAAACTACCACAAAGTCTGGCATATAGTAGCCTCAGTAAACATTTGTAGAATGGGCACCTGAGACTAAAAGAAAACAGAATATTTGTGTTTCTTAAATTATTTAGAGAAAAGCTAGATATGGTCTGATTCCACTTAAAATGGAATGGCTTAAGAGGAATGAGAAGACCTAAAAGTGAAAATATAATGAAAGGAAAAAATGAAAATTAAAATATAATTCTGGATAATCTCAACATGGAAGAAAACAGGAACACCAAAACAAAATTAATGTGGTTGCTCAGGGAGTGAGTTTGGTTGAAAAGCCTATATATGGCTGGGCACGGTGGCTCACGCCTGTAATCACAGCACTTTGGGAGGCCAAGGTGGGTGGATCATAAGGTCAGGAGTTCGAGACCAGCCTGGCCAATATGGTGAAACCCCATCTCTACTAAAAATACAAAAATTAGCCAGGTATGGTGGCACGTGCCTGTAGTCCCAGCTACTCGGGAGGCTGAGGCAGAAGAATCGCTTGAACCCGGGAGGCAGAGGTTGCAGTGAGCCAAGATTGTGCCACTGTCGCCTGGGCGACACAGCAAGACTTTGTCTCGAAAGAAAGAAAGAGAGAGAGAGAGAAAGAAAGAAAGAAAGAAAGAAAGAAAAGAAAGAAGGAAAGAGAGAGAGAAAGAAAGAAAGAGAGAGAGAAAGAAAGAAAGAAAGAAAGAAAGAAAGAAAAAAGAAAGAAAGAGAAAGAAAGAAAGAAAGAAAAGAAAGAAAGAAGGGAAGGAAGGAAAGGAAGGAAGGAAGGAAGGAAGGAAGGCCTATATACAAAAGAGGAAATGAAAGCTATATGACCCAAGTTGGATATAGCAAGAATACTCACTTGTAAGAATGCCAAGAAGGCTGAGGATTGGTCTGAGGCTTGCAAATAATGCTCAAAACATTCTATTGTTTTAAATGGAAAGTATCAAACTTCTTGTATATGCAAAAGTGGACAGAAGTTTATAGTACTCATGTACTCCCACGTACTCATGATCCAGCTAAAATAGTGATTATTTTACCAGAGGGGATTTAATTATGGCCCAAAAGCCAAATCCAGCCCACTGAATGCTTTTGTAAATAAAGTTTTATTGGAACACAGTCACACTCATTTCTTTATATTTTGTCTGTGACTACTTTCACATTACAATGGCAGAGTTGAGTAGTGGGCAACACAGTTTGAGACCCCAGCCCACAGCTACTATCTGGCCCTTTATAAAAAAAAAAAGTTGTGGCTCACACCTGTAATCCTAGAACTCTGGGAGGCCAAGACAGGAGCTTGAGCCTGAGATCAGCTTGGACAACATGGCAAGACCCTGTTTCTATTTAAAAAAAAAAAAAAAAGGAAAAGAAAAGAAAAGAGAAAGTTGGTGACCTAGGTTTTATTTGCCTATGATCAACACCTTCCACTCCCATCTGCCCACCTGCCTACCCCACTTGTATTATTTTGAAGCAAATCATCATCATACCATTTGATTGGTAAATATTTCAATGTGTATTTCTATTTTTTTTAAGTGGCAGTGTCTCAATCTGACACCCAAGCTGGAGTGCAGTGGCATGATCATGGATCAGTCTAACCTCAACCTCCTGGGCTTGAGCGATCCTCCCGTCTCAGCCTCCTGAGTAGCTGGGGATACAGGTGCATGCCACCATGCCTGGCTCATTTTTTATTATTTTGTAGAGACAGGGTCTTGCTATGTTGCCCAGGCTGGTCTTGAAATTTTGGCCTCAAGTGACCCTACTGCCTGAGCCTCTCAAAGTGCTGAGATTACAGGCATGAGCCACTATGCCCTACACCTCCAGATTTTAAATGTGGCAGTGTCAGGGTGACCATACAATATTCTAACGACTGTGTCCTGCTGTCAACACAGCTACTGTTTACTCAGAAGAGCATGTGGAAGCTAAAGATATCCATGTTTGTTGAATTTGACTAGTTCACCACATCCATAAATTAAAATAAACATAAGTTCAAAGTGGAATTCCAAAGAAACTGCTAAGACATCCTTTTTTAAAAAAAATCATTTTAAAAGTCATTATCAAGTGTCCTATCTTAGAATGATAATTTGTATCTTTTGACTTTGCTGTATCCTCTTAGAAGTTAAAATAGGTATTTCCCGCTCCTCTTGTTTTTTTTTTTTTCTCATCTAGTAAACTTAAATTTTTTGCTGTCTCTGTATTCAAAATGCAGCTGAGTTTAACGTGACTCTTTCATTTAACAGCTTCATTTCATAAAGGCCATTATCAGGCCAGGTCATCTCTGTGTATAGCTTCTGTGATTGACGTCAGCCTGCTTCTGGGAAAATTGTTTTAATTAGTACTGCCTCTGAAATGCCCAAAGGAACACAAATATCTGGTACTTAGTTATTGCACAGACCTCATCATCTGAATAAATAACCTCTTTGATTCTCTAAGTAGGGGCCAGGAGGATTTATCAATTCAACTAAAAGAAACTGAAGGCTCTGGAATGATCTACTGATTTAGGAAGTGTCCTCAGTGGCTTGGGACTATCCTCTCAGCCATTAGGGACAACCACACAGGGCACACCATCGGTGCTCAGTGAACCATCCTAGGCTAATGAGTGTTATCCACTGAGATGGATTTGTTTCCTTGGATGTGCTCTCTACAGCCCTGCTGTGGAAGGCAATCTCTGGATTCTCACACTCTAGATTCCAGTCCCAGTGTTTCTGTTTTTCTACCACTATGACCCTCAGTTTGTTTATCTAAAAACCAGAGACAGATGTGGTGTTTTATGCCTTTAATCCCCACACTTTGGGAGGCTGAGATGGGAGGATCACTTGAGCCCAGGGGTTTGAGACCAGCCTAGGGAACATAGCAAGCCCCTGTCTCAATAACAAAAAAAAATTTTTAATGAGCTGGGTGTGGCCAGCTACTCAGGAGGCTGAGGCAGGAGGATCACTTGAGCCCAGGAGTCCGAGGCTGCAGAGAGCTGTGATTGTGCCATGCACTCCAGCCTAGGTGACAGAGTGAGACTCTGTCTCTAAATAAATAAATAAAATAAAATAAAATAAAGGAATTCCTGCTTATCTCACAGGATTATTGAGAGGACAAAATGAAAACATATGTGAACATGTTTTACAAACGACTAGGGGCTACGTAGGGCTTACGAATAGAGTGAGGCAGGAACTCAGCCCTTGGAGAGGCTAGAAAACATTGTCCCCAATCCACGTACAAGCTTCAGGGGAGCCCAGAGTCTCCTAGAATTCAGTACTCCATGAGAAGTCTTGGGAAGCTGGTGCCTCAGGCACTCAACCCCCGAAGGGACCCAAACATCCAGCGTTCCCCTAGGTCAGCAGCAAAGCAGGACTCTTAAGCAGAGGACAGATTCTATTTCAAAACTCAGGGTCTCTTCACAGCTTCTCTAGAGGTTAGTCAGGGCTGAGCACAGGGAGGCCCCTAATGTTGAAGGGCTGGGCTCCACCATTCCATTTTGTTTTCAATTTAGAAGAAATTGTAGTGATCAACATAGCTTATTTCCAGGCCCATCTTAATGTCCCCATTACTTTTTTACATTCCCACCGTCTCTGTCACTCAGTTTATCTGCCTCAGCGTTCACACACATGCATCCCTAACTAAAACAGATACTTGTATTTATTTATTTATTTATTTTACAGCAAAGAAAAAAATGTATTAAAACAAACATTTTACTGCAACATTTTGATTTGGGAGTTGGAGAGCAAAAACTCAATATCTGATTTCTGGGAAAATGCTAATGTTTTATGGCTTTATAAGGAAATTTCTCTGTGTTTAATTTATCAGAGTAATTTATATACTTCAGGTTAAAGCACAATGAGATTGCCACCATCATTTTGCCTTTCACAAGATTTCTTTTCTTTTTTTTAATTATATGTTAAGCTCTGGGGTAAATGTGTGGAACGTGCAGTTTTGTTACATAGGTATACACGTGCCATGGTGGTTTGCTGCACCCATCAACTCTTCACCTACATTAGGTATTTCTCTAAATGCTATCCCTCCCCTAGCCCCCCACCCTGTGACAGGGGCCAGTGTGTGATGTTGCCTTCCCTGTGTCCATGTGTTCTCATTGCTCAACTCCCACTTATGAGTGAGAACATGCAGTGTTTGGTTTTCTGTTCTTGTGTTAGTTTGCTAAGAATGATGGTTTCCAGCTTCATCCATGTCCCTGCAAAGGACATGAACTCATCCTTTTTTATGGCTGCATAGTATTCCATGGTGTATATGTGCCACATTTTCTTAATCCAATCTATCATTGATGGGCATTTGGGTTGGTTCCAAGTCTTTGCTATTGTGAATAGTGCTGCAATAAACATACATGTGCATGTGTCTTTATAGTAGAATGATTTATAATCCTTTGGGTATATACCCAGTAATGGGATTGCTTGGTCAAATAGTATTTCTAGTTCTAGATCCTTGAGGAATCACCACACTGTCTTCCACAATGACTGAACTAATTTACACTCCCACCAACAGTGTAAAAGCGTTCCTATTTCTCCACATCCTCTCCAGCATTTGTTGTTTCCTGACTTTTTAATGATCACAAGACAAGGATGCCCTCTCTCACTACTCCTATTCAACATAGTATTGGAGTTTCTGGCCATCAGGCTATCAGGCAAGATAAATAAATAAAGAGTATTCAAATAGAAAAAGAGGAAGTCAAATTGTCTCTGTTTGCAGATGACATGATTGTATATTTAGAAAATGCCACCATCTCAGCCCAAAATCTCCTTAAGCTGATAAGCAACTTGAGCAAGGTCTCAGGATACAAAAATCAATGTGCAAAAATCACAAGCATTTCTACACACCAGTAACAGAGAAACAGAGAGCCAAATCATGAGTGAACTCCCATTCGTAATTGCTACTAAGAGAATAAAATACCTAGGAATACAACTTACAAGAGATGTGAAGGACCTCTTCAAGGAGAACTACAGACCACTGCTCAAGGAAGTAAGATAGGACACAAATAAATAGAAAAACATTCCATGCTCATGGATAGGAAGAATCAATATCGTGAAAATGGCCATACAGCCCAAAGTAATTTATAGATTCAATGCTATCCCCATCAAGCTACCAATGACTTTCTTCACAGAATTGGGAAAAACTACTTTAAACTTCATATGGAACCAAAAAAGAGCCTGCATAGCCAAGACAACCCTAAGCAAAAATAACAATGCTGGAGGCATCATGCTACCTGACTTGAAACTATACTATAAGGCTACAGTAACAAAAACAGCATGATACTCGTACAAAAACAGATATATAGACCAATGGAACAGAACAGAGGCCTCAGAAATAACACCACACATCTACAACCATCTGATCTTTGACAAACCTGACACAAACTAGCAATGGGGAAAGGATTCCCTATCTAATAAATGGTGTTGGGAAAACTGGCTGGCCATATGCAGAAAAATGAAACTGGACCCCTTCCTTACACCTTATACAAAAATTAACCCAAGGTGGATTAAAGACTTAAACGTAAGACCTAAAACCGTAAAAATCCTAGAAGAAAACCTGGACAATGCCATTCAGGACATAGGCATGGGCAAAGACTTCATGTCTAAAACACCAAAAGCAATGGCAACAAAAGCCAAAATTGACAAATGGGATCTTATTAAACTAAAGAGCTTCTGCACAGCAAAAGAAACTATCATCAGAGTGAACAGGTAACCTACAGAATGGGAGAAAAGTTTTGCAATCTATCCATCTGACAAAGGGCTAATATCCAGAATCTACAAAGAACTTAAACAAATTTACAAGAAAAAATGTAATCCCATCAAAAAGTGGACAAAGGATATGAAAAGACACTTCTCAAAAGAAGACATTTATGCAGCCAAAAAACATATGAAAAAAAGCTCATCATCACTGGTCATTAGAGAAATGCAAGTCAAAACCACAATGAGATACCATCTCTTGCCAGTTAGATACTTGTATTTTTTTTAACCTCCTGTACCAGTCAGGATGAGCTATTTGTCTGTAGGACCAAACAACCCCTGAAGCTCAGTGGAGTGACATACCACTTATTTCTCCCTCACCATATCTGGCCACCACAGGTTGGTAGGAGGACTCTGCTCATCCTAGTGTCTCACAGACCCAGGTGAGACATAGGTGATGACATAAGTGCCATCTCCTTCAATACTTCCATCCTATCAAAGGCAGGGCAAAGAGAAAGTAGTAAATCACATGCTGTCTTATAAAGCATCTACCTGGAAAGGACACATGCCACTTCCACTCATATTGCATTGGCCAAAGCAAGTCATGTGGCTGCTTTGAAGGGAACAAGGAAGTATAACCCTACTGTGTGTCTGAAAGGAGAATGGAAATATTAGTTATACAGTACTAATCATGACCATACCTCCTGTGGTAGGAAGGATAACAGCCCTTCAAAGATGTCTATGTACTGATCCCTGGATTATGATATGTTACATAGCAAAGGGAAATAAGATTGCAGGTGGAATTAAGCTTGCTAACCAGGTGACACCAAAATAGGGAGACTGGTCTCCATTATCCAGGTGGGGCCAATATAATCACAAGGGAGAATGGGGAAGAGGGAGGGAGAAAAGGAGAGGCAGAGGAAGAGATGTGATGGAGCTGGCTTTGAAAATGAAAGAAGGGAACTATGAGCCAAGAAGTACAGGCAGCCCCTTGAAGCTAGAAAAGGGCACAGATTCTTCCTCTTCTAGAGCCTCTGGAAGGAATGCGACCTTGCTGATGCATTAAGTTGAATCTAGTGAGACCTGTGTCAGACTTTTGAACTACCGAACTGCAAGATAATGAATGTGTGTGGTTCTAAGCCACTACATTTGTGGCAGTGTGTTACAGCAACAATAGGAAGCAAATACACCTCTTTTTAAAAAATCACATTTATTATTATTTTTTTCTAACCATAAAAGTAAGACATGATAAAATTTGGATTGCATAAAAATAAAATGTAAAAATTACAAGTTTTTGGTATATACCCTTTCAGTATTATTTCCTGCTTATATATACAGTACATATGTATAAGTGTATGCACATGTTACAAAATTAGATCACGTGGCATACCTTTGCAGCTTGCCTTTTCATTTAGCAATGGCTCATGAGCATTTTCTTATGAGTAAAATGTTCTCATTGTGCTATCCAATACAGTCACATATGGCTATTTAGAACTTGAAATGTGACTAATTTGAATTGAGACGTACAGTAAGTCCTCACTTAATGTCATTAATAGGTTCTTGGAAACTGTGACTTTAAGCAAAACGATGTACAACAAAACCAGTTTTACCATGGGCTAATTGACATAAACAAGAGGTAAATTCCATCGGCATATTTCTGGTTACAAAAACCTCATCAACTTTTAAATAAGGACCAAAACACTTCTAATATTAAACACTGAAATAAATGTAATACAAAATGTAATAAATACATAAATCTTGGAAAGATTAATGAAAACAAGGCCAGGCATAGTGGCTCAGGCTGTAATTCCAACACTTTGGGAGCCTGAGGCAAGAGGATCACTTGAGTCCAGGAGTTCCAGACAAGTCTGGGCAACATAGCAAGACTCTTGTCTCAAAAAAAAAAAAAGAATAAATTAAAAAAAAATAAACAAGTAAGATAATTATTTACCCAATTATTTCAGTTCAGGGTCATTGGAAGTTGGAGCTAGCTCAGAGCACAAGGTAGGAACCAATCCTGGACAGGACACCATTCCATCCCAAGGGAACACTCTCTCTCTGTCTCTCTCTCTCTCCCTGTCACACACACACACACACACACACACACACACACTTACTCACACTGGAACCATTTAGACATCTAATCCTCCTAACACGCACATCTTTTGGATGTGGGAGGAAACCAGAGTACCCAGAGAAAACCCACGCAGACATGGGGAGAACATGCAAACTTCACATACAGAGTGGCCTCAGCCAGGAATTGATTGTTTAAATCAAAGTTACAATGAAACAGTGTTAAGCCAAACGATGTTATTCAAGGGCTTGCTGTACTGTAAGTGAAAAATACACACTAGAATTTAAAGATTGAGTATGAAAAATGAATGTGAAATATCTAATAATTTTTATGTTAATTTCATATTGAAATAATAGTTTGGTTATATTGGGTTAAATATATTATTAAAACTAATTTCATTTGTGTCTTTTTACTTTTTTTAATGTAGCTACTAGAAAATTTAACATTATCCGCATGGCTAGCTTTATAATTACATTGGGTAGCACTGTTCTAACACATTTTATTTATTTTTATTTTTTAAAATTAGAGACAGGGTCTTACTGTGTTGCCCAGGCTGATCTTGAACTCCTGGGGTCAAGCAATCCTCCTGCCTTGGCCTACCAGAGTGTTGGGATTGTAGGCGTGAGCCACCGCACCTGGCCTAGGTAAGATTTTACATGGAAATACTTATTCATCACACAACTGATTTAAGAAGTTATTTGGGACCAGTCGTGATGGCTCACGCCTGTAATCCTAGCACTTTGGGAGGCTGAGGCAGGTGGATCACTTGCGGTCAGGAGTTCGAGACCAGCTTGGCCAACATGGTGAAACCCCATCTCTACCCAAAATACAAAAATTAACCGGACATGGTGGCACACACCTGTAATCCCAGCTACTCAGGAGGCTGAGACAGGAGAATCACTTGAACCTGGGAGGCGGAGTTTGCAGTGAGCTGAGATTGCGCCACTGCACTCTGGCTCTGAATGACAGTGAGACTTTACAGAGTGAGGCTCTGTCTCAAAAAAAAAAAAAAAAAAAAGAAAAGAAAAGAAAAAGAAAAAAAGAAATTATTACGAACTTTCACCATGCCGCTCCTATTTAAGGTGAGGTGTGGGACCATTTTGAGAAATGAATCAGGTTTCCTCTGAACTGTCCCTGTTGTTTGTCATAAGCTGCAGTGAAAACTCTATATATGGGACACTGCTACCGCTGATGAGCTTGGAACACTCCTCCAGGTGCCTTCTTAAACCACATCCGGTCTTCCTGTGCCTCCCAAGCCCCATGCCAAACAGCATCAGTGACAGTGAAGGATCTCTCTGGTAGAGGCTGCCGTTTTTGGAGGCATGTAGAGCCAGCAAACCTCACCTCACCTGGAACTATGTTAAATGTCATCAGTCTTTAAGAGCAGGGGATCATTTGCAGATCATCACTCACAGCATTTTCTTAGTCAATAACAACATCACAGAAGAAACCACAGTATTGTTTTATTAGCCCTTATGAGTTCCCTTGGATCCTTATTTACATGTTGGATATAGTCAGGTCAAATAAAGTACCCCAGACTCAAGCCTTGTGATGGTCCATATCCTCAACTGAATTCTTAGAATATAATTCTAGGGGAAAGAATATGCCTCCTTTTTTCCTGTCCACTTTCAGATAAGTTTCCCTGTTGAATCTGGCTGGTGATTTCTTATTTATTAATCAGTGGGAAGGCAGAATAGGAAGTCTAGTTACATTATTGGGCTGCATCTCTGAAATCCTAGATTTTCTTGGTAATAATGAATAGTAAAGAGAAAAATGCCTCTCTCTCTCTCTCTCTCTTTCTCTATCTCTCCATTAGAGACAGGGTCTTACTCTGTCACCCAGGCTAGAGTGCAGTGTAGCTCACTAACTGCAGTCTTGAACTCCTGGGATCAAGTGATCCTCCTGCCTCAGCCTCCTGAGTAGTTGAGACTACAGGCATGAGCCACCACACCAGGCTAATTAAAAAAAAAAAAAGTTTTGGTTTTTTTTTTATAGGGATGGGGGTCTCACTATATTGCCCAGGCTGGCCTTGAACTCCTGGCTTCAAGTTATCCTCCCACCTTGGCCTCCAAAGTGCTGGGATTACAGGTGTGAGCCACCATGCCCAGCCTGTTGTCTCTGAACTCTAGGATCTAACTCTGACTCAACACTCTCATTATTTGTTAAATTTGAAAGTGGAAATAAATTATATGTAAGAGTCAGTAGATCTACCTCTGAGGTTTGTCAAATATTGCAGCTGCTGCTATTTTACCTCAGATAGAGCTTGTTTCTGTTGTTGCTTTTTAACTTCTGAGCCCCTCACATTTTCTTAATCCATAAAATTATTTCTGGCCCTTCCCACTGATACTGTATTAGTGATATACCTTATGGTCAAAAGGATTGAAAGTTTTCCACTCTTCCGAGTGACTACTGCCTAATTTGTTTCAGGGTCCATTTCATTCCTTTTAGCTCTTGGCATTGTAATTTGCCTTTCTAGGTGTTGTATACACTTTCCACAATAGGAAAGGCTGCAGCACAGGTGAGAGGTCAGGTTTTCTCAAAAGCATGTTCAGAGCAGGATAGTGATGGAGGAGCCAGCATGTTCCTGGGTGTGCTGCGGTAGGCAGCCTAGGCAAACCTACCCCCAAAAGTCTGAGGAAGCTGAAAGGCTGAAAAAGAGGCTGATAAATCTGCCTAAGGGAAAGATTAATGGTCAAGGGTCTTTTGTCCTAAGGACAGGATTCACAGTTAACAAGGAACAGTGGTGAGCAGGTCTATGCAAACTTGCCCCCAAAGGCTGAAGAGAGAGACTGACAAATCCAGTTTCTCAGGAAGAAACATTTAAAAGGGACTTAGGAACAGAAACAATCTCTCTGTTGGCTGAGGGATGGTAGATCCCCGCATCTGTGCTCCAGAAAATATCCTCTATATAGCAAGCTTTTTTGGTAAAACATGCAGCTGGTCATGCCTCAGACTTTCTAGCAAAACTTGTGACCACTGGGGAGGTTAGATAAACATCTTTATGAGGGTTTATCCATGCCATGGAAACACCTTGGTATGCAGTAGTCAAACATCGGTCATCATGGCAGTTTTTCTTCAAGACGGCATCACTCTTGCCATGCAACCAGCTGTTTCCCTACCCTGGACCCCACTTCCCCCTAAGTTTGTATTTAAAAAGTGGCATCTTATCAACACATTTTAAGGTAACATGCTGACCTGGTGATTGTCAAGGCCAGAATGGAGAGATATAGTGGGAACAAGACTGTTGGTATGCCTCTTTACCAATTAAGGGATCCTTGTCTCCCCCAAGTGGATGTGTCTCTGGTTGAGGATGACCTTGAAAGGGACTGATTTCTAGCCATGGGGAATACTTAACTGACATCTAACTCCCAGTATCTTCCACCCATCCATCCTACTTTATTCCTTAGGGCTATGCAGAACAAGCCTAGTCTTTCCACTGAGGCATCTTTTAGTTTAGTGAAGACCATGGGCTTGTTTCATGGGTTGTTTCATCAACCTTTCAATATAAAAAGATACCTCTTCACACAGACTTTCTTTACCCCTACTCTGTTGTTTCCATTCCACTTACCTCCTTCAGATATATTTTTTATTTTTGTTGGTTTTTTCCTCGAAGCCCACTAGAATGAAAGCTTCATGAGGCTTTTCATGCCATTTTGTCATGTGCTGTGCTTGGCACATTATAGGCACACAGTACCCTCTGGCTTTATACTCTCACAGATCTGCAAGACCCCTACTGCAACCCAATGCAAACTCCTCTCTCTATAAAAAGATATCTTTTCCCCCAGTAGTTTCAACAGAAGTCATAGAATTGAGTTTCACTGGCCTGGCCAGAATCCTGTGCCCATCCTCAACAAATTACTGTGGCCAAGGGGATGGGCTACATTGCTTGGCTACTCTTGGGTCATCTGCTCAACTGGAATAATGTTTTTTCTTTTTCTTTTTAAAGACAGGGTCTCACTCTGTCTGGCTGGAGTACAGTGGTGCAGTCATAGCTCACTACAGCCTGCAACTCTTGGGCTCAAGTGATCCTCCAGCCTCAGCCTCCTGAGTAGCTGGGACTATAGGCATAAATCACACTATGCCCGGCTAAGTTTTAAAGTTTTTTATGGAGATGGTGGTCTATGTTGCTCAGGTTGGTCTCCAACACCTGGGCTCAAGTAATCTGCCTTCCTTGGCCTCCCAAAGTGCTGGGATTACAGGTGTGAGCCACCACACCCAGTCTGGAATAAGATTTGACTGTTGTAGAATCACATGGCTAGAAGTGATGAAGGATTGATTAAGCACTGCTACTAAAAGAAAGATTGAAGGAATGCAGGACAGGCAAAAGAACACAGGGAGGAATGCATATTCAGAATGTCTGTTTGTCAAGCACTGTATAGGTTGAACACCCTTAATCTGAAAATCCAAAATCCAAAACGCTCCAAAATCCAAAACTTTTTGAGCACTGATGTGATGCTCAAGGAAATGCTCAGTGGAGCATTTTGGATTTCAGATTTTCAGATTGGGATGCTCAACTGGCATGTATTCTGCAAATACTCAAAAATCTGAAAAAATCCAAAATCTGAAACACTTCTGGTCTCAAATATTTCAGATAAGGGATACTCAAGCTGCATATACATTATCCCATTTAATTTACATCACAACCCAACAAAATGGGTACTATTTTTAGAGGAGAAAGCAGACTTAGAAAGATGAAGAAATTTGCCGCTACAAGTTGATGAGCTGGGACTCAAATCCAGGTCTGTTCGGCTCTAGAACAGAACCTATATGTAACATGTCTCTCTTCATCTATCGCTCAGGTTTTATTCACGTGTCACCCTCAGTCATTCACTATGGTTCACTGGATAGCTAGGGAAGCACAGAACAAACACTCAGTATTTCACTCAGGTCAGGCTCTGTGCCCTGAGTGTGCCTGTCTTTGCCATGTTCTCCCAGCCAATGTTTTCTCTCCAATTTCTCCAGTTTTCCAGGCTTTCCATTAGACTGAAACTCAGCTCTGCTTCCATCTCTTCCACGTATTGTCTGAAGCTTTCCCTGATGGTTTCACATACACTAATCCCTGTGAACTCTTAAGTTCACCACTTCTTCTCTGGGGGTGGGGATGGAAAGAGAATAGAAACAAATTACTCTCTGGACAAATTCCATGCAAAGATTTTCAGCTGGGTAGACCCTTGATAAGAGGCCTGAAAAACGTTGGTAAAGTCCAAACCTACTTTTGAACCTCAATTGAGCACCTTTCTTTGTGGCCAGGTTTCACCCTCCAGAGTGTTGGTTAATAGGTTGAGGACAAAGACTCCCTGATCAGAATGAGACTCCCCGAAGATCTGTCCTCTTGTTTAGCAGAATCTGGCACATAGTAGGTACTCAGTGTATATATCGACTCAATATCATGCATCTGTTGTGTCCCAGCTACCTTCCACAGGGCTTGATGGGTTGACTTAAATAATGCTTTTAAAATTCAGGTTATTTCAATACAAACAGCCTGGCATCATTAAGGCACAAGAGCCTCACCCTTCTACACCACTTTCCACGAACTTCCAGTTGCCTTCCTTCAAAATCCTTGTTTTCTTAAGAAACCCACAAAAATACCGCCCCTCTATCAAAACGTCCTCAGCTTTGCCAGGTAGAGAATTGCTTCTGCAGTAGCTGGGCCACGTCTCTGTGGTAGTGCCCACTGCATGGGATCGGTATTAATCTGTTTGTCTTTTTCATCTTCTGGGCTGTGAGCTCCTAGAAGTCAGCTTTTTCACTTTTACCCAAGCCAAACGGTTATTCGCGTAAGGTTGGTTATAATTAAAATGTCGGTTTGTGCACATGGTTTGGGACTCTGTGTATGAGTACGACTAATATCTTCAATTTACTAAGAAGATAAAGAGGTCGATAAATAAGGAGGTCAAGCCCGTTTTGCAAGGTCACACAGGAAAGAAGCAGACCACGAAATGAACTTCGGCTGTCACCTGCGGTGGGCGCACTAGAGGTCTTTTGAACTCCTTCGGCTACCGTCGCCGCGTTCTCGCTGTGCACTCTTATTCTGCGCCTGCGCGCGGCTACAGCACGGTTCGTTTTTCCTTTAGTCAGGAAGGACGTTGGTGTTGAGGTGAGTCCGGTCCCTTTTGCATCCCTACCCCGACACTGCGGGTTGTCACAACGGCACCCTCCCGCTTTCTCTCTGCCTCGGATTTAGTCGTGACTGTGTGTCTCCGCCGTGGTGCAGCTTCAGGCCTCTCCCGCATCTACTCTCTCACGCTTCCGCTGCGGCCTGAGGGAGGGCGGCGGGCGGACCACGGACCGGGGTGGGTTGCGACGGCCCCACCGAAGCCGGGTGGGCTGCGGGACCCTCGAGAACCCAGCTGGCTTCGGAGTGAGCTGGCCCGGGGCTGGTACCCGCTGCGCTTTTTCACAGCCATTGTGACCTTGGTGAGGTCATTTGACCTATCTGGCCCCGGTGTTTCTCCCGTGAGAAAAGGGGTGGTGGTTTCTAATGCAGCTGGTCGTGAGGCGCAAGGGTTAGTGTAGGCGAAGCAGCTGGCAGCGTCGCTCGCTGTGTGGCAGCGTTTTAAATTAGAGCTGGAAAACTGGAGGAGGGTCACCGTACCTGCCGCAGGAGGGGAAGGATGGGCTTCCTGCAACCTCCCTTGCCCCACGGCTTCCCATCCTACCCCCGGCCGCGTTAGCTGAAGGCCAGCAGGGACGCAAAAGTTTTTAGGCCCCTTAGGTCTTTAGGTGAGGCTGGGCAAAGGAGCAGTTAGGGAATTTGGGCCCTCATGGTATTTGCCGCGTTCCCGTCCAGGTTTTAATGGTATACCGTGTGACCGTGGAAAACACCTGCCTCATGATCTGACAGGGTTGTCGCGAAGGTTTAACGAGTGGACAGAAAATTTTTAGAAGAGAAAGTGTTGCATAAATGGGTTTGCAATCGTTAATTACCAATGCGGAGCTACTGCTTATTTTTCTTGTTGTTGGAAAGATTTTTGTTGCCTTTGCTCGTCCATTACTAGTGTGCCGCAGTTTGTCGCGTTTATTTAGGGTGGTCGCTCAGTATATGGGGGGCGGGGGGAAGATGAAACAGGCTAAGCCAAGAGACAGCTTAGGCTTTGTGGGAGGAATCCATCCACTGTCGTGCTGTGCCTCTCTAGGTAGTAAAATGTACTATGCATGAGAATTCCTTTTGATATCTTTTCTGAGTTTTTCTTTTATTATTTTACCCGAGAAAGGGAAAAAAAGCTCAGAGTAGTGAGAGCTACATGAGGTATGCAGGACGCAGAGACCTGAGTATTGGACTTCAGTGCCGCCCCTCACCCATGTCTCAACCCAAATCTTATTCCTGAATTTGTGATATAAAGGACAGCGTTTAGTCAGTCAATAGCTTATGTTATTTTAATGTAAATTTTTGATAAACAGTTTAGGAATTGCCTCTCATTTTTTCTTAACTCACTTGTAGGCCGGAATCCCAGCACTTTGGGAGGACGAGGTAGGATGATCACTTGAGGGCAGGAGTTTAAGACCAGCCTGGGGAGCATAGCTAGACCCTGTTTCTGCCAAAAAAGAAAAACATTCATTTGTAACTGCTGCTAATCGGAGTGTATATTCAGGGCAGCTCCAATCAATGCTTCCAGGTGGCCATTCTCAAGTTTGTGGCTTAAATAAACTCTGTACTTAATCATATTTTCTGAATCTCTTAAGGTTAGCATACGTATCAAGGACAGTAACTACCATGGCTCCCGAAGTTTTGCCAAAACCTCGGATGCGTGGCCTTCTGGCCAGGCGTCTGCGAAATCATATGGCTGTAGCATTCGTGCTATCCCTGGGGGTTGCAGCTTTGTATAAGGTATGTATGTTTTTTACTTTGTGCCGAAGGTCATAAAGTATGTGTTTTTGGTTGAAAAATCTTTTAAAGAAACTCCCCCTTGTAATGTGTTTCTTTCTAACCCTTTCTGCACTCACCTCAGTGTGACAGGAACTATAGCTTGTCCTCCATCTTTAAATGAAGCTTGTTAGTTTGCTGGAATGCCGTAACAAAGAACCACAGACTGGGTGCCTTAAATTTGCTCGCAGTTCTGGAGGCTAGAAATCTGTTGGCAGGGTTGATATCTTCTGAGGCCTCTGTTGGCTTGTAGATGGCTCCCTTTGTCTTCACAGGGTCCTCTGTGGGCATATATCTGTAGCTGAACTTCTTTCCCTTTCTTTTCCTTTACCTTTCCTTCCTTTCCTTTTTCTGCCCTTCTTTTCATTTTCTTTCCTTCTTTCCTTTTTCTTTCTTTGAAACAGGGTCTTACTCTGTCTCCCGGTACCTGGGACTGCAGGTACACACCACCGGAACTGGCTAATTTTTATATTTTTTGTAGAGATGAGGTTTCAGAGATGGCCACGTTGTTCAGGCTGGTCTTGAACTCCTGGGCTCAAGGGATTCACCTGCCTTGGCCTGCTAAAGTGCTGGGATTACAGGCATGAGCCACCACACCTGGCCTGCTGAATTTCTTAAAAGAACATCACTCATATTGGATTAGGGCCCACCCTAAAGGCCTCATTTTAACTTAGTTATAAAGCCCTTATTTCCAAAAAACGTTTAGATTCTGAGGTACTGAGAGTTAGGACTTAAACACATGAGTTTTGGTCAAACACAATTCAACCCATTACAGAAGCTAGTATGCAGAGGGGCTGGGAAGGCAGCATAGCTGCCCCTCTATCCATGGGGAATTGGTTCAGGAGCCCTGACGATATTTTAAATCATCTCTGGACTACTTATAATGCCTAATGCAATGTAAATGCTATGTCAATAGTTTATATTGTATTTTTAATTTTGTAGCATTTTTTATTATTTTGAATCCATGAGTGTGGAACGTGCAGGAATGGTGGGCCGATTATAGTTCTGTTTGACACCTTGAGTAATTGTCACAGAATTGCGTTTTAACACTCTGCCTAATGTGGATTTTGTTATGCCCTTTATTTTTAATCAAAGGCTGCACATTTACAACTTTTCCGTAAAAATGTTTTTGATAATATGTATATGTTTATCATGCTTGTCATAATACCCCATGAAAGAATTCAGAGCTTTGCTTTTATAACTCTTTGTATTTAATTTTTGTTTAGTGTTTATGTTCTTTACTGGGCTGTGAGCCTCATTAAGGCAGGTACCATGTCTTTTGTTTACTGTGGCACCCTGTTGTTGGGTGCCTGACACACAAATAGGTTATTAAAAGGACCTGTTGAATAAGAGGCAGTGTATAAAATTCAGTACAGTGTTGGGTAATGTAGAGTTTCAAGTGCTTTGGAGGACACAAAAGGCATGTAGCTAAATCTCTGTTCTTAAAGAACTTAGAGTCAAGTTGGGGAGGTGAAAAAAATTAGAAGACATTGCAAGATAGAACATAACTGAAAGAATGGTTTTGGGGGATGTTGTGGTTCACAGTTATTGTGGGTCATAGCTATTTGATAGAGGAGGTGGAATTTGAGCCTTGCAAGTTAGGGAGAGGGGCTGGGTCTGGTGTCTCATGCCTGTAATCCTGGCACTTTGGGAAGCTGAGGTGGGCGGATTGCTTGAGCTCACGAGTTCAAGACCAGCCTGGGCGATATGGAGAAACTACGTCTCTACTAAAATACAAAAATTAGCTGGGCCTTTCTTCTTTTTTTTTTTGTTTTTTTGAGATGGAGTCTCACTCTGTTGCCCATGCTGGAGTGCAGTGGCGTGAACTCAGCTCAGTGCAAGCTCCGCCTCCCGGGTTCACGCCATTCTCCTGCCTCAGCCTCCTGAGTAGCTGGGACTACAGGCGTCCGCCACCACACCCGGCTAATTTTTTGTGTATTTTTTAGTAGAGACGGGGTTTCACCGTGTTAGCCAGGATGGTCTCCCATCTCCTGACCTCATGATCCGCCCGCCTCGGCCTCCCAAAGTGCTGGGATTATAGGCGTGAGCCACCGCACCCGGTCGCATTTCTTCTAAAAATACAAAAATACATGATGTGCCTGTGGCCCTAGCTACTCAGGAAGTTGAGGTGGGAGGTTGGCTTTAGCCTGGGAGGCAGAGGTGTCAGCCAAGATTGGGAGGCGAGGCCAGGTACAGTGGCTCATGCCAGTTATCCCAGCACTTTGGGAGGCTGAGGCGGGCAGATCACCTGAGGTCAGGAGTTCGAGACCAGCCTGGCCTACATGGTGAAACCCCATCTCTACTAAAAATACAAAAAAATTAGCCGGGCGTGGTGTCGGGCACCTGTAATCCCAGCTGCTCGGCAGGCTGAGGCAGGAGAATTGCTTGAACCCAGGAAGGGGAGGTTACAGTGAGCCGAGTTCGCACCATTACACTCCAGCCTGGGCAACAAGAGCGAGACTCTGTCTCAAAAAAAAAAAAAAAAAATTGGGAGGTGGAGGTTGCAGTGAGCCGAGATCGTGCCGCTGCACTCCAGGCTGGGCGATAGAGCCAGACTTTGTCTCAAAAAAAAAAGTTAGGGAGAACTGGGAGAGCAAAGAGGAGATGGAACACTGAGTGGGAGCACTAAGTGGACCTATGCTTTGGGACTCTTTGGAGAGACAAGCACACAAAGTCTTTTGGTCCTTGAGATTCCTGCTGCCTGGCATATATAGTGGGCATGAAGTAAATGTTTGTAGAAGGGATGGATGTGATGCAGAATTTTTGCTCCTTAGTTTAGCTAAATTTGGGTTCTTGTGTCATGACCAGGAGGAATTAGGCACATGGAAACATTGAAGGGTGAGGAGGGCTGAATTTATTGGGTGAAAAGGAAAAAAGAAAACAGACTCTCAGCAAAGCAAGAGGGGGTCCTGCTAACAGGCCCCCACCTCACAGATTGAATACTAGGCTACCACACAGGAGCTGAAGAGACTAGGCTCCTCCCCACTGCACAAGGTGCAGCTTCTCCTGGTTCCACCCTGTTCCCCCAGTGTGCCTGTGGCCATTACTCAAAAAGAATCAGTCCTGAAAGGGTGGGCAAATGTGCAGCTCTCCCTCAGGGTCGTGGGATCTGGGTCCAACAGTCTGGCCTTTCAGCCTTCAGGCTGTTTTAGGCTTGAAGGTGGGTTTTTGCTAGGACCCTTGGCTGTCTCTCTGTCAGATGGATGACTAAGTGAGGTAGGGAGAGTCCAAATTAACCGTACATGTAATGATGGCCCCCAGCACTTGTGCTTCTGCCTCTTTTTATTTTAATTTTTTCAAGACGGAGTCTTGCTCTGTCACCCAGGCTAGAGTGCAGCGTCACCATCTCGGCTCACTGCACCCTCCGAGGCCTCCCAGGTTCAAGCAATTCTCCTGCCTCAGCCTCCCAAGTAGCTGGGATTACAGGTGCCCACCACCATGCCTGGCTAATTTTTGTATTTTTAGTAGAGATGGGGTTTCATCATGTTGGCCAGGCTGGTCTCCAATTCCTGACCTTGTGATTCGCCCCCCTTGGCCTCCCAAAGTGCTGGGATTGTAGGCATGAGCCACCACGCCCGACCTCTGCCTCTTGATTTTATTACTGGGAAGAAATTGGGAATTCAAATAGAAGTGAAGCAGTAAAACTGGTCAGGTAAAGGATTCTTACTGCGTTACTCCATCAAGTAGCATGATTTCTGTGTATTTCTGCAGAGGGAGACCCCATCTTTTTTATTTTTTATTTTTTTTTTATTTTTTATTTTTTTTTATTTTTTATTTTTTTGAGACAGAGTCTCGCTCTGTCCCCCAGGCTGGAGTGCAGTGGTGAGATCTCGGCTCACTGCAACCTCCGTCTCCCGGGTTCACGCCATTCTCCTGCCTCAGCCTCCCGAGTAGCTGGGACTACAGGCGAGACCCCATCTTTAAAAAAAATAATAAGTCACTTAAACTTTCCATTTTTGTCTTGAATCTTCATTTTTTCTTTCTCTGTTGAACCCCACCCACCCTTTGTGTACGGAAACCTCGAACAAAACAAAATAGACACCTTATTCCCCATTCTTTTCTTTGCAAATTTAGCAGTTTCTTAGACTTTGTCTTCCTTTTTATCTGTCACCACCTCCACCCCTTAGGAAATGTAGGGTTTAAATTAAAGGGTGAACAAAAACATGTGTTCTACCTTGTCTTTATATATTATAATCTGGAATCTAATTTCCAGTAATCTGAAAAATAAACTCTAATGGATGGTTGCTTTTTAGTTTCGTGTGGCTGATCAAAGAAAGAAGGCATACGCAGATTTCTACAGAAACTACGATGTCATGAAAGATTTTGAGGAGATGAGGAAGGCTGGTATCTTTCAGAGTGTAAAGTAATCTTGGAATATAAAGGTAATATGGTTATTTGAAGTTACTTAAAAAAAAATTTCTAATTGTGGTAAAATGCAAATACAGGTGACTGTCCCTCACAATGTTTAGACTTAAGATTTTTTGACTTTACGATGGTGTGGAAGTGATACACATTTGGTAGAAACCATACTTTGAATTTTGATCTTTGTCCACATGAGCAATAAGTGGCACAATACTTTTGTGATGTGGGGGAGCACCAATGACCACATCCCCCAGTCAGAAACATAATCACAAGGGTAAACAGCTGATGCTGTACTCTGTAGTGTTGTGTGAGATACTCAGTGTTTTATTATAAGCTAGGCTTTGTGTTAGATGATTTTCTTCAGCTGTAGGCTAACATAAGTGTTCTGAGCACATTTAAGGTAGGGAAGGCTAAGCTATGATGTAAGTTAGGTGTATTAAA
The DNA here is from genome assembly GCF_000001405.40 of Homo sapiens. Classification (NCBI taxonomy): domain Eukaryota; kingdom Metazoa; phylum Chordata; class Mammalia; order Primates; family Hominidae; genus Homo; species Homo sapiens. The sequence goes on along the minus strand of NC_000008.11, from coordinate 99,887,068 downwards.
TGCATTTTCAACTTAAGATATTTTAAACTTATGATGGTTTTATCAGAATGTAACCTGATGGTAAGTTAAGGAGCATCTATAATATAAAATTTGCCATCTTAACCATTTTTAATTGTACAGTTTAGTAGTGTTAAGTTCATTCACATTGTTGTGCAACCAGTCTCCAGAACTCGTCATCTTACAGAATTGAAACCCTATATCCATTAAGCAACCCATTCACACCTCCACTCAGACCCTGGCAGCCACTGTGTTACTTTCTAAGAATTTGGCTACCCCAGGCATCTCATAAGTAGAATCACACAGTATTTGTTTTCTTGTGACTGGCTTATTTCACTTAGCGTAGTGTACTCAAGGTTCATCCATGTTACAGCATGTGTCAGAATTTCCTTTCTTTTTAAAGCTGAATGATCTATTTTAGTTGTGTCACATTGTTATCCATTCATCCATCAGTAGATGCTTGGGTTGCTTCCACTTTTTGATTGTTGTGAGTGATGCTGTGAACCTAGGCATGCAAATATTCCTTCAAGGCCTTGCTATCAATTCTTTTGGGGTATATTCAAAAGTGGAATTCCTGGATCATATGATTTTTAATTTCTTAAGAAACTGCCATACCCTTTTCCATAGTGGCTGCACCATTTTACACTCTTTCCATCCTCCCCAACACTTGTTAATTTTTTTTTTAACAGGGTCTCCCTCTGTCACCCAGGCCGTAGTGCTGTAGTGCGATCATGGCTCACTGCAGCCTCAACCTCCCAGGCTCAAGGGATCTTCCTGCCTCAGCCTCCCAAGAAGCTGGCACTATAGGCATGTGCCACCACACCTGGCTAACTTCTTTATTTTTAGTAGAGACAGGGTTTCACCATATTACCTGGGCTGTGCTTGAATTCCTGGGCTCAGGCGATCCGTCCACCTTGGCCTCCCAAAGTGTTGGGATTACAGGCGTGAGCCACTGTGCCTGGCATAATTTTGGTATTTTTTGATAGTAGCCATCCTAATAGGTATGAGGTGGTATCATTGTGGTTTTGATTTGCATTTCCCTGATTATTTGTGTTCTTGAGCATCTTTTCATGTACTTATTGGCCATTTGTATGTTATCTTTGGAGAAATGTTTATTCAGTTCTGCTCATTTTCAAATTTGGTTTTTTGTTTATTGGTTGAGTTGTTCTGTATATATTCTGGATATTAACCCCTTATCAGATATGATTTGTAAATATTTTCTCCCATTTCATAGGTTGCCTTTTCACTCTGTTGTGTCCCTTGATGCACAGAAATTTTGATGTCGAATTTATTTTTATTTTTGTTCTGTGTGCTTTTAGTGTCATATTCAATAAATCATTGCCAAATCCAATGTCATGAAGTCTTTTTTATGTGTTCTTCTAAGACTTTTATAGTTTTAGCTCTTATGTTTAGATCTTTGATTCACTTGAATTTTTGTGTAGGGTGTAAAGATCCAACTGTATTCTTTTACATGTGGTATCCAGTTTTCCCGAAATCATTTAAGATTGTCCTCTTCCATGGAGTGGTCTTGGTACCTTGGTGAAATCATTTGACTCTAAATGCGAGAGTTTATTTCTGGGCTATTTCTTTAGTCTGTATGTCTGTCTTCGGGGCAGTACTACACTGTTTTGATTACAGTAGTCCGTTTTATCTAAGATATGTTTCAAGACCCCTCTAGTGGATTCTTGAAACCACAGATAGTACCAAACCCTGTATATATTATGTTGTTTTTCGTGTACGTACATACCTATGATGACGTTTAACTCATAAATTAGACATAGTAAGAGATGAGCAACAATAACAAAATAGAACAATTGTAGTGTATAGTAATAAAAGGTGAATGTGATCTCTCAATATCTTGCTGTACTGTACTCACCTGTTTTTGAACCACAGTTGACTGTGGGTAGAACTAAAGCGGTGGAAGGTTAAACCACAAATAAGGGATGACTGCTACACTGTAGCTTTGTAGTATGCTTTAAAATCAGTAAGTGTGAGTCCTCTAGCTTTGTTCTTTCTTTCACCCCACCCGGAGGGTGCTCTAGCTATTTGTGGTTCCTTAAGAGTCTGTGAATTTTAGGATGGATTTTTCTATTTCTGTAAAAATGCCATTGGGATTTTGATAGGGATTGCATTAAATCTGTAGATTACTTTGGTAGTATGGACATCGTAACAATATTAAGTATTCCAATCCATGAACACAGGATGTCTTTCCTCTTATTTGTATCTTTAATTTCTTTTAGCAGTAGTTTGCATCTTTAATTTCTTTTAGTGTTGCTACTCTCTTACTATGCCTAATTTATGAGTTAAGCTTTATTATAGGTATGTGTATATATAGGAAAAAACGTAGCTGTATAGGGTTTGGTACCATCCATAGTTTCAGTAATTCACTGGAAGGGTCTTGAAACATATCACCTTGGATAAAAGGAGACTACTATAATCAAAACAATGTGTCCAAGGACACACATTTCTTTCCGTACTTTTCCTTTATTTTATAGTGACATGTTTCAGTTTCCTTCTTACTTCCTTATGTGTATATTCTGTATTTTCTTTGTGGTTACCATGGGGATTGCATGAATGAGATTTGCTAATTTTTTTAGCAGTATACAGGTATATATCTGTTTCATCTAGGTCAGTGTTTAAGTCTTTCATATTCCTGATTAAATACATTCCTAAGTATTATTTTTGGTGCTATTATAAATAGAATTATTTTCTTAATTTCCTTTATTAGGCATTCCTTTATTTCCTTCATTGTTGGTGTGTAGAAAGAGCTGATTTTTGTATCCTCCAACTTAGTAGAATTCATGTATTCTGACACTTGTGTGTTAGAAATCTTTAGGGTTTGCTGGAGGTAAGATTATATGATCTGTAAACAGATAGTTTTACTTACTCCTTTCCTTTTTGGATGTTGCTTATTCCTTCTTGCCTCATTGCTCTGGCTAGGACTTCCAGTACTACAATGAATAGAAGTGGCAAGAGCGGGCATCCTTGTCTGGTTCTAGGTATTAGAGGAAAAGCTTTCACGTTTTCCATGTTCAGTATACTAGACTTGTCCTTTTTGGCCATTGTTGGGTTGAAGTACATTCCTTCTGTTGATAGTTTTGATCATGAAAGGATGTTGAATTTTGTCAAGTACTTTTTCTGCATTTTTTGAGATGTGTTTTTTATCCTTCATTCTGTCAGTGTGGTATGTCACATCTATTGATTTGCATATGTTGAACTATCCTTGCATCCTAGGGATAAATCCCACTTAATCATAGTACATGATTCTTTTAATGCGATGTCAAATCTGGTTTGCTAGTGTTTTGTTGACGATTTTTGCATCTGTGTTAAAGGATTTGGCCTATAGTTTTCTCGTGTGTTTGTCTTTGATATCAGGATAATGCTGGCCTTATAGAATGAATGTGGAAATGTTCCCTTTTCCTCACTGTTTTTGGAAAAACTTGAGGAGGATTGGTGCTGGTTTCATAGAGGGCTGGGCATGGTGGCTCATGCCTGTAATCCCAGCACTTTGGGAGGCTGAGAAAGGAGGATCACTATAATCCAGAAGTTAGAGATCAGCCTGTGCAACATGGCAAGACCCCATCTCTACCAAAAAAAAAATATATATATATATATATACACACACACACACACACACATACATATATACACACACACACATATATATACACACACACAGATATATATATAGTTAGCTGGGTGTGGTGGTACATGCCTGTAGTCTCAGTTACTTGGGAGGCTGAGGCAGGAGGTTCACTTGAGCACAGGAGTTTAAGGCTGCATAAGCTATGATCACACCACTGCACTCCATCCTGGATAACAGAATATGAGACCCTGTCTCAAAAAAGTTTGGTAGGATTCACCATATGGTCTTGGACTCTTGTTTTTTGAAGTTTTTGGCTACTGATTAAAAATTCCTACTAGTTATAGACGTTCAGATTATTGTTTTCCTGATCCAGTCTTGGTTAGATTGTGTTTCTAGAGTGGGTGTGGTAGCTCATAAGGCCTGTAATCCCAGCACTTTGGGAGACCAAAGCAGGTGAATTGCTTGAGCCCAGGAGTTTGAAACCAGCCTGGGCAACATGGCGAAACCCCGTCTCTACAAAAAAAATACAAAAAATAATGTGGGTGTGATGGCACACGCCTGCAGTCCCAGCTACCTGGGAAGATTACCTGAGCCTGGGAGGTCAAGGCTGCAGTGAGCAGTGATTGTACCACTGCACTCCAGCCTAGGCATCAGAGGGAGATGCTGTCCCCACTCCCCCACAAAATTTTTTTTTGAGTTATGTATTTCTATTTCATTAGGTCATCCAGTTTGTTTACATATAATTGTTCATAGCATTCTCACTCCTTTTTAGATCTGTAAAATCAGTTGTAATGTTCCCTCTGTTAGTTGGTGGTTCTCTTTTTTTATTAGTCTGACTAAAGGTTTGTTGATTTGATCTTTTCAAAGAACTAACTGTTGGCTTTGATTTTTCTCTATTGTAGTCATTTTGTTTAATATTATTCAGCTACATTTGGGTTTAATTCCTCTTTTTCTAGTTCTTAGGTTGATACAGTTTTTTAAAAATTTCCTTGTAATTTCTTTTTTAATTTATTGATTGTTAAGAGTCTGTTTAATTTAAACACATTTGTGGATTTTCCTCTTTTCCTTTGGCTTTTGATTTCTAGTTTCATGCCATTGTGATCAGAAAAGATACTTTGTATGATTTCCAGTCTTTTAAAATTGAAGACTTATTTTGTGACCTAACATATGGTTTGTCTTGGAGAATGTTCCATGTTCTCTTGGGAAAAATGTGTATTCTGTTGTTAGCTGGAGTGTTTTGTTAAGTCCAGTTGATTTGTAGTGTTGTTCAAGTCATATGTTTTCTTATTAATCCTTCTATCTAGTTGTTCTGTCAATTATTGAAAGTGGAGTATTGAAGTCCTCTACTGCTATTGTAGAGCTGTCTGCTTCTCCCTTCAATTCTGTCAGTGTTTGCTTCATATATTTAGAGCTCTGATGTTTGGTGCATATGTATTTATAATTGCTAGATCTTATTGGTGAATTAATCTTTTTAAATTATAGAATGTTCTTTTTTGTCTCTTGAAACATTTTAGACTTGGTCTATTTTGTCTGATTTAGTGTAGCTACCCCTGTTCTCCTGGTTGCTGTATGTGTGGGACATCTTTTTCTACCCGTTCACTTTCAACTTGTGTGTCCTTAGATCTACAGTGAGTCTCTTGTAGACAGCATATAATTGGATCCAGGTTTTTAATCCATTCTGTCATTGTCTTTTGGTTGGGGAATTTAATCCATTTACATTTAAGATAATTACTGATAAAGACACAGTATTGCCATTTTGTTTTCTATGTGTCTTACAGCTTCTTTGTCCCTCATTTCTTTCCTCACTCTTTTATTTTATAGTGACATGTTTCAGTCTTTCCTTTTATATTCAGTATTTTCTTTGTGGTTACCATGGGGATTACATGAAATATGCTAAAGTTAGAACGATTTATTTTAAACTTAAAACAACCTCAATTGCATATAAAAACTCAACTCCTTTACAGCACCACCCTCTTTTCCTGTGTTACTGATATCACACATTATGTGTTTATATATTATGTATCCATTAACATGGACCTATATAGTTACTTCTTATGCTTTTGTCTTTTAAATCCTATAAAAGAATTAAAAATGAATTTACAAACCAATTTTTTTTTTTTTTTTAAGAGATGGAGTCTTACTCTGTCACCCAGGCTGGAATGTAGTGATGCAATCTCGGCTCACTGCAACTTCCGCCTCGTGGGTTCAAGCAATTCTCATGCCTCAGCCTCCCGAGTAGCTTGAATTACAGATGCACCCCACTGTGCTCAGCTAATTTTTATATTTTTAGTAGAGATGGGATTTCACCGTGTTGGCCAGACTGGTCTTGAACTCCTGACCTCAAGTGATTTGCCTGCCTGGGCCTCCCAAAGTCCTGGGATAACAGGCATGAGCCACTGTACCTGGCACAAACCAAATTTTAATATAAGCTTCTATGTTCTTTGCCAGAGAACTTTATATTTTCACATGGCTTTGAGTTACTGACTAGTGTCCTTTTTGTTTCAACTTGAAGGATTCCCTTTAGCATTTCTGTAGGGCAAATCTAATTGGTAAAACTCCTTTGACTTTTTTATCTGGGAATTTCTCCTTCATTTTTGAAGGACTGTTTTGTGGGATGTATTATTCTCAATTGACAGGTGTTTTGTTTGTTTTTTTAAGCTCTCTGCCCTTTTTCTCTTCTGGGACTCGGTAATACCTATATTGGTCTGCTTGGTATAGTCAGATATCTTAAGCTAGTTACTTTTTTTTTTCTCTTCAGACTTTTAAAATTTAATTTAATTTTATAGAGATGGGGTCTCACCATGTTGCCTGGGCTGGTCTTGAACTCCTAGGCTCAGGTGATCCTACTGCCTTGGCCTCCCAGATTACAGGCATGAGCCACCATGTCCGGCCTGCTCTTCAGACTTGATAACTTCAAATGATCTGTCTTGAAGTTTCCTGATTCTTTCCTCTGCCTGAGTCTGCTGTTAAATCCCTCTAGTGATTCCGACCCCTTCTCCCCCCATTCAGTTACTACATTTTTCAGCTCCACAGTGTGTTTGGTTTTTAGAAATAATTTTCTCTTTGTTTATATTCTCACTTGTTTATATATTGTTTATCTAATTTTGCTTAGTTGTCCACACTCTCCTTTAGCTCATTGAGCATTTTTTAGATAGTTGTTCTTAAGGTTTTATAGAGTAAGTCAGCAGCCTCTGTTTCTTTAGGGTTGGTTTGTGGAGATTTCTTTCTTTCAATCGTCCGTGTTTCCCTATTTCTTTATGTGCCTTGTGATCTTTTGTGAAATTCAGGCATTTGCAAAACCAGCTACCTGTCCCTTTGCAGACTGGCTCCATGCATGGAAAGGCCTTCACTGATTAGCGCACCATAAAGGCTTGGTGTCCTCTCAAACTTTTCCTGGGGATGCCATCTTCCCTGGGCCTGTGCATATGCATTAGTTTTAGTTTCCTCCTATACACAGCTGCCTTTCAGTTTTTCTTAGTTTTCCTGAGTTTGCCTCCAGCTTCCTCTTGGAGTCTTAGCTGTTCTGTTATTCTTTTGTCTCTGATCTCTTGCCCACAGGTTTCTGTAGGTCTGTGTTCCCCTGCAGCTCACTCATGCCATGGTACCCATCATTGCTTTCAGCTCTTTCCAACCTCCTATCCAAACTATGCCATTGTTCCCATTAGCACTCTGATTCAGGCAAGACAGAAAGCAGTCCCTTGGGCAGCTCCACACAAACCAGAACATTGTAGGTCAGTTTCATTCTTTACCTTATGTCCTGAGGGAAGAGCCAGGGTAGTTTTCTTCTGACTATTGTACTGAGGAGGGCATTTGGCAAGAGTGAGCAAAAATGCCATGAAATTTCCTGCTACTTTGAGTGTGGCTTTTTCTTGGATAGGTGGTTCCTTTGGTTGCTGCTCAACTGGTTTCTAGAGTTCTCATAAAGCTAAACATTTTTAAATTTTTGGTCCATATGTTTATTCATTATTTTTTGTGGGGGTTTGGGGGCCTGGAGCTTCACAGTCTATCTTGCTGACATGAAACTACTTTTTATGTTCAAAATCATTTTTATAGGTTATGCTATTAATTGCTAGATTGGCATTACGAATGTTACACTTTTAGAAGTCACTTTTTTAAAAAAAAGTATTTGGGACAGTATAGTTTGTTAGGTGGGTGTCCACGAGTGACTAGCTGTCTTTCCATAGGTCTGGTTTGGTCTGTTGTATTCACAAGGTCCTTATGCCTCATGGACAGTGTGAATTAAAGTTCTATTATCTAGAAAAGGACTGACTGGTGTGCTGATGGAAAGTCATCTAAACTGATTTGATAGCATGTATGAAGTACCTTGATGAGACTTCCTACTCTGGAATCTTATGTGTATATTTAACAAAAAAGAACAATGTAGTTTCTTTTTGCCACTTCAGTCTGGGTTTATGCCTTGTAAATGAGTTTGCTGTGACACAGAGAATGTGAAACTGCTATTTTGTCAGGCAGTGTTCCTAAATAAGCATTTCAGTTGCACTACATATATGTGGGTTACATTCCAATAAACCTTATCATATGTTGAGAATATCGTAAGTCAAAAATGCATTTAAGACCCTGGAAAACCCATTAGAAAGTCAAAAAAATTGTAAGTCAAACCATCATAAGTTGGGTACCATGTGTATTAAGGAAAAAAAATCAAGAAAATATTAATGGTTGTTTATAATCTTAACATATCTGCTTTAACTTTGAAATTTTCAAAATTTACAGTGAGCATGCATTTTATAATCAGAAGATGTTAATAGGCTAATTTAAATTTGTTAGATTTTTACCATTTTTAAGATTATGTTTAAAAACCTGTATGAGAGAACATATTTGGAGACAGGAACAAAAATATGGCTTGGAACAGAAACAGTATGTGGCTATAAGGGTTAATGGCAGGGGGGTGGGGGCGGTGGTGGGCATAGAATTGAGAAGGAAAAAAGCAGAATTTGTTCAATGCACACAAGCAATGAGAGTAAGGTGTGGTATGCCCAAAATGGAAAAGAGGCTATTCAGAGTGGTCAGGGAGCTTAGAGGAGCGTAAAGGAGAGTGAAACTTGGAGTCCAGGTAGCCTGAACTGTGCTTTTTCTGTGGCTGAGGGTGAGTGATCAAGGTGTGAAGTCTACTAGTAGGAATAGACCTCAGTTGATCCTCAAAGATGGTGAGTATTGAGAGAGTGTTTATCTCTAACTTAGCCTTTGTGTTTCTCTTCACAGAATTTCTTCAGGTTGAATTACCTAGAAGTTTGTCACTGACTTGTGTTCCTGAACTATGACACATGAATATGTGGGCTAAGAAATAGTTCCTCTTGATAAATAAACAATTAACAAATACTTTGGACAGTAAGTCTTTCTCAGTTCTTAATGATAATGCAGGGCACTTACTAGCATAAGAATTGGTTTGGGATTTAACTGTTTATGAAGCTAACTTGATTTCCGTGTTTTGTTAAAATTTCATTGTTCTAGCACATCTTTAACTGTGATAGTTTGTCCGTTTCATTGCAGTTACTTGGTCTTGGGCTATGGATTAAAAAGTGTTCTTCATGAGCCTGTAAGACTACTGTACTGTGGGCTCTAAGAAGAGATAGAATCCTAATAAAATCTATCCTTGGCCTTCATTGCCACTATTTGGTAGCTGTGCCACCACCACATAGTTGAAATAGGTAATTCAAATGTAGGGTTTCTTACTCAGTATTGCTTTATTAATAACAAGCTAACAGTATGTAATAGAATTTGGATATATATCTAATCCAGAAAAGGTTACTTAACTAGAATTGAGTAATGTCTCCTAATGACAAGCAGAGTATGGTACTTTTTCAGAGGTCTTCTTAGGACTTTAATTCATGTTTATTGCGAGCAAAGTGATACTGGAGAACTTTAAAAAATGACACTTATTCAAAGCTAATTTAATCAGTAACTTTATTATAACAAAACCTGTATATTACCCATTTAAACTCATGTGTAACATTCAGTGATGTGAGCTGTATTAAACCCAGGTATTAGTGAAAATTTGCATTGTAAAACCTGGTAACAGTAGACATCTATGGGTGGTCAGTAATTCAAGGACACCTTTTATTTTAAACAATTTTATATAATTCATATCAATATGCAAAATTACCATAAAAGATACAAGGATTAATACATATTTACATTTTTAGAAATAGTTACTCTGAGGTTGACAGCTGTCACTTTTCTAAATATTTACAGAACAAACTGAAAGAGACATTTTTCATAGTCAGAATTGTTCGTTAAGTCTTGCTTTCCAGTAACAATTATATAGTGACTTCTTATGCCCAACATGTGAGAGTTAAAGATCAGTGGGTGTTGGGCATGGTGGCTCACACCTGTAATCCCAGCAGTTTGGGAGGTGGAGGTGGGAGGAATGCGTGAACTGAGGAGTATGAGACCAGCTGGGCAACATAGTGAGACCTCATCTCTAGAAAAAATTTTAAAAATCAGCCAGGTATGGTGGTGCATACCTGTGGTGGTGTAGTCCCAGCTGCTTGGGAGGCTGGAGTAAGATCACTTGAGCCCAGGCAGTGAGCTTAAGCTGCAGTGAGCCATGACTGTTCCCACTGTACTCTAGCCTGGGTGACAGAATGAGACCCTCTCTCCAAAACAAATAAAACCAGTGGGCATTTAAAATTGCATTCTCTTAGTATCTCAAAATTCTAGGTAACAAGCTGTAGCCCCAAGTTTAAATGTAATATCAATCAGCAAACATGCTCTAAGCTACTGGACTGTAAGAAAGATATTTACTGAACATTTAAGACATCTTGGTAACCCAAGATCTTGAGTCAAACCCATTCTTAGATGCAAAATATTATCAGACAGACACTGGGAATATCTTCATGCTTTGTCAAGTCAATTCCACAGAATAAACAAAATGGACTGGTATAATTGTTAGCATTAATATTGGGGTTCTTGTGTGCTCTATGGCATACCAGGGAGTTCCCACTATGTATGTTTTGTTTATGGAACTAGAGAAACTCACCTGAACACTTTGGGACTGGATTCAATATAGGACAAAGGATTTACTCAAAGTTTGCTTAGTAAAACAAACTGGAAGAAGAACACTTTTTCTAAAATGTACCTGGACAGTAATCAATCAATCATCAGACTGTTGTAAATTTTAGTAAAATGCAGACTTCAGAGAAAATACACATAGCAGCTTTCAAAGAATAGCACTGCAGTTAAATGACAAATGTAACAAGCCACAAAGTCCTAAGCATTTCATTTAAAGAAAGAATCCTAGGCCTTTGCAGACAAAGGAGCATGAGGCAAAGGTGGTGACTCAGCCCAAAAACAGATGCAACTTGAAGTTTTAACTCTGGCTCTCCATTGTAAGGCCTGGCCACATTCTATGATGGAACAGAGAGTTAATAATAGACCCAAATTAATTACAGTAGAGATTTTTGCAAGTGTCATAGAGCAAAAATAAATGCATCCTCTGTATGTGGTAAGAACATATAGGGCCCTGTTAATCATTGTCTCTAAGTGGGGAAGGAACACGTTTTTGTCACTTTGAAGTATCTTTTAGAGGTAAGGATGTAAATAAGGAAACTGTTGGCCTTGTGTCCATATCAGATGATGTTAGAGCTGCCTAGGCTTTTTAAAAAAATGCAGCCCTTTATGGTGGCAAAATGCAGCCCTTTATGGTGGCAGGTGCTTGCAGTCGTAGCTACTTGTGGGTTGAGGTGGGAGGATTGCTTGAACCCCAGAATTTGAGGTCAGCAAGGGCAATGCAGTGAGACCCTGTCTCAAAGAAACCCAAAAACTAAATCACACAAGCAGGAATAAACACCTCAGAGGGGACTCAAGGAAACCCTTTCCTCAGGGCTTTATTTTTCACCATGGTAAATTTACTAAGGAAGACCTGAGCAAAATGTGGATCAACCAGGTAATGGTATGTTTTAACAGTGGAGGGGGGAGGTTCTGCAGCCACCACAGGGCATGGTATTTGCATGGAAGAACAGCTGGGGGCCAGGTGACAAGATGTCTTTGTGATGTAGTCCACCAGTCTGTTGTACTGTTGCTCTGACAGTCTCTCTCGGACTCCATCTACCTAGGATCCAAAAATAATAAAGATTAGTTGCCAGACCCTTACGAGAGTTCCAGAACAAAATTAGTTCTTTTGCCTCGATATATTTGTACATTATGCCTTTTAGGTCATCTATTAAAGCCATTAATCCAGAATGTTTCCTTTTTTCCTCTGAGATATGGCAACGATAACAATGCAGTTTTAGCAGTATAACTGAAAGTTGTGCATGAGACTTAGGACAGCCTCCTTAGAATAAGCATTTGGTGTTGCATAAAATTCCCATGTTTGAAGTTGACGATTTGATAACATTCTACTCACCATTAAAACATCTGTCATTGTTCTTTAGCAGCCAGCCCAAGAAAAAAGGAGAAAAATCTTTCCTCCACATAAATCATCTATTCAACATTAAACTCAGCACTGAAATAAAAGCTCTGTTTGCCTAGCTCCCCAAACCTCTTCAGATAGAACGTCTTAAAGTGGAGAACACCTCTTTCAAACCAGTGGCTTTGGACGGAGCATTAAAAAACCTTTTGAACTGTAACATTTTCTGCTTTTCTAAATCCTAGGATTTAAAGCCAGAGAAAATAGAGAAGCTGGGCAGCGGAAGGGGAAATTTTTATGGAAAAAAAGAGGATGTAAAGTACATTTATTGTTCATAAAAGTCTGGCTCATCTTCAGTGGAACACAAATAGAACTGAGATACACTAGGTTCTTCAGTGAGATTTTCTGAGAAAGCGCTCATCAAAGGCAGCTGAAGCTATAAATTCTTCCTACCCTGAAGTCCTTTAGCTATCTAGTGTGTAGATCAAGTGGAGTGGGAAGTTTGCAATTGTAAGCCACTGATTTGTGAATCTCAGGTAGCCACCAAACTTTCCGTGGTTTTTGCCTACTGAACATTGGCAAGACTACTCTGGAAGAAGTGGTAAAGAAAGACTTGTTTCTAGTTCTGCGTGTGGTCCAGTAACAATGCTATCAAAGTGTCTTAAAAGCTGGAGAAAGTCCGTGCGATGGCAGAGAGATAGTAAAGAGGCTTGCTAGAAGAATAAGTAAGGAATCCCTTAGAGTTTGAATCTTGTGTTTTTAAGCTTGGGGAAAAACGGTCCCCAAAGATTCACTAACAGACGAAAGCTCTGCACCACCAGGCAAAAGCCAGAGCTCTGATATCATTTGATGGGGCCAGAATTCAGCTGGAAAGCTTTGAATACACAAAAAGTTTTAATTGCTCCTCCTGAACAGCAGCACAGGAAAACCCCTGTTGTGAAAGGAACCCAGCCAAGGACTAAATTGACCTTCTGACTCATTTTGAGCCACTCATAAGGGATTTCAATAATGTGCCAGGCATATTAAGCAGTTATTACCCCTAAACTGGTTGCATTTAACCAAGAAAAGCAAATGCTGACTTAAAAAATAAATCTCAATCCTGCCATATTTAAATGTACTGCATGATGTCATCTACAAATTAATTCCTTCCAAAATTCAAAGGAACTAGGCAAAAGCTAAAAACCAGAAAAGTCATTTATAGATCTTAAAATACTACTTTTAGTCTTCACTGGAAGTGTTCACGGCAGACAGGCTTCCTCATGTCTGTGGATTATGTTGGGATGCACTAAGAGCCAGACAGCTCAAGAAAGCTCACTGACAAGGCAGTGCTGCTGGCCACCCTCCCCTGCCCACTCATGTTGAAAATACTCTAGATTACAGCACTTGGGAGGGTTTAGTCTCAAAGACGCTCTGCAGCTTGAGTTTTCTTGGGGGTGAGTAGGAGAGGTTGGGGTTATAGACATAGGATTAAGGCAGCAGTTATTCCTATTAATGACTTCAGGAGAGAGAAAGTGGAATAGAGAAAGCAGAATGTGGAGGCTGAAGGCACACTGGCCCATCTACCTTCCAGCCAGTGCCGGGCCTTGGCTGTGCAGGCACAGTGCTCCTGCTCTCAGTCATGTCTTCCCACTTCTGTTTTAGGCATTCCTTAATCCCAACCCTCTTTCAGCCCTGGACAGCAGTGGAAAATCAGTGCTGAAAATGGTATCTAGAGCTTCAGTGTTGCTTCTCTGATTCCACAATCCCAATAATCTCAGCAACTTTTAGGAGTGGTGACTCCAGATACTATCTCAACCCCTAGGGAAACTGAGGTCTGTTTCCTTCCAGCTATGATGATTCTCCACAGTACCTGCCTCAAACAAAAATACAAGAGAAGGATCACAGTTGAAGACAGTTCAACAGCAAAAGAAATCTGCAGTCTTAATAGTTTAAGATCTGAAATATTTCCCAAGCAGCTAAGGAATCATGATGGTCACAGGGCCTTGGAGGTTTCTCATTAAGGACTAAAGATTTAATCGTAATGATATTATCCCTTGCCAAATCCTATAGCCAAATCACCGCTGCTTTACTCAACTGATCAGAAGATTCTGGCAGATCTAATAAAGTCAGCCTGGACATCTGACCTCTGTTTATTCTCAGAAAGTCATCAACTTGAAGCAGCAATGTAGTCCTGGTGCCAAACCCTAGCTTAAAGCCTGACTATGATCATGATCCAAGAAACTAGAGAAATCTTAAGAGTTGTTGTGGTTGGCTGCTTTCCATCTTCTCAGATAATTTTACCCAAACAGTGGCGTGAAGGAGATACACGCCCCCATCCCAGGAAGAGAATAATGAAAGGAGGGATCAGGCAGAACCTATTGGAGGTAGGTTTGCTGTCCTTTGCTGGGGCCACTCAGTCCCCAGGTTAGGGCCAGCAGACTCCAGTTTGCCACTGATCCACCACTATCTTGCTGTGTGGAAAAAGATGTCTATTATTTAGGTAAATAATTAGGATCTCATGGATCAGGCCATCATCCAGGAAGGAGGGGCAGAGAGCAATTTTCCAGTGGGTGCACCTGTTTTTACCCTGGGCTGGGCTACAGGAAGCTGGGGTCTGTCTGGTTGGGGCTCCCCCTTGACTCTTGACACCCAGTATGCCTTGCCTGCGCATCTGTTCCACATTAATTTATGCAGGCCAGGAGCCAGCCATGGAGCTGCCCCAAGAGCCTTAAGTATCATCCCCAGGGGGGATTCTGTGGTACTCAGGGGGTGGGAAACTATCCTGTGGGAAAGAGAACACAGCCACAGAATACAAAGCAGTGGATTTGAGAGAGAGACCACTTCACAAAATGTTGACCCTTGAAGTCTCCAGGTTTGGGGGTAGGGGAGGGAGTGGAGAGTCTTGTTTCATGATGCCCCTTGCTTCTGCATTGGTCCTTTCCAGCACCCACAGACCTCCAGCACCCTGCAGCCAGTTGCAGGCCTCAGGCAGCCAAGGACCTGACTTTAGGCTTTCAGACCAGGGGACCTCCTTTGTGGAGCAGTTGCGTGGAATTGCTGCCCCAATCCTGGCCCTTCCTGAACCAACCCACTCGTTTTGTAACTCCATTTTCCTGTCCATCGAGCACCCCAGCCCCATGACGGCCAAGCCAGATCAGCCTTGTTCAATTGGCTTGGTTACTTAGCTTTAGACCTTGAGTCCTGCTGGCCGCCTGCTGGGTTCTCCTATACAGGGCTTATGTGCATATCTGGATGGGGGCTTCCCAGTGCCCTTTCGCAGCGGCCCTCCGGCCTCTACACTTCCTCCTCTGGGTAGCAGCTCTCCTTGGTCTCCAGCAGCCACTCCAGAGGCTGCAGCTCAGAAATGCCTAGGTACCAGTGACCAGCCTGCTCCTCAACCTCCCTGGCCAGCTAGTCTTGGTTGCCCTGTTTTCTGAAACGTACCTCCACATCACAGGCCACTCTTGGCTGCTTGAGCTGCACTGTGAGTAAGTTGTTCTGCTTGCTGTCCTGTGCACAGTCGATTTCTGTGACGGGGAAGGCCTGCTGCTGTGTGTCCTCACTGACACTCACCACGAAGAGCACTTCTGATGTCAGCAGCAAGCACCCTTCATGCTCCTGGCCTGAGCCCCTCACCAGAACCACGTCCAGGGCCATGTGGACTTCTGGTCTGCCCAGAGACTGAAGCATTTTCCTGTTTAAAAGGAGAAAAGTGAGGCCAGGGGCCAGCTGTGAAAAGATGGTCACTTATCAGTGCTCATTATTTACCAATGGGGCAACCTCCACAAGGGCAAAGGGCCCTCACCAATCCAGTTACCCATTTTAGCTTGAAATGTAATTGTCAGTTCTCAGACTGATTCTGATTAACAGAACCTGCTTCCTCCTGGGAACAAAGATTTCCCTTGGTTTTGCTTATTAGCTCCTTTTCTCCCCATTAGAAATAGCACCTCTAATTAGAGTGCTGGTTCCACAGGGAATCTCAGGCCCTCTAGCAAGACTGGGTTTCTCTGCCAATGTATGACCTTCCTTGAGTGGTTAGGTACGGAACAGAGGAGTTGTGCAGCCAGCCCCAAACCTGGCAACAGCAGCCTCTTCCTGTCCCTCTACAGTGCTCTTGTGCTGCCTGAGATGCCAGTGCCAACAATGGCTACTCCTGGGCTCCCTGGAAGCATGGCCCATTAGCTTGAGAGCAAGCCAGGAGCTATTAACATACAATATGGATGTAAAGTTGAGCACGTATCTCAATAATTTTACCAGACATATTTGACATGGCTGTTTGGAGCCTGGTCAGCATGTAGATCACTTGGCTGATGGCGCTGTTTGGGAAGCTGAGAAAGTCCAGCTCCATGTAAAATACCTGTGGTAAGAGAAGTAAGGGAGTTTTACTACTTGTTTTCTGGAAAACAGTTTCATGCTGCAATGATGTCATCTGTTCAGAGCCATCCATAAAATGTTACAGATCCAAAATGATGTCACATCTTTGGAAGCAAGCGTATAGATAATCATTAAACATTACAATGCTCTTAACCTTGGTGATCTTGCATTAGTAACAAACTAAAATATGAATGTGTTACACAGTCCAAGCATAGACTAGCAATTAGAGGAAGCAAAAACACCGAAAGTAGCTGGTCATGAACAATAGCCTAGACATCATTTTAATTGATGTGTTAAAAAAGTCTAGATAGGTCTGGTGTGGTGGCTCATGCATGTAATCCTAGAACTTTGGGAGGTCAAATCAAGGTGGGAGGATTGCTTGAGTCAGAGTTAGAGACCAGCCTGGGAAACAAAGTGAGACCCCCATCTCTACAAAAAATAAATAGTGGTGCATGCCTGTAGTCCTAGCTACTCCAGAGGCTGAGGTGGGAGGATCACTTGAGCCCAGGAGTTGGAGGCTGCAGTGAGCTATGATTGTGTCACTGAATGTCAGCCTGGGTGACAGCAAAACCCTGTGTCTAAAAAAAAAAGTCTAGATTGTTAGTTAACTTCCTTAATACTTCTGTATCTGTGCTAAGGCTAGTCAAAAAATAAAAAACACACAGATATATACAAAGGCACACCCTTTGCCTAGATACACTACTTAAATGCTAAGCGACTTAATCCGGCTGTTAAACACGAATCCATATACATTTATGAGCACGCTTGGGGCCCCTGGTTTATGACATGCTCTCCCTGGTGCCAGCACCAAATGAGGGCACCCAGCAGCAGCCACATAGGCCTTTACATAGACTCTCCAGCACCAAAGATGGTACAGCATGTGTGCTTTCTGAGGGCTTGTAAATGTTTACAAACGACGCATAGTCATTAGACTAAGAGTTAGTGGTTTTAAAACCTTCAGTTCGGTAATAAAAGTTTTACAAGAGTGATGGAAACCAAAACGGCCATGTGAAGCTCTGCTCTAAGATCCTCTTACATAAGGGAGCATTCTTCAGCCCTGGGAAACACGGTGAGGGACAATGGCATTTTCAAAACCAAAAGAATTTATGAAGTATGACTTCACTTTACCTCACTGGAGTCCCTATCATAAGGGAGAGTGTAACTTTTCTCACTTATAGGTTATAGCACATCTTATTGACAGTTTCCCTGTGAGTGAACATGTCATTCACAGAAGGAGAGGGAAATGAGGCGGGCGAGGAGGGGAAAGCGAAGAGGAACACATGCTGGCGTCTGTGTGGTCTCTTAAGGATGCTCTCCGGATGGCTGCCTGAAGTGTGGGCACTCATTCATCTCCACTCCCTTCCTTTCAGACGCTGTTTGTTTTTATGCCCCGATCTGGCTGCCTCTTGTCAGGCCTGCTGAGGAGCAGGATGCCTCCCTAGAAACACATCCCATGGGCTTTATGGCCAGATGCGGATGCAGACACAGTGTGCTCACATGTCTGACAAACGGGAGGGCGCTTCTGTCGTTTGTGATACTAGCTAGACAACCTGCTTCATTACCAAAATGATGACACCAATTTTAGGTAAAATGGTAACAGTTCCAGCCACAGGTTTATGGAAAGTCACTTGAATGTGCTCTGCCAAGAACACAGAAAATAAGCCTGGGAGGAGGTGCTTCCTTTCACAGGCACCCATTACTCGTGTGTGCATGCGGCTGCACGGGGAGAGGCCCCGGCACGCCCCATCCAAGTGCAGGTACTGCCATGCGCCACGCACTTCCCAGCTGTCTGCCTTGTGAAAGGGCTTCTGGTTGCAGACCCTTTGTTTCTGCCCAGCCTGGCTGCGAGGGGCAGGATGTCCTCTGTGGGTGAGAAGGCCACCCACACCCAAAGACCCATGTGCACATCCACACTCTGTCTCATTCTCTACTGCTTCTTAGAGTTATCTTCCCACAGCCTCTCTCTCCTTCCACATTTATCATAGGAAAAAGTCTTAATTCTTTTCTCTGCTGTATTCTCCATTCTGCCCTCAACCTCTAAACTGGTTACTTTTCGTTACAGTCTATCAAGTGTACTGTAAAAAGATTCTACGACATATAGACTGAAACTAGTAACTGGTTTCCTGATTCTATGGTTTTATTATTAGTAGTAAAATTCTACTCTGTGTAAATAAGCATAGAGAGGTAAGAAAGATAGCCACTGTCTGCCATGTGAAAGGTTACACTATCTTAGGGAACCCTTGGTATAAGCATGCAAATCAGTAACGTCTGGGTTGGCCTGATGGGTTTTCCACCGACTTACCATAGCCAGTCTGTGACACCAGCTCAGCAGCTCCTCCGATGGGCTTTGTGAACACCCCCATGATTCCTTTCCCCACACCCGAGATGACACCCTTGGCCTTGTGTCCTGCTGAAGCCTGTGCCTCAGATGTTTTCTGGAAGTTCTGCATCGGCTGATCAACTATACCAGCAATTGCACCTGGAATAACAAAAGCCCTCAGTAAGGACAGAGGCTTAAAATCCTCGGAAAATGAAAGGCTCCATCTGGAACACAGTTTTATCTGGATTGAAAATGAGTCCCCACCCTCATTATAAAGGTCTTTACTACCCATTTGTTTACCAGTTATCTAAGTACACCAAGGGCAGTAGACATTTATTATCGTCATCAAAATACAATGTTCAGACGGAGTTTGGTCCACACAGTCAGGATCTGTGAAGTTTAGTTCAGAATTTAACAAACCTGTCAGGCTATTCAGAGTGTCATCCATACATCTTTCCTCAGAAGTCAGGCAACAAAGTTGAGAGAGAGGAGCTAACAGTTCCTCAGGAGCAGAGAAAGACTGTTCAGCCCAATACATTTGCACTGATTCATGAGGATGAAAAACTGGAAGGGGTTAGCCCCTTTCTAACTCTCCACTTTTGATAATAATGATAACAGTCATAATTTAGTAGTATTAATACTTAAGAGTAATTATTGATATAGTAATTATTATTTGGATTATAGGTAATCTATCTTGAATGCTTACTAGGTCTGGGGACTGTGCTAAGAGCTTTATTTGTATGAGATCATTTGATCCTCATATTCCTAGGAGTCATACATTGTTTTTATCCAAATACGGACACTGAGGCACAGAGGTTAAGGAGTTTTTTCCCAAGGTCACACAGCTGTTAAGTGTACAGAGAGTTTGAGTCACAGCATAGCTCTTAACCACCAAGATACTCGCTTATCCCATTTATAAAACAGGCTCTTCCTCTTTGCCAATCTTGGAAAACCTTTCTCTCTCACTGGAATTGAGGTTTGGCCACTTACTCCTCACTTAGAATAGCGACCAAAACCCCTTGGAGCTCTGCTCCCACAGCTGTAGCACAGGGCATCCATCTCCTGCACTGAGCCTGAGGCAGCTACAGATGAAAGGAGCCCCTCAGGCAGTCCTGTGGATACGGCCCCTTTGCTACTCCTGCTTTGAGAGGCCAACAGTGAGAGCTAGAAAAGTCTTACCATTCTGATTTTTTTTTCGTGATGGAGTGGAGGGCTCCCTATCTCAGAAAGAAGGGAAAATTTCTTTACAATTCTTGACAGAATTCTCTGTTTTCAATTCAAAACTGCTAGGAGTGATGAAAATGCTCTGGCCCCTGGTAGAAATTTTAGTGCATATCACGTCAATTGTAAAGGGAATGCTCTTCATGGACTCCTTTCCTCTAGGTTTTGACAGAGACATTTAAGTTTATGCATTGACAGATTCAGAATGACCTGAGGCAACAGACCTGTTTCCCAGCCTAGAGTCGTGCTGCCAAACCTTCTACAGAAATGCCAAGAGTGAGCAGAGGAAGCTGCTCCCGGCAGGCCCAGGCCACCCCAGCTATCAAGAGTGAGGGTCACTCTTTTAGTACCACAGACAGTCAGGCCTGGCGCTCAGCTGGGAGCACCCCTCATTTGCCGTTGATGCTCCACTCCATTTGGAAGATCAGAAGTCATAGTGGCCACACTGAGGGACAGGCAGGAACCCTGGGTCTTCTCTTCCAGTCACCTCAGCAGATTATCAAAGTGAACAGCATCAAATCAAAGAGTGGGGCCTGGGCCAGCTGCGGTCACCCGCACAGGGTGCTGACAGCCACCTGCTCCAGCACATGCAGGTATCAGGTGAGGCCCCCTCTGTTCTGCTCTTCCGTTTTCTCTGGCCACAGTGAAGGCTTCGGTTACTGTGGCTTTGACAGATAAGACTATTTGGGCAGCCCCCCAAAAGTGGAAAGCCTGAGTCCCATGACAAGGTGTTAGATTCTGAGAGTCAGAGAGGGAGCTGTGGAACCACCTGCCCTGGGCTCAGCAGCAGACCTTTGAGGGGGAAAGCTGGCCTGTCACACACACCAACACCTCACCAGCCACCAGGTGCCTTATCTACCTCTGTGCTCACAAGCTGGAGAACAGAGAGGCTAAGAGACCAGCAGCCACTTCATGGTCCCTGCAGCCCTGCTTTGAGAGAGGCAGCCTCTCTGAGAGCCTGGAATGGCTCTCCTCTGAAGTATATCCAGCTAAATCCCACAACTGGTAAATTATGGACTGTCATAGACTTAAACTCTGCTCGAAGGCTTTCAGGAGTGGAAACTGATCCCAAGACTTGTCTGCTGGCCTCAGGCCCGTGGGGTGGGCGACCACATGGAGATGGCTGTGATCTGATGAAGCCAGTGAAGAGAGAAGAGCGTGACTGGGAGGGGTTTCCAGGACTGAGTGAGTGCTGCACCCCGCAGGACACAGGAGCTATTGCCTGTTGTGCCTTGGAAGGCGCAGGAGGAGGAAAGCCTTCATTGTGGAGCAGGAAACCACCAGGCCTTCCCTTACCTCTTTCTGTGACTTGCTCCTAGGCCTTGGGCAGAAACTACTTGGTCACTGGGCTATGGAAGTTCCTGGTGATGTGTCTGTTTTGATGCTGCCTTTACCATGTGGTGTAATTTTGTTTCTGGCAATTTTTTGTCACACTATCAGAAGGACAGGCATAAAATGGGATACCACGCCACAGCTCGCCCTTCCAGAAAGTAACGAGACCCATAGAGTGTACTGCACATTCCAGCTCAGCGCTTCTTTTTTTTGACCAGAACAGACGAGCAAACCAACAAGGAAGCACTTTGCCAGTCATTCCTAAATTCCGCACTGACTATAATACACACCAGTCTGCTAATGGCAGATGGTGGTATTGGAGGGATGACTCTTAAGGGCTGTCTCTTGGGATGTGCAACTCTTGAGTCACTCCCTCGGAGGGGACTTTTCTGATTTCACCTGGCGGAGGCCTGTTTTGTTGGGATTCCAGATGGCATAGCCAAGAGTGCCCATGAAGAGAGAGGAGGTGGTCTCTGGGGAATCCAGCAGCGCATCACAAACCAGGAAGCATCCCAAAAGAAGTGGGGGTCAGAGAAGCAATTCTTGACATCCTAGCTTTGGTGTTCATGAGAAGGCATCAGGTTTGGGAGGAAACGCAGAATGCAGCTGTGATGCGGAGCTGCACGTCCTTTCTCAGTGCAGGCTCCAGAGTGTAGTAGAAAGTGAGGGTGTTGGGGAACAGATCTGGTAAATGTGGGCAAGGCTGATGCCAATACTGCAGGCTAAACGGAGTTTTTCCAAAAGCCGTTGCTCTTGGAAAACTGTCATGGAGCTCATCCAAAGGCCTCGGCAGCATCTCTCAGCCAGCAGACACTTTTCCCTGCTGACCTGGGGCAGTGCGGCTGGGCATGGAGCTGCAGACTTGCTTTAATTTTCAAGGGCCTCATAATGCTCCATAGTGTCCCCATGAGGGTGAAGCAGAGTCAAGAAGGCCCGCCGAACCCGTAAACATTTGGGGGAAATGTGTTTTTCCTACACTGGAACTTGCAATTGTTCAGTCTCCCCACATCCTGATTGTTTCCAGGCCTGGAGCCCCACAGGGGTAGGCGACATGGTGGAAAGGCCCAGGCTCCTGTCCTTGCTGGAGGTTTGACCTGGCTAAGTCGCTTTACCTCATCCAAAGTTGTGAAGCTATGAAGGGTTATGAAGTTGTGAAGGGTTGTGAAGATCAAATAAGATGACACCTTTGAAAACGCTTTGCCAACTCTAAACTTTTCCTTTAATATATTTTTATTAACTGGGTCCTTAACGTTTCTGTCTTTTTATTGAAGAAACTGAGCAACTAGAATATCTATTTCACTGGCATGGGTTTAAAACTATTATTATTACTATTATTATTTTGAGACAAGGTCTCACTCTGTCCACCAGGCTGGAGTGCAGTGGTGTAATCTCAGCTCACTGCAGCCTTGACCTCCTGGGCTCAAGTGATCCACCTCAGCCTCCTGAGTAGCTGGGCCCACAGGGATGTGCCACCATGCCTGGCTAATTTTTGTATTTCATTTTATTTTTGTAGAGATGGGGTTTTGCCACATTGCCCAAGCTGATCTCGAACTCCTGGGCTCAAGCAATCCACTTGCTTTGGCTTCCCAAAGTGCTAGGATTACAAGTGTGAGCCATGTACCCGGCCTGGATTTCAAATTATTATGTGATAATGGCTCTAACTTCAATTAGGCACTGCATTGTATGTGGCAATTTCAAACACCATTTCTGGGGAAGAATTAAATGGTGGCCAATCTATAACTTTCCAAAGTGAGGAGATTTCAGTTTGCTGTACTCCGCTCTTTGTTCTTCTTGCCACACACCTGGTAGTTCTAGGACCAGACATTTTGAGATAACCCAAAGAGTACATGAAACAAAGGAAGTCCTTGAAGTCTTACAGGAAAGGAAGCTGGTTTGAGCCAAGCTTGAGATGCCCACTGTGAACTCTGCAGAGTCAAGACATGGACACACTGCTCAGGGTGTGAGCTGGGCTGGGACTGGGGCTGGCCAGTGTTGGCAGGTGCAGCCAGCATCTACAGAGGAGGCTTATGTTACCCCAAGAATTAATAATCTTCTGGAAATTACCAGATATGCAGAAAGACCCCATGAGCCCACTGCAGTTTCCAAAAATGAATTCCCTCACATGGATAAGGATATGCAAGACACAATGACTACACCAAAGATCAGAGCATTATGACTTACCCGGTCAACAGGACCCACGCCCAGAAAGATGACCTCATCAGGGCTGATTTGTGACTCCTCACACAACTGATTTTTCCCATCAGGTACAATCTTACACACTGAAAACGGAGCATTGGCTGGGGTTTCTCTGACTGGGAAGAGACTGGAACCCTCGGGCAGGAAGGGAGTCGGGGGTTGGGGTGGAGACAGCCACACACCAGCCAGCCCAGGGGTGGGTCTCTCTCTCTCTCTTTGCCTAGAAGCTCCTATAAGGGCTGGGGTGGAGCAGAGTAGTGGTACTTAAGTCTCCAATTAATAGCATCAACAGGTCCCGAATTGCAAAACAATGACCTTGAGATCCTCAATATAACCTCATTGTCACTTCCTCTGGTTACAGCCACTTAATCCATTGGATTAAGTGAAAATATTACTGCCGTTGCTCAAATATTTCTTTTTGCTGAGGCACTCTTGGAAACCAGGCAACTCTTACAGTTCATTTGCTACCATACTATGATAATGATAGGTTCTGTTTACCAAACATGAGCATGGTGGCTGCCATATAACTACCCACTGTTACTTCTAACAATGGTATCACCAGGCCCAATATACAAAAGAGAAACTCAGGTTCAGAGGAGAACTTGCCTGAGGTCACAAAGAAAGGACTTGAACACCCTAGCCCAAGGTCTGGGGCTTCTGAGGGCAGGGTCCACTGCCACACCACCTTCCCCAAAGGAGTCACCATCACCTTTGGGTTACTGAGTTAAGCAAGAAGGTTGCTCCCTTACCCAGCTTGTTTACCACAGGTCACCAGCTTCCCAGTTTCCACATATTATCAAATGACAGTGCCCCACACCACTGAATGTTTTTACCTATATAATTTCCAGCAACTTAACCTGAACTTGTACCATTTTACCACTTCCTCCCAGAGCCTCAGCTAGCTGCAGTTGCCAATCTAGGAGTTCTGTAGAGAACTGAAGATCAGAGAGAGGGCGAGTCCTTTCAAACTCATCTTTTCTACCCTTTGCTCTGCACTGCTTTGGGTCACTTTGATCTCTGGGAGGCACACACTTCCTCAGATGCGCGGAAGGCACATTGCCAAGCAATACAGTTTTAAATTCTTTTGCAAACAAATAAACAAAAAAATCCTTGAAAATCCTGCCCTGCAAACTTTTAGCTCTGAAGCTTCCTTTTCATAAATTTTTTAAAGCAACTTATTTTCAAACATTTGTAATATTTTGAAATATGCAGAGCAATCTTCACCTCTAACTATACCATCTGGCTGCTCTACAAACAATAATTACTCTGAATCAGGCTGATCTCAAAAAAGTAAAGGACAAAGTGGGCTCCTCACTGAAGTTTACGTGACATTTGCATGTTGCTCTAGTGTTTCTCAAACAAAAGAAGCGGCTCAGCATGTGTGGGAGTGAGGGAGCCAGTGCTTCGGAAGCGTTGCCCATCACGTTCTTCAGAAAGCCAACAGCTGGATGCTGCTGTCCTCTTGCAGACACCACTATGCTTAGAGCAGGTCCTATCAAATTAGGATTTCTTTTAAGAACTTCAGTGAGGCCCAAGATACATTTCATGCACAAAGCAAACACAGGCGCTGCATGTGCGGCTGTGCAGGTGAGCCCCCGGCGGGACGCACTGTAGAACTCAGAGCAAGTGCCTTACCTTCTCTGAGCATTTCCTGGTCATTCCCAGGCAGAAGGCGAAGTTGCCCAGTCCTGGGAGACCCTGCATCTCAGCCTGCTGGAGTACAGACAGGTGGGAGGCCCCGCAGCCCCTTACCAAGCAGGCTGATGCCCAGCCGGGACAGGCCCTGTCGAAGCCCCTCGCCCAGGCTCTCGGGGAGCTGCCGCCGCCACTCCTCCTGCCGGTTGTAGTGCTCCTCATCCAGTGAGAGCCGGTCCATGTTCCGGGCCAGGCTTGTGGCGAGGTTGGTGATGGATGTGAGGGTACCTGAGGGAACAAGAGCATGGGGTTAGCCTCCTTGTCGCATACATGATGGACCCCAAGGCAGTAGTTTCAGAGGCAGCGGGAGCACCTGTGGCCCCTCCTGGACATGCCCAGTGGCAAGTGATGGTGGCTCCCTCTCAGGCAATTTGAAGAAAGAGCCTTAAGAAAAGAGGTAAACAACTGGGGTGGTGGCTCACGCCTGTAATCCCAGCACTGTGGGAGGCCAGCGCAGGAGGATTGCTTGAGCCTAGCAGTTCGAGACCAGCCTGGGCAACATGGCAAAACCCTGTCTCTATGAAAAGTTAAAAAATTAGCTGGGTGTGGTGGTGCACACCTGTAGTCTCAGCTACTCAGGGGGCTGAGGTGGGAGGATCGCCTAAGCCCAGGACGTCAAGGCTGCAGTGAGCTGCAATTGCACCACTGCACTCCAGCCTGAGTGGCAGAGTGAGACCTTGTCTCAAATAAGATAAGATACAATAAAATGAAAAAGAAAATGAGGTAAAGAGGAACACTTGCCCACAGGGGTGATGACACTCTTCAAAGGGTAAGAATCGCAGGTGCAGAACACAGCCTAGAGTTTCATATGAAACTATCCTTCACTATAATTTAATTTGTCAAGGTTTGGTTAAAACAGTATTGATGCCTTCACTGAGGCCCAATTTTGAAGGTTAAAATCTGCCTGCTGTGATTTTAAAGGGTAAAGTTATGTTGCTAAGTTTTAGAAAGATTATAAAGAAATACTTCAGCTTTAGGAATAAATTTTATTCCCTCCATATAACTTCAGTCATAACAAAGGGGGAGATACTAAACCTTATCATTTGCCATTCTGAGGATGTAATTATTGTGCCATGGAGAATATGTGCAATTTTGATATTCAGGATGTTAACTGAAAAACCAGTGAGGGGAATAAAGGGAGTAAATCATGTGAGAGCCGTGAATCTGTCTGGTTTTCCTAAGAAGGGCTATTTCAGCATTTGCTCACAATAGCCACAATTCCTCTAGCAGGTCTGCACACATCTTAGTGAGCGAAACTGAGCGACTTTCATGGACAGATCTGGACACTAACAAACTAGCTCATCTGTTATTGCAGGTCCAGTTTCAGGAAGAAATGCTCAATGTCGTTTTTGCAGCTGCATCTTTACCAGTAATCTGAAAAGAAAAATATCTGTGTGCGCACACACATAGGGATGCCAACAAACCAAAAAGATTTTGCTAAGAGAAGAAAAGAACAAGTGTAAAAAACATTCAGTGAGTCAGTAGGCTGAAAATACCACTGAGGTTCAATTTAGCAGGTGTTAGTTGTCTTATTTTAACATAAAAACAACAGAACCACAGAGATTCCAGTGTCAAGAGTGAGCAGTCTGCCAGTGACTCATGGGGTGAGTTTCTGCAGCTCAGCCCCCAGTCCTCCCAGATGATTTGAGGCCTGGGGGAGTGTCCTTTTCATTGTCCGTGGAATTTGTTTTTATGACTCTGGCTGTTCTCTTGCCAGCCCTCCCACCCACAGTCCCTCACCCGCTCTATGGATCATGGATTCTCCTATTTCAAGATCAAGTCTTCTTTTGAGGCCTTCCAGAGACTTTCACAGACCTGTCCTATGGCCTATAGTCAGATGCCTTTTACGGGAAGAAGCCCTTTGCCCTGTTTTCCTTGCCTCCTGCTGAGAAGAAAAGGGGACTCAGATGGCCCTTGTTAGTTCCCAAGTCTCTGCCAACCTGACCAAAATAACATCAAGCACACACACACAGATAAAACTAAAACACTGTCCTTGCGGGAAGCACTTTGGCCTCCATGCCCGATGACCTGTCTGGGCCACAAGATGGCACTGTTTACGTGGCGTGCTAGAGAAAAGTTGGCTGTTTCACCCCCAAATCCGCTTCCATGTCAGAATGTATCCATATCCTTAAGAAAGTTATGACAACTGTATCTACATTTAAAAAAATATGATGAGGCAACACAGTGTAGGGTTTCTGATGTTTAGCAGAAATCCTGAACACCTTTAATATTTCTGTGTTTATCACATGAAATAACATTTGAGCCAATCCTTGTTTTCCCAATGGGAGGCTTAAAATTCTGAAGTTTCTGAAACATTTTCACACACCAGAGGCAAGTAGTGATCTGTTCAAAACATAAGACATTATATATGAGCTTTGTTACAAACCCAAACTCTCACTGCAAGCTAAAAGGCCAAACAAAGCTAGAGGCAATCTGAATGCATTTAAAACTTTAGCACATTCTTTAAAAAAAAAAAAAAAGGGAAGGAGTGAAGGCATTATTACAAGGAACGGAACCCGCTACCTTTGGAGATGTGCTTTACAAACGATGTGGTCCCTCTGGAGACGCCACTCACGAAGGCTCCAGGGCCCCGGGTCAGCCCCTCATACGGAAGCCTGAAGAAGTCGGCGACCCCGTTCCCGATGCTTCTCACCAGGCTTGCAGGGCTGCCAAGAATATCCAGAGACCCAACTACCCAGCCTGCAACGCACAAGAGGGAAGGGGTGATTGAAACCTCAAATGCAGAACTTTCAACATTTGTGAAAAAGTGACCCATTTTCCCTGCAATTCATTTTTCACACTAGAATTGGGAAAGTAATCTGTTTCTTTGGAAGAAAATAAGGGAAATAAGTCATTCTCTGTGAATTCATAAATGGCAAACTTTCATACTTTATAAATCAAAGTGATCCTCTGACGGCCCCACAAATGGCTTTAATATGACTGCCTTGCCCAAGCCTCCCATATTCCTGCTAACGGGGGTCCATGTGGCGGGGATGCACTCTGCTACCACCTGAGGAAGGGCGCCTTCTTGGGTTGCAGGTGTTTGCAGGTGGGAGGTTCTCTCTAAAGCCTCCCCGGGACAGCGGAGGCACCAGGATAGGAGGAGATGCCTGGCCAGGGGCGGCCAGATGCTCAATGGCATGTCGCAAAGGGGATGCAAACTTCTGACAAGAATGGAGGGGTTGTTTTTAATCTTTCCCAATCCTACTGAGTTGAGTGCTTCCCTTTGGAGCAGAGCTAGACCCAGACAAATGTCTTGGACCCTTCAACCCCTGCTCCGGTTATGTAAACACCAGAGACAGGGACATTTTTTTTTTTTGAGATCGAGTCTCACTCTGTCACCCAGGCTGGAGTGCAGTGGTGCAATCTCGGCTCACTGCAACCTCTGACTCCTGGGTTCAAGCGATTCTTCTGCCTCAGCCTCCCAAGCAGCTGAGATTACAGGCACATGCCACCACGCCTGGCTGATTTTGTATTTTTAGTAGAGATGGGGATTCACCATGTAGGCCAGGCTGGTCTTGAACTCTGTGACAGGGACATTCTGATGAGGTTAGTGAGAGGGGAGTGTTCCCTTGTGCATGTCCCAGGAGGGCAGCTTTGGATCTGGTTTCCTCCTGAAGCTTGGGCTGGCCAGAAGCTGGCCTGCCACTCAGCCGCTGCTGCCCCATGGGAACGCGGCTGTGCGTGGAGTCTGGCAGGCACTGCCCTTACCCTGGCTCTCTGGGGTGGGGATTTGGGGCTGTAGGCCCCAAGAATTGGAGGGGCAAGTGAGGGCCCAGGAGAGGAGGAGTCTGAAAAGACAGCTTTCTCCGGGAAGCCACTGACCTCCCCAGCCTGGTGCTCAGAGCCCGGTAATGGGAAGGCTGTGGGGACAGGACTGGGTGGGAGCCATCCCTCCTTCACCAGCAGGCTCTGAAGAGGAGGACAGTCCTGTGACAGAGATCCTCAGCTCAGCGATCTGAGGGGATCAGGAAGGTGAGGGTACAACAGCCACGCCAAGGTCCCGAAGAATCCCATGCCCAGCCCACGAAGAGAGGGACGCTCTTAAATTTTGAGCCCTCCTCCCTTCTCTGGAACGTTAGGATGATAACACTAGGGTTTAGGGCAAAGGAGGGAATAATTTCTGGAAGATAAAGATTACAAATGAGAGGCCCTATGGATGCCAGGCATTCAACACATTTAATTCTCACGGTAACTGCAAGAAAAGTATTCTCTCCCTTCAAATCAGTGCAGGCTAACTGGTGACTGAGCTGCTGTCTGGGTCAGGGAATGGACCAGGCACAGGAGGCAGAGGTGAATGCAACATGGTGGTACTGCTTCCACGGCCTCACAGGCAGGAAAAGGAGGAGACTGAGGCTTGGAGACTAAGCCAACTGCTCACAGTCCCCTGGATGATCCACCTGTGGGCTGGGTTTCCAACCCAGGTTTTCCTAATTCTGAAGCTCACCCACCTCTTTCTTCTGTGAGCTCAGGCTGCAAAGAGTAGGCGAGGGAGCTGGGGAGGCTGTGGAATATTCCTCCATGGAGGGCCTTCTCTGGAGGTAAAGAAACAGCAGATTCCCTTTAGCCCTGAATGGCTGTAAGGGTGTACCTAACGGCAGAAGGTTGGTCTAGAAACATCTTAATTCCCCATCTCTCCACGGAGTCCATGTATAAAAGAAAGGAGTAGCAGCTATGGCCAAGCAGTGTCCCCCACGACAGGCCTGTTCAGGTCGGTGCCGTGGGCGTAGAGAGGGAGTGGGAATCCGCCTCGGCCTCTTGCTCCTGCCAGTGGCAGGTCCTCCCCTGTCGTGGGGTTGGAACCCTTGAATCCTGAAGCCACTGCCTGATAGAAGGGCTATGTGTAGGCCAGAGCTACATCTCAGTGACATCTTAGCTGGTCAGAAAAGGGCAGACAGATCCAAGGGTACTCCTTTATTGCCCTTCAAAAGCAAATCTATCTTTTGCTCAGTCGTTTGGAAATTGGTTGAAGAAGGGAGTCTGCCTGGCTCCCAACAAACTGAGACTTTGGGTTAGAGAGGGGCCTCAGGATAAAGACCACATGCTTTCCTTCAGATAGGGTCAGTTACTGATTTCCAATTACTATTTATTTTTATTCTGCCTCTCCCACCCATACTTTTTTATTTTTAGTTGTTTAATTTTTAAATATTTTTTATGTTTTTGGAGATGGAGTCTCGCTCTGTTGTCCAGGTTGGAGTGCAGTGGTGCAGTCTTGGCTCACTGCAACCTCTGCCTCCCAGGTTCAAGCAATTCACCTGCCTCAGCCTCCCAAGTAGCTGGGACTACAGGTGCATGCCCCCACACCTGGCTAATTTTTTGTATTTTAGTAGAGACAGGGTTTCACCATGTTGCCCAGGCTGGTCTTGAACTCCTGAGCACAGGCAATTCGCCCACCTCGGCCTCCCAAAGTGCTGGGATTACAGGCGTGAGCCACTGCGCCCGGCCTGTTTCTTTATTTTTAAAACCTCTTCAAGTTGATACCACAACTTCCCTAGAAATGAGGTCAGGGTGTTTTCCATGACAGGCAGGGGCACTCTGACTCAAGTGAGATGTGGGTGGGCAACTTGCCCACCTGCAGCCAGCTCTCTCCCTTCCCTCGACAAGGATGCTAACCTGGGAGTCTGGAGCCTCCAGCATCTTCCCATTTCCTACTCCTTCAATCACTGCTTTCTTTCAGATGGTCTTCAGATTGTCCATAGATTTTTAGTGACAGAGTTTCCAACAGGCTCTGAAAACTTGGCCCTCTATATTAGAATCCCTTATCTTGGTATACAGTGAGATTGGAACGGCAGCTTAGAGGATTTTTGGGTGAATTCTATAAAATTCAAATAGAATGTTCTTGTGAAAGCTCATTAAAAATATAAACCAAAACAAAGAGAGCTCGTTTTTAGCACACGGGCTGCAGGGCCCGTTACTTGGTGCCACAGGTAGAGTTTCCCTGCTGCTTACTGCACTGCTGCGTCGTGCAGAGACTGAATGGGAGCCTTCGTCCTTGCCAGGCCTCAGATTGGAGCTCAGTAACCTACGTGCCTGCTTCTTATGTGAAAAAGCAAAGGCTGCCTGAAGGGAAAGTTTCTGGAACTGTTTATAAATACACCCATCTATTAAACTTGAAATGTGGACTGCTTATTTTTAAATGAGTTTTTAGCAATAGGGAAATGTTTTCTTCATTGTTGTGCAAGCTATCAAGACAACAGGTCTGGCAGGACCCTCTCCCTGATCTTGTTGTTATCTTTTATAAAAGAGTCTAGATAACCCTAGTAAGTCTATGAATTTCATTATGGAGAAAATGTAATCTGACCAATATGGCAATAACACAGGTCGTTTACTGCTGCAATCTTAATCTTACATGGGAACGCATTCACAAAGTACAACTTTACAAAGAGGATAGAACAAAGGCTCTCTCCTCTGTTACTTTCAGAAAGTAAGATTTCCATGTTCTTTATTGGAAAGGGCTGACAAGGCTAACTCTGGATGCTGTTCTTTGCTTGAATTTCTGGGAACCCAATTATCAAATTAAAACTGCTTTAGAGTGAACCTGGCTCAAGAACACACACTGTGATGCCGATTACCATAACGTACCCTGAGACCACATGGTTCCCACCACTCAATCTTATTTTTTGGGACAAGGTCTTGCTCTGTCACCCCGGCTGGAGTGTAGTGATGTGATCATAGCTCACTGTAGCCTCAAAGTCCTGGGCTCGAGCAATCCTCCCACCTCAGCCTCAGTAGTAGCTGGGACTACAGGTGCACGACACCACACCTGGGTAATTTTTTAAACTTTAATTTTTTATAGAGACAAGGTTTCACCAGTTGGCCAAGCTGGTCTTGAACTCCCGTGCTCAAGTGATCCTCCCACCTCAGCCTCCCAAAGTGCTGGGATTACAGGTGTGAGCCACTGCGCCTGCTATCCACCAGTTGCTAGTACACAGTAGTCCCTCTATAAAATTTTGTATGCATGTTCAAACCACCCCCTGCAGACTTTTCCAGCCAGACTGAAAAGGGAATCCTTACTTTTCCCACTGAGTCCCTGAGAAACAGCAGCCCTCAGCCTGCAAGAGGCCACCTGCCTGGCCCCAGAGAGTGGATGGGCCATTCCTTCTCTTTGAGCTCAGGTCTGTGGAGAGGCTGACACACTCACAGCCTTCCCTTTGCCAGCTATATAGACAGGCAGTGCAGCACTGGGTAGATAGAGGGCTCAATGTGCATCTTACAAGCACACAAATCCTCTGAATTTCTCACCTACCGCTATTCATAAATAGCAATGAAGAAAATAAACGAGAACTGGACTCCTTTTAGGCCGAGGGACTGAAGACCTGGGCTAGTTTTCCTAGTTGCTCTAGTGTGCTAAGAAAGGGCTCTGTGCCTGCAAGTTGCTAAAAAAAAGTGTGTGCTAAACTGAACTAAAATTCTAAGTTACAGAACAGCTACTACTGCTTGAATGTTTATTGAGTGGCAAGCAAAATGCTGGGTACCTCACGTACTTTCATCTGATCCTCTCAGAAATCTTCAAAGCCATTTTATCGATGAGGAAATGGAGACTCAGGAAGGTTCAATAACTTGCCCAAAGTCTTACAGCTAACAGTGGCAGGCTCTAGATTTAGATCCAGTTCTGTGTAACTGTAGAGCTCAGGTGTGTCACCTCTTGCCAATTGCTTCTTTAGGTCTTGAAATGAGGTGCTACCCCCAAGCGTGTCATTTCTACCCGGGCTCTAGCTCATCACAGACCCTCAGCTTGTGTTCTTACCTGCTCTAAAAAGGGCCCCAGCGGCATAGTGCATTGCCAGGGCGTGCACAAGCTGCCTCGCAGTGGTGAAGATGGGTCCTCTTTCAAACACCGAGAAGGAGAGAGGAGTGTGGTCTGAGGCTATGTACAGCTTGAGGGAAGCGTGGATGCTGACGAGCAAATTTACTGGCTGGATCACCAGTTTCCGTAACTTCACAGGATTCACCAAGGCCCTGGCGTGCTGTGTGACCTGCATGGGCAACACCTGTTTACCCCCGGAGAGGTGTGTGGAGTGACCAGCCAACCTGCTGTTAGGAAGGTAGGTGTCAAACAAAGTCTTGATGTAGTATACAAATGTGTCTTCCACGTATAACCGAGCAGGTTTTAATTCAAAGCTGAACTCATTAATATCACAGAGGATGCTCTTGCCTTCATTTAAGGTGATGCAAAGTTTGATAAAACATTTTTCCTTGTATTCTTCCAACTCTTTGTTGGATATGAGGAGACTCTGCATTTTGGAACACTGAATGGGTTCTGCTTTTTCTCCCTGGCAGACTAAGACAGCAAAGTGGAAATTGGACTTGTTATAAAGCTGGTTGTCTAGCTGCAGGTCCCCACAGCAGATCTCCACACAGTAAAGTTCAAACAACGCAGCCACAGGCTCTTCCCCAGGGAGGGGACCAGCTCCCGGGGCCACACAGAGAAAAATGTTGTCCAGTGTGAGTCTCAGAAGCTCAGCTGATGCTTTGTGGTGGGTGAGGTCATCAAACACTGCCAGGCTTAACTGAGTGATGAACATTTTAAATGTAACAATCTTCTCTGGCGCTCTAGAGGAGAAAGGGACAAGAACATTAGTCCCCCCACTCACCTTTTCTTTCTCTCTTCTTTCTTTTTTATTGACAGTACCCTATTAAATACCTCCTGATGGGACATCAGATTCTCATAAGAAACAAATAAGAACTCAACTTTCAGTACATTGTGTCTGGACGGAGTCAGTCACACTCCAACAGTATTGGGAAATGTTCCCAATGGGACTATTACAAGCTCTTGTCATGTTTCCTTATGTTTCCCTTATCAACACCAGATTTTTACCCCAAAATCCCTCTAGTCTTTGTGTACTAATTCTCTATCATGATGATCACAAGACAGAAAGAGATAATAAAGTAACTGAGACTCCCTAAATTGAAAAAGTGATGTGAGCAGAAGAAAACTTAGCAGGAATTCCTGCCACAACTGCCCATCAACCGTGCCTGAGTCCATGCTTGGCTCTTCTCCATCTCCATTTCTGGGGCGGAACCACCCTTGCTTCTGTCTCAGGTGAACCCCTCTCCAAAGTGCACCAAGTCACTCTGCTCTCACCTACTCAAAGACATCCCTCCAGCAACTCACACCCCTTTCCTCCATCATCTTTTTCTTCATTACTAGCAGCTTGTAAACATGCTGTCATCTCTCAGCTCAAAAAATCCCTCATGACTCCACTCTCTCCCTTAGCTACCACTCATTTTTCTGATCCTCTCTACACAGAAACTCTAAAGTGTGTTCTATACACACTGTCTCCAACTCCTCTCCTTCCCTGCTCTTTAAGGCTTGCTCTAAGCAGCCTTTTGTGCCTCCATCCCCAGCCTAATAAAACAACTCGTCATCAGTGACTTCCATTTGGCTACATCAAATGATGGACTTTCAGTTTTTTGCTTATTCGACATACTAACAACATATGACATTGCTGACAACTCCCTCCTCCTGGAAATACTTTTCTTTCCTGTCTTCTCTCAGCTCTTCTACTTCTCTGACCTCAGTTATTTATGCAGATCCCTCTTCCTCTCCCTGACCTCTTAAAGTGCCTAGGGCTCAGCCCTTGGTCCTCTTCTCACCCCCATCTTCACTGACTTCCTTGGGGATCTCATCCAGTCTTATGACCTGAAATACCATCTATATGTTGATGGCTTCCAAAGTATATACTTATCCTGGAGCTCCCTACTGAACTCCAATCTTGTGTATCAAACTACCTATCCACACAGTCACTTAGATGTCTAAATGACATCTCAGCTTATCATGTCTATAACCAATCTCTTGATCTTTCCTCCTAAATCTGCAGATAGTCTCTCTCATCTTAGTTAATGGCAGCCATATCCTACCAGTTGCTCAGACCAAAAATTTCGGTGTCATCCTTGATGCCTCTATTTTTAGCCATTACTCAATGTATTAGGAAAATCCCATTGACTTTTCCTTAGAAGCATATCCAGAATCTGACTCTTTCTGCCACTTCCACTGACACCACTGTAGTCTAAGCCATCAGTGTCTCTAATGTGAGCAACTGTAATCCTCTCCTAACTAGTCTCCCTGCTTGCTTGTGCCCTTGTTTCTCTACAGTCTACTTCAACAAAGCGGCCAATGATCTTCTAGAAATTTAAGTCACAGGGTGTCACTTCTATGTTCAAAAATGATCCAATGAGTTCCTCATTTCACTTAGAATTAAAGCTAAGCCCTTCAATGGCCCATGAGGTCTCCCTCCTTCTAGCTCTTACCTCCTGGACCTCATGCACTGCTACTTCCACTTCCACCCCCTCCACTGGGCCCACAACAGCCTCTTCCCTGCTCCTCCTTGATGCCAGGCATGTTGTTGCAGGCCTTTGAACTGGCTGTGCCCTCTGCCTGGGAAGTTCTTCCTTCAGATAGTCACATTACTAACCCCCTACTGCTTTCCAGTCTCCGCCCAAACATCAACTTCTCAGTGCAGCTTACCTACACCAATTTGTTTAAAACTACACTTTCCCAGTCCCTTGGCCCTGGCACTTCCAGCCCCTCTTACTGAGCTCTGTTTTCATCCCTGTAGAATGCTGACCTTCTACTGCACCATAACATTTCCTTTCTTTTTAGGTTTACTCTCTACACCCCCCATCACCTTGCCCAATTCCATGCCTATGAGGAGAAAGTCATCTTCTCTAGGGAAGGGATTGGGCCTTTTTATTTATGGATGTATCCTCATCCCATGCTAGGCATCCAATAAGCCCTTGAAAAACATTTGTTGAATGAATGAATGAAATTCCAAGAAATACTTGTACCTTTCTCATGAAAGTTTGCTTCTATTGTTATTAACATTTATGCCCTAGATAAAATGTTTCTGAAATTGTTGAATAAACCCGAAATTTTGTGCTATACTAGTTAAAAGTTCGTCTTCAATTTTGTTATGCTATTAATTTTTTATGAACACTTTTGGGCAAAGAAAACATTCTATCCAACATTGTTTGAAATATTATAAATTCAAATTAGCAGAGTCCAAATTAATGAGTTCTTAACCATATATGAGAAGCAATAAACTTTTTTTGTTGTTGTTTTGTTTTGTTTTTTTTCCAAGATGGAGTCTCGCTCTGTCGCCCAGGCTGGAGTGCAGTGGCATGATCTTGGCTCACTACAACCTCCGCCTCCCAGGTTCAAGCGATTCTCTTGCCTCAGCCTCTTGAAGAGCTGGGATTACAGGTGCCTACCACCAAGCCTGGCTAATTTTTGTACTGTTAGTAGAGACAGGGTTTCGCCATGTTGGCCAGGCTGATCTCAAACTCCTGACCTCAGGTGATCCACCCACCTCGGCCTCCCAAAGTGCTGGGATTACAGGTGTGAGCCACCACACCTGGCTGCAATGAGCTTTTTAAAAGAAAGATTTAAACAAACGTATGAAAGTTGGTGGTATTTATATTTTAATATTAAGTTATTTTTTCTGATCATAAAATAAATGCTATTATAAATAATCAAAATACAGAAATCAAATAATAATTACATATTAAATAACTCATTAACCCCACATCTGTTACCAATTTTGAGTTTTTTTCTTTTCAGTCTTATTTCTAGGAATGTTTTCTGTGTATGTATAAGTACATACATGCGTACTTATGTATGTATGTATAAGTACATACATGCGTACTTATGTATGTATGTATAAGTACATACATGCGTACTTATGTATGTATAAGTACATACATGCGTACTTATGTATGTATAAGTACATACATGCGTACTTATGTATGTATGTATAAGTACATACATGCGTACTTATGTAGGTATGTATAAGTACATACATGCGTACTTATGTAGGTATGTATAAGTACATACATGCGTACTTATGTAGGTATGTATAAGTACATACATGCGTACTTATGTAGGTATGTATAAGTACATACATGCGTACTTATGTAGGTATGTATAAGTACATACATGCGTACTTATGTAGGTATGTATAAGTACATACATGCGTACTTATGTAGGTATGTATAAGTACATACATGCGTACTTATGTAGGTATGTATAAGTACATACATGCGTACTTATGTAGGTATGTATAAGTACATACATGCGTACTTATGTATGTATGTACAGATAACACATAACTAGGATCATATATATTCAATATTATATTCTACTTGTTTTATTTTAGATTATAATATGCATTTTCTATTCCATTAAAATTCTTTGAGATCTACTTTTTGCAGTTGTAACATTTATAGTACAATTATGTATCATCTATTTCCCTATGGATGGGCATTTTTACTTTGAATATTTTGCCATTGTAATTAACTGTGTGATATCTCTCACTGTGTACATCTCTCTGTGTATATCTTTGCCCACTTCTCCATTTCCTTAACTCTGAAACTCCTAACACACTTAAAAGTGGAATTTCTAAGCCAAAAGGATTTTAAAGCTCTTAATATGTATTACCAAAGTGCTTATAAATTGGAAATAGTACCAATTTATACTTTCACCAGGACTGTATATGATACAACATCATTGTTAATTTGATAAATTAGCATTTCTTTGATTACTTATATTTCCTCTTCTTAGAATTTTCTGTTCATGCCTATTGCCCCTATTTTTGTTTCTGTAAGGCCATCTTTATATTATTCCTATTGAATTATGTGAATTCTTTTAAATTAAGGATATTAACTCTTTGTCTATTTCATGTTTTTAAAACCTGATGGCAACATTCAGGTCAAAGTGGGGGGTGGAAAATATGGCTCTAAGAGGCGTATTTATATTTGATGTAGCTCTAATTGCTAAGTTTTATTATTAATTACTACACTGTCATGCAGACACAGAGGTATTAATGTGCATTTCATGCTAATAATAGTGGTATGATTCCAAGATGCATAGTTTGTAAATCAGTTTGTTAACCCTACCACAGAAGGAGTGCAAGTGGTATCTAGGAAAGACGGTTTATTGCTACCTATTGAAGGGATGATTTAGTGCTAATAACCATATTTTTTATGGATTACATGATAATTAACCAAAAGCTTTAATACATTATGTGGAGATGACAAAGATAAATACTAAGTTTACAACTTTGTAACAGTAACACTTACTATGTTGTCACTGGGAAAATAATTAAACCTACCTGTTGGTATTGGTTAAAATAGGTCCTGCTTTTCCTTCTGGGGCCACAGTGATGAAGACTGTGCCACACTGATGTACAACATCCACATACACATAGCCAAAGCCAGTCAGGAACACAACCTGCAGAAAGAATATTCAAAATCTGATTAAAAAGAAATAAGAAACACTATTGAAGTGGCTTGACTTCAAATGTCTCCAGTTCTGATTCAATACCACAAACAATTCCTGGTTATATTTCTTTATATCCATGTGTACGGGCTATTCAGTTGACTTGAAATGAAAAAAAATACCCAAAAGATCAAAACCAGATTTTTCAATATTCAGCTGTAAGGTTCATAGAAAAAAATGATGGATGATGGGGCATGAGTATCTTCATTCTCTGCTTCTTTGGAACTGGCAAGTAACTCTGTGTGGGCTGGAGTTCAGACATGGGGCCCACTATATGTGTGCATATGGATCTTTGTGGGAAAAAAACTAAAACTTGGGACTTGAAGTGCAATGTGCAAACAACTTTCAGGCTCTTGGGTGTTGACTTACTTCTATAGGGGTGTCCTTCTGGGCTAGGGACACAAAAACATACCTCAAAACCCACCTAGGAGCATATCACAACCCCTCTAGGGTCTTTCATGTAACTCGTAACAAGAATGTTAGATATAAGTTAATTTGCTCGGAGTAAAAAATTAATTTTTCTACCATGAGAATATGGACTAAGACCTAGAAAAAAGCTCTACCTCAGGATCCAGGTGCCAGACAGTGGAACAAACACCCTTTCAGTATTAAATAGTGAGTTGCTTAAATGGGTAAATATTTGAAAACAGAACAGGGCTATTTAAAAAACAACTCCAAGAACATCATGTTCACAGCCAGGATTACCTGAGGGTAGGGGCAAAAACCTCCTTATGCTTGGGAAGGCTGGTTCTGATGATTTGCAGTATCAATTCAGTCCAAGTCTGGGCCCTATGTTATTATTAGGGCAGCAAATAAAATCAGACATACTGAAAATTCCTGGATGACGGAACAAAGGTGGCCTCTTGCTTGACCAACAATGAATATATTCTAATTTTGATCACATGAAGAAGCACCAGAGTGTACACAGAACCACAGGAGAAAGCCAGAGAGTTATTTGGAAGCAACTTCAAGGTCACTGGTCTTCTTTCTCATGCAATGGCTTTCTCATGGACTTCAGAAATTCAGAATTTCTGACCATCTTCAGCATGCAGGTTACCTGGATGTCATCTCTGCCTTCTCCCTCTGCTCCTTGCTGCAGCCCAGCCCCTCCAGCTCTTCCTGGTTCTTCCACTGCTGCCTTCTTTTTCATTTTACAGCCTCTGCTTCAGCTGAGGCCCTTGCCTGCCACTCACTACTCACCACGCCTAGAATATACTTTTCTCCATATAAGTCCTTTCAAAAGCCTGTATGTCCTGGTGCATACAGCTTAAAGGATAGCTTACTCCATAGAGCCATTCCTTAATTTTTCTGTTCCCTTCTGGACTGACACCTACTTCTACATTCTAAAACAATTTTAACCATATTTCTATTTGATCAAAAATATTATTGTCTGTACTACAGTTACTTATGTGTCTGACCCAATTATTAGATTGTAAATCTCTTGACAGCAGAAATGGAGTCCATTTGTTGTATCTGTATTCTCTATGAACACGTTTCCCAAATGGACTGTTTTGCAAAAATATCTTTTTCAAAAGACTTGTATTCTGAATTTGCCCTATTTGTTCCAAGGTAAAAATTAAACTTACAATAAAATTTGAGAATAAACATAATTAATGGCTTAAAAATGGCTCAGCTCATGAATCTAAAACAAAAGAGATATTCTTTAAGAAATATTCCTATCTATAAACACCATCCCTTTGTATGATACATAAGGTAAATCAATTGCTTTTCTTTACTAGGTTGAAAGATATGAAATTATCCATTCAGTAGAAACCTTTTTAAGTCCCATGCTCCCATCTCATATTCCTTTTCCTAAGTCACCGTCCATAACTTCAGGACCCCTTAGAGGAGAGAGGGAGGGGATGCGAATAGAGAAATATTTACTGTTCTCTTCTCTAAGTGATTTTCAGGCATTATGAAATGAGGATACTTACACTTTCTAAGATAATAAACCTAAGGTAAGGTGATGGTTTCTGTTAAATGCCCCAAGGGCCTTCTGAAGGCAAGCAAATTAATCTGAACTTTCACGGTACTTCTTCTGGCAAAAAACCTAGACTCTGGAGGGAAATTTTTGCTTGTTGTCCCTTTCACTCACTGCTATGAATGGAAGAAACACAGACTTTAGTCTATCCTTGTCTTTTCACATTTAGAGAAACAACTCACACCTTGTAGCCTTTTGCATGATGGCAGCTCTAGGGGTTAGATAGTTAGGTACCTGAGTGATACAGGAATTAGGCATCTATATCCAGGTTCCCCACAAGTCCAAAGTAAATCCTTATCTTGGTCTAATGGTTTGAACAATCAATTACTTGACAAACACTTAAAGAGTGCCTACAAAGAATTAGTCACTGCATCAGGCACAGAGAAGATGCAATCCTACCCTCGCACTGCTCACAGCCTAGTTGGCGAAAAAGCCAAGTACACAAACAATGAGATGACAACTAACAATTCCAGACCACAGGTGTATAAAATGCGTCTCCCTCTCAGTGTATTCACCATCATGGACTCTGTGTAAGTTCCATGAGGGCAATGGTTTTGTGTGTGTTTTCTTCAGTACTTACAACCAGTGCCGGGTACTCAATAAAGATAAAGCTGATGATCTGAACATACATCTTCTCAATGTGGCTTCTGCTGTATTGACTTCTAGTGTCCACACATGTCTAGCTCTTCTCTCCTTCTGGGAATAGAGCAGGATTATACTCCCCGCCACCCCTGCAGTTAGATATGGTCTTGTGACTAGTTTTGGCCAATGGGCTAAAGGCAGAATTGACATGTATTCCTTCTAGAGAATAAATAAGGGCTTTATGTTCCACAGCTCAGTGGTGGGCCAAATCTGGTCCACTGCCTGCTATTGTGAATAAGGCTTTATTGGAACATGCTCATTTACTTACATATCTCTCCATCTATTGAGAAGTCGGGAAAACATAAGGCCTGCAAAACCTAAAATATTTACAATCCAGACCTTAAAAAAATATTTGTTGACTCCTGCTCTAGATAGCTGTGGAAGACTGTTGCACAATGAATTGTACATCCCAGTATCCATGCCCTTGTGTAGTACCTTCCCATACTGACATTGGGCGTGGCTATGCGACTTTCTTCAGCTAACATGACATCAGCAAGTAAGAAGCTTGATACAGCTTGCTTATTGGGGTTTTCCTGCTTGCCACCCTGGGCTAGCCTCCTTAAGGAGGACAGACAGAATGGTGAGAGAGACACCCAGACTTCCCAGCTGCACCCATACCTCAGCCAACTCTCTAGGTGAATGCAGATGCACGAGTGATCCCAGGCTCATCCTGCAGAAAAGTCACTTGGCCACTTCCTCAGAATCTTGAGAAGTTGTTAATCATTCTTCTTTTAAGCCAGTAGGTTTTGGGGTGGTTAGTTACAAGGGGGAAGATACGAGATGATGGACTTTCCCTCAACCTGGGTCCCTGAGTGACCATGTAGAACAAAACCCCCTGAGGACACACACTAGGCATTTAGCATGAACAAGAGGTAAGTTCTAGGCTTATGATAGGCAGCATAACTGAGCTTATACTACTAA
The DNA here is from genome assembly GCF_000001405.40 of Homo sapiens. Classification (NCBI taxonomy): domain Eukaryota; kingdom Metazoa; phylum Chordata; class Mammalia; order Primates; family Hominidae; genus Homo; species Homo sapiens. The sequence goes on along the minus strand of NC_000008.11, from coordinate 99,845,183 downwards.
TATAGATATTGTTGATAGAAGTAGTGTTCTAGCAAAATCCTACAACAGGAGACCCTGGCTTAATGGTCAGACAGTAGAAATCGATATTGAAAGCTATAAAAATGGGCATATATGTTTTGAAGTGGTAAGATATTCAGTAAAACTGTTGCTTGAGATGACTTGAGAGGTAGATCATAAACTTCATAAATCTGTAGCTCTAGAAGATGAGGTCTGAAAACCAAGCATCAGTGGTGTTATGTTGGCTGCTGTTGCCTGTGTCTGGAACATTACGTTTTGTTTTATGAAGAGATGAGCTCAGGAAAGAATTGGCCAGGTTGCAAATAAAAATGGAAGATAATAGAGAGATTCCAGAAATGTAGAACCTTGCAAAGTTAGAAATAATTTTAAACCTGCTATGGTCTGAATGTTTGTGTTCCCCCAAAATTCATACGCTGAAATTCTAGCCCCCCAATGTGATGATATTAGAAGGCAGGGTCTTTGGGATGCAATTAGTGTCCTTATAAAAGAAGCCTGAGGCCGGGGGCGGTAGCTCACGCCTGTAATCTTAGCACTTCGGGAGGCTGAGGCGGGCGGATTGCCTGAGATCAGGAGTTCGGGACCAGCCTGACTGACACATGGTAAAACCTCATCTCTCCTAAAAATACAAAAATTAGCTGGGCATGGTGGCGGGTGCCTGTAATCCCAGCTACTCGGGAGGCTGAGGCAGGAGAATCACTTGAACCCGGGAGGCGGAGGTTGCAGTGAGCCGAGACCGGGCCACTGCACTCCATCCAGCCTGAGCAACAAGAGTGAAACTCCGTCTCAAAAAAAAAAAAAAAAAGCCTGAGAAAGCCCCTCATCCCTTCCATCATGTGAGGTTACAGTGAAAAGATGGTCATCCATGAACTAGGAAGTGGGTCCTCACCAGATACCGAATCTGCCAGTACCCTGATGTTGGACTTCCTAGACTCCAGAACTGTGACAATAAGTTTCTGTTGTTTATAAGCTACCAGTCTGAGGTATTTTGATATAGCAGCCTGAACAGACTAAGATAAAGCCTCAAATAGCAAGGTCTAAACTTAGCCTCTGAACACGAAGGCAGATTAACACTCAGCCTTAAGACTGACTATAGGCAACACACTCACTGTTAAAACTTAACTGTTATATTGACTTGGAAAAAAATGTAAATCAAGGGTATAACTTTCCTGTAGAAGCTCTCTTAAATCCAGAGAGGAAGGAAGCAAGTAAGCAAAGAAATGTGTCTTAAGGACCATGAATATGGTTCCTGGCACAGGGAATTTTCTGGAACCAAATAGGTAAGAAGTCTACTGAGTTGAGAAATTACCACTGCCCTATATACTTACAAACCTGGAGTAAAAGAGACTGTGATTATGTGAGATGAAACACAAACTTCAAGTGTCCAAGGAAGATCTCCCAGAAGGTGGAGCCAGGAACCTGAAGGACAATGGTAAGAGCTCCTTCAGGATTAGAAACAGTGCTCAGTGAAAGCTGATTTCTTGCTGCCAGGGTATAGACCCCACAATATGTGCCCAGAAAACATTCAGAACTGCCATAGGCAAGAGACTGCCGTATGTCTCTCATTCTTCCCCCTTCCACAGTGGAGGGGTTATTACTGTTACCCTGTCCTATAAAACAGCAGGGAAAGGGGGAGCAGGTAATTCCATAGGTCTCCAGATCAAAGGGCATCACATACAGACTGAGCATCGCTTAGAAGTGCTAGACTTCAAGGGTGATGGAGTGACTGCTTCCAACCTTGCGGGGAAGATTTGTTCTGTGTGTGGGGAAAAAAATAATTAATGACTGATGGCCAAGGGGATTTTTTTTTCAGCTGTTTGTTATCACAGAATAACCCGGCCAGTCCTGATCAATGCCATCATTTGGTTCTTTTTACTTTCTTCACTAGTAGGGTGAGGTGGGGTGGCATGGAAGGCTCTAGGTGACATATACTAAGAGACTCACCGTTTTGCCATTTGAATCTGTGTTAGAGCACTTCAGTCAGCAAGACACTATCATATTTATTTTTTGAGAGAGGGTCTCAGTCTCACTCTGTTACCCAGGATGGAGTGAAGTGGCACGATCATGGCTCACTGCAACCTCCGCCTCCCTGGGCTCAGGTGATCCTCCCACCTCAGCCTCCTGAGTAGCTGGGATTACAGGCGTTTGCCACCATGTCCAGCTAAGTTTTGTATTTTTCATAGCAACAGAATTTTGCCATGTTGCCCGTGCTGGTCTCAAACTCCTGGGCTCAAGCAATCTGCCTGTCTTAATCTCCCAAAGTGCTGGGATTACAGGCATAAGTCTCTGTGCTCAGCCCCATCATACATATGTTAGGTCTAAGAAAACCATTTGAGGCCTGGATACTGGTTTCTACTTAGTACAATATCTTCTACCACAATTACTAACAAGAAGCATTTTAATATAACTTCTGCTTTTCTATGTACTCAGTTATCTTTATTTGAATGATTATTTATATGTAACAAATTTTTTAGAATTATAACAATTTTACTAAGTAAATTAATTACAAGGTGACAAAGAAAATAGTGGGAAGTTTTTTGTTTTTTTAAAAAATAGAGACGGGTTTTGCTCTGTTAACCAGGCCGGAATGCTGTGGCGTGATCATAGCTCAAGGCAGTCTCCAACTTCTGGGCTCAAGTGATCCTCCCACCTTAGCATCCTGAGTAGTTGGGAATAGAGGTGTGCACCACCACGCTTGGTGATTTTTTTTTTTTTTAATTTCTGTAGAGACAGGGGTTCTTGCTATGTTGCCCAGATGGGTCTCAAACTCCTGGCCCCACGTGATGCTCCTGCCTCAGCCTCCTGAAGTGTTGGGATTATAGGCATAAGCCATTGCACCTAGTCTCCCTACTTTTGAACATTTAAGTTGCAGATAGTATCACACTCATCTTTTGCTGCAAGTTGATATGTCTAAACTGATCTGAAAATATGCTACTTAGGCATTTTATTTGTGCAGCTGACTTTGGGCTAAAAGTCATTTCTTACAAAAAATATCATCTCCCATTTTGGGAAGGAATAAATTTAAAATGTACTACTGATATCTCTATATATGTGGTTTGTAAAAGAGTATCTTAACTAGGAAACCATGCTATGGAAGAATTATAGACTTAGACTTTGAAAGGCGGGAAGAGGTGATTGAGCCCTGGCCTGTAGAGGGGGAACAGGAGTGAGACGGGGCCTGATTGGTCTCAGGTGGAGGTCTGTTTTAAGCAACCTGGTGGACTGGGTTCTCTTCTCTGGGCTGGAGTCTGTGTCTTAGGAATCATTTGGGGGTTAGTTACAGAGAGAGACTTGAGGTTGGAGAGGCTGACAATGGAGAGACCTATTAAGGCGCTATGGCTAAAATCTGGGAGGGAGATGATGAACCAAAGGCCTGAAGCAGACCCCAGTCACAGAAGAAAGGGGCAGATTCCAGAGACGTTTCTGAGATATTTCTGATAGAAGCTGGTGGCCTACTGGATGTGTGGAGGATCAGAGAGAAAGGAAGACACTGAGAAGCAGTAGGCAGAAGGTAGGCTGGGAAACCACACAGTCCCAGGTTTGAATCCCAGGACCATTTATCCTGAGCAAGTTCACCTCTCAGAGCTTTGGGTAGCATCTACTTTTAAAGGATGTGACAGGGACTAATGACTATACCTTTAGAGAGCTTGAGATAAAACAGGCATTCAATATTATCTGAATCCATTTTATTTATGGTTTTTGTACTGGGAAAACAGTGATGACATTAACTGATGCAGAGACTCTAGAAGAAGCTGGCTTGGGGTAAGAAAAATGATCATCTTGGTTTCAGATGTGTTGATTTCAGATGCTTGTAGGATTTTCAGGCTGACATGTCTAGTGGGTAGGCAGAAGCACAGATTTGTACACTGGGAGTAATATGGGGCCCGGAGATCAATTTCTGGGAGTGACTGGGTGACAGGCAGTAGCTAAAGCTATGAGGTGAATTAGATATCCAAGAGAAGAAAGGAAGATGAATTTCTAAGTTGATCAAGGTAGGAAGGATTGGACAGAGATGAAAAGAAAACAGTGGATATTCTGGATGTAATTTTTCCTACTGTATACTTCTTGAAAAACATCTTAGGGAAATCACTACTCCTGAGTATCTTTGGAAACAGTTGTGACTCAGCCAGAACAAACTGTAAACACAGAGGAGACTCTAGACCAGGGTACCTAGCAGACATTCAGAAGTCAGTGCCAACTTGCTGGTATCTGTTCGACTGTGCCCTGGAGTACTGGGAAGGTGAGCGAAGTAAGCAAGAAGTCAAAATACCTGCATTACACATTTTATAAATCAGATATTCACCTGCACTGACTTTTTTTCTTTATAAAAATTCCTGAATTGGAGGGTAGACATAACTCTGAAAATTACTACCTGCTGCTTTAAGCTTTAGTGTTCAAGGTTACCTCTGTGTGATCTGCACCAAATGGACAGATTACACATTTGAGTCCTGGTTCATCAAGGCACTTAACAAAGTATGTTCTGATATTCTTGTAGATAATATCTTATACTGTATAGTTTAAAAGTGATTTTAGATGCATTTTCTTATTTAAGAAACATGGGCTAGATGAGAGTGGAGTCTGGCTGATTGACCCCATGCATTCGGGAAGTGTCTAATGATTCACTGCAGTATGTCAACCATGAACTTGTCCTGTTCAACATATTTATTAATGACCTGGATGAACATGTAGAATGCACGCTCACCACATCTATGGATGACATAAAGCTACCAGGAATACTTAATATGTTAGATGACAGCATCACAATTTTTTAAAAAGTGATTTCAACAAGCTGGACTAGGCCAATATCAACAAGACTTAATTTATTTGGGATAAATGTAAAGTCCTGTCTTTGGGTTCAAAAAGTCAACTGTATAGCAAGTCATATGATAAAGACCTGGGGGATGTGGTTGACCACAAGTTCAATAATAACAGACAGTCTGAACTCATTAATAAAAAGCTAACTCTATCTTTTACTTTATTAATGGAAGCATAGGGAGTTAATAGCTGGTTAGACCACATTTGGAATACTGTGTGTAATTCCGGCTGCCAGATTTTTAAAAGGGAACATAACACACTAGAGTGTTCACACAAGGGTAACTGTGGTGATGGGTGTGGAAATTGCATTTACTGAAGGAATGATTCAAGGAACCAGAAATGTTTGGCCTGGATAAGGGAACACTTAGGAAAGATGTTGGAGCTGCCTTCAAATAATTGTAGCGTTGCTGTATTTGAGGGGAAATAAACAATCTGTGATGTCCCAGAGGGCAAAACAAAGATGAATGAATGGATGCTACAGAGTAATAGTTTTCAGATTGATACAAGAAGAAAATTTCTCATAGCCACCACTGGATAAGTAATGACTATTACACTGGGAGCCTTCTGGGGTGAGATGTCATGGAAGGGATTCTTGCATTAGGTGAATGCGGAGATCAGAAAATCTCTTCTAACCTGTGCTTTGATGAACTTTCAGGCAGCTACTATTTGTAGCCAAGGCAAGACTTCAGAGGACAGACAGTGGCTTGAGCCTGGTGTAGGAAAAACAGGACTAGACCACATGGGAGCAGATTTAGGCTCCGGCTTGCTCCTGCTTAGTTGCAAGTCACCTAGCTGATTACTCTTTAAGCCTCAAATCTCTCATCAGTAAATAGACATAAAACTTATTGCCCTTAGAATTTTTGCAGTGATCAAAGGCTTTATCTTCCCTTTACTGCATTTATTGGTTATTCAAGTCTTTGAAGGCAGGAATTGTGCCTTATTTAGGGCAAAGGGTTTGGCACCTGATAGGTCCTCAGTAAAAGTTTGAACAAATGAATAAAAGAATGGAGACTGTGCCTGTGAAAACACTTGGTAAATGGCACAGAGCTGTAGAAACATGAAGGACTGTCATTCTCTCCTCCCCACAAAACAATCCATTTGCGAAGAAACAGCAGTGACACTGACCCGACTACGAATGTCTGCTAAGAGTCAAAGATCATGAGAATTTACTGGATCTTTTCAGAAGGGAATTTACCTGCAAAGGGGTCATTTTAATTCACTTTCTGGGGTTCAAACTACTCATTCTTTGCAGTTCAGTGGCTCAGCAAGTACTTTTCATAAACAATGCAATGACTTCCCATGACTCTTAAGATCAAAACCAAAATCCTTGATAGGACCTACGGGGCCTTGCCAGGTTTGGTCTCTCATCGCCTCACCAGCCCTCTCTCCGACCCTCTGTCATTTGGCGCTACAGCCGCACTGGCATTTAGTTCCCTGAAAGGACCACGTGCCCTCTGAACACTGAAGCTTCAAACACATTGCTCTTTCTACCTGGAAAGATTCCCTACTCTCTTGCCTAGGGAGTGCCTGTTCACCTTGAAGGCACAGAGGCAAGGTCTCTCAGTAAGAGACACCCTCCTTGACCTCTCAAACTTGTCTGCTGTACACCCACATAGCACAACTGTACCTTTCCTGCATAGCTCTTTGTAGTGCTTATAATACAACTACCCGTGCAATTACTTGCTTATTATCTATCTCCTCCACAGGTAAACTTGAGGGCAGGGGCTGTGCTACATTTTTGTTCAGTATATTTTACATGGTGCCAGTACCAAGTTATAATGTCTGGCATATGTTAGAAACTCAGTATTTGTTGACTGAATGAATGAAGCAGGCTTCTCAATGTTGTTGGTAGTTAAGTGGTAACTACTATGTTTTCTTTGTTCCTTATTTTGACTTTTTCAAAATAATGTTGCCTAATTCTGACAAAAGTGGTTTCAGAGTATCAGAAATTAAAATCCTATACACTATGACAGGAGTCTGAACTATTTTCCTGGTAGGATCAAAATTATGACTTAAAATTATTGGTGTAAACTTACTTTTATGACTTTATTTATTGAGCACCTAAAGACTGTTTTTGTCCTAAAGTCAGGCTACCACTAACTATCAAATCATGGGTATGAGCACCAGGTGCCACCTTCAGGTCTCTGGTTGAATAACCATGAGATGTCTCCTGACTAGGTGTGAGCCAGGGATTCAACCACAGAAAGCCCACAGCAACTTCACAATCGGTATTCTGCAGCCTACATGTTAGCAGGTCTTCTCAATAACTGTTGGTCCAAAGAATACTCTGTGAGAGTATACAACTCCTATGTGCATATTTCCTCATGCAATCCATTTCAAAATTCTACAACACGAGACTATCTTATTTATACAATGGAAGCAGAGGGCTTGACTGAAAAAAGTTAAAGGAGTTTTCTTCCTTGCAGCATAATGGGCATTTTATGGTGTTTTGATTTTGCTTGTTTAGGTCAGCTTTGAAATTCACAGACCAATGGCTGAGGAAGGTTCCTGGAAGACAAACTCCCTCCTCCAGAAGGACTGCTCCTTCCTTTCATCAGAGGACACAGCTCCTTTTGCTTCCCAGTGATTTATATGCCCTGGGATATTACTGAGGAGATGTCGGTGAGGGTCTGAAACAAATCTTCCTCCAGAGTAGGAAGTAAACCACGGTCTGCAGGACATATGGCACACAGCTCCTAAAAGATTAATGGGAACATGAGACTGCTGGGTCCTCAAACCACAGATGATAAGGGTGTTGGAAAGAGCACCTCCTCTTAGCTTTGAAGTATCCCTGACTACAAAGTTTTGAGGAAATTTAGAGTGAATGGGAATCCCCAAAATAAGGTTTGACAGGAAGAATGTCTATCGTAAAGAATTCCCCAGTCAAATATAAGCAAGATTTCAAAAATCTTCAAACCCATGCAGGGGAGTTCAGAGACCCTTGAGAAGCTTGCAATATTTATTTTGTAAATTAATGAGACTGGGAGCATCTCCTGAGGCTGCACAGATCCCGCGGGTTTTCACTGTTCAGCCCCTGAACACAGCTGATAGAAAGCACACCCCTGAGTAGTTTGTGGCCACTACAAACGCAGGTCTCCAGGGTGAGTGTGGCCCTCCAGTGCACTCAACCATCCCTTCCCCTGTCTCCAGCCAGGCCCTTCACCAGTTTCCACAGCTACTGCTCTTCTCAGGCCCCTCTCTTTTTCCTTCTCTCCCTTAGCAGATCAGTCATTCCACATTTCACAAATACACTTCACAGGAGCTTTAATGAAATCTTGAGAGATGAGAAAAAATGCACCAGGAGGACTGGGAAAGAGGGGTTCCAAGGGGTTTCATGTAAGGAAACAGCATGCATTGTGCTCAGAGCACCGGCTTTGCAGTCTGGCAAAACTGGATAAAATTCCAGGCCTTTTGCTTCCACTACATGCAAATTAGACCAAGGTACTTCTGGAGGTCTTAGTTTCTACTTCTCCCTCCGTGGAGATGATAGTCACTAACTTGTATGGCTGTTGTCAAGGTTAGATGAGAATGAATGTAAAGTGCTTAGCACAATGCCTCGTATGGTGTAAGTGATTATTCAATGATAACCATTATTATTACTACCGTAAATGCATTTGTAACTTTAATATATGGTTTGTAACCATTACAGTAGCCTACCTCACAAGCTTGTCGTGAAGACCAGATGAACTAATAAATGTGGAAGAACTTTTTAAAAAAGTATGGCACAATATTATTCACTCATAAAAACAAATGAAGTTCTGATCCATGCTAAAACATGAACGAAACTTGAGAACATTATGCTAGGTGAAATAAGCCAGACACAAAATGATGAATATTTTATGATTCTACTTATCTGAGATACTTAGAGCAGGCAAATTCATAGAGACAGAGACAAAGAAGAAGAGAGCTACCAGGGGATGGAGGAGGGGAGAATGGGGAATTATTGCTTAGTGGGTACAGAGTTTCTGTTTGAAATGATAAAGAAGTTTCAGAAATAGTGGTGATGGTTATACAACACTATAAATATATTTAATGTCACTAAATTATACACTAACAAATGGTAAATTTTAAGTCCAGAAGAAAGGAAATGCTAAGTTCTTATGCCATTTTCAACAAAATTAGTATCACTAACATCCAGACGAAGACAGAAACAAATCAAGACATTTTATCTGCTCAGGTTTTTAAAACTGTACTTATATTTGTGGGGTTTTACTAATTTTAAAATTACTAATTTTAAAATACACATATTTATCCTAATAACACACAAAAGAGGATTTGTATTATGACTGTACTAAAATCTGTACAGCTGAACTATGTTCTATCTAAATAAGCCTAACAATTTGATTTCCATTTCAACCTTGGATTAGATCCAAGATGGGCCTGCTTTTACTAGTGCTCCTCTCTAGTCAATGATTGTGTAGTCTACTTTGCAGATACATACTTGAGTTTGAGAATTTATAACTTAATGAGGACGTAAAAATGGATACACATGTTCTCTCACACAGAGAAAAGATGTTCAGCATTTAGAAAATTATGTTTAAAAATAGGCAACTGACAAAACCTCAGAAAAGGGCATTTTTCTTTGGGTCTTGGCAGGAACACATGGCTCACTGACCTGTGTTCCCTGACTGTTGATGTCAATGGCATCACTCCACTCAGTTGTTACTTCATCTAGAGGTTCAACTCTCAAAAGTAGGCTTGGAAGTAAGTCTTTGGTCTTGCAGTCCGGATAACTGGAAATCTGATGATACAGCTCATGATGAATTGAGCACTCGGAGGGAATTTTTTTGCAATAAACCTCAAACTTTGGAATATCTGAAATTTTAAAAAAGGCATATGCAGAATTAGCCCTTAAAGACAGAGACTTGGGGGACAGAACATAATGTGGCAAAAGAAACTTCTCAAAAAGAGATCATTAATGCTTTTATTTAAATATTTTTTTCACAGGATCACAGGTAACTACTAAATCAAAAAATCCCAGAAAAAATACACATTTAGTATTATCTAAATTCGATAGTATAAAACATACCTTTAATGTTTTCCTTTATAAGCATTTTTACTGGACATCTATTGTGGATAATTACTCGAGGACTAGGGTCTTCTGAGAGGGTTAAATAAGTCACTCCGAGGTGTTCTTGATATGTCAGCACTATAGCCCTGGAAGAGAATCAAGTCAAATGACAGAAATGTTTAGGAAAAAAAATGAATGCTCTCTCCTCTGGAACATGTTTATTTAGATTTGCAACATTCAGAACTCGAAAATATCTGTTTTATAACTCAGGGGAGATTCCTTTTCTGATAACAGTAACATATTTATAATATTCATAAAATGTGAAAAAATATTTAAAGGCAAACAAAATAATTCTATCACCCAGAGAGAACTATAGCTAACCTTGTGCTAATATTTCCTGTTGTTCTTTTCTTCCCCCATGCATATGTGTGTTAAACTCCTTCGCCAGGCAGGGTACTTTCTTCTTCCTTAAAAGTGCTTGGTAGGCTGTGCATGGTGGCTCACGCCTATAATCCCGGCACTTTGGGAGCCAAGGCAGGAGAATTGCTTAAGCCCAGGAGTTCAAGCCCAGCCTCAGCAAAAGGGCAAAACCCCATCTCTACAGCAAAATACAAAAATTAGCCAGGTGCTGTGGTGCACACTTGTGGTCCCAGCTACTTGGAAGGCTGAGGTGGGAGGAGGATGGCTGGAGCCTGGGAGGTTGGCTTAAGCCTGGGAGGTTGAGGATGCAGTGAGCCGTGTTTGTGCCACTGCACTCGAGCCTGGGTGACAGAGCAAGACCCTGTATCAAAAAAAATAAAAAATAAAAATAAGAGCTGACCTTCTTTTAAAAGGACTACTAGAGAATTTGGGTGCTTGCTCTTTTTTTTCTAGAGGTAGGCAGGCTGATAATGTTTGCTGTCAATTTCCACAAGCCCATCACACCTTAAAAAATGTACATTTTGATTAGCAGGAGCAAAGCTGTATTATTTGGAGCTAGAAAACCAGCTGTGTGAGTAAAGGTTGCCTTCTGTGATGAAGAGAGAGAAATTTTCCTATTTAGATTACAGACTACCACAAAGAATATTTCTTTGAAGCAGGAAAATGAAATTACTCTGAAGCCTAAATTACATAGAATGATTGCCAAAATTAATCAAAGAAATCAGACAATTTGCCAAATGTGGCCCTCAGCTGACTAAAAGGGGTCAATAATGCTCTAAAAAGCTTCCATTTGCCATCCATCTCATTTGCCAGTGTGAGTACTTCCCAAAGATTGTATTTGTGTGAAATGTCAAAGTGAATGGTCCATTAGCATTTGGTAAAAGCACATTAATCACACCATCTAATGTGTGCTGTTGGTTGGATTGAGGGAAGGAAATAGATGAGGAGATGGGACAGCACAAAATAAATTCATTTTAAGAGTATAGTTCTTCGATAAACAGCAAAGTTCCTTTCCCAGCCTAATTTTAAAACAGCTAGGCGAGCCAAACTCAGATAACTTCTTTTTGATAGCCAAGAAGGCTAGGGCCAGGACTCAAGTATGGTACTTTCTGTCCAATATCTAGCTTAGTATTTATAGATAAGATTAAATTATACTGTAATTATCAGAATTTTAAGCTTAATTTCCAAATTGTTTTGTTTCAAATTTTGTTTTTTAAAAAATGTTTTATTTATTATAAGTTCATATAGCTTTCAAAAAACACCCTTAAACTCACTATGCTTAACATCTCCAACCAGAATGTAAGGATAACCACTCCTCTACAGTGTAAAAGATGACAAATGTTTGTAAAATCAAGGATTTTGTGAATACTGTGAACGAAGGAGGGATGTGTGGAGAACAGAACCTTACCATTATGAATAACTTATTTAAAATATTACTATTAAAAAAATCTCTCTTGTCTTTTAAAATATTACATCAAAAGAGTTAGCATTGCTAAATCTCAAATAAAGTCTACAAATTCATAATCATGAAAATAAGGTACTTATCATAAGGGCACAATATGTTTTCTTTTGTAGCTGTTATATATACTAAGTTATTCTTGACAGCTGCAGAAGGGACATTTTACATGCAAGACAACCACATAATAGAAGTCCAGTATGAACAAACCATTATATGTCTCTGGTTTGAGTCTGTGGTTGTTATTTGCATAACTGGTAATCGGTAATTGGAGCAACTTGCGTGCAGGAACGACCACAGAACAGAGTCTTCTGTGACTTGTGTTTATCTAAGTTATCTCTCTTAATGACTTTTTTGAGAAAAATTCCATTTTGAAGTAAAAGTAAAATATGGGAAAAGAAAAAGGTCTTCCAACTTGACTTGCTCATATTTTAACCCTTATTTCTTATAATTTTATGGAGGCTAAGAACTCATAACAGGTAATTTTTTCATTATGATATGATCTTTTCATACGATGCTATTTGTATGATGATACATATGATCTTTTCATATAATGACATTCTGTGGTACAAGTACCATCATTTCCCCCCAGCGTAAGCTCCATATGGGGAAAAATCCCTTAAGTAGTATGCTGGGACAAGCCATATGTGATTATAACACTTGACCCACTGTATACAATGTCTAGAAGTAATTAAAAATAAAGCCTAATATTACATATGGGGAGCCCTGCGACCATTGTATCTCTCTTGGCATCTAGATGAACAGCTAGACTGACAAGCAAAGAAGAACAGACATTTATATAAACATAAAATACCTGGTACAGAATCCATTTTCCCGGAAATTCCCGAGGGGTACTGCCACACTCTGTCTGGGAAACTCTGGTCTAACTATAGCTGGCAGGCTCCAGCACTGTGAGCTGTCAGCACCTGGGGCAGGAGAAAAGCCCAGCATGATCTGTTTCTGAAGCAGGGATGCATCCAGTACTGACTGACTGATGTCAGGCATCAAGTCCCAGCAAGGAAGGGAGCTGGATTTCATAGCAGGCTGCTCTCCACCTGGGCAAATGCTAAAAGTAGCACTGTCTGGAACACGAAAATACTAAAAAAAAAAAAAAAAAAAAAAAAATGCAGAGAGCACATTAGCTACAGTAATACAGCAGAATTAAACTTTTTAAAGCATATCTTCTTTTCTTTTCTTTTTTTTTTTTGAGACAGTCTCACTCCATCACGCAGGCGGGAGTGCAGTGGCACCATCTCGGCTCACTGCAGCCTCTGCCTCCTGGGTTCAAGCAATTCTCATGCCTCAGTCTCCCAAGTAGCAGGGACTACAGGCACATGCCACCACGCCCGGCTAATTTTTGTATTTTTAGTAGAGATGGGGTTTCGCTATGTTGGCCAAGGCTGGTCTCAAACTCCTGACCTCAAGTGATCCGCCCACCTTGGCCTCCCAAAGTGCTGGGATTACAGGCGTGAGTCACCACGCCTGGCCCCGTAAAGCACATCTTCTAAGACACCATCTATAACTATGTATTTTTAGAAAGAGGCTGGGTTGGGGACATGGGAATATTATGAATCCTGTCCCCATGAGAATGTCCTAATGAAATAATTAGAAGCAGTGAGAATACCACGGATGCTCAAGTCCCTTATACAAAAATGGCGTAGTACTTGTATATAACCGTGCCATCCTACAGTATAACTTAAATCATCTCTATATTACTTGTAATACTTGATAACATGTAAATGCTATGTAAATGATTGTTATATTGTATTTTAAAATGTGTATTTTAAAAATTGTTGTATTGTTAGTTTATTTTTTCCTGAATATTTTTGGTCTATGTTTGGTTGAATCCATAACTATGGAACCTACAGAGACAGAGGGCTGACTTTACCACAATGCATTGTAAGCTTAAAAGTATAAGACTTTTATCCTATTTGATTAATCTAACATAATTTTTAGGAGCTGAAAGCAGGAGGTAAAAGTGCAGACAAAGGTAAAGAAAGATAATACTTTCCTATAAGACAGTTTCAATAGTATAAAACAATAGCATACCACTTAACATTTTCTGTTTTTAAGTTCTCTTAAGACCTCTCCTTACGGCTGGGTACCAGTGGCTCATGTCTGTAATCCTAGCAATTTGGGAGGCTGAGGCAGGTGGATCACGAGGTCAGGAGTTTGAGACCAGCCTGGCCAACATGGTGAAACCCCATCTCTACTAAAAATACAAAAATTAGCTGGGTGTGGTGGTGGGCACCTGTAATCCCAGCTACTCAGAAGGCTGAGGCAGGAGAATCGCTTGAACCCAGGAGGCAGAGGTTGAAGTGAGCCAAGATCATGCCATTACACTCCACCCTGGGTGACAGGGCGAGACTCTATCTCAAAAAAAAAAAAAAGAAAAAAACACCAATTCCCGGGCAAGATGGCTGAATAGGAACAGCTCCGTTCTGCAGCTCCCAGCGAGACCAACACAGAAGGTGGATGGTTTCTGCGTTTCCAACTGAGGTACGTGGCTCATCTCACTGGGACTGTTTAGACAGTGGGTGCAGCCCAAGGAGGGTGAGCAGAAGCAGGGTGGGGTGTCGCCTCACCCGGGAAGCGCAAGGGATCAGGGAACTCTCTCCCCTAGCCAAAGGAAGCCATGAGGGACTGTGCTGTGAGGGATGGTGCTATCTAGCCCAGATACTACGCTTTTCCCAGGGTCTTTGCAACCCACAGACCAGGAGATTGCCTCTGGTGCCTACACCACAAGAGCCCTGGGTTTCAAGCACAAAACCAGGCGGCCATTTGGGCAGATACCGAGCTAGCTGCAGGAGTTTTTTTTCATACCCCAGTGGCACCTGGAATGCCAGCGAGACAGAATCGTTCACTCCCCTGGAAAGGGGGCTTAAGCCATGGAGCCAAGTGGTCTTACTCAGTGGATCCCACCCCCAGGGAGCCCAGCAGGCTAAGATCCACTGGCTTGAAATTCTCACTGCCAGCACAGCAGTCTGAAGTTGACTTGGGATGCTCCAGCTTGGTGGGAGGAGGGGCATCCACCATTACTGAGGTTTGAGTAGGTGGTTTCTCCCTCACAGTGTAAACAAAGCCTCCAGAAAGTTCGGACTGGGAAGAGCCCACCACAGCCCCGCAAAGCCGCTGTAGCCAGAATGCCTCTCTAGATTCCTCCTCTCTGAGCAGGGCATCTCTGAAAGAAAGGCAGCAGCCCTAGTCAGGGGCTTATAGATCAAACTCCCATCTCCCTGGGACAGAGCACCTGGGGGAAGGGGCAGCTGTGGGCACAGCTTCAGCAGACTTAAACGTTCCTGACTGCCAACTCTGAAGAGAGCAGTGGATCTCCCAGCACAGTGCTGAAGCTCTGCTAAGGGACAGACTGCCTCCTCAAGTGGGTCCCTGACCCCCGAGCCTCCTGATGAGGAGAAACCTCCCAGCAGGGGTTGACAGACACCTCATACAGGAGAGCTCCAACTGGCATCTGGTGGGTGCCCCTCTGGGATAAAGCTTCCAGAGGAAGGAGCAGGCAGCAATCTTTGCTGTTCTGGAGTCTCTGCTGGTGATATCCAGGCAAACAGGGTCTGGGGTGGACCCCCAGAAAACTCTAGCAGACCTACAGAAGAGGGGCCTGATTGTTAGAAGGAAAACTAACAAACAGAAAGCAATAGCATCAACATCAACAAAAAGGACAACTACGCAAAAACTCCATCTGAAGGTCACCAGCATCAAAGACCAAAGGTAGATAAATCCATGAAGATGAGGAAAAACCAGCACAAAAAGGCTGAAAATTCCAAAAACCAGAATGCCTCTTCTCCTCCAAAGGATCACAACTCCTCACCAGCAAGGGAACAAAACTGGATGGAGAATGAATTTGACAAATTGACAGAAGTAGATTCAGAAGGTGGGTAATAACAAAGTCCTCCGAGCTAAAGGATCATGCTCTAACCCAATGCAAGGAAGCTAAGAACCGCGATAAAAGGTTACATGAATTGCTAACTAGGATAACCAGTGTAGAGAAGAATATAAATGACCTGATGGAGCTGAAAAACACAGTACGAGAACTTTGAGAAGCATACACAAGTATCAATAGCCGAATTGATCAGGTGGAAGAAAGGATATCAGAGACCGAAGACCAACTTAATGAAATAAAGCATGAAAAGATTAGAGAAAAAAGAATGAAAAGGAACGAACAAAGCCTCCAAGAAATATGGGACTATGTGAAAAGACCAAACCTACATTTGATTGGTGTACCTAAAAGTGACGGGGAGAATGGAACCAAGCTGGAAAACACACTTCAGGATATTATCCAGAACTTCCCCAACCCAGCAAGACAGGCCGACATTCAAATTCAGGAAATACAGAGAACACCATAAAGATACTCCTCAAGAAGAGCAACCCCAAGACACTTAATCGTCAGATTCACCAAGGTTGAAATGAAGGAAAAAATGTTAAGGGCAGCCAGACAGAAAGATCCAGTTACCCACAAGGGAAGCCCATGAGACTAACAGTGGATCTCTCGGCCAAGAGAAACTCTACAAGCCAGAAGAGAGTGGGGGCCAATATTCAACATTCTCAAAGAAAATGTTTCAATCCAGAATTTCATATCCAGCCAAACTAAGCTTTATAAGTGAAGAAGAAATAAAATCCTTTACAGACAAGCAAATGCTGAGGGATTTTGTCACCACCAGGTCTGCCTTACAAGAGCTCTTGAAAGGAAGCACTAAATATGGAAAGGAAAAACTGGTACCAGTCACTGCAAAAACAAACCAAAATGTAAAGACCATTAACACTATGAAAAAACTGCACCAACTAATGGGCAAAATAACCAACTAGCATCATGATGACAGGATCAAATTCACACATAACAATATTAACTTTAAATGTAAATGGGCTAATGCCCCAATTAAAAGGCAAAGACTGGCAAATTGGATAAGGAGTCAACACCTATCAGTGTGCTGTATTCAGGAGACCCATCTCATGTGCAAAGACACACATAGGCTTAAAATAAAGAGATGGAGGAATATTTACCAAGCACATGGAAAGCAAAAAAAAAAAAAAAAAAAAAAAAAAAAAAAAAAAAAAAACGGTGGTTGTAATCCTAGTCTCTGATAAAACAGACTTTAAACCAACAAAGATCAAAAAAGACAAAGAAGGGCATTACATAATGGTAAAGGGATCAATGTAAGTAGAGCTAACTATCCTAAATATATATGCACCCAATACAAGAGCATCCATATTCATAAAGCAAGTTCTTAGAGACCTATAAGGAGACCTAGACTCCCACACCATAATTGTGGGAGACTTTAACACCCACTGTCAATATTAGCTCAACAAGACAGAAAATTAACAAGGATATTCAGGACTTAAACTCAGCTCTGGACCAAGAGGACCTAATAGACATCTACAGAACTCTCCACCCCAAATCAACAGAATATACATTCTTCTCAGAACCACCTAGCACTTATTCTAAAATTCACCACATAATTGGAAGTAAAACACTCAACAAATACAAAAGAACAGAAATCATAACAAACAGTCTCTCAGACCACAGTGCAATTAGAACTCAGGATTAAGAAACTCACTAAAATCCACACAACTACATGGAAATGGAACAACCTGCTCCTGAATGACTACTGGGTAACTAATGAAATTAAGGCAGAAATAAATAAGTTCTTTGAAACCAATGAGAAAAAAGACACAACATACCAGAATCTCTGAGACACAGCTAAAGCAGTGTTTAGAGGGATATTTATAGCACCAAATGCCCACAGGAAAAAGTGGAAAAGACCTAAAATTGACACCCTAACATCACAGTTAACAGAACTAGAGAAGCAAGAGCAAAAAAATTCAAAAGCTAGCAGAAGACAAGAAATAACTAAGATCAGAGTAGAACTGAAGGAGATAAAGACATAAAAAACTCTTCAAAAAAAAAAAAATCAACGAAACCAGGAGCTGCTTTTTTTTTTTGAAAAGATCAACAAAATAGATAAGACTGCTGGCCAGACCAATAAAGAAGAAAAGAGAGAAGACTCAAACAGACACAATAAAAAATGATAAAGGGGAGCTCACCACTGATCCCACAGAAATACAAACTACCATCAGAGAATACTATAAACACCTCTATGCGAATAAACTAGAAAATCTAGAAGAAATGGATGAATGCATGGACACATACACCCTCTTAAGACTAAACCAGGAAGAAGTCAAATCGCTGAATAGATCAAAAACAAGTTCTGAAATAGAGACAGTAATTAATAGCCTACCAACCAAAAATGCGCAGGACCAGACAGATTCACAGCCAAATTCTATCAGAGGTACAAAGAGGAGGTGGTATCATTCCTTCTGAAACTATTCCAAACAATAGAAAAAGAGGGACTCCTACCTAACTCATCTCATGAGGCCACCATCATCCTGATACCAAAACCTGGCAGAGACACAACAAAAAAAGAAAATTTCAAGCCAATATCCCTGATGAACACTGATGCGAAAATGCTCAATAAAATACTGGCAAACCGAATCCAGCAGCACATTAAAAGTCTTAACCACCAAGATCAAGTCAACTTTATTCCTGGGATGCACGACTGGTTCAACACACACAAATCAATAAATGTAATCCATCACATGAACAGAACCAATGACCAAAACGACGTGATTATCTCAATAGATGCAAAAAAGGCCTTTGATAAAATTCAACACCCCTTCATGCTAAAAACACTCAATAAACTAGGTATTGATGGAACATATCTCAAACTAATAAGAGCTATTCATGAGAAACCCACAGCCAATATCATACTGAATGGGCAAAAGCTGGAAGCGTTCCCTTTGAAAACCATCACAAGACAAGGATGCCCTCTCTCAGCACTCCTATTCAACATAGTGTTGGAAGTTCTGGCCAGGGCAATCAGGCAAAAGAAAGAAATAAAGGGTATTCAAATAGGAAGGGAGGAAGTCAAATTGTCTCTGTTTGCAGATGGCGTGATTATATATTTAGAAAACCCCATCAACTCAGCCCAAATCTCCTTAAGTTGATAAGCAACTTTGGCAAAGTCTCAGGATACAAAATCAATGTGCAAAAATCACAAGAATTCCTATACACCAATAACAGACAAACAGAGAGCCAAATCATGAGTGAACTCCCATTCACAATTGCTAAAAAGAGAATAAAATACCTAGGAATCCAACTTACAAGGGATGTGAAGGACCTCTTCAAGGAGAACTATGTACCACTGCTCAAGGAAATAGGAGAGGACACATACAAATGGAAAAACATTCCATGCTCATGGACAGGAAGAATCAGTATCATGAAAATGGCCATACTGCCCAAAGTAATTTATAGATTCAATGCTATCCCCATCAAGCTACCATTGACTTTCTTCACAGAATTAGAAAAAACTACTTTAAACTTCATGTAGAACCAAAAAAGAGCATGCATAGCCAAGACAATCCTAAGCAAAAAGAACAAAGCTGGGGGCATCACGCTACCTGACTTCAAACTGTATTACAAGGCTACAGTAACCAAAACAGCATGACACTGGTACCAAAACAGATATATAGAACAATGGAACAGAACAGAGGCCTCAGAAATAACACCACACATCTACAACCATCTGATCTTTGACAAACCTGACAAAAACAAGCAATGAGGAAAGGATTCTCTATTTAATAAATGGTGTTGGGAAAACTCGCTAGCCATATGCAGAAAACTGAAACTGGATCCCTTCCTTACACCTTATACAAAAATTAACTGAAGATGGATTAAAGATTTAAACTAAGACCTAAAACCATAAAAAGCCTAGAAGAAAACCTAGGCAATACCATTCAGGACATAGGCATGGGCAAAGACTTCATGACTAAAACACCAAAAGCAATGGCAACAAAAGCCAAAACTGACAAATGGAATCTAATTAAACTAGAGAGCTTCTGCACAGCAAAAGAAACTATCATCAGAATGAACAGGCAACCTACAGAAAGAAAATTTTTGCAGTCTATCCATCTGACAAAGGGCTAATATCTAGAATCTACAAGAAACTTAATCAAATTTACAAGAAAAAACCAACCAACCCCATCAGAAAGTGGGCAAAGGATATACACAGACACTTCTCAAAAGAAGACATTTACGTGGTCAAAAAACCTGAAAAAAAACTCATCATCACTGGTCATTAGAGAAATGCAAATAAAAACGACAATGAGATACCATCTCATACCAGTTAGAATGGCAATCATTAAAAAGTCAGGAAACAACAGATGCTGGAGAGGATGTGGAGAAATAGGAACACTTTTACACTGTTGGTGGGAGTGTAAATTAAACCAACCATTGGAACACAGTGTGGCAATTCCTCAAGGATCTAGAACTAGAAATACCATTTGACCCAGCAATCCCATTACTGGGTATATACCCAAAGGAATATAAATCATTCTACTATAAAGACACATGCACATGTATGTTTATTGCAGCACTATTTACAATAGCAAAGACTTGGAACCAACCCAAATGCCCATCAATGATAGACTGGATAAATAAAATGTGGCACATATACAGCATAGAACACTATGCAGAAATAAAAAAGAATGAGTTCATGTCCTTTTCAGGGACATGGATGAAGCTGAAAACCATCATTCTCAGCAAACTAACACAGGAACAGAAAACCAAACACCACATGTTCTCACTCATAAGTGGGAGTTGAACAATCAGAACACATGGGCACAGGGAGGGGGGACATCACACACCAGGGCCTGTCGCAGGGGGAGGAAAGGGAAGAAAGAAATACCTAATGTAGATGACGGGTTGATGGGTGCAGCAATGGCACATGTATACCTATGTAACAAACCTGTATGTTCTACACATGTATCCCAGAACTTAAAAGTATAATTAAAAAAAAAAAAAGGGAAAACATCTAAGATGTAATGGAGAGAAAAAAAAATCTCTCCTCTCTTAAAATATTAACTATTCATTTTAATTGTTCAAAGAACTGAAATTCTTAGATTTATTTTCCATATATTCTGCCATCAAGATGTTAACATAAATGAGCTAGTACATTTCCACATTTTCTCCTTGTAACCACAGAGCTCACTGCTCGCAGATCCACGGCTCAGTTAGGCCCTAGCCTTTTGCCTGCATGGCTCCCCCAGGCACTGCAGCCTGTGAGACAGATGTGCTTTTCCATGTGACCCAGGAGCCAGTCCTCATGACTATGTCTCTGCTTGTAGGAGTCTAGTGAGCATGCTAGAGGACTAGGCTGGAGCCTCTGAGCAGATGGGGCACAGGCAGGACTAATCCAGCAGTGTGTCAGGGCCTCCTTCTTGGTAGGATTTCTGCTCATTAATTACCTTGGAAGCAGTGACCATGACATTCATGGTTTTAATTACAACAAAAATAAGTGAATTTCTCTTTACCTACATTCAGGGTTAGCTTTTCATTTGCTATAGGTTAAAGAGAAGTTGATCCTATTTATTGTTTCTTTATCAAAACTTAGACAAAAGAATCGTTATGATTTGCTTACCTCCTTTCCAGAATGGGGATTGCAGACAGATAGCTGTGGTTTATAAAATATTTGATATGGTGTATTATTGATTATTGTAGTCTTGTCTTCAATCTGAATAATTTGTATACCTTGCTGTACCATGGAGGAAATGCAGAACTGACATAACTACAAGATAATTGAGAAAAAATAATTTTGACAATACTGTAAGGCATATCAAAATCTCTTGAGTATTCCTAAAAGGTTATTTTATCTAATTGTCTGCCAGGACAGTACCAATTTTACCTTTGTTTTTCCCCAGAATATTTAATGGCGTTCCTTTCATTCTCAGAAATGTTCTGGCCCCTGTCAGTATTTAGCCTACAACATGGTGCTTTAGCAGCCCTGTTACTTTTGCTGCTGTTCTGTAGTGACAGATAAAAGACTTGTTTTCTGGTTATTTTACCAGTAACCTCACAAAGTGTTTATTTAGAAAGCATGTATATGTAAATAAATGCCACTCATCTTACTTGGCAGAATTCCACCCAGCCTCACTCCTCCTCCTCCTCCTCCTCATGGTCTCCCAGCAGCTGCCTCACTAATGCCTATGATGAACCAAGGAGAGTTCTGAGAACTTCAGTAATGACGACAATGAAGACAATAAGGATTGACCTTCATATATTGCAATATTGTGTTCCACTAGTTTCAAGTGCTGTATACATATTAACTCACAAAATCCTCACAGTACCTACGTGGGGGAGTTACTATTATTAACCCCATTTTACAGAAGAGGAAAGTGAGGCACAAAGAAGTAACTTCCCCAAGGTCACAAAGATGAAGAGGGTCTAACTAGGGGGTTGGAACCCATGCAGTCTGGCTCTGTGGTGCTGCTCTTAACCACTACATGTATCATTTCATTACCTTATCATGTTATGTAAGGAACTGATGCTCAGAGAAGATGTTTCTTGCTTAAACATACCCATCTAGTTAATAGTATCAGAACACTGGTTTTCAAAGGGTGGTCTGGGGACCCACAGGGGATCTCTGGGCATGGGGTCCCACGGTCAAAACTATTTTTATAATAATAGTAAGATGCTATTAATCTTTTACACTTGAATTCTCTCATGAACGTACAGTGGATTTCCAGAGGTACATGACATGAGATGTTATTACTGTGATAGCTAATGGAATATATATTTGTATATTCTTGTGTTTTAAAAGTTTCTGTTTTAATTTCTAATCTGATAAATACTGATATAACCCACAGAAACAAAAGGTCTTTGGGGGTTCTCAATAATTTTTAAGAGTATAAAGGGGTCCTGAGACTAAAAAGAGTATAAAGAGGTCCTGAGTCACTACCAAAGCATAATTAGACATCAATATGTGTTCCAACAGTACATTCATTGATTCACAAACATTTATTCAACACTTGCTGTGGCTACTTTGTTAGGTGCTAGAGGTATTGGGTGTTGACTGAATATTATAACATTTTTTCCAGGTTTTGATGGTAGTTCTCAACTTACAACTATTCAACTTTGGGTGATTCATGCTTACAGCTCTTTGCCATTTACACCCATGTTACAGTACTTTGGCCGTCAGAGCATAAACATGTGTTGCCCAGACAACTTTGAGGAAATGGATACCAGCCTTGAATGCTGAAGAAAGACCAATTTCTTGGTATCACGGAAATTTATTTTTTAAAAAGTCACCAAATGACCCTAACTTTTCTCAAAAGACTTTTCAAAGACACTTGTCAAAAATCTAACTTCTCCCCTGAAAAAGGTCAATCTGAATTCTACTACTCTGATGAAGTATCCCTTCTTTTTCTAATTTTGGACAGCTAAAATAATGATGATATTAGAAGTACAGCAAAAAACTTCTGCATGGTACACTATGATATTGTACTTTCATACATAATGTGATTAGTTATATTATTCAGCTAATTGTTTTCATAGACTTTAGATTTATGCTGAAAAGCACATACCATTTATATTTAAATGACTTATGTTTTTTGTATGCATCTCCAAAAACATAGACACCAGTCCACTGTTCAAGAATATAACTTCCTCATATAACAGTGGTTCTAGGAGAGAATTAGAATTGATCCACATAATTTTTCTCAGGATGTCCTTTCCAGAAATATAAACTTTGCTGCAGGAGGAGCCTTTGTCCTTTCACTCTATGCTCAGAACGTTAGTGACTCTACTTTCTGCTCTAAAGAAGGAGGCCAAGTACAATTTGTGGATATTTTGGAGTAAGTTCATTTTCTCCCCACATACTATAAATCAAGTTACTGCTGAGTATTCTGAAATAGAACAATTATTGGATAAATTATGTGACACAGCTTTTATCACTGGTAAAGAAAAAAAAGCACTGTAAAACAGAGGTCTAAGAAGTTAAGAAATCAAATGTACTGTTATAAATTGTTTAGAAGAAGTAATATGAAAAAGGTATCAAAAAGAAAAAGGCAGATTCATTTTAGACAGGTTAAGGGGATGGCATGCTATTTCCTCCCAGCCACATAGACTTTGATCTTACCTTCTGATGTCCTGGAAAAGCACCAAGTCTTATTTCAGTATCAACAAACGCTTCTTCATCCAGTGTCACAACTTCACCATTACCTCCATCTTTCCACTTTGGAGATGTCAGGTTATGGACCAGTTTAATTGCTACTGACTTGTGCACAGTGTTTGTATTTGCCCAGTATATTCCAATTTGAAAAGCTTCCTGGAAAAATAATGCCTCAATTATAAAGTAATTTTCTTACCTTTGATATTTTTTACTTCAATCCTCAGGATTTTTTTTTTAATATTATATAATAGGTCTACTAAGGTAACCAAATATCCCTCCATGGTGTGTGTGTGTGTGTGTGTGTGTGTGTGTGTGTGTGTGTGTGTGTGTGTGTGTGTGTGTGTGTTTTGTAATGACAACGTACATTCTATTTTGGCTCCCAATGTATTTTTTTTTTTTTACTCACAATGGAATTCGTATTTACGGAAGGGAGGGGAAAACCAAACCCAAACAGTGACTACCCTGCAAATACCAAAGGCTTTAAAAACTGAAGGTTTCATCTCATTTGACAAGAGAATAATATGCAACATTAGGTCCACATAGGTCAACATTCCAATTCCATAAGGTAACATCACCTGATTATTTTACAGAAAAAAGAAAAAATGCAATTAAATAAAGATGTTTATGACCTGGAGCTCAAAAAAGGATTCTGAAATTGTTCTCTATCAGAAAGACATTTTATTTAGGAGTTACTTTTACTCTATTTTTTAAATAGATTTGTGTGTCTTCTTGAAATAGACTAGCCTTATAAAGAAGGTTTTGTGACAGAAATATAAAATTTTCCTGCGATATTTTGTTTTGCAATTAGGTTTCTCTCTGTGTCAGTAATCATTCCACACTGTTATAATCAACTGGGTAGACATCCATAATTATGAACATCCAAGTCCACCTATAAAGGAAAGGGGTCCCTGACAAAAACAGTTGCTCTGAAATCCTCAATATCTTGCAGATTGCAGAGAATTTCCAGAAGAACAGCAAAGAGTACCTAGGGTATGGATAAGCACACATGATGGCTCTATTTCCTTAATATGTACTGATAGAGCAGCCCAAATACTTGTCAAATATCCTATAACAATGGAAATAAGAATGTAACTAATCCAAGTTATCAAATTTAATGGTAACTCAAGCACCAATAGTGTTGATGGTTAAAAAAAAAAGACATCAGAAAAGTCCTTGAATATCAAAGAACATTCCATACCTCTTACATATGCATCTAAGAAGAATTTTTCACAACTGATTCATTCTGTTAAGATCATAAACGCAACTTTACAATAAAATCTACTTGTTGAGAGATAAGAATTCGTATTAGTTAAAAAAGTTATAGTACCTGAAAATTAGGAGGAATAATAATTTTGCCAGCAGGAACCTGTAGAACAATTTTCTCTCCTTCAAATAGCCAGAGGTCCCATTTGGATTCATTGATAAGCAGGGCCCAGGGCAGAAGTTCTATCAACAAAGTTCTAACATATGGCTTCCAGATTGACAGCTTCACTCGCATTGGGCTATCCCACTGACTTAGCTGTTCATTCCTGTTCCAAAAACCACATCCAAGAGACTCAATGAAATATGATAACTTTAATATTTGTGAAATATGTTTAAAGATTCCAAACACACCATGCTCCTGCATGATACCTCCTCATACCAGAATCTTTCAATGCTAAATTTGCATGCAGGAGAAAGCAACTTTTCATGCAATTATGATCTAGATCATGAATAAAGAAATCTACAAAATACACCTACTAGATGATAAAAGGTAAGAATCTGACAGATACATGCACACACCACTTATGGTATTTAATATTTTTGTGAATGATCATTTGTTAATGTTGAGAAATTTTTGTAGAAAAAGATCACTGAAGAATATTACCTGTCAGAATCCTTCTTATTATAGGGCCATATGGGTTGAAGCGACTTTTCTGGCCCATAGAATTCGTCAAGGATCTGATTAACTGTGCCTCCAGGGTGTACCTTAGTGGCTATTTGCTTAATGAGGGATGTTGAGATGGGAACTGCACAATCTGAAGGATCATATTCTTCTCTAGGAAATTGAAATAAAAACCAAGAATAATTATCAGATTTCTAAAGTGGTATATAATTTATTGAAAAATATCTAACTACAAATGTATTATAGACCAACACCTTTTTGGTAGATAGAGTCCATTTATGGGACAGTGTGTGGATGATCTGGGCCCTGGCTTTTCCTCTTTCTTCCCCCACCCCTCAATTCCTGGGTGTTGATCTCTATTCACATCTTCTTTCACCACAGAAGTCATGTGTCAATGAAACCTAAATTAAATTAAAAGTTCTGATGATCCCTGCTGGTTATTTCTAAGCTTAATGAGAAAGGCTGATTTTTATCTAAAACTACAGATGAGAATAAGAGATCCCTAGGCAGGGCAATTTTAAAATAACATTCTCATAAGATAAGAAATCATACAAAAAACTCCCTCCACTCCCATCTCCCTACCCACCCCTCCCCCGCCGCCCCCCAGTGCAAGGTTACTTTTCTACTTAATTTCTCCTAGGAAAATGTAAAATGTATGGAAGGATTTTTCTAGTACCTTGCTTGGAATGTCAGGTGATGTACAAGGTCAGGTTCTATGTTTTGCAGTGGTTTTTCCTGCCCTTTTCCTGGAATAATTTGTGTTTCACTCAATCCCAGACTCCTTTTCTCCAAATGTATGATAATGGGGTCTGGAAGATGACTCCTCATGATAAAAAGAGGGCTGAACACAATCTATAAAAATAAAAGGATAGAACAACTTTCATATTTGCTTTGTTGCAGTATTCCAGCTGTTTGATGCTGAAACAAACTTGTAATAAATCTCTTCCCTGGGTCACTCTGACCTTAATTTATTTCAGAACAGGAAAGGTCAGAGTCATATACCATATTTTAGGATTGGGAAAGCACTCACCATTCGTTGTTGCACTTGAGAGTTGGGTTCTAAAGTCAAAACTGTGCACCAGACATAAATAATGGAACTGTTTGAAGATGGCACCTGCACATGAAATAGCAAAGGGTCCTATTGAATACTAAGCAGTTTACTAATTAATCAAAATAAGGCACAGATACATCAGTTTGGAAGATTAAAAAGAGTTTAAAGTTTAGGGAAAAAGCCATTATTAAAAAAAACTGAGCAAAAACAGACTTCATTATGGCAGAAAGCAAATGTGCAGTGAGTCAGCGGGGCCAACTCTTTCCATAAAGACAAAGAGATTTGCATAAGGAGAGATATAAGACTAAGTGGCAAAATGAAAGAGAATTTATCCTTTATGGGAATGAAAGTGATGATGGTAAAGACTGAGGAAGAGATAAAGTAACAGACCATCATAAAGATCCTTAAGTGAGGAGGATACCACCCCCACAGTCCCACCCTACCCCTAACCCTGGGGCAGCAGAATCTTTTTCAAGATATCACTTGCGTCTGGGAGGGACAGAGTCTTGGCTGTAAGAACTACTGGAACTGATACAAATGTATTGTCGTGGGATGGGGAGGAAACAGTTTGAGAAGTACTATTCAAAGCCTTTCACTCCCCTTTTTTATATGTCACTTTTTAATAAATTAAGTGCTGTACGAGTAAAGAACATTTTGAGAAAATTTCAATGGTAAAGCTGCTCTATTCTAGATTGAACGTCTTTTCAAACCTGAATGACAATGCTGTACTCAGGGGCTTTGGATTCCAGGCACACATCTCTTGACCAGTCTTCATCTCCTTTGGCCTTCACACACAGCTCCGTCAGTTCATTGTTTTCTAGTATGTACGAAGGCAATTTCTGTTTGGCTGTGAGGCAGTCAAAATGTTCCCGAACTACAGCTTGTCCATCTTGACCAATGTAATGCTGAACGACTTTTAGTTCTATGCTTTGAGACAAGTAACTACAGATGATCTGTCTTCCACAGATGATAATCTAAAAGACAGTTAAGTATATAAGGCTTCATCAATTCAGACTTCATTAACTGGAAATATGTTATCATTCAAACAGAGTAAACTATGTTGATGTTAATGGAAAGAAAATGAAGTAATTAGCTTAAACAGTACAAGAAGGAAAAAAGACTTGAAGTCAAGAAGAAATTTTGCTTTGGCCATGTTGAGTTTGCAGTATTTAAAGGACAGACATGTAGGAGTCCAGTACTCAATTAGAAATGCTGCTCAGGTGCTGGCCAGAGAAAATGTGGAGGTGGAGATAATGATTAGTGAAAGAAGAGCCTTGCAAACATGCACAAGCAGAAGATAGTTTACCTGAAAGAGAGGGTAGAAGCTCAAACCCAGAAACTGACCAATACTCCAAGGGCAGACTCGGGGTGAAAAGCTAGAAAATGGGGCCAGAGAAGAAGGGATGAAGGAGAACAGAGGTGAATCAGGGGACAGTAGTTTTGCTGAAGCCATAAGAGAAGTGCCTGCCCAGGAGGTGGCAGTGAATCTTGTCAAGTGAAGTAGAAATGGAAAAGACTGGGAATTGAAAATCATTTAGCTCTGGTAACTGAGAGGGCAATTGTGATCAATCTATTCCTTGAAGTTGATTTTCAAGGGTTTATTTCACTCTTATCTAGTAAGAAATCTCTGTATAAACAGATAATACAAAATCTTTGATGCAGATATCTAATTTTTTTTATTTTATTCAGTTTATTTATTTAGTTTTTTTTAGACAGGGTCTTGCTCTTTCGCCCAGGCTGGAGTGTAGTGGCATGATCACAGCTCACTGCAGTCTCAATCTACCAGGCTCAAGCAATCCTCCCACCTCAGCCTCTAGAGTAGCTGGGTCTACAGGGAATGCACCACCCCACCTCGCTAACTTTTGTGTTTTTTTGTAGGATGGGGTTTCAGTGTTGCCTAGGCTGGTCTCAAACTCCTGAGCTCAAGTAATCTTCACACCCCAGCCTCCCAAAATGCTGGGATTACAAGCATGAGCTACTGTGCCTGGCCTAAACTGTGTAAGTTTTATCTTTATAAACACACAGATTTATCCACTAAACCTATGGGTTATTCAACTTTACACCCAGGTAAGAGAGTATAGTTCATAGTAGGTATTAAGAAATGGGGGTCTTGGCCAGGTGCGGTGGTTCACGCCTGTAATCCCAGCAGTTTGGGAGGCCAAGGCAGGTGGATCACCTGAGGTCGGGAGTTCGAGACCAGCCTGACCAACATGGAGAAACCCTGTCTCTACTAAAAATACAAAATTAGCTGGGCATGGTGGCACATGCCTGTAATCCCAGCTACTCAGGAGGCTGAGGCAGGAGAATCACTTGAACCTGGCAGGTGGAGGTTGCGGTGAGCCGAGATCACACCATTGCACTCCAGCCTGGGCAACAAGAGTAAAACTCCGTCTAAAAAAAAAAAAGAGAGAGAGAGAGAGAAAACAAATGGGGGGCCTGGTAGAGGCCAAGGTTAGGAGTTTGAGACTAGCCTGGGCAACATGGCAAGATCCCATCTATACAAAAAATTTAAAAATTAGCTAGGTATGGTGGTGTATGCCTGTAGTCACAGCTACTTGGGAGGCTGAGGCAGGAGTATCACTCGAGCCCAGGAGTTCAAGGCTGCAGTGAACTGTAATTGCACCACTGTACTCCACCCTGGGTGACAGAGCAAGACCCTATTTCTACAAAAAACAACAAATGTTTTCTTAAATTGGTTGAAATTGAAAATATAATGCAAAATTTAATACGGTGGTGAATTCTTTCACAAAGCAAATCCTTCTGTAATATGAATATTCACCATGATTGGAGAAAATAGGACTTTCACATACTGAATTTCCTATTTGTAATATTTTTCCAGAATAACACACACACACATACACAGTATATGTACAAGTCTAAGCATATGATATTTAATTTTAGTATGTCAACTTGATTGGGTCATGGTATGAGCAGACATTTAGTCAAACATTATTCTGGGTGTGTGTGTGAGGGTGTTTCTGAGTGAGATGAACATTTGGATTGGTAGACTGAGTAAAGCAGATTGTCTTCCCCACCATGGGTGGGCTTCATCTAACCAAATGAAGACCCAATCGAAGGAAAAGGCTAAGTAAGAGGAAACTCATTTTGCCTGACTGCTTGAGCTAGGGCATTGGTCTTTTCTGGCCTTTGGACTTGGAATGAAGCATCAGCTCTTCTTGGGTCTTGAACTTGCCAGACTTTGGACTGGAACTTACACTATTCGCTCTCCTGGTTCTCTGGCCTTTGTAATCAGATGGGAGCTACACATTGGCTCTCCTGGGTCTGCAGCTTGCTGACTGCAGATCTTGGGACTTCTCTAAGATTATGTCATGTTTCATAATCACGAGTCAATTTATAATAAATCATTCTTTTCCCACACACCCATGCATGTACATGTGTGCATGCATGGGTGTGCACACACACACCCCCTCATCAGTGCGGTTTTTCTGGAGAACACATTCTCACAGCAACCTTATAAAGTAGGTGCTACTGTGACTCCCCATCTTAACAGAGAGAAAATTTAACAGAGATATTTAATAACTTGCTTGGTGTTACCCAGTAAGTCTGGCCCAGAGTTTGTTGATCATCACCCTGATAGTCTGTCTCTCATAAAATTAATATCTACTCATTAAGAAAAGTTAGAAACCATAAAAAAGAAAGTAAGGGCTGCTCTTTATAACATAAATGTGTCAGACACCATTGCTTCTCTTCCCAATAGCTGTTCTCTCCTTTCCTCTTATTGTTAAAAACCCTCACTTGATTTGGTTAGGTATCAAAAGGCAGCAAAGTACTCAGGGAAGGTAGACACCTCCCTTGGCCCCCAGTGGCTGTATCATGATTGGTACAAGCCAATCCTGTTAATTCCATTCTCCTTTTGCCATCGATCAGGGTAAACATGGAACTCTGGTTTGGCTAATAATATGAGAAGGTAAGACTGGTAAAAGGCTCTAGGAAAGATATTACTCCTTGATAATAAGGGAGACAGTTTGAGAAGAGAAGCCCTTCTTTTGTGTCACAGAAGCTGTTATCAGAGGATGTATACAGCTTTAATGCCACCTGAGACCAGGCAGGCAAATCTAAGAGGATGACAGAGAAGCAAATACAACACTGGGTTGCTTAGCCAATACTGAACCAGCCTTCTTCCTCCTCGTTATGTGAAACAATAAACATAAAATAGAATAGTATCTGCCTCATTAACTTGCTATGAAGATTAACAAGCATATTTTGTAACTTCAAACTGAAAGCGTCCTAACTGATACATTTTCCTATGTCATCAAGAGTTCTCTGTAACCATCAATTTTAATGAACTATTATTTACACCAATAAATATGAATAACTATTTATAAATGAACTATTATTATTATCACTATTTTTAGATGGGGGTCTTGCTCTGTCACCCAAGGTGGAATGCAGTGGCAAGATTTCAGCTCACTGCAGCCTTGAACTCCTCGGCTCAAGGGATCTTCTTGCCTCAGCCTCCTAAGTAGCTTGGACTACAGGCACATGCCACCATGCCTGGCTAATGTATTTTATTTTATGTTTTGTAGAGATAGGGTCTTGCTATGTTGACCACGCTGGTCTCAAACCCCTGGGCTCAAGTGATTCTCCTGCCTCAGCCTCCCAAAGTGCTGGGATCATAGGCATAAGCCACTACGCTGGGATGAACTATTATTTAATCAAAAGAAACCTGCTAGATTGAGGAACCAAAAATTAAATGTCATTGTTGTTTTAATTTGCATTATTTGAATGGTGAGGTTTAGATTTTCTCATTTATTTCTCAACTATCTGCTTATTTGAATTTTCTTTAGAAGGAGCACATCTGTAAAACCAAGCTGTGCTGAACAGTTGTATTTCCCCTAGATACTCTAGCCATCATAATCTTTTAAAACTATGCTTTCACAATAACAAACCATAAAAGTCAACTGAACTATGATCCTAAATTAGGAAGCAAACTTTTCTTTAGCATATGCTAGGGGTTACTAGACACTCATGATAAGTCTTATGATGCCATAGCATTGCCTAACTTGAAATAAACATTTGAAAACTCTGAAGCATTATTTAACTCTGTTATTCTTGATGTGCCCAAGCCTGGCAATATATGCACATGGCTCTTGCTTCAGAACCTTTGGACCCCAGGAGATTTAGAAGAGAATTTGGCTGTTTCTCAGAGAAACCACAGAATCTCCACAACCATCTGGGACTCACTTTGTTTAAAGACAAAGATCCTCTTGGTGGGTTTTTATAGTCTCATTTTCAACTAAAAAGCCTGTTAAATAGGCTTTCAAATTTGATAAAAGAAAATTCTTAAAAGTGGCCAGGGAGGGAAGGCTACTTTAGATGAAAGAAAATCCAAAAATGGTCACTCAGTGGAGTAGTGTGCTTGCACGGCTGTTCCAGGGTTAGGCTCAGGAGAGCTCTATCTGCTTTTCTTCAAAGTGGCAAAACTTACAATGCCTTTATTTTGAAAATTATGGTTAGAATTTCAAGATTAATTTATCAGTTGAAGACAGCTACTTAATTTTTTTAAATGCACGGTTTCTCTTTAATACACATTTCCAGGTTTCACACTAATTCCCCTCCTTCCCCAAAGCCACAAAGATGTGTATTGAAGATTTCCACATATGATTTTACTTAGCAGGTTTCAGAACTCTTATTAGATCAGTGCCAAGAAGAATAGTGATATTGAAGAATAACTCCAGAGCACCAGATGCACTGGAAAACGATATCTTAAACATGATTAAAAGTATGTGTATAAAGACACCATTATACATACATACATGTGTACATTTGAGATTTTAGAGTAGTAAAGGTTTCTTCAACAAAAAGATGGGAAACATGGAAGCAAATGTGTGTACATAGTAGTTGTAGAACATACAAAGTTCCCACAAAATTTTCTGTGGTCAATTTTCATTCAATTGAGGGAAATGAGAGGGGTATAAGAAATGCAGAGCACAGATAACCCAGCATCAATGTTAAGAAAAGAGCTTTAGCCAATTCTCCATTATCCAGGGGGTGTTAAGGTGCATCAGGGATCTGCATATACTCACCTCCCCAAATGGGCCCTGGTAATTAGGCAGCTGCAGTTTATTGCAAATTTCCAGGCCCAGGTGGGGTAGAAGGAAAGAAGCCAAGATGTGAGGGAGACAAGAATCCACAAAGCTCTTCTGAAGCTTGGTTCCCTTCTTCCTTCCCAACCTTGCCAATTGAGGAAATCCTACGTCTCTGATGTACTTTAACCAGAACAAATCTGAACGCTAAACTACCCTGACAGCAAAAATTAAATCCAATTGAAAAAGACATTTAACATTTTTGCTTGTGGGTGTGTGTATCTGAGTGAGTGAGGGGGCAGGGAAGAGGTAAAACTGCCAGACATTTTTAGAAATGTATTTTTCAAATAACCAACTTTTATGACATTTGGTAGGTATACTGTTGCGATGTGTAATATTTGTGCAGGAACACTGTATATATTAATTTATCCCTGAAATTTAACATTGTTTCTTGAAAATATATAGTATCTATTCAAGAATGAGTCACTATTGTTATAATACAAAACCGTCCAACTTAGTGTTACTCATGCCTGATAACATTTCATTAGAGTAATTTTAAATATGGTATATAGGGCTATGGCAGGAGGGCAGGCACGTTGTAAGCATTTTACATACACAAACTCAGTTAATCCTCACACTAACTTCCTGAGGAGGGCACTATTACTATCCTCATTTTACAGATGAGGAAATTGATTCACAGAGTTTAAATGACTTTCTGAAGATCACACAGCTAGCAAGCGGATACAGCCAAGTTGCCTATGATCTTGACTACGAGGACATACCATTAAAACCATTTCTCTATGGAGGGACCCTGCCATTTCAGTAACTGATAAATGTTCTAGCAGCCACACTAAAATGAGCTGAACTACCTGGGAAAGTTTAGACTGGAGCTATAGTAGTCAAATTGTGGTCCCTGGACCAGCAGCATCAGCAGCACCTGGGAACTTGTTAGAAATGCAAATTACAGACCACACCCAATCTGAAACTCTGGGGTTGGGACCCAGCAATCTGTGTTTTAACAAGCCCTCCAGGGGATTCTGATGCATACTCAAATTTGAGAAGGCCTAGAGAGAAGAAAACCAAGGGGAAACACAATAGCTTCCCTTATGTTTTTGAAGGGCTATAATGTAGAGGAGAGGTGACTTGTGGAGTTCTCACAAGTTTTGCGCTTGTTGTATATGCCTCATAGTTCTAGGGAATGGGGAAAGGTGGTGGAATGGTGAAAGATTTTTGGTTCGAAATCAGGAAGAAAACTTAGCTGGTGGTAGCAAACAGAAAGGGCTGCTGTGTGAGGGAATGAGCCTCTTGTCATCTGAACTATTCAAAGAGGCTGGATGACCTTTTCTCAGACATATTACTCAATGGGAAGGTGGGTAAGACATTCTTGAAAGACCATGAGTGACAGAATCAGAAAACCAGTATACACTTACTGGGCAGATATTCATTGACAGCAGATTCATGTAAGAGTGTTCTGAGGGCAGATGGGAGTTAGTGACACTCCTTGTTCTCTTTGGCTCAATGCTCACACTAGTAGGCCGGTCCCTGCAGGAATCCTTCAGTAAGACTCATTTGTCCCACATTTGTCTCTTCGTTTATGCTATACTGTCTACTTGGAATGCTCTCTCTTAATCCAAATTCTACATATTTTCCAAAGCCCAGCTCAAGTCATATCTTCTCAGTGAAACCTCTAAATTCCCTTTACACTTACTGTCAGTTGACAACATTGTTGGGCTTACATAAAATTGCAATTTAAAAGCAAAGACTGTTTCACATACTTGGTGTTTTCCATTTTACTTTGTTCCACTTTAGGCAATCAATAAATATTCTGAGGAATGCTCAGTTAATTGGGAAGAGTCTTCCATGCTTCTTTTCTGAGACTCCTCTGCTAGAGTTGAGTTCTCTTTTTATTTCCGTGGCCCACAATAATAAGATCACCAAGTCCAGCTCCTTGATTAGGTGCAGACCAAGAATGCATATGGTGTGGGTCCTACTGTTCACCTCACTAGCAGCTTCCTGATTCCTCCTTGGCATGCAGCAACAGAATAGCCCCTGCTGCTCCATAGGGGAAGCTCCCCTTTTCCAGGGACTAAGTGCTGTTTCTATCATGTCCCACAAAAGCTCTGGGTAGACTGTTACAATCCAGATGTATATGTTGAAACTCTAACGACAAATCCAGTTATTATGTGTGCAGTGAAGCCAGTTTTCAGATTTTAATACTTCCTTCTTTTCTTTCTACTCTTGTCCATGCTTGAAAAACATCTTTTAGAAACCACATTTTCACATCTTAAGAACAAAAAGAAAGTGTCAGATACTTTTTTCCCTTTGCAGTCTTAGAACTTCAAAAACAGCCAAAAAGCAAGTTTTATAAAATACGTAAAAATATGTGCTGAGAGCTGAGGTTTTATATGCCAAGAGTTAGGCTGCAGTGAATTTTTACTGCAGTTAATATTAACTCCTAGGAAAAGAAAAGCTTGCTGGAGACCCAGGCCCACTCTGTCATGGGAGAGTATCACAGCACTTCCTTACAGATCATTCTCACGTGCATGAGAACCAACTCTTGGTTATCCGCTGGTGGATTATCCAGGGTTCCCACTACTCTTTGCTTCTTTTCCTTCTCAATAAAGGACTTTTGGCTATTTCACAGCTCATTAGCACCTCCACCAGAAGGTAGGTGGTGACAGGGAGAAGAGGTGAAACTAAAATCAGTAAATTTTACTGCTTGTTAGCAGCTCTTGTAAAAGAAGTGGGACAAAGGGTTTGAAGCCATCATCATTGTCAGGATCATAGATAAGCATTTATTAAATGCTCACATGCATGGTAGTAGTAGATATAACTAGGCATAACCACTGTGATTTTAAAAAAATTATTAATTATTTTCATCTCCATTACACTGAATAATTAAGAGGTGTCTGGGTCATGAACACAAAGAAACTTACCTGTTTTTGTACTCCATTGAGTTGCTGAACCTTGATGATGAGAGAAGCAGTTCGACCCCTGTACTGAATTGTTCTAATAAAAGTCCCGGCATGGTCCACACTGAAAGGCTCTGACCAACGCCAGTTGCCCCAAC
This sequence comes from Homo sapiens, assembly GCF_000001405.40. Taxonomy (NCBI): domain Eukaryota; kingdom Metazoa; phylum Chordata; class Mammalia; order Primates; family Hominidae; genus Homo; species Homo sapiens. Next base: position 99,809,396 of record NC_000008.11, on the reverse strand, counting down.
CTTCAATACAGATGTGTAACAGCTGGAGAAAAAAACAATAATCGTCATAATGCCAAACGTGCCAACAAAAACCTAGTCCTAAAATGAAAGTCTCATTGCTGGAAAACCTTTCCATTTGTAATATTTTGCATCTGTTTTCTTTCTAACCTGCATTATTCATCCACTTCCAACTTATTCCACCAGGCTAAGAATAGCAAATATGTCACATAGAGTCAATGTGGTTTTTCAGATCACATTTTAAACCTTCTTAAAAATAATTTTCCTATCAAATGGTAAAAGGCCTGCTGAACATTTGAGAAAAGATCATTTCATTCATCTGGAGGACAAAAAGGTTGAAGCGTGAGATCAAAGAACCTTGGTATTGGCTGACGGTTTTTTCCTTCTTATGGCTAGACAGTAATGAAAGCTAAATTTGGTTTGTGGGTTTTTTTTTTAATCATCAATTGTCATACCTTTTTTCTTTTGATAAAGAACAAAATAGCAGTTTGAAGATGCAATTCATTTAATATACTTTCCTTATGAGATCACAGATATATCAAATTAGAAATACCCTCAACATTTTAAATGTAAGATATGATGTATTTGTTCTTTTTTTTTTTTGTTATGTACTTATTGTAACATTTACCAACTGAGCCTCCTGATACATATTTATATTTATTCATGTAGCATTGCCATGTCTGGTCATGTTTGGATTTGTTTTGGGGTCATATATGTCCTATTTCTACTCTTACCCACTAACTGCAGCTAAGAAAATCAGTTTAACTATATGAGTATTCCAAAAAATAATAATAATTAGTACTTTTGTAGGAAACAGGTTTAAATGAAAACAACGTTCTATGATTTGTAAGTACAAGGAAAGACAACTGACTTTTTTTTTTTTTTTTTTTTGAGTCTCGCTCTGTTGCCAGGCTGGAGTGCAGTGACACGATCTCAGCTCACTGCAACCTCCACGTCCTGGGTTCAAGCGATTCTCTTGCCTCAGCCTCCCGAGTAGCTGGGACTACAGGTGTGCCACCACGACTGGCTAATTTTTGTATTTTTAGTAGAGATGAGGTTTCACCATGTTGGCCAGGCTGGTCTCGATCTCTTGACCTCAAGATCGCTTGCCTCGGCCTCCCAAAGTGCTAGGATTACAGGCGTGAGCCACTGCACCTGGCTGAAAACTGATATTTTAAGAAAGATATATTTATATCATATGCAAACAATTTAAATCTTTCTTTCATATCACATATAATTTTTTAACAGAGCTAACCAAAGGTAAATCTCATGAAAAACTCCCAATTAGTAGACAGAATAAAACTTTGAAAACCTCCTGTAAGACTATCATAAAAGGCCCTAATAATAAATACATTAAGGATTTACATGGAAATTGCCATAATATTAAATGTCTTGGTGGAAGCAGGTTAGTTTTTAGTTTCAGCCTTAGGAGGAGTCCTGATAACATGCTTAAATTTAAAAAATTCCCAAGGTCATCACAACATACGTTTTCGATGTTAAGATAGGGCTTTTTTTTTTTTTTTTTTAAATCTGAATACATTATTTTTAAAAATCTCCTAACTCATCTCCCTGCTGTTAATATGGCCTCACTCAAGTTCTTCCTCCACGCACTGCCAGTGATCTTGTGATAGGAAAATGCTATCAGTTAGGTGACTTCTAAAAAAGGCTAACAGCTAAGAAAACACACGTGTGCGTACACACACACACACACACACACACACAAACACACCCTGGATAGTAAATACCTTTAGGGAAAATATGGTCTTATATATACTCTACAACATAAAAGTACCAGAATATCTTTGATGTTTAAATGTTAGTAACAGAGAAAAAAAGAAAAATAGCAGTGTTGGGAACCCTTTCAGTTTTTTATAGCAGCAACTGGGAATCAAGCTCAGGGTACACACAAAACTAAAAGAAATAAGAAAGTTGTTTTCTTTGGACAGACTAGTAGCTAGAAATGACAAAAAAAAAAAAATAATGAGGCAAGGTACTTAAGATCAAGCTCAGCTACATTTTTCCTGAACATTTCATAGACTCTAGAGAAAGTTTTAATGTACACAATGTAATTTTAAGTGAGGAATGTTCACATTTGCATATGAGCTCAGTTTTAGATAGCTGCTCACTCTGTGTACACAGCTTTTAAAGACTGGATGTCACCAAGGAATATGCTGTCAGGTTTTGCTTGGCAGCTATTTGTTCTCAGAATGTTGGCACAGATATTTTCTTTGAATTATGAAAATTCAGATATGTTTGGATTTAGTTCACACAGGAAAATTAAGTGGGAGAAAAGCATTTGTAACACTTCTTCCCATATGCATAATCAATGGAACATTTGTAATGTTTGGTCTACTGTTAAAAAACATCTAAATATCATTGGCAATTAGATGCATATAATTCATTAGGAAAGGAACTACATTCTTGAGAGAAACCAACAAAAAGAAATTCAGGAGGCCTAGCAGTACTTCAGTTTTCCTTCCCATGGTGTAATCACCCCTGCCTGGGAACCCGCGGCACTGGATTTGAGCACTGGATGGCAGTGAGTGCTCAGATATGCACAGACACCTAGCTAACGTGAGAGGTTTTGTTCTTGTTGGACCCACTGACTAAATTTCACTGCTACAGATACTGTAAGTCTCCATTTAGTAACAAATACTTGCATACCTATTTTTATTTCTATACAGAAGGAAGCATAAAATCAGGCACAAAAAAATGTGACATTTGTGTTAGATCACCTGATTCAAATGAGATTTCGATCATTATCCAACACATTTTCATTACTCAAGTACTATAAGGAAGGTAATATGCTAGGCACTATGGAGGAAATATAGAGGAAGAGATATGTTCTTTGCCCCACAAGGAGCTTATGATCACATAGGGAAAATAAGGCAAGAACAAATAACTAACATGAAGCAGTCAGGAAAGGAGAGGAGCAGTCACATAGTAGTCCAGTTAAGGAAGGGTCTGGATCAGGTTGCTGTGATTAAGAAAACATTGGGAAGCAGCTGGGTCTCAGAGTTTGGGTAGGATTTCAACTGGCAAAGATGATAGTTCCTTCCCATGCCAAAAAGACAATGTGAGATGTGCAAAGTAGTACACATGCTCGGGACAAGGTTAACCATCTCAACTGGCGAGAGAAAAGGGAACGTGGATAAAGGGTTGGAGGATAAGGTTAAATACATAGATTTAGATTGTGGCTGGCACTGATTTACTAAACTAAGGAATTTGCACTTTATGCAGGAATTAGTGGATAGTCACTGATATCTTCCCTATAAGTGAGCAATGTGCTGACAAAGAGTGAGAGCACGTGGAGAGGCAGGAAGACTGCAGGAGTTGCATGAGGGGCAACGTGGGCTAGAAATACAGGGGAGAGGAAAGCAATGGGCTTCACAGAAAATAACTATCCCTTCTGCCTGAAGCCCAGGGCATTTTTGTGTTCTTTTATCAATTTGGAAATTTTCTTTCACCTCTTTTCTATTAAGATTTTCCTTCCTTACTTCCCCTACCATCATTCAATCTATCCAGGCTTTTCAGTCTCTTTGGTCTACTTAGATAGTGTCTAATATTTTCCACGGTGGGGGGAAAAGTCAAACAGGAACTATTCTTGTTGGAAGTTTTCGATGACAACTAAAACTAAGCAATAAGGCAGGTTGTATAGTGGCCACACTCGATGGAAGGTCCCAAGAGAGTACATTTTCTTTTTTTCCAGCAGACCCCCAGAGCTGCGCTGGCAGCCAGACTAAATTCATAGTTTTCCCATTGAAGACCTCAGATGGAAGCATATACAGTTTTCAACTCATTTTTTTTCTATACAAAATAAAACTTAAAACAGAATTACTGATCAGGGAATTGGGGATCAGCCCTGAGGACCACCTACAGTTTTGTCCAAAGGGAGAATTCCTGAATTGATATATTTAAGAGGAAAGAAAAATAAGATAAAATCTAGGAAAACAGAGTACACCAAAGAAGAGAAAGTGGATGGTTAAATAAAAAATGTTAAACTGCATCTTAAAACATAAATGATAAAGGTACCAAATACTTTTTTGTGAAGTTACATATTTCACTATTCATTTTAAAACTACTGTCAAGATTTTTTCTACTTCAATAATCACAAATTAAAATTTTATCTTCACACTCATTTGTGTATTTTTTTTTTTGCATTTTATAGTAATTTACCCTACAGTAATACGTAATGTTCTAAACAGAAACTGGAGATTTAAACAACTTCAAAAAATGTCCCAATCCATTGTATTCATTGTAGAAATTTTAAGAGTTCTTAAAAATTAACATGCAATCCAAGTGAAATAAACTACTGTATATATATATATATATTCTGGTAATATATTTTTATATATTATTTATATATCAAAACTTAGGCACCATTTATTTTATTATGTTTTAGAGATAGAGTCAACTCTATTGCCCAGACTGGAGTGCAGTGGTGTCATCATAGCTCACTGCAACCTTGAAATCCTGACCCCTCAAGTGATCTTCCTGCCTCAGCCTCCCGAGTAGCTAGGACTATAGGTATATGCCACCATGCCTGGCTTTTTCAAATTTTTCTATTTTTTGTAAAGATGAGGTCTTGTTATTTTGCCCAGGGTGGTCTTGAACTCCTGGCCTCAATCAATTCTTCCCCCTTGGCCTCCCAAAGTGCTAGGATTACAGGTATGAGCTATTGAACCCGGCCCATTTATTTTATAAACTTCTAAACTCATCGTAATATCCCAAGAGCCTAGTGTATGGCAGGCATTCAATAAATATTTGTTGAATAAATAAATCAAGATTAATACAAAATAACCAACAGTAAATATCTTAAAATGTCAGTGGTGATATTTGTTCATAAAATGGTATCACAGAATTAGTATGAGTGCCTCCTGGGGCCAGAGACTGCAGTCACTCCGTCCCCAATTCAGTCCCCAGTTGCGGTCCCCAGGCAATTACTATACCAAACAGGATGTGCCAGATACTTGATAGGAGGTTGGCCATATGCCCAAATCCTGGTGAATGTGGTCACCCTGCCTCCTATTTTCTGCAGACTAAGACATGGACACTGGGTACTGTGCCTGGGCCCACTCAATCCAGATCATGAAGGCAGAAAAAACTGCAGCCAGCAAGTGCTGCCAGCCATCAGCCAAGCCATTCTACAACTCCGAGATCGAATTCCTGCTGCCTCATGGCATCCTGCGTCGCCAGCACAAGCCAAGCTTCAACACCACGAGGCCCAACACCTTCTTTTAGGTGCTGGGCCCTCTCACCCCAGGTCTGTCCAAATAAACTCAAGAATGTCGAAACAAAACCCAAACCAAAATGAGTATTAAATCAAGATATTTACAAGAGTTTCCTATTTTGAATGATCTTTCAACACAGATTTGTCTTACAGGGATAATAATATTAGATTAAACGCCAAGTCAGTGTAATCCCTCAGATTCATAATTCAGATACTGCAGTACTGATATTAAAATATCAAGTAGGCCCAAAATGATACAATAGGTGAGCATCATGAGTAAAAATTAAGTTAAAATACTAAAATAATTCTTGTCTATCCAAAATACTCTCTGGAAAGTCAATTGAATCGAAATTAAATCACTTGCTTGGAATACATGAGTCTAAGTGGAACTGATAGTACATTCCACACTACTAAATTAGCATAAAAATGAAATATGTTGCTTATTATTGCTTTTTCAAGGAATTTGAATTTCAGGATGTTCAACGTTATCTGAAATAATGCCAAAAACTAAGTAGAAAAATTTCTAGGTAATGACTAATGCTTGGTGTCAATTCAATGCTGAAACTTTTAATGCTAAAATTCTGAGGGCCCTGCATATCCTTTCACATTTATAGAATATAATTTCCCACCTAAAAGAGTAAGTTTAAATAAATACAACTGAATTTTATTTTTGGACCCTTTGATGTAGTTTGTTTTGGTAGGAAAAAGAAAAAGAGAAAGTAAGCTCAACTGAGAAAGCCTTTCTAAATCATTCAGGGTGTGATATAATGGAGGCTGCATTGTCGTGATATAAGTGTTGGCTATTCTTCCACAAACTATGGGTGCTGTAAGTTCTCTCTCAAGATTATCTGAATTAACTGAAGGCCACAAATACTGTGCAATTAGCATGAAACAACCTCTTACAATAGAGGGAAACCTGACACATTCATAAAAAGCTGGTTGGAATAAAAATTGTGGCTGAAAGGTAATCCTTATATAAAAAAATCTTACTTGTAATACCTATTGATGCATCAATTCTATGAAATAATCTATCCTAAGGTAATAATTACAGATGTGTGTAAAGAATGTATCTAGATGTATGTTTATCCCAGTGCTATTTTAATAAAAATTTGGCAGCATTAGGAAATTGGTCAAATAACACAGTAAAAATAAAAACAGCTTTCCTTTATTAGACATTATGTGTCAAGCACTGGGCTAAGTGATTTTTAATATTACTTATTCCTTAAAACAATCTTGTAAGGTAGACAGATGAAAAAACAAATGGAGGTACACAGAGGCTGAGTGATTTCTTCAGGGCCAGAGTGTTGGGAAGGGAAAGATAAAAGATCTGAAATTACTTAGAGCCTCTATTCAAAACTATACTTACACTGTAGAGCACTTTCAAATGACTGAAAAACAGTCATAGCAGGAAAACATGTTAATGCTATCAGTTAACAACAGATTAATTGAAAAACACACATTACAAAAAGGTATGGGCAGTACACCCCATTTTTGTAAAACAAATAAACAAAAAGTATGTATACCTATTCCAAAGGAAGAAAAAGGCTAGAAATAAGCCATAATGCTAACAGTGGTTATTTTAGGGTTATAGGATTATGCATTTTAAGTTTCCTTTTTTCCATGTGTGTTTTGTGTGCTTCCTCAGGTAATTTCCAAATTTTGTATTACAACTATGTCTTATTTGGCAATCAGACAAAAATGTTATTAAAATAAAAAAAATGTCTAATAGGATGCATACAGAGGTCACATTTTTAGGTAAAAAGAAATTACACATTTCTATTTTAAAAATTCAAGTTCAACCTCCTAATGAAAGCCAAATTTTCCCAACTTGCCCTCTTGGCACTTTGCCAAGAGGGTGACATGATCTTCAGTTCATCTCTGTAGTCTCCATAATTCCTAGCACAGAGTCTGGCTTGCTATATTGCTATATTACATATTCACATGATTCTTAGGAGCCATTTAATGCAATTATGTGAGCTTTTTTCCCTAGGGCCACAGCTTGTTTTTTTTTTTTTTATTTGAGACTGGGTTTCCCTTTATTGCCCAGACTTGAGTGTAGTGGCACGATCATGACTCACTGTAGCCTCAACCTCCTGGGCTCAAGTGATCCTCCCACCTCAGCCTTCTGAGTAGTTGGGACTACAGGCATGCACCATAATGCCCGACTAATTTTTGTATCTTTTGTAGAGATAGTGTTTTGCCGTGTTGCCCAGGCTGCTCTTGAACTTCTGAACTCAAGCAATCTGCCCACCTTTGCCTCCCCAAGTACTGGAACTGCAGACATGCACCACTGTACCTGGCTCAATTTGGCAAGTATTTTTAAGGATTTACAGCTATTAAATGTTTACTATAAGCCAACTAACTGTACTACACATGGTAGGTACAGAAAAGAACTAGACAGTACACTTGGGCTGAAAATGCTTACAATATAGTAGGATAAACAGATATTCAGTAAGAATAATTACACTGCAAAATGTTTTTAGAGTAAGAAAAACATAGGGCTTCTGAGGTGTTCTGCTTGGGGAAGTTAAAAGTTGGACCAGAGAATGTATTTTACTTACTCCCCAAAATAAGAAAGACATGTTGAAATAGAACAAAAGATGACAGTAATGTTACTTCCGATAAACAAAAGTAGGTGACAACCTAACCTGTCATGTGACAACCAGGGAGGGAGTAGTTCTTTCTGCACAAAATTTGTGTCTACAAAGCATACCGACTGTGTTAGAAACAAAGACAAGCCATAAATGCAGCAAGCTATGGCTTCAAACTATTTGTGAAAACAACTCCTGGTCATTTGTTTTGTCAACAGAATTTAGAAAATTAACTTTCTATTATCAACTTGTCAGCTTACTTTCCTCTAATAGTTTTGATTGTAACCCAAATGGAGTCACTGAATATTGATTTTGGAAAGAAGGAGTCACTCTGGAATAAAAAAATCATTGTTTTAGGAGGTCAAATCTTGAGACAGAGGGTGGGAGAGAGATATAGGAAGGAAGGGTGAAGAGAAAGTGAACTCTTAGGTCAGTAACTGCTATTTCCTCTCAGAGCATCAATCATCAATAAACACCAGGGATTGATACGTGAGAGACAATGGAACAAAGTAACTGACAAGAAAGTCACTGTTTGGCTGTTTGAAATAATGCTACTCATATGTTATATCTATATTCTTCATAGCTTTAAAACAGTGCATTGTGTCATTTCATCATATACTTTGTAATAGTCATTTGAATTTCCCTGGGTAAGTCAGGGTATCAAATTTCACATGTTTCTAGCAAACATTAAGGCTTAATCCATGTTTCAACATACCTATAATCAAGCCATAGAATCTTTTTATTATTTTTCACAAATAACTATAAACACAACTCTAAATTCAAGAATTTATTTATGGATTTTTATTGTTCAGGAATTTTCTCTGTTCAATCTCTGGCTGAAGTTTACATATGTAAAATAACCTAAAAAAAGAAAAGTGGGGAAAATAGTAGCATTTTTCATTTAAATTATTTTCTACAAAACAATGAGATGCTTCATGGGTATTCTGGGCTAAAAAAAAATTAAATCTAAGTGAACTAAATTAGGGAAAACTAATATACTGCATAAACATTTTTGCAAAAAGATTTAATGAGAAAGATGTTTCATGCATTAAAATATTTCATTTTTAAATTTTATGCATAACTTTTTTTGACCATTTCAATCATGAAATCAGATATAAATACAGTTAAAAAAGTATGAAATGATAAATAGGCTTGTTTTAAATAGGTCATTTCAACATTATACATATCTATTGTTTTCATTCTTCTAAAGGCTTCCCTATAAATGATACGTGACTGAAAAAACATGAGCTGTGATATTAACAGCTGCCTTAAGTCTAGAATTGTGTGACAGTCCTTAAGACTGTTTACCCTTGGTACCACCACAAAGGGTTGAAAAGCACAGATTCAAAGAACTTTGATATATATGTACATACAGAAGAGGAGGGACTGTCTATAAAATCTGAAATAATTCACATTTTCTTTTTTTAAAAATAAGTAAAATAAATACGACTTTGATTGCTTAAGTTATGTCAACAACCAGGAGATTCTGATGCTATGCAGACAAACTCTTAACAGAATGATAGTCAATGGTGATCATGCATTTGGTTAGACCCAATTCTTCAGTGGGAGAGTTAACAGTATGTTAGAAGGAAATGATGATGAATAATTTAGGTGAGCTGAGAAATGGGAGCAACAAGATAAGAAATTGGAGAGGCTGTCTGTTAGTCATTCGGATTTGAATAAATATTCTGGGAGTCAAATTGTCAGGTTTTGTTTGTTTGAAAATCAATTTTGACAAAATACAAACAATAGAGAAACCTACCTAAAGTTTGAATAAAAACTTTCTTTTAAACTGTTCTCAGATGTAACATTCACTATTCAGTAAAATTCAGTTTAATGTAAAATAGAAGACATGCCAACACATGTCCTAAGAAAAGATCAAGTGATTTTTACATAAACTTCATTTTTTAGTCATCATGGCAATGTGGACAACTGTAATTATCTTTAATTTTTAATTAGAAAAAAGAAGTCAATAGATGGATATAAGAGAAATCCAAAATTTTTACAGTTATTTATTTTCATTTAACTAAACTGCCTTGCTGTACTAAGAAAACATTTTTGTAAAGGTTAAATAAAGTATTTCATGGCAACCGCTGCTTCTTAGTGCCTGTATAACAAGAAATATGAGCCAGCCAAAGTTGTGCAAGTTGGTTTTCTTTCCCAGTAAGGGAATGTGGTATCTAAGACCTTGTCCTAACTCATTTTATCCCCAAGTGTAAGTCAAGCAAGTCAAACATGAACTAATGCCTGAAGGGAAGTCCCTGACTCCAGAAGTATGGATTATTTCACATTTATCTTAAAATCTGCTCTCAGAGTTCTTAAAATTCACTAACTTGGCAAGTCCGGAATTATCATGAGAAATGAAATAATTTTATAACTATGAAGTCATCCAACATTCCATGCATCTGACACTCAGTGGGCTTGGCCATGTCCTGGGCATTATTCTGACCTTTAAATAACAAGCTCTTCAATATTCTGGAAATAATTTAAAAGCACGGAAATAATAAGTGCCACAGTATAATAGGTATGCCATTGTCTCTGAGTTAATGCTTTTGTTACACAGACTCATGGTAACAGGTTATGATTAAAGACAACAACATTATGTATGCTGAAATCTTTATAACATTCTTAATCAGTATTTCCCATTACTTAAAAATGGCAAAATACCATGCTTTAATAGGCCAGCTGCATTACCTTTCTCCAAGTACTCTGTATTAAAATTCACATTTAAAATTAGCTCAGTAAAGGACCTTTATGTTTAGACATCAAGAATTTACATTTGCAGAGCACTGGCTTGTGAAAAGGCTTTGAGTGTCTTGTAAAAAGCTTAAGAAATCTTCAGTATATTTTTCTCCAAAGCTATATTTCAATATCTGAGATTTATTGCCAGGGGAGGAAGAGAGAGACCATTAGCCGCACCAGCAGCCATTCCTCTGGGCGCTTTGCACTTGAAATATCCCCATTCTCTTTCATGCAGGCTTGCAGAAAACTCCAGAAATCAGCCCTGGGACTGGATAAAGGACCCTATCACAATCCTATCTTTGCCATTTCTTGTGAAAGACTTTAAAATTCTTGAAATTGGTCATTTTATAAATTAGTTTTACAAAGAAACTTTGAAATATAAAGGAAAAGGAAAACTCAACCCTAAACTTCTGCCTCTGATTTAGGTAGAATGTATCTCCCAACAGAAAATGAAAAAAATCCAAATATGCTCTGTGCATTAAATACTTAATGACCAAAACTGCTAGGACCCCATTTACTTCTACTGGTGACTTCAAAAGGCACTGTAAGCTCCCTCAGAGAATGTAAGTTTCCTGGAATCCCTACAGACTACCTTTTTTTTTTTTTTTTTGGCTATTTCAATTACTGCTTAAAACTGAAATAAAAATGCAGTTGATGGCGGCTGGACGGTAGTTCCTGGGTACTCAAATGGAGTCAGTGTTTACAGAATATTTTGGATTAAAATGCTTGCCAGATGGTCCCAAGAAGTGTTTACCTCACTGTTGATTTTAGCTATCTTAATGTCAGCAACAATAAAAAGAAGCTTGTTACTGCCACTCGGGAGCAAAGGCATAAAATCCTTCCTCCCCAAATGGAACTGCTAGTTGCAGACAGCTGTGCCCTACACAACAATAAGGGTGATACTGTAGATTTCTGGGAAACTATTTCCACAGTTAGAGAAAGACAATATGTGGCAAATTTAACTTGTAATGACATCTACTTTAAATATATAATATTTAGTGATTACACTATATACTTTCAGTTTATGATAAACAACAAAAATTTTCATAGAATAAGCACAAAAGGCTAAACAAAAATGTGAAGAGTTAGACATACATGAAAGTTGTGGCCAATTTGAAGTATATTGCTAATCTCCTCCTGTAGCATGTTCCTATTTTATGATTTTTCATTAGAGGCCATAAGGAGGCCAAAGGGGCAGGAATGGGAAAAGGGGAGGGGTGTGTGACCAGGAGCTACTCTTAAGAGCCCAACTGAATTGACAGTATATTGAGGCATATATTTTGAGATCAGTGCCTCTTTTCTGTGTATATTAATAGTATATACAAAAGTATCCAACATTATGCAAAGAACAGTGTTGACAATTTTATTATTAAGATTTTAAATCTATGTTCTTGAGAAATCCCAAAACTTACTTATTCAATGAACATTTATTGGCTGGGTGTGGTGGTTCACTCTTGTAATCCCAGCACTTTTGGAAGCAGAGGTAGGAGGATCGCTTGAGCCCCGGAGTCAGAGGCTGTAGAGAGCTGTGGACGTGCCACTGCACTCCAGCCTGGGCCACAGAGCAAAACTCTGTCTCAAAAAAAAAAATAATAATAAAAATAAAGGAACACTTATCAGCTGTCTATTATAAGCAAGATACAGGATTAAATATTGTGGAAACAATACCTTATTCAAAGCCCTCTTTTTCTTCCCTTTCATTCTCAGCAAACATCCAATACAACCTCAACCATATTCATGTCCATCTTCATTCTCTCCCTCCTATCTCAAGGAGGAAACTATTGTGGTACATTGCAAATGGCCACAAATTCTCTGCAGCAACTCTCACCAAGATCTAGTTCCTTACTGTTTGGATCTGGCTTAACCTTGTGGCTTGCTCTGCGCAACAGAATGTAGCGGAAGTGATGCTGGGTGAATTCTGAGCCCAGGTTCAATAGGCCTTGGAGTCTCTGCTCTCATTCTCCTGGGACAGTGTTACCAGGTGAAGAAGCTTGGCTAGCTTGTTGGTGAGATCACGTGGATGAGAACCAAGACACCTGGCAAACAGCCTGCTGACCACTAAATATGTGGGTGAGGCCATTGTAGACCACCCAGCCCTGAATGACCTCCAGCTGACTTCAGCCTCCTAAGTGAGACCAGGTGAGACCCACAGAAGAACCTTTTGAGTGCACCTAGATGTCTGACCAACAGACTCACGAGCTAATAAATGGTTTTTAAGTCAATAAGTGTTGGGATGGTTTGTTAAACAGCAATAAAATTTGGTATAAACTTCTTCCCATTCAAGGTCAATCCTTCCACTCGTGATATGAATTCTTTCCTTTTCTTCCCTTCTAAGATTTTATGCCATTAGTCATTCTCTCTTCTGGATCATCAATCTCGCATTTCTTTCTTCTTCTATATTAATGTGCCTAACTCTCTTCCATTTAAAATTGTTCCTTAAACCTGTGGCTTTCTGTAGCTAACACATAATTAAGACAAAAAAAAAAAAATTCATGCTCATCATCACCACTTCGTCACTTCCCATTCACTTCTTAGCCCACTGTAATCTGGCTTTTATCCCTCTCTCTACTGAAAGTGCTTTCCTTGAGCCATCAATGATGTTCCAATCGCCAAATACAATGGTCTCTTTTTTTCAATTCTTACCTCACTCAGTTCCCTTAGGACATTTAACAACACTGATAATTCTATCCCCCTAAATATCCTTTTTGGATTTTAAAACACCATTATGTCCTGGTTTTCCTGTGACATCTTGGTTTTCCTCATAGCTCTTATTTCCCCTCAATACATTCTATTTCACAGCCCAACTCGCAAATTCTGCTACTGATCCTTTTGCAAGCTCACCTCCAAGACAGCCCCAGTAATCCTTGCCTCTTGTTATCTGTGCCTTTATGTTCCCCCCACTGAATAGGACAGATCTGTGTAGGATATTACAAATAAAACAATGAATGACTTCTGAGGCTAGGACATAAAAGATATTGTGGCTTCTGCCTTGGATCACTTGATCTGGAAGACAGCAGCTGCTATGTCATGAGATTACTCGAGCAACTCTCTGGAGAGATCCCTGTAGTGGAGTGCTGAGGCCTCCTACCAAAAGGCATGTAGGTAAGTATTTTGGAGATGGATCTTCCAGACCAGATGAGCCTTCAGAGGAGTGCAGCTCCATGTGATGTCTTGATTACAACCTTATCAGAAACGCTGAGCTGGAATCACTTAGTTAGACCATGCCCCAAATTCTTGACTAACAAGACTGTGGGATAATAAGTGCTTATTGCTTTAACTACTCAAGTTTTGGGGTAATTTTTTATACAGCAATAGGTGACTAATAGAGATTTAGTATCTGTAAATGGGATACTACTGTAACAAAAGCCTAAAATGTGGAGGAGGCTTGGAGCTGGAAAGTGAGTAAAAACTGGAAGAACTTGAGAAGGCTGTTAGTGAATGTCTACATACTTCAGAGAGATTATTAATAGAAACGTGATGGCCCTACAGGAGACTGCCAGCTACAGAGTGCGAAAAATGTTATTGGACATGGGTGGAAAGGGGATCCTTGCTATGTGGTGGCAGAAAGTTTTTCAACACTATCACCTGCAGTAACATGGAAAGTAGAAAATTTGCCTAATAAACTACATGATCTAGCTAAGTAGATTTCCAGGCAGTGTTGAAGTGCCTCCTAGCTTCTACCTGCTGCTAATATTAAAACCCACAAGGGGAGATACAAGCTTAAGGAAGGACCGTCAGATAAAAAGGAGCCAGGATTTGCTATTTTGAAAGTTCCTAGCTTTATCAGATGCAAATGATGCTAAAATCAAGAAATGGCTTCCCAGCAAAGATCAAATCCAGGACATGGTTGGAAAAGCTGGGTCTAAATATGAAGCAAATAATATGCCTGTAAAATCTTTTGAAAGACCTTAGAAAGACCTAAATTGATGGCTCAGAGAGCTAGTCAAACAAAAGGAGTTCTAAGACTCTTAAGGGTTATGTCCCTCAGTAATATCAGAAAAATCTTAAAGTAGAGAAGGGCTTATCTAAAAGATACATGGGTGTTAATTTTGTCTAATATAGTAAACCTCAGTAAGAATAAAAAGAGACCTACAAAGTTGTTTAAAGAATAATATTGGCAGAAACACTGCCAACTTAGACTGAAAGAGATAAAGACAGTACAAAATGAAAAGAGGACTCTGAACCTTCAAAATTCTACCAGCAGAAAGCAGGCTGGGAAAACTACAAGGTGCAAACAAAAGCTACTTTTCATGGAAAAGAATGGGTGACTCAGAGGCTGGAGCCATGTGCACAAAGCCACGAGCAACGGGGAGCTATTTCTAAGCAGGAGTAATACTGAGTACTAATTAAGAAACTTCCAACATTTATCTGATTGAATTTAATAATTTCTATGGACCAGAAACTCCTGTGTGTCTTCTGTTTCCTACTTTTATACATGGAAATGTCTACTGTAGTTATCGTATGCCTATCGTATACCATTGTACATTGTTCTGCAGCAACAGATAATTCTTCTCTTAGCACTCTCTCCTTGGGAATGCTCACTTATTCCCACTTCTAGTTAGGCACCAATAACAGGCCAAATTTATATCTCCAGATCAGACTATTCTTTTGAGCTCCAGCCTCTTACATCGAATTTGCTTACTTTACATGTCCATTTGGATGTCTAGTTAGGGGAAAAGGACTAAAAAGGAACCCTTGGTTATAGAGAGCCAAGTTCTTTTTACTTTAAAGAATGTTTTGTTTAGACAGGGTCTTGCTATGTTGCCCCTGGCTAGTCTCAAATACCTGGCCTCAAGCTATCTTTCCTACCTTAGCCTCCCAAAGTTTTGGGATTATAGGTGTGAAGCACCACTGCACCCAGCCAAGCTGAGTCCTTTACTAGGAACTTTATAAATGTTTTACATGGAATATTTACAACAGTCTCTTAATTATGCAGAAGAGGAAGTTGAAGTGCCAAGAAATTAAGAAACTGTCCACTCTTCATGCAGCTATCAAACCTTAGGAGTGAAACTCAGGTATTTATGGCTTCAAATTTGTGCTTTTTCTAATATACCATCCTTCCTGCCCTCTATAGCAGCCTAAAATTCAATGTGTCCAAAATGGTTGTCACGATTACTCTGTTATGCTCTTACACCCTGCCCCATTCTCTGTCTCTCAAACATTGTCCTACTCAGCTCCCTGTCTTGGCCAATAGCAAAACTAGCAACACATCACCTAAGTCTGAAATCTCAGAGTCAAACCAGACTCTTCTCTTCCATGATCAATAATAAATCCTGGTGATTTTAACCTCCCAAATATCTTCCAAACAGACCTCTATCAAGTTAAACCTTCTCTCAGCAATTTAAAGATGTTGTTTCACTGTCTTCTAGCCTCCATAGTATCTAAAGAGAAGTCCATAGTAATTTGATTGTTGTTCTCCTAATGTGTGGTAGGTAATGCGTTGTTTTCCTCTGGCTGCTTTCAAAATTTTCTCTTTATCTTTGTTTTTCAGTAGTTTCATAATGATGTTCCTGGTATCTTCAAATTTACTTTTTTCTTCCATCATGTATTTTATATATATATATATATATATATATATATATGGAGAGGGCAAGACCCTGTCTCCAAATATATATATATATATAAATTTTTTGGCGACAGGGTCTTGCTCTGTTGCCCAGGCTGGAGTGCAGTGGCATGATCTCAGCTCTCTGCAAACTCTGCCTCAAAGGGTCAAGCAATCCTCCCACTTCAGCCTCCTGAGTAGGTGGGACTACAGGTGTGCACCACCATGCCTAATTTTTTTTTTTTTTTTTTAGAGACAGGATCTTGCCATATTGCCCAGGCTGCTCTTTAACACTTGGACTCAAGAGATCCACCCACCATGGCCTCCCAAAGTGCTAGGATTACAGGCGTGAACCACCATGCTTGGCCCATCTATTATGTTTTTATTGCTCTGTAACAAATTAGCACTAATTTAGCAGCTTAAAACAGCACACATTTACTCTCTCACAGTGACTGTTGGTCAAGAGTCCATGTATAGCTTAGCTGCGTTCTCTGTTTAGGGTTCATAAGACTCCAAATGAGCTGCAGTTGGCTGCATTCTGATCTGGAGGCTTGACTTGGTAAGACTCTACTCAAGCTTGCTTAAGTTGTTGGCAGAATTTATTTTCTTGTGGCTGTAAGACAAGGGCCTTAACTTCTTACTGCCTGGTGCTGGCAGCCATCTTCCGGTTCTGGAGGCCTCCCACAGCTCCCTGCCCCAGGACCCTCTTCATAGGCCATCAGAACATGACAGTTTGCTTCCCAAGGCCAGCAGGAGCCTCTATGCCTCTCTCTCCTTACAAAAGGGTCCGATCACTCTTTTAGGGTTTTTAATCTGATTAAATTAGGCCCACTCAAGATTTTCTCTCTTAACTAAAAATCAACTAATTTAGGACCTTAATTACATCTGTAAAATCCCTTCACCTTTGACACAGACACTTTAGAGTACATGTCCGATAATGCCAACATCTGGGTCATCTTTGGATTAGCATCTATTAATTGTCTTTCCCTGGAAATTGAGTTAACATTTTTTTTTCTGACTCTTATCTGTCAAGTAATTTTGGGTTATATTATGGACATTGTACATGTTTTGTTGTGGAGAATCTGGATTCTCTTATGACTGCTCCAAAGAGTGTTGATGTTTGTAGTTAACAGGCAACTAACTTGTTTAGACTCAAACTGGAAATTCTCATACCTGGGTGAGCAGCAGCTCAGGTTAGTTTACTTCTTTAAGCCTTGGGTACAAACTGCATTCAGTTTGCCCCATGCATGTGTGTGGTTCAGCAGTCAGCTGAACAGTTGGGCTACATTTAAAAATATTATGTTCCCATTTTATGGCTTTCTCCTCTCCAGGGTTTTCTCTTCACACTCTAGCAGCCTAGGATGCCTAGGCTATTTCCCCTGGTACCCTGGGCCAGAAAGATGATAGGCCACCCCTGTGCTGCCGTGACTGCAGTTGCCCTCAAGGCAAAGCCAAAAAAATGGGAAAGTCATCCTGCAAATTACTTGCTCAAAATTTTGACTCCCCTCCAAAATCTGCCTTTGTTTAGTCTCCAGAGCCTTCAGGTAGTTTTTTTTTTTTTTTTTTTTTTTAAGTTCTGTTCAGAATGTGTTGCTGTTATTCACAGAAATATCAGTTTCTTAGGCATTTATATCATTTAATGCCCTTACTCTGTCTTAGCTCAGTTACTATAATCTCTCTCACTCCTGCACTACGCAGCAGTGACCATAGTAGTCTCTGTTTGTATTCTCAATCTTCTCTAGACCGTCTTCTCAAATACATTAGTAGAACTTTTCTGAAATACATCTGTGATCCTGGCATTCCTCTACTTAAACTCATTCAGTAGCCAAGAGCTGCCCATCACATAGATGTATATCTTCTTGAAATGGATTCCCAGGCTCTTGAGAACACAACTCTGCCAGACAGTGGTGTGCTGGAGCTGGCTCATACTTGTTTGTGAAAACCAGCAATTAAGTGTTTAGAGATTTTGCAAACTGGTGGTCAACCCATTGGTAGCCTGAAATAAGCTTTGGAGTATTTACACCATGAAAGTTGGCCATCCCTACAATCAGGGGTTCCCCACCACTACCACTCTAAGAGCCAGTGGACCAGCACATATCTCTTCTGCAATTTTTATGATTGAGTTACACTGCACAAAACCTGAAATCCCTTGACCATAACTTGCTGTTTATATATACCTCCCTTGTTCTTCTTGGTGTACTCCTCCACTGTCATCCGCTGGGCCAACCTATACTTACTGTTCAAACTTAGCTTCTGTGGAAAGCTAACTTTGATCTCTCTGGGTACGTAGATTATCACACCTTTGTGCTATCATGGCCTCAAGACGGTATTAAAACTTCTTAGCACAGCATACAGGAGCCCTCATGGCCTTAGCCTACTTCCCCCTCTTGCAGCTCCACACATGTACTCTACACTGTAGCCAAATTAGTCAAGTTATCCTTCTGTGCCATATTGTTTCATGTCTCTGTGGCTTTCACACATGTTGGTCCTCTTAGCTGGAATATCGCCTCCACCCTCACTTCACTGGCCTAGCTAACTCCAAGGCATTAACGTGTAATACAAATATCCCTTCTGTCTGGAAGCCTTGCCAGCTTCCCATCCTCATGTTGGATTTGGAAACATTTCCTTTGGGTTCCCATTAAGACTTTGTTCATATCCAGATGCAATTGATTTTACTTCCTGATTCCCTGGCATTTCTTCCCTATGGCTAGTGTTTTCATTATTCACCCCTCATTTCTCTCTGTCCTGAACTACTGCAATGATATCCTGATAGACTGATAGACAATGTCATGTCTATAATAATTTTTTACTTTTCTGGGTCCCTCAATAGACAGTAAGTTCCTTAGAAGAATGTATATATTTAAACGCAATAAGTAATACATGAAAATATACTGATTAAAAAAATGAATGTGAGGGAGACTAAATAAACAGCTACAGAGAAATAATGGCAGGAGGGCCTGTGAAAAGACTGAGTTAGCCCTTGGAGGTCAGATAATTTGGATATTATTTAATAAATCATGGTGTAGCATGTGATGGTTTCTGGACAGGAAAGTGTAACAATCAAAGTATTTAGGAAAATTGCTTGAGCTGTAGTCTGAGAGATAAATCAGAGTTAAAACAGGGCAAAACTGTTAACTAAGAGAACAATTGAGAAAAACTATTGCAATAGTTTGTATAAGAAGTAATAAAGATAATCACTCTTGATATATCATTACACTTGGTGCTGTTCCTAAGAATTAATATTTGAAGTTCCTTTTAGTCTGTATGTGAGTTTTGGGTGTGTGTGTGGGGGTGCTTAATGTCTCAAATTTAATTTCTTTCTCCTTAATAAGAAGTTGAAAAGTACATAAAAATGTGACAAAAATAGAATAATATCACCTTACCCAAAATTCAGAGGCAACCACTGATAACATTTTGACATGTCTTTTTCCAGTATGTTTTGTGCATTTGCTTGTGTGTTGTTATGATCACATTGTATACATAGAATTTCATATTCTGCTTTTCTGACTTATATGATATGATATGATAGGTAGGACTTCCTCCATTCCATGTAAAAATGTAAAGATCCCATAAAATATCTATAAGATAGTCTTATGCCAGATTTTACTTAACTCCTTAAAAGTGAACATTTTGGTGCTTTAAATATTTTGTGACAAACTGTGATTAACTTTTATGGTATAAAAATCTTTGTTTTAATTTGCCTTCTCTCCAGTGGGTAGATTACTACTGGGAGACTTACTGGGTCAAAATCTACAATAATTTTAATAGCTTTGAAGTTTCTTACCCAATTGCTTTCTAGAAATAAAGTACCAATTCCATTAGCAACTCCAGTGTGTAATAGTGTCTATTCATTTGCCCTTTCTAAACAAACTTTAACATGCATGCACACATAGGAGAACACTTGAAAAATTTATCAGCTTTGGCAACACAGAGTATTTCTTTGTCCCCCAAGTCGGCTTTTTAAGTTTTTAAATTGTTACTGTGGCAACAAGAAATATGCTCTTTCTCTAAATATATATGTATACATGCATTATATAAACGGATTTGTAAAGCATAGTAACTAAGAATTACAGTCTAGTTAATGAAATTGACAACTGGCTGGAATTACTAAAAGATAGGCAGATACTCAAAACCTGTTGCTTTCCGTTTTAGACAAATGAAAAAATTACCAGGTCTCGTTTTAAAATATTGTTACATACAAAACAAAAATTGGAGAACTTTCTGTTATGTACTGATTAGGACCAGAATGAGTATAATAAAAATATTTTCTGTAATTTGGTGAGTACAGGTTAATTACATAGAAGTTAGATTTTAACTATTATCTGTCATTTCTCAATTTCTGGAACTTTGTACCAAGCTTTCAAATGATAGGAATACCAGTGAGGTCAGAGTGAAAACAATTTTAAATCAAACCTTTAGTCTACTGAATTTGATCAACTGAGAAGTCTTAAAGCAAGTGTTGGCAAACTTAGGCTTATAGGCCAAATTTGGCATGTAGCCTATTTTTGGATAGCCTGTGAGCAGAGAATGGTTTTTACATTTTTAAATGGATGGAAAAAATCAAAAGAATAGTAATTGTGATGTTTGAAAATTATATGAAATTTAAATGTTATTGCCCATAAATACAGTTTCATTGGCACACAGCCACACTCATTCGTTTACATATCACCTATGGCTGATTTTACACAGAGTTGAGTAGCTGCAACAAACTGTAAATCCTGAAAGCTTAAAATATTTACTATCTGGCCCTTTACAGGAAAAGTTTGCCACCTCTGCTTTAAAGTAATATAGGATTTATATTTTTGTCACTATGTGTCACTCTGTTTAATGAATATTTCCAAGATGCTCTGCTGCTCATCAAAATTAATTTTACCTTGTTACATTTTGCTTTTTTTTTTTTTTTTTTTTAAGATGGGGTCTCATTATATTGCCCAGGCTGGTCTTGAACTCCTGGGCTCAAGTAATCCTCCTGCCTCAGCCTCCCAAGTAGCTAGAACTACAGGTATGTGCCACCACACATACTTTTTAAATTTTTTTGTGGAGATTTTTAAATTTTTAAATTTAATTTTTAGATTTTTAAATTTTTAAGTTTTTTTATAGAGATTGGGTCTTGTTATGTTGCCCAGGCTGGTCTTGAGAAGTTCTGGCCTCAAGTAATCCTCCTGCCTCAGCCTCCCAAAGTGTTAGGATTTCAGGCATAAACCACTATGCCTGACCTGTAGTTTTAAATATTTGCTATTTTTTCATAAGCTTATGAAACTTCCGTTATATTCATTTTGGATAAATGTTTTATTATTTTCCATAGCTCTGTCTAGAGCCTATTTCCACTTGCTTGATGGTTTGATTACCACAATTAAGTCATTGGTAACTAGAATTCTGTAATTCTGAAAAAAATGCATAACCCATAAATTATACATGTTTGAGGCTAAAAGCAAGTGTAAATCCTTACATACAAGATAAAGGCAATACTATTCCAAGCAGTTTAACCAACAGTGCTCTCTATTAACTAGAAAAGGAAGTTAAACAGCCTCTATATAAATCCTACCAGTTGGTGGAGATGTCACTATAGCTGGTTTGTCTAAATTAAACAAAGCCTCCCTTGACTATGAACTGCATATACTGCCTATATTTTGGGGAAACATTCTATAAACTCACACTTCTGGTCCCTAGATTCAACGTAGCATAATGTGACATACTTCTTTGAAGACCAGTCCCTTGCTGGTTATTGTTCTCATCCAACCTGATCTAAAGTCTACTGAATTGGAATATTTAAGAGCCCTTTGTGATGGCATCTATGATTCTGTGCAGCTGAATATATTCAATTATTCCCTAGGAAATAGTTTTCTTCTTCCTTTGTTTGTTTAGGCAAGAAACTGTTGTGAGATATCCAGAATGTTAAGTGATTCTGCCCCAGAGCATGTGTTAGAAACTATAAGGAGCATTTTATGACTTTCAATTCTAAAAGGTTTGTCAGCTTTGGATTTCTAGAATTGGTTGTGTCCATGTTTCTCTTCATCCTATTGGGACTTACTGTTGTTAGCAACCTCTTGTGTGGTTTTAAGATATCTTGACCTCTTTGAAACCTTTCCAGGTGTCACTGCCACTTTCTTGATCTCTGCAATGTTAGCTACATTGTTTAGTGGAGTTAAGTTCCGTGAACTTTAGAAATCCTCCCTGAGACTATGAATTGACTAACACCCAAGGTAGCATAAACATGCAGACACAAATGTTCCTAAAACAAAGCTTGCTGGGCAATGCAGGATATGACTTGGAGTCTGGAAAAAGGAATATTTTGCTCAATTGTGCATCTATGACAAGCTCCAGGTGCAGTTTGAAACTGAGTGGCTAGTTTTTCTGATCCTCATGTAGCCTCTCATTAGAACACAGCAGAATTTTCAACTGTGAATGTAATGAATGTAAGGAATCCCATGAAGACCCTCTGGGCCCATTAAGGCTTCTGGCTTCAGAGGGTCCTAAAACCCACTTACATTAGCATACAGAAATATAGTAAGAAGACGTCGTTTTTTATAAATATTATCTAGGTTATCTAGGTTTTAGTCTTAAGAAGATTATAATGACTGCAGCTTATTTTAAAAGTTGCATCCACAAGATGCAGTTACAAATTTAAAAGAAAAAACAAAGTTTATTAGATACCTGTTTTATGTTTAGAGTTTGTGATTAAGAAGCTCCTATTATTTTTGGTAACACAGTTAAGACTTTGCAAGGGTTCATACTTGGACTAAGAATCCCCTATTAGTTTAGCCTTAGATGTGGCCTACTATTCCAGTGATTTCTCAGCCCTTCTTTTCAAACTTCAAAGCTTGGCTATTCTAACAGACAAATCATGCTGCCAAAACCTAGGGGAGTGAGACAACATTGAAGTGACACTGTATTGAGAATTAAAAGATAAGGAATTCAGTCCTAATTCTGCCACTACCTAACTTAACATTTCTATTTGTCTCCTTATCTATAAAATATGCATAACAAATAATACTGCACAGGAATGCTGTGAATATAAAACTTGTAATAAATACAAAAAGGCCTTGAAATAGTGCAAATGAGTATGAAAATGAAAGGTGTGCTGGTGACAGTGGTTGTCTATTCATTCTTTCCTGCTGACCTCCTCTCCACCCAGAAACTGTATGTCTATAGCATGAAGACTACTGCTCCCCACACTCCTGAGCCAGTTGTTCTCTTATGATCACCCTTCCCATCCTGGCTCCAGTGTCCAGAGAATCCTGAGGGTCTCTGAGGGATATGCAAGCTATGCATCTTCAAATGACTGGAGAGTTAAGCTTCCTCTGCTTTGCTTTCTACCGGCTAAGGCCTGGAGCTTGCTGTGTGTGCATCGGTAAAGTGGCTACAGGTACAGTGTACAATTACATGTTACTGCAGCTTCTCAGAGGCTTCTTTCCTGTCCCACATAATTCATTGCTGGGAATGCAATGACAATGGAAACTTAGAAGATCTAATAGGTTATACAGGAAGTGTTAACATGAGTTCTCTCTAGGTGGTTGGAATTATAGGTGTTTTTTGTTTGGTTTTGTCAGTATACCTGTATGCTCTCACTTTTGTAGTCCATAGGAAAAAAAATTAAACATAGATGAATTTGAAACAAATAAAACATCCTTTATGTTACACGAGGAAAACAACTTAAATACTTCTAACATGGACATTTCTAAAGAGGAAAATTAGAAAACAAGGGTATGTGATTTACCCTAAAAATATGAATGCAATACCATATCATGTGAAAAAATTTTTATGAAAAACAGACATGTATTTCAGTGTCCTGTCAGATTAATGTGAACTAAATATATTTAAATAAGAAATACTGCATTATATTTACTTTTCCAAATTGTATACCAATAGTGTGGCAATCTGATGAAAAAACAAGAAATCAGCATCTAGCTACCCTCAGATGGAGCCCAAGGGGTATAATGTATTCTGATGCTGGTCTAGAGACCAGATGGGAAAACTTGTTCTCTAATCTAATGACTTTCTTTTAATCACAAGCAGGCAGTAGTTTTCTTATTACCCAGAGTTTAACAAATACATTATTCTCGAGAGTACTTCCTAGGATTTCTTTTGCTCACTTAAGACTACATCTTTGTATTTAATTCATCTTCATATTATCGCTACAGGACACATATCTCTAATTATTCCCATCTAAAGGGACAGGAAAATGAAATTACACTACTTGGAAAACAGACATCCTTTGGTGTGTCTTTTCTCAGTGCTCCCTTGGACATAGTTTTTCACTGTCATTGTATCACAGATTGTGAGCTGTCCTCAGAGGGCAAGGCCTGTGACTTACCTGTCTTTGAATTCCCAGTGCCTAGCATGTGCCTGCTACCAAGGACACACACAGAAAAAAAATCTGAAGAAACAAATGAATAATAATACCGAACACAATGCTTATGTATTAATGCCTTATACATATGAATTCACTTAGTCCTTATAACCCTATGAAATAAGTACTACTTTTATCCCATTTTACATATGAGAAAACTGAAGAACAGAAAGTAGAGCAAGGTTACACACAGCTAGGATCCAAACCTGGCTCTCGAGTCAGCCTCTTCATCACCACACCCTGCTGCCCCCGCCCCAAGCACCAGTGCTAAACAGGAAAATGCTCCATTCCAAGAGAAGCGTGTGCTCCCATCTCTAAACACTCTTGGGTTTCCGTCAGATGTAGCTACGCTGTGTGGTTCCTTCGGAGACTTAAAAAGGGAAATAACTGGACAGGCACACAAGTGCAGAAGAAATGAATCCCCAACCTTAACAATGGCTGTTTGTAAGGGTGTTTCTCAAATACCTGTGGGGATTTGTGAGAGCGCCAGCTGTACTGGTGACTGTGGAGACTCGCCAGCAGAATATTTTCATCAGTATCCACCTGGCCAAACCGCAGTGTCTCCTGTGTGTCATTACAGATCACAAAATGGCTGAAGACCAACTCCTCTACCTCAGGGCATTTGTTCTGAAAGAAAAAGGATACGAAAGCCAACATGGATCGGATTAATTGTAAGATGTTTGGCAGCTGTCTGCCCAGTGGCGATTGTTACAACACAGAAACCCTAAAAGATCTGTTGTCATTAGCTCTGGTATACAAAGTATTCTATACTGCCAGGATAAGCACACACATAAAAAATACCTTTAAGAGATTTTAAATGTTCCAAGAATGTGTTTTGATTTATACTCCCTCAAAATAAATCATACACGCTGAAGAGTAAAAGAACAATGAGATCCCTCAAACTTTTAACATTTCTTAAAGTGAATTAACATGCTACAAACAGTGCTGTACTGGGTAGTGCACGTTTTTGAGCAGAGTACTGGAGGCTAGAATTACCATGTTCCCAGCTTCTAAACTCAACAATCAAGACCAATTACCAAAGCCACAGTTTGTACCCTACAGAAAGTAAGAATCATTTAGGTAAAACATCCCCAGATCCCTTAAGAGGGAGGGTGGATATGTGTGTGTGTGTGTAAATCTGCTCAGTGAGAGATGTAAATAAAACCATAACTTTCCCTCTATTGTTAAGAGGCTGAACATACAAAACAGATCAACTCCAGAGTCAGTGTAAGCCAAGTTGCAGTTTTCTTGAGAAATAATGTTAGTTGAAACAGTTTTCAGTATTTGTTTCAGCTAAGTCATCAGTCAGCTAAAATCCTTCATTAGTCAGCTAAAGCGCAGCAAATTAATAATACGTTCCTTTGTTGATAACTCCTTTCTCATTTAATGGTGCCTCCATTGGTTGCTGTTACATTAAAACACTGGCAAAGTAATAAAGTATTTCCTTGCTTACTCTTTTATCACTCTGGTTAGGCTATGGCTTAAAAAGAATAAACATACTTTTGGTAAACTAAAAGAATGCTAAATAAATGATTAACTTGAGAATATAAGAAAAACATCATAAGTAGCTAATTAATTTGCAGATAATGGGAGATAACATGTAACTGATGCTTCTCCAGTTGGCCTCTATTTCCTGGCTATGGATCTAAATAATGTCAAAATGTCACACTCCATCATTTGCCACTTTACTGAGAAGTGGGGGAGTAAACAGAGATACAACTCAGAAGCATTGTGATTCAAGTACGGAGGAGGCATGAAGCCAAGGAGACTACAGATGAATGTACTTGGAATCCAGCCTGGGCCATGACCAGACTTGTACCCATTAGGGTACAGACTCATCTTGGGAAACAGAATCTACTCCTAATCATCCAGAATGCCCTTGAAGTAGGTGGGCAGGCTCTATGCTGCAGGTGGTGAAGTGGCCCTGACATACCTTATTCTTCCAGAGGCCCTTGAGGACTTCTAAGCCCTCTCACATCATCCATCTATTCCCATTGAACCGAACCTTGCTTCATAGTCACACTAATCGCCAAAAGAGTTTCTGGCTAAGTGAGACCAAAGTACTCATAACAACAAGCATCTGTCATCTACCATAATACTCTCTACTATGGATTTTAATTGGTAGCAATGATTTCAAAACTTGACTGCTGTTGAGTTTTAGATGAATCATCTTACCCAGCCCCTGCCCATGCCTCCAACTGCATCTTGAGCTACTCTCCATTTGCTGAGGGCATTTGCTCAGGACACTCCAGCTCCACTAGCCTTTTCCAGCTCCTCCAGCACTACGCTGACCTCCTTCCAACTCATCCAACACATCAAACTACTTCCTGCCTCAGAGCCTTCCCTCTGCTTGGACATCTTTTTCTCCATTTCTTGCTTGACCAACTTGTTTCTACTCAACTTCCAGATTCCTGTTTTAAGGTTGGTTTTAAGAGCAGCCTTCTGAGATCCTCCCAAGGTCAAGGTAGGTTCTCCTATTTTACGCTTACATAAGATTCTATATTTCACCTTCAGAGCACTTGTTAATTTGTACCATTATGGGTTCAATATTGTCTCCATAATTAGACTGTATGCTGCAGAAGGGCAGCAACCACGTCTTTACAGTTTTTATTCTTTACAGTTTTATCTTCAGTATCCAGCATAATGCCTAGCCGATAAATACTTAGGAAATAAACAAACGAAAACTTTGGTAGATTTAATTTGTAAAATTATAATTATATATTCACTGTACAAAGTTAGAAAATACAGGGGAGAAGAAGGGGAGGGAAAAATTAGGAAATACAGGAAGTATGGATTTTTAAAAATCTTTAATTTTAAACTCAGCAATAACTACTATTAACATTTTGGTGAATTTTCTTCAAATAGTTTTTCCCTTCTGAATGTCCTGCCTGTTACTATTCTAGTCTGTCCTATCCAATCCTTTTTTATATATTTATCTACAAACCTTCAATCAAACTGGAATCATAGTATGTAATTAGTTTTGATGAGATTTTTCCATTGAGCATTATATAATCAACATGAACTGCTCTACTTGTAAACATTTTTCTTTCCTTTCAGTGCGAGTACAGACATGAAGAAAGGGATATGATTCCAATCTCCCACTTAGTTACACATCCTGAGATTAAAATTCAGTTTTCATAATGAATTGGGATCAATCTGCTGGTAACACAGAGGTTAAGTTACCAGATGGGGCTTGAGCAGAAAAAAAACATCATATTACTTTCTTCATCTCTAAAAACTGACCTTTAATAAATGATGAGGGTTTTAGGAAAAAATGTAAATTAAAGAACACAAGGGGGTTGTTTACATTTTTCTAAAGAATATTCAAAGTCCTCAGGGAACTATTTCTCTACTGCTGCTTCATCTGTGGAGTTCATTATAACTGTAATAAGTTTAAGCATTTCTTGGAATGTTTTAAATTCTGTTGTAATATTAAAAAGTTCACATGTATTTGACGTCACATCATAGATGTTGAGCCTCAGAATGCTCACTTGGAATCATAATTAAAAGATGGCTTATCCACATTTAAGTTTCATGGAGTGTCATACAAGCATTTGCAGTTAAACAGATACACCATTTTGGTGTAAGAGAAGACACATAAGTGTAACCTTAATTTAAGAAAAAAACCCTTTTAATACTTTTTGTCCAAATCTGGGAAAGTGACATAGAAATATAAAACAAATTGCAAATGGCATTTTGGATCCTTAATCTGTTTTCACAAAACAGTCATCATTTATAAAAGGGAAAAGAAAATCTATAGCCAGAGAAATCAGACACTGATGAAGGCTTCTGTTAATCTTGAACTTATGACCTAAAGGTGGAAGGCCAAATTGTTTCATGCTTCAACTGTCTGGTCCATCCACACTGGGGAAAAATGACTTGTCTCCAATATGAATCCGATAAAAGGTATGTGGAGAACTAAAATCACTTTGCTTGCTTATTAAATTCATATTTTTCACTGGCAGCAATTACACTATATGTGAGCAGTATACACACAATAAAATCCAAGTTTGGGAAACTAAACTTCCGCTTCTAAAGGGGATAAACCACATTCAGAACATCTTAGAAACAATGAACTCAATAACCCTTTGTAAGCCCATTTCAATGTCAAATGTCCTATAATTTCAAAGTAGTGCACTTTCATATTTACTTTAGAATACACAGGGTTAGGTGCCTACCACATTAAAACTTGGTGGCAAGTACCCTTGACATGAGAGGAAACAAGAAAATTACAGCAACAATTACAGAAGTATATCCTCTTGTGGCTCATGTTAACGTTGCCAAATCCCTGTATAAATCAGAACCAACTATTCATAGAATGTACCTGTCAGCAATATGCTACGTGACATATGGCTCTACTTAATCAAATATACAATTCCATTAAAAAAACTCAGAATATTCCTTCAAGGCACTATGTTAGCCAGTCAGTCATT
The DNA here is from genome assembly GCF_000001405.40 of Homo sapiens. Taxonomy (NCBI): domain Eukaryota; kingdom Metazoa; phylum Chordata; class Mammalia; order Primates; family Hominidae; genus Homo; species Homo sapiens. The sequence continues at coordinate 99,780,508 of NC_000008.11, read as the reverse complement.
CACACTCTGATGTGGTTTAAAACATTTAAATATTTATGCACCATATTTTATTTATATGTATAGCTGTGTCTAAGAGAGTATTTTTACCCTGGGAGGAAACTGGTATTTCTGAAGGCCATTTTGCAGTAGTTGCTACACATGAGTCCCCTTATAATGGTTCTGATACCAAGACAAAAATATCCTGGGTTTAAATGTTCTATCAATGATTCTTTTATATTTTCTAGGTTTGTTTTTTATTAAATGTATTGTTCAAAATACAACCAAAAAACAGAAATTGGAGCCATAGAGGTCTTTTTTTTCACATGGCTATTTGAACCAGCTGCAAAGATTTAGATCACACTAGCTCTTATTTTACGCATGTCCTTTGCAACAAGAAAACCATGGAATGCCCTTAAAAAATATTTTTAAAACATAAAACAGATGTGTTATCTTCTTTCCCTTTGCTATTATAGTGCCATGTTAGGTAATTAATTCCTTGGTCTTGTATAGGTCTTCATGCATATAAAGAAAAATATTTATTCTCATACAAATTCTTAAGTTAGAGAACAAAAGCTCCTCTTCCCCTTAACTGCTCCATCCCAAAAGGAGGTCAGTGGGGGATGAAGCACCGTTTCTCTCGGGTAGCCAGCCTCACACAAATGTAATATATACAAAATGTGGGGAAATGTTTCAGCTTAAATAGCAACACAAACTTGATGGAAATACAATATAACACTAAAATCAGTAAGGGAAGCAGAAGTGATTTGTTCTTAAATCATTGAACATATTATCATCCAAATATTCTGTGAAGTTACTTTTGTGCTAGCAGACATGGACAGGTTTCCCATTTTAAATATGCCACTTATCATAGACTTACGCTTCATCCCTTTTTTTGGTTTGGTTTATTTCTGATAAGAAATAAAAGTTAAAAAATTATTAAAATAATCAAGGCTCTCTAATTGATTTAAAAATCCATTATCTAGTACTTTTTAGTGAATCAAAAAGTCAGAAAGAGTAGAGGAAAAAACTAAGACTGTATTGTACTCACATATTTCATCTCGCTGCTTTTTTTGTTTGTTTGTTTGAAAAGATCGAATGCTTATCATTAGAAAGGGTCACACAGGTTCTTTATTTCTGCAATGGACCGTTAGACAATTTGATACATAGCTAAGTTGAAGCTTTGGCAAACTAAAGCCACAATACTTGGAAAAAATTTCTGGGAATATGTTACTTTCCACACAGATGTGGTGCATTAGTCACAAAAATGTGGGCATGATCTCCAATGCATGTGTAGAGAACCTATATTCTCCAGTTTTTCAAAAATAACATGCATCACTTTGCCAAAACAGAGAAGGCCTCAAGTATAATGGTGCCCATCAAATTCTTCATTCTCTAACATTTTTGTTTGTGTTGAACTTATTATCAGAAGTGATAGCATACAGAACCTAATAAAAGATCATATGTGGCCAAACTGTAAACTGTTATGGAATGTGCATACCTGTTGCCAAGCTTGTATTGCAGTGTTTAGTGAATGGACTACATGCTGTCCAAGGTTTACAAATACAGAATCAACTATCACGGTGCAGTCAAGCAGCTTTTCCACTACATCGCTGGAAACTGCCATCTGCCCGAAGATGCTGAAGGGTTTCACCACACTTTGCATAGTGACATTTCTGCACTCTAGAAGTTTACAGTCTGCTTGAGCTAAGAACTGGATCTCCTGACAGACAGAACCATTATTCCACTGTCGAAGATACATGTGTGGTTCTCTGAAGGAAACAATCATGTATTCTAGTTCAGATGGCATATTTCTGTCGGAAACAAATGGCTGTAGGTACTGTGGTGCAGCTGTTGAGAAAACAAACAAGGAAAACAGCAATTAAGATGAGCCAATATTTTGTGAAAATAAAGAGTGAAATGACATTCAAACTATTCACTTTTTGATTATTGAAATTAGTTTTTGGTGTTTAATAAATTCAAATTATTTATTGAAGATATTATAATCTTTGGATTCCCATTTGATATTTGAAAACAAAACTGTTTTGTTCAATTAGGCCTCTTAAATATATATTGTCCAAAAGTAACTTTCACAAAAAATTGATCACAGAAGCCAATAAATAAACTGAAAAGCAGGTATCTATCTAAAGAGAATTTTATAGAACTGCTCTGTAGCTACCAATCAAATCTCAAAACCAAAACAAAAACATGACTCAAAGAGAGTTAGAGAAAGCAGGTTAAACTCCATTTTTGCTGAAAAGGCAAGATGCTTAACAACAGCTATTTTTTTTTTTTTTTTTTGAGATGGAGTCTTGTTCTGTCACCCAGGCTGGAGTGCAGTGGTGTGATCTTGGCTCACTGCAACCTCTGCCTCCTGGGTTCAAGCGATTCTCCTGCTTTAGCCTTCTGAGTAGCTGGGATTACAGGCACCTGCCACCACGCCCAGCTAATTTTTTTGTATTTTTAGTAGAGATGGGGTTTCACCGTGTTAGCCAGGATGGTCTCAATCTCCTGACATGGTGATCCACCCGCCTCGGCCTCCCAAAGTGTTGGGATTACAGGTGTGAGTCACTGTGCCCAGCCAGCTGTGTTTGGTTTTAATCTGATTTTCTCCTCTTCCCTTCATTACATGTAGGTCAAAAACCTAATATATGAGTCAAAATGTATCACCTAGAAAAGGTTTGGTACAGAGCATATTGAGAAATAATTGTTCAAATAACATTAGTAAGCTTATAAAAGGCCACTTTTGGTGTGTGGGAAAATTTAAACTTCCTTCCAAACTTGTAAAAATGATACCCCTTTAAATTAATTTGAGACTGTGCCTATCTTTTGTGGAAAGTATTCATGATTTTGAAATCAGGCAATACCAAGTATTTTTGGAATCTATTTGCTACTAATGTAATGACTCAGGATACTGAACAAGAACAGACATATTTCTTTCAAAGGGATCTGATATGGTTTGGTTGTGTCCCCACCCAAATCTCATCTTGAATTCCCACGTGTTGTGGGAGATAATCGAATCAGTGGGGCAGGTCTTTCCTGTACTGTTCTCGTGATAGTGAATAAGTCTCACGAGATCTGATGGTTATAAAAAAACGAGTTTCCCTGCACAAGCTCTCTTAGCCTGTTGCCTTCCATGTAAGACGTGACCTGCTCCTCCTTGCCTTCCACCATGATTGTGAGGTCTCCCCAGCCATGTGGAACTGTAAGTCCATTAAATCTCTTTTTCTTCCCAGTCTTGGGTATGTCTTTATCAGCAGCGTGAAAAATGAACTAATACAAGATCATAATTAGAATTACAGTAAAACTAACTTCCTTGAAAAATTCTCATTAGGTAGCATTCAAAAACATGTCAGCTCAATACCATTGACAACTTATATAATGGGTTCATAAGCTGGTTCAGAAGTAAAGGTTATGCCTGTTTTGCCAAGTCAACCCCAGGATAACTTTGCCACTGCTCGCTTTATACTTCCTGAAAATACATTATCTAAGATTGTTGACTTCTCTTTTGAAAACACTCAAGAGAAAATGGTAAGTATTAAATGGATGTTATTCTGATGCTAAAAAAAAGAGTACCTGTGCCTAGTTGGTCAAGGTGATGACAAAGATGGAATTCCAGGTGAGCAAACTGGAAAGAAACGCAAAGGGATGGGACAAACCATGGGGTAAAGCAGGAGTCAACTCTGGTACAGGCAGCCAGGGCTGTTGGAGTCACAAGTGGATCACAAGTGCTTTGAGAACCAGACTCACTTGCAGAGCTATGGGAAAGAAGTGATAAAAGAAGTTCAATAACCAAAATTTCCCAATATTATATGAGTGAAACGTCTTTTTATAAGGGTTTCTAAAACTAGTACTGAAAATCCTATAGTCAATATTTTATCAAATCTTCTGTATTTTCCTATGTAAATTAGCTATTTTTTAAAATTAAGCTCGTGTTTGGCCAGGTGCAGTGGCTCATGCTTGTTATCCTAGTACTTTGGGAGGCTGAGGCAGCAGGATCACTTCAGCTCAGGAGTTCGAGACCAGCCTGGGTAACATAGTGAGACCTCACCTCATCCAGAAAATTAGCTGGATGTGGTGGCATGCACCTGCAGTCTCAGCTACTTGGTGGTTGAGGTGGGAGAATTGCTTAAGCACAGCAGGTCAAGGCTGTCGTGCACTGCATTCCAGCCTGGAATCATGTTGATTATTCTCTATGAATTGTTCACAGAAAACTTTTAAAGGATTCCTCAAATGCCAACTCATACTGATCTATGATCATACTGATCTCCAAATCAATGTGCTTCCATCCACATCTCACAAAACTTACGGGCCATTTGTTCTGTTATTAGTTTAAGATCAATGCAGTTCAGAGTATGACTCTGCCACTCAAAAACCCAATACTTCAGTGTCACCATAAATATTTCACCCTTGTTTTACTTCTCCAGATTGTCCATACCCATATTTCCATAGGAGTCAGTCAATATTCTTTATTAAGCACTCACTCACTACTGTAACGGGTGCCATAAAAGTTATGACCATATCCAGAAGAATGAGGGTCCCATGGACAATTACAATGCATGGGTCCTCTCTTCACTTGCCCATCCTCTTAACACTATTTTATACAAGTTAAATCTTTTCTTTTTTTTTTGAGATGGAGTCTACTTTTGTTGTCCAGGCCAGGCTGGAGCAGCGTGGCACAACCTTGGCTCAATGCAATCTCTGCCTCCCAGGTTCAAGTGATTCTCCTGCCTCAGCCTCCCAAGTAGCTGGGATTACAGGCGCCAGCCACCATGCCCAGCTAATTTTTGTATTTTTAGTAGAGATGGGGTTTCAACATGTTGATCAGGCTGGTCTTGAACTCCTGACCCCAAGTGATCCACCCGCCTTGGCCTCCCAAAGTGCTGGGGTTACAGGCATGAGCCACCAATCCCAGCCTGTATGAGTTAAATCTGATTAAAGTGAATAGTGATGGCATCCATAGAAGGGAAGATGTCTGCACATGGTGGCTGCTGCTGTGCACGGGAAGCATGCTGCCTAGATTGCATTAATGCTAACAGGAGCACGAGACCTGGGAATTTGGGATTGTTGGAGGAGAACAAGGTGTGTCCTGTTAATTGTGGATCACCGAATCAATGTTGCCCTTTCCCCACAGCTCACTGTCTTCCACTCTCTTCTTTTCATCCTGAAATATGCTCTGTAGCTATCACAGCCTGGCTCCCAAATCCATGAGGAGCCTAAGGACAAGCAATGTCATTTACAGTATCCTAGGGAGAACTATGACAGGAAGCACTAAAGAAACAAATCCTTGATTTTCAAAGAACTCACAGTCTAACTGGTGATACTCAATACGTAGACATTTACAAAAATTACCAAACAGAACGACCCCCCAGGAATAGGAAAGTGGGAAGTGCTGCCAGGGTGGAAACACAAGAGGAACTTAATGGCATGGGTGAATCATGTGGGATTTTCAGAGGTGTGAATCTTCCATTGGGTTTTGAAAGAGGTTGTGAAACAGGCTGGTGAAAATGAAAGCTAGGAGCATTCCAGCATGTTTACTGAGTTGTTTAACCTCAAAGGGTTTTCAGTTATGTGGTGTAAGCATTTACTGCAATGCTAGTAAATCTCCATTGCAGACAAAGAAAACAGACTCTGGAGCACTAGGTTATTGACTATGCACAAAAATGCAGCTAAGTATATTCTTAAAACATCTATAATGGGCACAGTAATCCAAGTAACTTTCTAGGAATTTGTAGAGTTAACAAAAGATTTCATTGGCAAGATAAAATTAAAACTTGTATTTATTCAGAAAGAGGAAAATATATTAGTTGTACATGTGTTTTACACATTTGAACTCTTTCCCTTATACTACTCATGTAAGTTTTTAGAAATAGGGCACAATGTTAGTCAAAATATTATTAAAAATCCAGGCAAGAGTTCTATGGGACCAGTTTTTTAAAATGGGTACACAGTTTGAGCATTTTTCTGACCAATTATAGTTTTTGACACTCTGATATTTTCCAAGATTTATTTTTCTATCTCCTGAGAGTGGCAAATATTATAACATATTACAAAAGGTTGCTAAAACATCATGAGTATCTAATACAATCTTTACTTATAACAAATTGATTGATTCTTCACTTTTCCTAAATTGAATGCACAAAGCAATGGTTAGACATATTTTTAGGTATATACAGTAGCTCCTGAATCATAAAATCATACTCCAGTAAGCATTAGTGCTAGTAGCACTACTCTAGTCAGCAATACTCCTTCAATCTTGAAATCCCGACTAAAATGGTTACTAGGTTAATTTATATGCAAAAATTAAAACTTTTATTTAAAAATCGGAGTCAACAAAATCACACACTTCTTAAACACAAAATATAGTATATGTAATTTGAATACAACTTTATTTTACATTAGCACATTTATAGTTTTTGATATTCTTAACTTAAATCACCATTATATACTATAAAAGTAGCATGTATGTGTTTACCTTTTACCTAAGGATTAAAATGATCTAAGTACAATAGGACTAAATAGTCATAAATATGAGTGATGACCCTGCTAGAGACTTGCAGTAGCTACATTTGTATAATTTCCCTAATTAAGTACAACAGTGGATTTTAATCTGATTCACATCTTAAAAGGTCAAACATCAGATGTATAATAAGCAGAAAAAGAAAAGTAAAAAATATCACAACTTATAATATTTATATTTCAATATTTCCCCTTTTCCCAGAAGACTTTCAAAACAGGTCAAATTCATGGCCAATGACAGTGTTCACAGAATTATCTGGTGCTCTTCACTTTTAACTGGAAAATAGTTCCTGGAAGCAAGACCTCTCAAATAGTAATAAACACAATTCACGATTCAGTAATTTATTCAAGTAGCTTTAAGTTCAGAGGGTTATTTAAGTGTTGTTTTTAGGATAGTGGAAATATCCTAGACAGTGAGAAGGATGGCAGGTGTTTTATTTATACCTTCATTTTAGCCAAAGAGTTACTTACCAACTGTCCTGAGTGACCTACAGAGGGGATCAATTCTTTAAACAAGGAGTGTTCAGTACATCTAGATGTAGACTGATCCTATCTTAATGGCACTGTGGGGACCTAGGCACAATCCCTAAAGATCCAGCTCTGAATGTCACTTCTCTATGGATCCCTTTATGGTAATAAAGATTTTATAATATAGGATAATATAGCATAGAGATTAAGACATGACTTGCTCCTCCTTGCCTTCCGCCATGATTGTGAGATTAAGCAGAGAATGACCAAGGTAGGAGAACCTAGAATAATGTATGCGCTGCTATCATTTATACTATAGTATTATGCAAGTTATTTCACCTGGCTAAGTCTCTGTATTTTTCATTTATAAAATGAGTACAGTAATTAGACCTACCTTTTTCAAGTATTACATGAGCTACTGCATATAAACTACTTAGCATGATGTCCACCACTTGATTAAAAACAAATGATGAAAAAAATCCATTCCTCTTTTTCTTGCGGGCAAGACAAGGTACCATACTGGCTACATAGGTTAATGTTAATTGATTATCTTTAGCTTCCTAAGAGGGATCTCACAACAGCATACTGGCATTCATCTCAATGGGGCACTGTCTCTCAACGTTGGTTCACATAAATTCTCCCCTACCCACTGCATGAACACTGCTCTGTCCATCCCGTGAGAGTGCTGAATGGCTGAGAGAGGACGCAGGAGAGAGGTGAGAGAGGATGCAGGAGTGTGTGCCTGTTGCACTGCATTTCTTCCACTCCTTACAATGGTTGTTTTCCAAATGTCTTAACCCTAACTCCAAATAACAAGCACACTTTTATTGTAATCCAGTATACACATATAAAACAGGGGAAAAGGTTTTCTGAAAATATGATGCATACTATTTTCTATTGTGATAATATATTAACTTATATAGCATAAAATTTATCATTTTAACCATTTTAAAGTGTACAGTTCAGTGACATTAAGTACATTCACATTGTTGTGCAACCATCACCACCATCCATCTCTAGAACTTTTTGATTTTCCCAAGCTGAAACTCCATGTCCATTAAACCCTCACTCCCTACTCTCCCCTCCCCACAGCCCCTGACAGCCACCACTATGCTCTTTATGAATTTGACTACTCTTGGGATCTCATGTAAGTAGAATCATATAATATTTGTCTTTTTCAAACTATTTTCTATTTTATTTTATGTTATTAAAAAAATTCCAGTTGTAACCAGCTATTTCATAACCCATGAATGTGCTCCAGTTTGTAGTTTGAAAAATAACCTTAAATGAGCCTTCAGGTAAAACACTCCTTTAAATCTAACTTAAAAAAAAAAAAAAAGGAAGAGTAATCTCCCAAGGTTCATAGAGTAGGCAATACGACATAGAGAGCTCATAAGTACCATCATCCAAGAACTCTGAGACCTGAGCAGCACCTGAGTACTTCAGGGACTGTGTATGCAAGAAGGACTGCATGGCAAAGGCCAACTCCCTGGAGGACTTCGTATACAGAGTTCAATCACCACCTAAAAGAAAATAGCAAAGGGCCTCAAAAGCAAACCTGGGGAAAAAATGTAAGTATTCCTTCCATTCAAGGAAGAGAAGACAAAAACTCAGCTTTAGCCTTAGGGAAGGGTAAAGGAAAGAATTTTCTGGATAAATCCTGGATTATACCAGTGTGTAACTAGAAACACAGGTGACAAAGCAGTTCCAAATGTCAAGATTTATGTATAAATGGCTTATAACACTAAATGAATTACCCAAAAATCTAGATACATCTAAAAGGGCAGACCCAAGTAGCCAAATGGAGAGAAACAATATCTGGAAGGCCACAGTCACTTTTTGGGAGGAGAGAGTTCAACCAGCAGAGAGAAAAGAAATGATTCAGGGACTTATTCATCATCACGCTTTCTCTGATTCCTCCACTGTCTATATACACAAGAATAAAGGTTTTGGGAAATGAAAAGGAGTTCTTCTTCACATTCACACACTCATATATACACAGGCTGTGGATCACTGTCTCAAAGATTCCCAAATATGAGTGGACAGTGATTTCTTTTATGAGACCTTAAGGGAGTAGGAAGAAAAAATATATAGATATATTAAAAAGCACTTTATACAACTCGCCAGAGGTTTAATTTTTATCACATGAAGAAAGAGCCATACACCCTTAAGCCATTTCTCTTTCCAAGATGCCTTCTGTCATGAGTCAGCATTTTGTGGGTAGAGATAAAAAGTCCTTACAAGCAATCTGCTCTCACATGCTTTAATATTGTGAGAAGATGACCATGAAATATGGACAGGAAAGTACCAAAGTCTTGGCACAGATCAAGAGTTTAACATTATCATCAAACAACTTATACAGAATTAACCAGACATACATATTGAGATCTGCACAGTTACTATTGTGTTATATAATAAATGTCTGTAATTTGTGTGACTTTCCACAGCCAAAATAAGTATTTCTGGAATTAGCTCTCTAGGGGTGAAGGTAAGAGGGAATAAATAAAGTAAAAATTGTTCTGATCCATCAGAAGACACCTGATTGATTTCAAACCCAGGGAACCTGCCAGGCTGGCCCAAGAGAGTAGGGCTCATGATTCCTTTTCCCTTTTGTTCCTCGCAGGGTTAGTCACCTGGTAAGAAGCTGCCAATTGCAAATAAGAGTGTGCACTTGCTGGATGTCTTCTGTTTGCTCTCTTGACCCACCTTCTACCATTCCCCACCTTCTTCTTTGCCTCCGGAAGGGAGCTTTCTGGACTGCACCAACAAGCTACTTTGTCCTCTGGCTTGTCCTCGGATTCAGTCAGTGGGAGGTACCCACAAGGTGACTTAGAAGGCAGAAGAGGAATGAGGTAAGGGTATGTATTTTCCCGGTTCCTTTGCAGCCAGATCTCTGTACATTAGCTGTGTTCCTCTACCAAACGTAGCTACAAACATCCTCGCTGAGTTAGAGTTTTGATAATGGCTCTATCACCTGGCTTCTTTTGGCCTAAGATTGGGACAGTTTCCCAGGGTTCCTAGCCCATACTTTTGCAGTTCATTAAACTTTCCCCAGTCACCCAGTCTGAGTTGCCATCTGTTTCCTGTCAGAACCTGACTGATAAGAGGTTTACTTAGGCTTTGGAAACAGGCAATGGGTGTGGACAAATACATACACGATGGGAGTAAGATAAACAGCTGAAATGGATAGCATGACCAGGGCTCCAGAGGGTGCATCCCTTGCCTCTAGTCCAGTGCACAGCAAATAGAAGGGGAAGGCTTTCAAAGGTCAGTACTATAAAGGTCAACATTTACTTCAAATGCTCCCTCCCAAAAACCATAATATGATCAAGCAAACCATTAGTTAAAGATATAGGAACCTAACTAATGACTCATTTTTTATTTTTTGAGACAGGGTCTCGCTCTGTCACCCAGGCTGGAGTGCAGTGGTGTGATCTTGGCTCACTGCAGCCTCTGCCTCCTGGGCTCAAGCAGTCCTCCCACCTTAGCCTCCTGATCAGCTGGGACTACAGGCATGCACCGTTTTGCTTGGCTAATTTTTAAATTTTTGTGTGGAGACAAAAGTCTCACTATTGCCCAGTCTGGTCTTGAACTCCTGAGCTCAAGCCATCTTCCCACCTCAGCCTCCCAAAGTGCAGGGATTATAGATGTTAGCCACTGAACCCACCCAATTATTGACTCTATTTTGTCTTTGGTCATTTGCACTGGGGGCTCCCTGTCATCCATTGAACTGGTTAGTGCCTATTCATTCCTTAAAGTCTCAGTTTAGAAATCAATCTCACAACACCAAATAGCATATTGTTGATGGAGCCAGGCCTTAAACCTAGGTCTTCACCTTGAAAGGTGGAATAGAGGTCTTCTACATCTATTAAATGCTATCTCTATTTACATATTTACGGTGATGCCATTACCACAGGAACATTAAAACTTCATCTCAATTATAGGCAAGAGGCTCTTCTTTTTAAATTAGGCTTCATGGGATATATTTTTGTGACCTTTCTTCCAGTAATGTCCAATAGTCTGATGTAAATCCTTCTCAAACCACTGAGACTATCCTTTATAAGACAATCTCTAATCATAAAAGTACCAGGTTTTTGTCCAGATTTAGATTTCTCTTGTGACAGAATATACTGAGGCTAACTGTAAAAGCTTTCTGTCTGCATGAAATATTGACATATTATCAAATCATTACTGTTTTCTTTCTAGAAATTGGATGAAACAAATATAATCCTTAATAGTGTTTTATTTTGTTGACTTTTAAACCAGCTCTTCTAATTTAATTTCATTAATATCAACTTCTATCTGAAAAATGATTAGTCTCAAACAATTTAAAGTGAGATAAATTGTGAAATATTAGGTAAGGTGAAAAATCCCTGGTGAGGACAAAGATCTGTGACTACAATGTCAGATGCTTGGTGAAAAACTGCCTGAATTTGATTATCTGCTTAAATTTCTGTTTCCTAAAGGCTCCACATTTCTATACTGCTAAGCTTACCACAAAAGTAATTTTTATAAATGTTTCAGATTCAGAGGCATTAGCTTTCTCTACAATGCTTCTTTCGATGGTGAAAATGTATTACTTCATAATTAGAATCAAGAAGTCATTTCTAACTTGATACTATTAATGAAACTCAGATTTAAAAAAATCAATTTAGTTATCCATAGCTCTATTTTCTGAGATTTCCTGGTTTCTGATGAGATAACCTGAACTTAGAAAAAGCAATCTTTCCATCCATGAAATAATTCATCACAGGATGGGTGTTCTTTTTATTGCTGAACTATATGCAGGTAAAATTAAAACACTACTTCTCTAATATATTTTCACTAATTCTACAATACTAGCTAAACTGTTAGGAAAGTAAATATTTTTAAAGAGCCCAAATGACCTAGAAATAGAATATATGAAATATAAAACACAAAACACATTATTATCAAGCATACAAAATAATCAATGAAAAAGACTATGAGGCTACAAACCAAAATGTTAACAGAAGTTATCTCCTTGTAATTATGGGCAGTATTGTTTTATTTTCCAAATGTTCTTCAATGAACATATGTTAATAAAAATAAATATTTCCAAAGAAAAAGTATTCACAATAATTTATAATAAAAAGTAGGAACTGGAATACAAAGTGGTGTGCTATGATTATAACCTTGTAAAAGCGTGTACACATATGGGCAAAAAGAACGGTAACAGAGAAAAGAAAAAACATTTGATTTGCAAGGTATTGGAATGGTGGATGGTTTTTTTTCTGTTACTGTCAGAATGTTGTTTCCAGGGAAAGAAGAAGGTATTACATAAAAGGAATAAGATAACAACACTAAGCCAGCCCATCAGGAGAAGTGGCACGTAGGGCATCCACAGCAATGAACAGCATAGCCTCACAGTACACATGATAGTATATGACCCAAGAAAGCTGTTCCACTGGTTGTGGTTTACTTTGTTTATCGTCTTTTATGGGGGCATGAGCAAAGGGACTTAGCAAATGTGTGTAAGCTAGAAGTGCTGAAGAATAGATTGCTGAAGCTATTTTTCTCTACTGTAAATTAGTGGATGTGTTAAGTAGGCAAAAACTGAAATGAGGATAATCTGGTCTAGAGATTTTTTTTGGTGTGTGTGACAGGGTCTTGCTTTGTCACCCAGGCTGGAGTGCAGTGGTGAGATCACGGCTCACTGCAACCTCACCCTCCGGGGCTCAAGGGATCCTCTCCCCAACAGCTTCCCAAGTAGCTGGAACTACAGGTGTGTGCCACCATGCTCAGCTAGTTTTGTATTTTTTATAGAGATGGGGTTTCACCACATTGCCCAGGCTGATCTCAAACTCATGGGCTCAAGCAGTCTACCCGCCTTAGCCTTCCAAAGTGCTGGGATTACAACTGCGAGCCACTGTGCCCGGCCAGCTCTAGGGATTCTTTATGGCCAGTGAGGCTTTATAGGTGGATAAAACTTTATCTGTATAAAATCCATTGGGTATGAGTTATTTTGGTTAGCTACACAAGTTTCTTAGTGTCTGGAGGACTGTCGCCTTTTTTTTTTTTTTTTTTTTTTTTTGAGAGAGTTGCACTTTGTCACCTAGGGGAGGCTTGTCTTTTAAAGTTTTAAAAAAACAATTAAGATGAAAATATTCCTAAAATTTACCTTTTAGAAGGAGACAATTCAATTTTTTTTTAACATTTCTTTTAATGCCCCAGGATAATCATTACACATATTGATTATGATGTCATTAAGCTTCTATTGAGGTGTGTGTATGACTGTATGCCTCTGTATTTTGAGGTTGAAGATGACTAGACTTTTTGTTTAACTTGCTTTTTTCCATTTTTTTCTTTTTATATTTAAGGAACAGGTTCTTAGTGAGGGCTCACAGAGCTGTATTATGAGTAAAAACACAGGATTTTGAGTATGCAGACTTTGAAACATCAGATTTTGTCTTTCTTTGTGGTTCTCATCTGTTGTTCAGAGAGATGCAGCTGCTAGACAGCTGAGATACAGTTAAGTGAGGGGTCACTAGATAGGAAAAGATGACTTATCATTGTTTCCCAGTGTAATGCTACCATATCATCTTTCAATGAATTACCTTTGGTCATCAGCTCCATTTTGACTGCTGTTCAAGACAATTCTCCAAAGATCTGAAGATACTAATTTCTTCTGGTCATTCACGAGATTGATATCCGGCAACTGCAGTTCACAAACTTTGCTTTCAGACAGATTAAATTCTCTAAATGCAACAAAAACCTTCTGGAGTTCATCCCAGTATTCCAAGCTACAAGGAACCTATGTTAAAATAAAAAAAATTTAGAAGTTGCAAATAGAAACTATGCTTTTATATTTGTTGAAATTCAAATTAAACCTTTATAAAAATTATAACATTAAGACCTTTAGAGGAGAATAAGGTTATAAAAGACAGTAGTTTAGGATTTCTTTTCATATTATTGTATATTCATCCTGTTTATTTTTAAAGACCAATTCAAGAATAATATATAAAAACAGCCAAAATTTTAAAAGTAATAATGGAGAACAAATTCTACAAGGTGTTAAATGTATTATAAACCCATAGTAAGTAAAAGATAAGGCTAGTGTAGTAACATACAAATAGATTAAAAGAATAAAATAGCAGAGAAAGGGCTAAGTACAGACAAAATCTTACTATGCAATGAAGGTGCCAGCCAGGCATGGTGGCTTGTGCCTGTAATCCCGGCACTTTGGGAGGCCGAGGCGGGCAGATCACCTGAGGTCAGGAGTTTGAGACCAGCCTGGCCAACGTGGTGAAACCCCATCTCCACTAAAAATACAAAAATTAGTTAGCCAGGTGTGGTGGCGTGCACCTGTAATCCCAGCTACTCGGGAGGCTGAGGCAGGGGAACTACTTGAACCCAGGAGGCAGAGATTGCAGTGAGCAGCGGTCACACCAGTGACTGCACTCCAGCCTGGGCGACAGAGCAAGAATCTGCCTCAAAAAAAAAAAAAAAAAAAAAAAAAAAGTAATGAAGGTGCCACACCAAATAAGTAGGAGAAAGACGGAAAATGAAGCTGCAAGAACTAACTAGTCACTTGGTAAAACCAAAGTGGGTCCCTACATCATTCTTTACACAAAAGTAAACTCCAAAAGGATAAAACTGCTGAAGGCTAAGAAGTGAAAGTGTAAGAGAAGAAACATGTTAATATTTTTAAAATGTTATAATAGGGTAGACTTTTGTATGTATGGCATGAAACCCATGATAAAATCAAATTTTAAAAAGTAAACTGGAATAAGACAGGTAACATTTGATGACAGGTGAAGGAATATTCATTCTGATAGGAGAGAGCTCTTACAAATCAATGAGAAAATGATACATAATCACAGAGAAAAGGTAGATTTTACAAGTTCCTCAACTGTGCCAAATGTCTACTGCAAGCAGAGCATCCCCCTGGGGGCACTTCTGCATCACGCTTGTGGGACTTGGGAACAAGGGGAACCAATGAAAACATGATGCTCATGCTGCTTGCCATGCCACAAGCAATAGACTTCTTTGCTTCTGACCAGGAGTCTTATTCCTTCTGCCAGCACCCATGAAACACTAACAAGATAACTTACTAGCTTGCACTGGGTAAAATCCCAGATCCTGACAGCAGTTAGATCACAGAAGAAAAAATATAACCAGCCAGTAAACACAAAAAGATAAAAAGATACTCAACTTCACCAATACTCAAAGAGATTCAAATTAAAGCAATAATGTAATATTTTATTTACTAACCTTTCAGTTTAAGAAGACTGATCGGTCTGAGTACTGTACAAGCATGAGAAAAAAACAACTTTTCTTTTATAGACAGAGTTTTGCTTTTTCACCCAGGCTGGAGTGAAGTGGTACGATCTCAGCTCACTGCAACCTTGGCCCCTGGGTTCAAGCAATTCTCCCACCTCAGCTTCCCGAGTAGCTGGGATTACAGGCATGCACCATCACGCCCAGCTAATTTTTGTATTTTTAGTAGAGAAGGGGTTTCGCCATGTTGGCCAGGCTGGTCTCGAACTCCTGACCTCAGGTGATCCACCTGCTTCAGCCTCCCAAACTGCTGGGATTACAAGCATGAGCCACCGCGCCTAGCCAAAACTTTTTTTTTCCCCTAGGAAGTATGCTTCTAAGAATTTGTTTTACAGAGATTCCAAAGCACAAGTGTGTGTGCACACATATATATGTATATACATATGTGTGTGTATGTACTTCAGTACTGTGTTTATTAATAAGAAAAGTTGAAACAAGTCGAATATCATCAATAGAGGATTGGTTACATGTAACATGCAGATCTATAGGATGTATTTCTACACAACTGTTAAAATGAATAAAGTATATCTCTATGCCAGGTGTGGTGGCTCACGTCTGAAATCCCAGCACTTTGGGAGGCCAAGGGGGTGGATCACCTGAGGTCAGGAGTTCAAGACCAGCCTGATCAACAAGGTGAGAAACCCCGTATCTACTAAAAACACAAAAATTAGCCAAGCGTGGTGGCAGGTGCCTGTAGTCCCAGCTATTCAGGAGGCTGAGACAGGAGAATTGCTTAAACCCAGGAGGTGGAGGTTGCCATGAGCCAAGATCGCGCCACTGCACTCCAGCCTGGGCAACAGAGGGAGACTCCATCTCAAAAAAAAAAAAAAAAAAAAAAGAATCTCTCTCTATATTAACACAAAAAGACATCTAGGAAATATTATTTTGTTTAGGATGAGAACATGTGGGTTAATCCTATGTGTCTTAAAAAATAAAAGAGTGGCTCAGATGTGTTTCCCTTTTTGGAAGCATTCCCTAATTACCATCCTCAGAACTGATCACTGCCTCTCTTGTGTCATGTCTATACCTAGTACACTACTCTAACACAGGACTCACTATATTTTGTAATTACTTATTTATATGTTTGTCTCCTTTAGTTGACTCTAAGATCCTTGAGGGCAGAAATGGCACATTATTTAAAAAAATATTACTAGCACCTAACACAGTTTTGAGGACAAAATGGGATCTCAAAAAAGCTTCTTTAATGAACAGATTGCTCCCTAACCTTTCTTTCCTAAATAAGTAATTCTCAATCTTTCAACAGGACTAAATGTTGAAATAAACGTTACCTCCACCTATAATTAAGTTTCTTTTCTTTAAACAGTGACTTGAGCATCCATATATGATGAGATGCTGTAAGGACGAGGGGAGAATGGATATGCGGAAGAGGGTAAATGTGATGAAATAGTAGCACATATTCTGGTTAGTGATAAGTGACATATCCATGGCATTAAACTTTTAGCCACCATTTCTTGAAATTCTCTCTTTTCTTGCTTTCCATGACATAATTTTCTCTAACTTCTTTTCTCTGGGTTATTGCTCCTATATTCTCTCTCAGCCTGAAATACCTCTATACCCCCTACTTTCTCACTGTCTCAGGTCTAAATCCTTCACATCAATCCATAACCAAATAGAATACCACCTATCTCAGCCTTTTCACCTCCCCAGATGGAAAAATCCTTTCTCTTTTCTGAACACAAATAATTTTTTTAAAATGGGAATGTCTTTTACAGCTCTTATCACTATATACTTCATGTTATAGTTATTTCTGTATGTGACATCTTCTCTGGTGGACACATTCCTTGAGGGAATGATTTCTATTTGGCTAAGCTTTGAATTTTCACAGCACCTGGGATAGTGAATACAGCAAATGTTCAAAAAGAGTTGCTGAATAAATGAATGAATAATTCATGAATCAATGAATGAATATACACATTCTGGGTGGTTCAACCCATCTCTGGCACATTAAAGATTCTCCACAAAGAAGTATAGAAGTTGAAAGTATGAACTTTGGATCAGATCTATCGGGATTCAAATCCTAGCTCCATTAACTTTTTCTTGGGCAAATTAATTTTTCTCTTCTTTTTTTTTTTTTTTTTTTTTTTTTTTTTTGAGACAAGGTCTCACTCTGTTGCCCAAGCTAGGGTGAAGTGGTGTGATCACAGCTCACTGAAGCCTTGATATCCCTGGCTCAAGCGATCCTCCCACTTCAGCCCCAAGTAGCTGGGACCACAGGCACGTGCCACCATGCCTGACTAATTTTTGTATTTTTTATAGAGACACGGTCTCCCTCTGTTGCCCAGGCTAGTTTCGAACTCCTGGGCTCAAGCAATCCTCCTACCTTGGCCTCTCAAAGTGCTGGGATTGTAGGTGTGACCCACTGTGCCAGGCCTAAATTAAATTAATTTTTCTAACACAAGTTCCCATATGTGTAAAAGGGGGATAAGAATATAGCTACCCTCATGAATTTTCATAAATATTAAATGAGACAAAGCATTTTATTTAATATCACATAGTAAGAGCTTAAGAAATGTTAGCCATTATTTACCCCTCTCATGCTCAAAGAACACTTTGGAAGCTTATATGTTGTTGCCAGAATCAGGTAAGTTGTAAGAGTTCTGATTATTAGATTTCTTAATAATGGGTTGGACTTCTTGGAAGAAAATAATAAACTATGAATCTGGATGTTCAGGAACACTGTACCCACAGTTCAATATTATTTTCTGCTACATACCTGTTAAAAGTGTGGCCCTCCATATATGCTATGACTTCAGAGATAAAGGAATATATCATTGCTTAACTACTCTCTGGACTGCCAGTGGGTCAGCCCTGTGGTTTAAGACACTCATAACAACCAGCGGTGGAAGAGATATGGTAACTGGAGTATAAATCCCTAGAGAGACATATAAAAATCTCAGTGGAGGCCAGTCACAGTGGTTAATTCCTATAATCCCAGCACTTTGGGAAGTGGAGACAGGAGGATTGCTGGAGCCCAGGAGTTTGAAATCAGCCTGGGCAACTCGGTAAGACCCTGTCTCTACAGGAGGAAAAAAAATTAGCTGGGCATGATGGCATGTTCTTGTGGTCCCAGTTACTTAGGAGGCTGAAGTCGGAGGATCGCCTGAACCCAGGAGGTTGAGGCCGCAGTGAGCCATGATTGTGCCACTGCACCCAGCCCGGACAACAGATGGAGACCCTGTTTCAAAAAAATAAAAAAAAAACCACAAGCAAACAAACAAAAACTCAGTGGACAAGGGAAGGGCAAATGAGTTGAGAAAAAGCATATTAATAATTTAATGATATAGTCACCTTGCTGTGCTATCAAATATCAGATCTTATTTATCCTATGTCTGTATCAAAACATTACGTGTCCCATACCATAAATATATATGATTATGTACCCATACTAACTAAAAATAAAAAATTAAAGAATGTGTTTATTATAAAATGTTGCATAAACACAAGTACAACAAAGAATATAAAATTGCCTATCATCCACCCAAAAGAAAAAGCATATTAATATACCTATTGTTTTTGGTAATACAAATAACGGAATATAAAGTTCAATGTAATCTTTTTGGTGGAGAGGGTATACAGAAAATATGCAAAAAATACTTGTTTCCAGCATCATCTCCTGAAATTCTGCATTAAAATTAATATATAATAGCTTATAAAAATTAGCTGGCACATTGGAAGGCAGAGTAGGACCTTAAGGAAAAAGCACCACTAAGTTTTTAAGTACAAGGCGAGGGTTGGAGTAGGTACATAATATAAGGCAGTCCAAGATGGGAACTGCTGTGGGAAGCCATTAGGTAGCCTAGGGGCAATGAATGTGGACTGCACCAACAGTGGGGTTTAGGGAAGGAGGAATTCTGGGAGCCTAAAGTAAGAGATGTGGAAGAATGCCAAAGAAAAACTTTATTTAGTTCACAACTTGTGTGAGGCTGGCTCTGTAGTTACATACTTCAGCTGGAATATTCTCAGCTACTCTGAAAATTCAGAAAACAATAGATTACTATGGAGATACATACCAAAGTATGTCAGTTATGCGTCAGAATTTTCCTTTATGTGCCCTATTTTACTCTGTTAACAAAGGCATATTAATAAATTCACACCAAATGAAACCCCTATTAAAAATTTAAGTTGTATGCCTTTAAATACATGTATAAAAGTCACGTACTTATTCTTTTTTCCCATTATAAGAATATATAATCATCCTTCAGTATCCATGAGGGGTTGGTTCTGGGACTACCTACAGATACCAAAATCTATGGATGCTCAAGTCCCTGATATAAAATGCTGCAGTATTTGCATATAACCTATGCACATCCTCCCATATACTTTAAATCATCTCCAGATTCCTCATGATACCTAATACAATGTAAATACTATGTAAATAGTTGTTACACTGTATTGTTTAGGAAATAATGACAAGAAAAGTCTGTAAATGTGCAGTAGAAGCACAATTTTCTTTTCTTGAATATTTTTGATTGGTGGTTGGCTGAATCCATGGAGGTAGAACTGATGGATACAAAAGGCTAACTCTATTTGTCCTTAACACATCGAAATAAAACCTAAAAACAACACTGAGTACAATATTTTAAAGATTTTATTCAAATACATATTGAACCATAAATTTACTTTTAAAAGCATGTAGACATCATCTTTACATTATCTTATTTCTCCATCCTACAAAAAAAAAAGTCATTGGTGTCACACTTCGGATAAAATCCTGGCCCTACCACTTAAATCACTGCTCTATGACCTTGGGCAACCTATTTAATGATTCTGAGCCTCAGTTCCCTCACTTGTAAACAAGGATAATAAAACCTGTATTGTTTTTAGGCCAAATTAAGGATTTTTGACTTTATTTTCTTTGAAGGGCTGAAAGCAAAGAAGTGATGTCAAATTTGTATTTTTCAAAGATTTTGGATACTATAGACAACGGAATAAAAAGAGGCAAGTGGCCGGGCATAGTGGCTCATGCCTGTAATCCCAGCACTTTGGGAGGCTGAGGCAAGTGGATCACAGGGTCACAAGTTCGAGACCAGCCTCACCAAGATGATGAAACCCCGTCTCTACTAAAAATAATAATAATAAAAAAATAGCCAGGTGTGGTGGTGGGCGCCTATAATCCCACCTACTTGGGAGGCTGAGGCAGGAGAATCACTTGAACCTGGGAGGCGGAGGTTGAAGTGAGCCGAGATCATGCCACTGCACTCCAGCCTGGGTGACAGAGTGAGACTCTGTCTCAAAAATAATAACAATAATACAAAAAAAGAAAAGAAAAGAAAAAGAAAAAAAGAGACAAGCGTGGATGCAATAAGACCAATTAGGAGGTCTAAGCTAGAAATGTTGATAGCTGAGAGTATGGTTGGTGGCAACAGAGTAGTATGTAAGAGATTCTTGGGACATACTAATTAATAAGTCTTATTGATTGATTGGCTGAGAAGTGAGAGGGAAGTGCCAAGAATAACTCCCAGTTTCCTAGCCTGAGCAGCCATATGGATGCTGATGTCATTTACTGGGATGGGTAAGACTGATACGTAGTATATGTGGGTAGAGGAGGAGAGATCAGAAGTTCATTTTTGGCCATTCTGAGCTGCAGGTACCAATGAGCCATCCCAGCAAAAATACTGAATAAGGGGTTGGCAATTCTGGAGACTGGAAGAGGGAGTTAACTGTGCTGATACACAGCTACAGTTCATTCAGCACTAGCCTTTTGTCAGGAGTGTATAGTGGAAAAACAGAGGGCAATGAAGTTTAGGTTACTTATTTGTAAGAAGGTATTTTAAATGATGAACTAAGAATGCAAACTGGTTAAAAGAGGATATGAAAATGGTGAGCTGATGAAAAGAGGACATCAGAGAACTACAGTTTAATGAATAGTTTAATGAATAACTGTAGTGGGGGTTTTTGAATAAGCAGGACAGAGAGCTATGAAAGACTGTGAGGGAGCTTAAGATGCTGGAATAATGATTTAGGAGTCACAGCAGTTGTGGATGATGACAAGATCCAGGGCTTGTGCATGGGAGTGAGTAGTTAAATGGAGTGGAAAAGATTCCTAGAGATATGAGATCAACGTAGGGTTTTGGCTGGGTAATTTATGGCAGTGAAGAAAAAGGTTGGCAGCCATGGGGTAAGGACTTGTGAGAATGGGAGAGAATGACCAAAAAGTTAGTAGATGGCAACAACAAAGAGGGATGAGGAGAATATAATTAGAGAAAATGAGAAGCAAGGGGACTTGACAAGAGGGTTGAAGAGTAAAGGCCAGTGGCACTGGTGAGCAAGGAGAACACTTATCCTCCTGGCCTTGAGACAAAAAGAACGTGAGAGCCTCCACATCAGAGGGTCGCAATGGTGAACTAGGTCCCAGGGGACAGCAAAATTTTATTCAAAGTAATGGCACAGAAGAACTTCTGGAAGAACAGGTGGAGGTTTAGGGGAGAGTTCATTAATCAAGGAGAAGATGATCCAGAGGGCAAAGTGGAAGGGCATGGAAGGCTGAGGAAGAGGGAGGTTGGTAAGAGTAGGTACAGTATCTAGACAGGAAGAAATGCATCTTATAGTTTGGGTGGTGACTAGAAAACAAGGAAGTGAAGCATGTGGTGGAACTGACACCTGATTTAGGAGGAGTAGAGACAATGGCTGTGGTTCTAAAGGTAACCTACTACTACTTCTTGAGGCCTGGCTTGCATGCCATGTGTTCTCAGATTAGTATTCTTAAAGATAACAATGCTACCTCCTTTAACAGTCTTTTATTCTACGTTCTCAGACTAGTATTCTTAAAAATAACCATGCTACCTTCTTTAGCAGTCTTTTATTCTAAAAAGATCTTGTTTAATATACTGGTACTTCCACTCAAATTATTTTGCATTCATGCCAATTTTTAACAAACTTTGCATTAACTTAACTCACTAATCCTCTCTTGTCTTTCAGTTAGAAGTTGACATTGCCCAACTAATCTCTAGTTGGTGGTGACATAATTAAGCTAAAAACCTAATGTGGTCTTATTGTTCTTATAACTTCATATGGTAGCAATTAATTATTCTCAAGGAATAACTCTGGGCTCTATTTTGTGTGATCTATTTAAAATAACTTTATTATGTGCTTTTAGTTTTGAAAGAGATGACGTGAATGATCTTTAGTTACAATATCTATAACTAAGGATTTGTTATTAATGCCTGTACTGAATAACTTGAAGGAAAGATGACTATTCCAAGAGTTTGGTGCCAAAAAAATAGTTTAGAAAGCCCGAATATCTAGTACTGAGTCATGGGAAGTGGGAACAAGTAAATTGGTTTCACTGGAAAACATTCCACATGTAACACATGGTACATTTCAAATGACTGTCAGGATTATATATTTTTTTATTACATTTTGTTTTCCTATCCATTATTTGACAGGACCTAAAAAATTAGCCAGCCATACATAATAAACTGTACTCTAAGCATATGTAGTCTTTGCATATGAATATCTTAGGTTGTATATCTGCCAGTTGGTAAGAGCACATGTATTTTTGCATTTAAAATGTTATTCCACAATTTGTTTCCATTTGATGGCTAATTTGGGAAGATTTGCATGTGTGTTGGCCATTTAAAAATATTTTTGGTACAAAGAATATTTTGGCACTTAATTTGTTTTTATTACTTAATAGTACTGCCAAGACTGTTAGCAGGGTTATGACTGCCCATCTGTCCTCATGGATTTCTTTGCGCAGGGGCTGCTGAAGCTGGGCCATTACCCCTTTCTCCACTCAGTCCAACTAAGCAACCTAGGCAAAACAACAAAGGAAGTGTCTTTGCTGTATATATGTGCATAATAAAGAGTTGGTAGGTAGAGAGGGGAGATCTAGCAACTGATGTAGCCTAATAAAGAGTTGGTAGGTAGAGAGGGGAGATCTAGCAACTGATGTAGCCTATCAGGTCTGCTCAACTATGACAAAACAGGGTAGCTGACGGTGTAAGTCTGGTTAGTGAGTACAAAGCCAGAGCTTCCATTCTAGACTTAGTTATTAGAGTTTGGTTACAGCAGAGGATACTCTCTTCATCACTTTTCCCGCCATATTTCTAGACTTCCCAGGGTGCCAAATTGGGTAATTATAGCAGAAGAACAGCTATATATCTACCATCATCGGTGTTTTGATAGTAGCAGGTAGTGATGGCAGCTGTGGTAGAAGAAACTACCCTTTGAATAGCCCTCTACAAGATACAAATTTACAGATTTTTCTTACACATTATTTCAGGGAGGAAAATATTATTCCCATGTTATAAATGAGTGAAATATGGCTCAGTGAAGTTAAGTAACCTGCTCAAGATTACACATTTAGTAAGTGGCAAACTTTCTGGTTGTAAATCCTATGCTCTTTAATAATTTTTAGATTAAATAAGATAGACCCCATAATGTGCCATTTACAATTTCCAGTTCCACTTTCTTTAAAGTGGGTTCTTAGGAAGCAATAAACGGAGAATACATTTTCATTTTTGCCACTTATCCCAGTCATTTATAGTTACTTCATTTGGCAGGCTTTTTCTCATTAGTAGTCTTTTTATTTCAGCACTTTGAATATGTCATCTCACTGTCTTCTGGTCTCTATGGCTTTTGATGAGAAATCAGCTGTTAATCTTAGAATATCCCTTATATGTGATGAGTTACTTCTCTTTTGTTGCTTTCAATATTCTTTGTCTTTTGACAGTTTGTGTCTAAGTGTGGATATCTTTGAGTTTATTTAAGGTAGAGTTCATTGAGCTTCTTAGATGTAGATAAATGTTTGTCATCAAATTTGGGAAGTGTTTGCCCATTATTCTTCAAATATTCTTTCTTCCCGTTTCTCTCCTCTCCTGGGACTTCCCCTATGCATATATTGGTACACTTGATGGTGTGTCACAGATCTCTGAAGCTCTGTCCATTTTTCTTCATTTTTTAAAATTTTCTGTTCTTCAGACTCAATAATCTCAAAACAACCTAACTTCAAGCTCACTGATTCATTCTTCTTCCTGCTTAAATTTGTTGCTTAGCCCCTCTAGTGAATTTTTCATTTCAGTTATTACACTTTTCAATTCTGGAATTTGTACTTGTTTTTAAACATTATTGTTTCAATCTCATTATTAATATTCTATATTTGGTGAGACATGATTCCTATACTTAAGCTTTTTAGACATGGCCTTTTTTAGTTCTTTGAATACATTTAAAACAGGTGATTTCAAGTATTTGTCTAATAAGTCCAACATCTGGGCTTCCTCAGGGACAATTTCTATTGATCGCTTTTTTAACATATACAGGCTGTACTTTCTTATTTCTTTGCCCATCTCATACTACTTTCTTGAAAATGGCATTTTTAATGATATAAGATTTTATAATATTAATAAATAACATTATTAACTATATTATTGTAAATAAACAAAGGGAACTTTAAAAATCAGATCCTTCCTCTTCCCCAGGGTTTGCTTATTTGTTTATTTATTTATTTATTTATTTTTGAGATGGAGTCTCCCTCTGTTGCCCAGGCTGCAGGGCAGTGGCACGATCTTGGCTCACTGCAACCTCTGCCTCCTGGCTCAAGCAATTCTCCTGCCTCAGCCTCCTGAGTAGCTGGGATTACAGGCATGCACCACCACACCCAACTAATTTTTGTATTTTTAGTAGAGATGGGGTTTCACCATGTTGGCCAGGCTGGTGTTGAACTCCTGACCTCAGGTGATCTGCCCACCTCGGCCTCCCAAAGTGCTGGGATTATAGGCATCAGCCACCGCCTCCAGCCTCCTCAGGGTTTATTATCCTTGCTATACATTGTAGTTGTTGTTTAGTAATATTTATGAGCTAATTTTGTGAAGTTTGTAATTTTCATTGTGTGGCCACTGAAGTCTCCAATTGATTAGTGAAGTCTCCAGTTGGTTAGTGAAGTCTCCACTTGGTTAGTGTAGTAGTCAGCTAATGATTAAACAGACTTCCCTAAAGGTCTGGAACCAATAAGCCTCCAATTCTTGGCTGAAGGGCTCTTTGAGCTCTGGCGCACACCTTCAACTCCTCCTTAGCCTTCACTTACTGCTTGCACAGAGCTTTAAGGACAGACAGAGGTGAGAGTACAGGACCTTCTCAGGTCTTCCCTGAGCAGGCACACATCCCTGGGGGTGTGCATAGTCTTATTCATGAGCATGTACTTGTAGTTTCCCAGGAATATGTTGGAGCTTTTCAAAACCCCATGGACATCTCATTCCCGTTTTTCCTTTCAAACATTTTGGTTAGCCTATTGTTTACCCCAACTGGTTCCCACTGCCTCAAGCAACTTTAAAACTAATCAATTGCCTCTAATTATTTTTGACATACAACCCTAGGTGTTGTGGCAGGGAGTGGGGGCATGGGGGTTGGGGGAGGCCTTTTGCCCCTGAAAGCTCCTAATTAGTAACTTTTGAAAGAGTAATTGTTGTGAAACTATTATTTCAATTATAGAATGCTATTTTATGTCATTAACAAAGTAAAAGTATATACTGCACTTATACAATGTTAAGATGGTGATAAAACCAAATATATTCCCCAAAGAGAAAAGTACTAGAAAATTAGTAGACAAGTACATAGGTGAAAGAGTTTTAAACTGATGGCTGGAGGAGAGTAAGTAGATAGTTAAAAAATAGAAAGTGAGGTCTGGGCATGAAATAGACATGTTCAGTGACTGAAAGAGACAGTCCTTATCTAGAGATAGGGATAAATGGACAGCATTATGAACATCAAAACCTTAATAGGCTAAGAAACCGGCTTTGTCTTTGTACAATAATGGGAGGTTTCTCTTTATGAATGTGTTAGGGCTTAACTGTCCTTTTAAACATAAAGAGTATTTCTTACAATCAGTTATTTATAATTTACAGTAGGAGACACATATTCATCACTCAAAACAAATGCAAATTGAGTAGAGATACTTTTCAATAGTTACTAAATAAAAATAAAATGTATTCTGGTAATGGAAGTTGGATTTTGAGTTTCTATATCATTTAAAAAATCTACCAATGAGATAAAAGATGAATGTGCTTGCAATCTCAAAAGTTTTAGCTTATAATATTATTTCTTTTTATATGTATCTGCTTTTTAGTTGATTTTGAAGAAGGAAAAGAAAAGCTTCTATACATCTTCAACTAATAGAAGTCATACCAAAAAAAAAAAAAAAAAAACCCTTATACTATTGGAACCAGTTGAGAAACCACAAGTATTCAAATGCAGGAAATCATGATTTTATAACATTTTAATGTGATCTACTCTTGGGAAACAAAGTTAACCAAACCCTATTTTTGTACAGGAAATATTCCAGCATACAGTTGTAATACACTGTGGTGAAGGGGTACAGCTGCAGATTTTTCACCTGTAATGCCCCACTGGTATTGTGGCTTACTGCATTGCATCAAGACTGCCTTCCTGTCCGGAAAACCCTCTAAGTACAAACAAGACTCTAAGTCCAGATTTTATTTTCCCCTGGTATCAGAATATGGTAATTTAAGAGCCCTGAGAAATACTTTTTAGACTTTAAAAGGAAATGTGTAACGTTCTTTTATTAGAATCTATGTTTGGGTTGGTTTTTCAAAAAACTTAACATATGACCCAGTTATCTTATCGATTTATCAAGCTACCAGGTTTCAAGCAAATGCAGGTGTGTAATATGACATCTTTCAAGAAAATATTTTTCCTTAAAGAGAAAGAATAAAAATATACTCAGAACTTCTGAGTTAAAACTTAGAGCAGGGGCAACTTTACTAGTTTATGGTGTCTTTTAATGAGACTACAAACTCTAAACTCATATTATGTTTTAGTCTCATTTCTAACTGTTCAGATATTTTACTTATTTGTATCAAATGCAGTCAAATGTACATCATTTACTATAAATAACAATACTTGGGAATCAGGGAGAGCTTAATTCTACATTTACTTGCTAACTAGTTTTGTCATCTTGAGTTAAAGTCACCTAACCAACGTAAGCCTTAGTTTCCTTACCCACAAAAATTTAGGAAGATAGAATAAGAACTACTTTAGTTCTTTCCAACTCTGAAGAAATACATAAGATTTACTTTTTTAAGTTTATATTTTAGGAAAAGAACTAATATTTTAAAATGCATACTACATGTGAAGATTTACATTATTCAATTTTAATGGTAATTCTGTAAGTTAGTAAGAGTATATCCATTTTACAGATCAAGAAAATAAAGTTCAGAAAGTTAAAAAAACCTGTCAAGGATCTCAATGATAATTAGTTGCAAAGCCGGGACTCCTGGAGATTCCAGAGCCCAGGAAGCTTTTTCACCTTGTCATACTGACTCCCGTATTTCAGTTACTTGACGGTCATGGTTTTCAAAAATATAAACTGACAAATAAGCAATGCTCATAAACCAAACACTTACACTGTGACAACTTGTTACATGATTGTTTTAAAGCTAAAAAGGTGTAATCATTGATAGTTGGTTCTTTCAAAATTTATTTTCAAGTTTTACATTCAGAGGTAGATAATAGGTTCTTAATAACTCTTGATAATGTGAAAACTATAGTACAGATAGGCAACTCTCAGTAACTGTGAAGAAGTCAATAAGGATTAGAGAATAACTTAAAATTTTTAAATATTTTAGAAAAAAGTCAACTTAGCATATTTTACAAAGCTTCCTCATATGTCAAATATTTAGGCTAGATCTAGGGTCAGTAAACTTTGCCTGTAAAGGGCTATAGAACAAATGCTTTAGGCTTTGTTTGCCACGTGGTCTCTGTTGCAACTACTTGACTCTACAACTACTTGACTCTGACTATTGTAGTATATAAGCAATATGTAAATGAGCATATGTGTCTATGTTCCAATAAAATTTTATTTACAAAAACAGGTGGTGGGCTAGATTTGGCCCACAGGCTGTAGTTTGCTGCTGATCCCTTGATTAGATGAAAAGCAATGCCCTTACAGAGGCCCTTTAGGGTATATGTCTACTAGGGAATAGTTCTCCATGGGTCTAGCACATTTTCACATATCTTATAGGTAAAGGCATTGCCTGCCTTTTCCCCAGACTATCTTTTCTTTTCTTAAAATTTAAAATGTACTTTTTTTTTTTAGAGATGGAGTCTTGCTATGTTTGCCCAGGCTGGCCTTGAACTCCTAGGCTCAAGCGATCCTCCTCTCTCAGTCTCCTGAGTGGGATTACAGGCGCATGCCACAAACCCAGTCCAGACTGTTTTTTCAAGGATAAATATATGATAAACAGTCAACGAAGACAGATAGTTGTCTCCCTAGAAAGAAAAGGGCAGGCAGGCTTACTGTCCATTATAAAAGATTCAGGTCCTCCAAATCAGAGTCCTCTACTATAATACAACTCCCTGTGTGTGCAGACATCAGCTGGTCCTCTTCATGTCATCCTCAGAGACTTAGGGTTTGGAACTAGCATATCTGCAGACACTCTGTTGTAGGTAAAGAACTATGTTTCATCTCTGATCCAGCATTCTCATGTTTTCTATCCATGAGACTTGCAAATAAGGTCAAACTCTAACTTTTCACAATTCTTGACAATGTCTGTACTTTATTGAAAGTGATTTTATATGTAACACATATATTACATACATATAGAAATGTATGTTTAAAAATGTGTTTTAATTAGCCTATCAAGTATACTTAATATATTTATCAAATATTCATTAAATGTTTCCATGATAAGTGTAAACTAGGGATACAACGATCAGCGAGGCAGACAGACATGATTCGTGACTTCATAGAACTTACAAACGTAATAAATAGTCAAGTACCTGGGATTACTAGAAGTGATTTGAAGTGTGTTTTAAAAATATAAGCATTTTCTTTACCAATGTACTCATTCCATACTTTTCTGGTAGATTTGAATATGTCTTTACAGTCCAAATTAAATTAAATGAATTAATTTAACTATCAGTGGAAGAGATCTTCTTCTCATATAATAAGTCTGTAATTTCATACTGTAGAGCTGATGAAAAGTAGGCAAGACACTCATGATTTTGACTCTGATGGAGGTGCTGATCAAAATAAAAATTATTTATAGGCAGATAACAGGAAGGAGAAAGAATAAAAAGCATGAAAAGCTAAAAAAAAATAATAAGCCTGCATAATTAGCTCCTAAGTAAGGGGCAGACTATACAGTGTAGTTTTGAAAATAGTTATCTTAGTTGACCTCTGGTATTCTGGATAAATGTCCTAGGGGAATAAATCTCAGTGTGGTCAAAACACAATTGTGTGCAAATTCCATCAACATTCCTAAGGAATTAGGCCCCAATTCTGGCCCCTAACTCTCTGCCCAAACTAATGTACCACTTCACACTACATAGACCTTTAGCTGTCATCAGTTTGTCTCCATTCAGTTTCTTGAAATCTCATCCATCTTTCAAAACTACTCACTACACCTCTGACAAAAAAGAAAAACAAAAACAAACAGCCCTCCCCAATCATCCAAATTAGAAGTAATTTCTGAATTCCCAAAACACCCCATGTATGGTTTAAACTCTTACGGCACTTAATAATACTATCTAATGTTGTTATCTGTGCATATCTGTGCACAGAGAACTCTAACTTATGTGCCCCTCTAACTGCCTGTCTCTCCACAATGGTGCCTTGTGTAGAATAAGCACTAATCTCAGCTTCTATGTCTTTGTTCAAAACCCTCTCCAGAAGTGCTACAAAGGTCTCCTGCTCTTCAGCCTGCTCACGTAAAGCCCAGACTATGGGCTTTACATTTTCAGTACATTAAGATAATCTTCTTCTATTTCATTTTAAGCTTTCATGAAGTCGTAGTCAACACTCACTAAGTACTATGTTAGGCACTGGAGATCAAAGATAAATATTATATAAACTCTGTTCTCAAGAAGAGCAAAGTGGAAGGAAGTAATATAAATGGGCCCAGGAAAGGGTAATATAAGTGTCCCAAAGTGGGGCAACTTTTCCACCTGGTTGGAGACAGGGGACATCAGGGGAAGGCTTTCTGGAGGAAGGGTCAAGAAATAAACATATAAAAGTAACATAAATTCACAAATGTCCACAATGTGTTTGCTATTTCAGAGTTCAACTTAAGGTCTTTTCTACCTTAGAAATACTTCATCACGAATGAATATAAAATATATACCATTCAATTAAAACTAAATGCATATAAAATATAAACCATTTCAAACACACATAAATCCACTGACAGGAAATAAAAATGTAATTATTGCAAACCATTGTGAAGTCTCTTTTTAAAAAATAGATAAGATGTTAAGATGTATTTGCATATAAACTTAAAAATCAGAAAACTTAATTTTCATTATGTGTATAATACGTTTTGTTCATGACACATAAAACTACTTGGATTTATCCAAAAGACAGGCAATAATAAATGCTGGTGAGGGTGTGGGGAAAAGGGAACCCATGTACACTGTCGGTGGGAATATAAATTAGTACAACTACTATGGAGAACAGTATGGAGGGTCCTCACAAAACTAAAAATAGAACTATCATATGATCCAGCAATGCTACTGCTAGGTATATAACAAAAAGAAAGGAAATCATATATTTAAAAGATATCTGTACTCTAATGTTTATTGCAGCACTATTTACAATAGCCAAGATTTGGAAGCAACCCAAGTGTCCATCAACAGATGAACAGATAAAGAAAATGTGGTACATACACACAATGGAGTACTACTCAGCCATAAAAAAGAATGAAATCCTGTCATTTACCACAACATAGATGGAACCGGAGGACATTACGTTAAATGAAATAAGCCAGGCACAGAAAAACAAACTCTGCATGCTCTCACTCATTTGTGGGAGCTAAAAATTGAAATGATTGAACTCATGGAGATAAAGAATAGAAGGAAGGTTACCAGAGGCTAGGAAGAGTATTGGGGCAGGGGAAGGGAGGTGGGTATGGTTAAGGGATACAAAAATACAGTTAGAATGAAAAAGATCTAGTGTCTGATAGAACAACAGGGTGACTACAGTGAACAATAATTTACTGTGCATTTAAAAATAACTAAAATAATATAATTGGAATGTTTATAACAGAAAGAAATGATAAATGCTTGAGGTGATGGTTATTGCATTTACCCTGTTGTGATTATTATGCATTGTATGACTGTATCAAAATATCTCATTTACCTCATAAATATATACATCTACTATGTACCCAAAAAATTAAAAATAAATTTTTCTAACTACTCGGAATTTCAAAATATTTGTTTAAATCTGATAAACATGAATATACTCATGTTTATATAGTAAACTATATACTCCTGAGTATATAGTTTGTCAGCAATTTCCCCAACCCACAGAATTTAAATTCAGTCATTTAAATTCCTCCACTAGGAAGGAGGAGGCATCCTGCCGTTATTGAGCAAGTTCTGTGTGCCAGAAATTCTGCTTAACAGTTTACCTACATTCTGTGCTTTGCTCTTCCCAAATCTTGCGCATTCCATACATCATAATAGTTTAATAGGAAAGGAAACTGCGAATAGAGAGACTATATACTCCTGAGTATATAGTTTGCAAACACAGTCATATTCTTAAATGACCACTTCAACACTGTCTCCACAAAGTAGAATGCAAAAAAAAGGAGTCAAGCACATATGTGACATATACCATTACAAGGAAACATGAATGTCTTTGACATTGATCATGTTCTTCTTTCCTACTGTCTGTCATGTCAAATTTGCTTGAAATAATGACATATAATAGTTTAGCACCAATCACTCTTAACCTTATACATACCTGATTTCCCATAAGAGCAGCCACAGGATTTTCAAAAATATGTCTATTTACATATCAACTGAACATATCAAACCATACATCTGTTCATTTAGTTGTTTTTAGGTTTCAGGTGGCTAAGGGAACAAAGAAGCCTCTCAAAGAATCTATAATTTTCTAAGTCTTGCAAAATCAACCCTTAGAAAATCTACAGAGAGGCAAATTTCCTGGGCTAGAAAGACTGGCTCTTAATTCAGGAATTTGCAGATAGAATTTCTGGCTGCACTGACCACTATTATTTGGTGGTAACCTGTGTCCTGTTACGTGGATCATCAGGTAGAAAGAATGTAATGTGGAAAAGATGAGTTTGGGGAGTGCTTTTTAGACAATTTAGTTAAATTCATAACACATTATAGGGTAGAATAAAAGCCATAGACACCTAATTAGCTATTTAGGGGATACATTACAGGTTATAGGTGGCAAATTTTTCTCTTGAGATTCATGAAAGTTTACAAAAATAAAGATGTAAAACAGAAAACTAAAAAATTGTATGGATGGATAAACGACAACAACACAGATCCAACAACCAGTGGTGCCCATAGACTAGGTCTTACATCCACACAGAATAGTCAATCAGGAACCTTCTCAGTTGTTGCCTACTCTGATCCTCTTCTCCTGACCCTGCCGCCCAAGAGAAAAAAAAAAGTATTCTTGGAACAAGATACCCTTTGAAAAGTTAAAACAAAACAAAAAACCTCAGAAAGAACAAAATCTCCCTAATATAACAAATTCTCCCAAGTTTAGTATGCAATTAAAATGAATGGCATTAATTTAAGAGGCTTTTTCCTCAATAGAACAATAAACAACAAAACAATAAAAATAATGGCTTACTTTTTGGGTTAAAAAGTATAAACATTTTTGCCATATCTCACATAATTATACAATATTTTAAAGGTTTTTATTTCTATTTATAATTCTTGATATGCAACACTGACAATTCCAAAGGGCATCAGAATGATTTTACTTCTGAATGAAAAATATAAGATTATAGATTCTCTAAAAGGTACAATCTGGCACAGGTCTGAAGAACCAACAGCTGGTCTGTATTCACTTGAATGTAAAGAATTATGAATTTTTTCACCTATATATCCTTAATCACAGGACTTCACTGTCTCTCAACTGGATATTATAGCTTAATAGCTTTATCTGAATATTTAAAAAAATTATTCTGGTTAAAAGCCAAAATTAAAACTTTTTTTTTTTTTTGTACAATAACATATCTATTTCTAACTTCTGGCCTGCTTTTCTCTTTGGATCCCATCCCTGACAGACATCTGTATTTTGTAACTTTTTCTACATTCTGGCTCTGAAGACTCTCCAAGTTCTGGCCCAATAATCCTTTTCTGTTTCAATTCATTAGTGTGAGAATCACAGGACTGGAAAGGACTTTGGGAGGTCATATAGACATCAGCTTGCTGCTCTGAACAAGACTAAATCCAAACCTTGAAAACAAATGATGTTTAAAGACTTATAGAAAATGCTTTGTGATACAGTTTTTCATTTTATAAAAATGTTATTTGGTGGACGTCATGGTGTTCCTTAAAATACATACATCTTACATTTTTGGTCCATTAAAGGGATATTTATCACTGAAATAAATTATTTGCTAGGCTCCAATGGTCCAGAATTGGGGCAAGGGAAGTACTAAGCATGTATAACATTAGCATTGCTTTATTGATGGCAGTACAAATGCTACAGATGTTGTTGATTCCATTCAGTTTGGTCTTTACTTTTAATCTAGTTTACTCACTTCTACATATAAATGAGAATTAATATTTTCCAGGTTAATTTTTCATAAAACAACCCTCCAAACCTGCAGAACTGGGCTCACTTACTAGCTACATGATCTTGAACAGATTAATCTCTCTATTCGCAGTTTCCTTTCCTATTAAACTACTATGATGTATGGAATGCGCAAGATTTGGGAAGAGCAAAGCACAGAATGTAGGTAAACTGTTAAGCAGAATTTCTGGCGCACAGAACTTGCTCAATAACGGCAGGATGCCTCCTCCTTCCTAGTGGAGGAATTTAAATGACTAAATTTAAATCCTGTGAGTTGGGGAAATTGCTGACAAACCATAGTACACATCAATGGATGCTAAAACCACATGTAAAATATTCATGGGGGAATTTATAATGATGGGCCAGACTAATACTACCTGATCAATTTTAACATTGCTAAAAGTGAAATAAGCAGACATCTCTTGCCTCCTGTTGTGATACAATAGGAATAATATTATTCTGTCACCTGAGAAGTATTCTTTCCAAAAAATCCAGTTCAAATCTAATCAAGCTCTATAAGATGACTAGATTACAGAAGATATGGGGGAATAGATAAACATGTTAAACGATATTATAAAGACAGAGTGGGCCACAATCCAGAAAGTGGGAAAATTTACAGGCCAAATAATCCAATTTCTTCAATAAGTAAACGGCATAAGGGGGATAAAAGGGGACTCTTACTGATTAAAAGAGACTTAAGAAACATATCAACTAATATAATGTGTGGACCTCAGCGGGATCCTTATTCAAACAAACCAAATCTAAACACAGATTTGTGAGACAATAGGGGAAAAATATAGATAGAGTATAATATGATATTAAGGAATTATTGTTAATTTTTTGTTGGCTCTGATAATATGGATAAAATGATATAGCTGAGACTTCTTTTAAAATATTCCAGAAAAACAATAACAACATCAACAAAAAGTGGAGAACAGATGTAACTAGGACAAGATACTGATAATTACTAAAGATGGGTTAGACTCAGAGTTTATTACACTAATTACACTAATCTCTCTACTTCTATATAGAGTAGTCCTTCCTTATCCATGAGGGATACATTCCAAGACCCCCAGTGGATGACTCAAACTGCAGATAGTATTGAACTCTCTCTGTATATATACACACTATATATGTTCTTTTCTATACATGCATACCTATGATAAAGTTTAATTTATAAATTATGCTCAGCAAAAGATTAATATACACTGTAATAAAAGTTATGTTAATATGGTCTCTCTCTCTCAAAATATCTTATTGTACTGTACTCACCTATGGGTAAATGAAACTGTGGAAAGTGAAACCACAGAAAGTGAAACCATGGATAAAGGGAGATTATTTATTTGAAATTTTTCATAATAGAAAAATTTTTTTAGGGAAATCATCAGAATTTTTTTCAACTAAAATTGACTGAATGATAGAAGTCTCAGTTTGAAGAATAAAATAGGACACATATAGAACAAGAAACTTCCAAAAAAATTACTTGAAGTTCTTCAAGATCAGTTTACAAATCACTTTTTGGAAGGTGGAGTTTATATGACAGAAGTAATTTTGATCAAACTAAATCCACATAACTTAGAAAAGGCCAAATTTGTATTGAATCAAAAAAAGAAAAAAGTAAAAAGAGGCAGCCTAAAAGCTAAAACAAAAAGGGCCATGCCTATTACATGCTATCAAATGATATATTTTAATGTATTCAAAATACATACTTGAAAAAACTGATAGGTTCTTTTTTTTTTATTATACTTTAAGTTTTAGGGTACATGTGCACATTGTGCAGGTTAGTTACATATGTATACATGTGCCATGTTGGTGTGCTGCACCCATTAACTCGTCATTTAACATTGGGTGTATCTCCTAATGCTATCCCTCCCCCTTCCCCCCACCCCACAACAGGCCCCGGTGTGTGATGTTCCCCTTCCTGTGTCCATGTATTCTCATTGTTCAATTCCCACCTATGAGTGAGAATATGCAGTGTTTGGTTTTTTGTTCTTGAGACAGTTTGCTGAGAATGATGGTTTCCAGCTTCATCCATGTCCCTACAAAGGACATGAACTCATCATTTTTTATGGCTGCATAGTATTCCATGGTGTATACGTGCCACATTTTCTTAATCCAGTCTATCATTGTTGGACATCTGGGTTGGTTCCAAGTCTTTGCTATTGTGAATAGTGCCGCAATAAATATACGTGTGCATGTGTCTTTATAGCAGCATGATTTATAATCCTTTGGGTATATACCCAGTAACGGGATGGCTGGGTCAAATGGTATTTCTAGTTCTAGATCCCTGAGGAATCGCCACATTGACTTCCACAATGGTTGAACTAGTTTACAGTCCCACCAACAGTGTAAAAGTGTTCCTATTTCTCCACATCCTCTCCAGCACCTGTTTGTTTCCTGACTTTTTAATGATCACCATTCTAGCTGGTGTGAGATGGTATCTCACTGTGGTTTTGATTTGCATTTCTCTGATGGCCAGTGATGATGAGCATTTTTTCATGTGTCTTTTGGCTGCATAAATGTCTTCTTTCGAGAAGCGTCTGTTCATATCCTTCACCCACTTTTTGATGGGTTTTTTTTCTTGTAAATTTGTCTGAGTTCTTTGTAGATTCTGGATATTAGCCCTTTGTCAGATGAGTAGATTGCAAAAATTGTCTCCCATTTTGTAGGTTGCCTGTTCACTCTGATGGTAGTTTCTTTTGTTGTGCAGAAGCTCTTTAGTTTAATTAGATCCCATTTGTCAATTTTGGCTTTTGTTGCCATTGCTTTTGGTGTTTTAGACATGAAGTCCTTGCCCATGCCTATGTCCTGAATGGTATTGCCTAGGTTTTCTTCTGGGTTTTTATGGTTTTAGGTCTAACATGTAAGTCTTTAATCCATCTTGAATTAATTTTTGTATAAGGTGTAAGGAAGGGATTGAGTTTCAGCTTTCTACATATGGCTAGCCAGTTTTCCCAGCACCATTTATTAAATAGGGAATCCTTTCCCCATTGCTTGTTTTTGTCAGGTTTGTCAAAGATCAGATGGTTGTAGGTACGCTGCTGCATTATTTCTGAGGGTTCTGTTCTGTTCCATTGGTCTGTATCTCTATTTTGGAACCAGTACCATGCTGTTTTGGTTACTGTAGCCTTGTAGTATAGTTTGAAGTCAGGTAGCGTGATACCTCCAGCTTTGTTGTTTTGGCTTAGGATTGACTTGGCGATGCGGGCTCTTTTTTGGTTCCATATGAACTTTAAAGTAGTTTTTTCCAATTCTGTGAAGAAAGTCATTGGTAGCTTGATGGGGATGGCATTGAATCTATAAATTACCTTGGGCAGTATGGCCATTTTCACGATATTGATTCTTCCTACCCATGAGCATGGAATGTTCTTCCATTTGTTTGTATCCTCTTTTATTTCATTGAGCAGTGGTTTGTAGTTCTCCTTGAAGAGGTCCTTCATGTCCCTTGTAAGTTGGATTCCTAGGTATTTTATTCTCTTTGAAGCAATTGTGAATGGGAGCTCACTCATGATTTGGCTGTTTGTCTGTTATTGGTGTATAAGAATGCTTGTGATTTTTGCACAGTGATTTTGTATCGTGAGACTTTGCTGAAGTTGCCTATCAGCTTAAGGAGATTTTGGGCTGAGATAATGGGGTTTTCTAGATATACAATCATGTCGCCTGCAAACAGGGACAATTTGACTTCCTCTTTTCCTAATTGAATACCCTTTATTTCCTTCTCCTGCCTGATTGCCCTGGCCAGAACTTCCAACATTATGTTGAATAGGAGTGGTGAGAGAGGGCATCCCTGTCTTGTGCCAGTTTTCAAACAGAGTGCTTCCAGTTTTTGCCCATTCAGTATGATATTGGCTGTGGGTTTGTCATAGATAGCTCTTATTATTTTGAGATACGTCCCATCAATACCTAATTTATTGAGAGTTTTTGGCGTGAAGGGTTGTTGAATTTTGTCAAAGGCCTTTTCTGCATCTATTGAGATAATCATATGGTTTTTGTCATTGGTACTGTTTATATGCTGGATTACATTTATTGATTTGCGTATGTTGAACCAGCCTTGCATCCCAGGGATGAAGCCCACTTGATCATGGTGGATAAGCTTTTTGATGTGCTGCTGGATACGGTTTGCCAGTATTTTATTGAGGATTTTTGCATCAATGTTCATCAGGGATATTGGTCTAAAATTCTCTCTTTTGGTTGTGTCTCTGCCAGGCTTTGGTATCAGGATGATGCTGGCCTCATAAAATGAGTTAGGGAGGATCCTCTGTTTTTCTATTGATTGGAATAGTTTCAGAAGGAATGGTACCAGCTCCTCCTTGTACCTCTGGTAGAATTCGGCTGTGAATCCATCTGGTCCTGGACTCTTTTTGGTTGCTAAGCTATTAATTATTGCCTCAATTTCAGAGCCTGTTATTGGTCTATTCAGAGATTCAACTTCTTCCTGGTTTAGTCTTGGGAGGGTGTATGTGTCGAGGAATTTATCCATTTCTTCTAGATTTTCTAGTTTATTTGCGTAGAGGTGTTTATAGTATTCTCTGATGGTAGTTTGTATTTCTGTGGGATCGGTGGTGATGTCCCCTTCATCATTTTTCATTGAGTCTATTTGATTCTTCTCTCTTTTCTTCTTTATTAGTCTTGCTAGTGGTCTATCAATTTTGTTGATCGTTTCAAAAGACCAGCTCCTGGATTCATTGATTTTCTGAAGGGTTTTTTGTGTCTCTATTTCCTTCAGTTCTGCTCTGATCTTAGTTATTTCTTGCCTTCTGCTAGCTTTTGAATGTGTTTGCTCTTGCTTCTCTAGTTCTTTTAATTGTGATGTTAGGGTGTCAATTTTAGATCTTTCCTGCCTTCTCTTGTGGGCATTTAGTGCTATAAATTTCCCTCTACACACTGCTTTGAATGTGTCCCAGAGATTCTGGTATGTTGTGTCTTTGTTCTCATTGGTTTCAAAGAACATCTTTATTTCTGCCTTCATTTCGTTATGTACCCAGTAGTCATTCAGGAGCAGGTTGTTCACTTTCCATGTAGTTGAGTGGTTTTGAGTGAGTTTCTTAATCCTGAGTTCTAGTTTGATTGCACTGTGGTCTGAGAGACAGTTTGTTATAATTTCTGTTCTTTTCCATTTGCTGAGGGGTGCTTTACTTCCAACTATGTGGTCAATTTTGGAATAGGTGTGGTGTGGTGCTGAAAAGAATGTATATTCTGTTGATTTGGGGTGGAGAGTTCTGTAGATGTCTATTAGGTCCGCTTGGTGCACAGCTGAGTTCAATTCCTGGATATCCTTGTTAACTTTCTGTCTGGTTGATCTGTCTAATGTTGACAGTGGGGTGTTAAAGTCTCCCATTACTATTGTGTGGGAATCTAAGTCTCTTTGTAGGTCTCTAAGGACTTGCTTTATGAATCTGGGTGCTCCTGTATTGGGTGCATATATATTTAGGATAGTTAGCTCTTCTTGTTGAATTGATCCCTTTACCATTATGTAATGGCCTTCTTTGTGTCCTTTGATCTTTGTTGGTTTAAAGTCTGTTTTATCAGAGACTAGGATTGCAACCCTTGCCTTTTTTTGTTTTCCATTTGCTTGGTAGATCTTCCTCTATCCCTTTATTTTGAGCCTATCTGTGTCTCTGCACATGAGATGGGCTTCCTGAATACAGCACAGTGATGGGTCTTGACTCTTTATCCAATTTGCCAGTCTGTTTCTTTTAATTGGAGCATTTAGCCCATTTACATTTAAGGTTAATATTGTTATGTGTGAATTTGATCCTGTCATTATGATGTTAGCTGGTTATTTTGCTTGTTAGTTGATGCAGTTTCTTCCTAGCCTCGATGGTCTTTACAATTTGGCATGATTTTGCAGTGGCTGGTACTGGTTGTTCCTTTCCATGTTTAGTGCTTCCTTCAGGAGCTCTTTTAGGGCAGGCCTGGTGGTGACAAAATCTCTCAGCATTTGCTTGTCTGTATAGTATTCTATTTCTCCTTCACTTATGAAGCTTAGTTTGGCTGGATATGAAATTCTGGGTTCAAAATTCTTTTCTTTAAGAATGTTGAATATTGGCCCCCA
Source organism: Homo sapiens (assembly GCF_000001405.40). NCBI lineage: Eukaryota > Metazoa > Chordata > Mammalia > Primates > Hominidae > Homo > Homo sapiens. The sequence continues at coordinate 99,740,654 of NC_000008.11, read as the reverse complement.
CTCTCTTCTGGCATGTAGAGTTTCTGCTGAGAGATCAGCTGTTAGCATGATGGGTTTCCCTTTGTGAGTAATCTGACCTTTCTCTCTGGCTGCCCTTAACATTTTTTCCATTGTTTCAACTTTGGTGAATCTGACAATTATGTGTCTTGGAGTTGCTCTTCTCGAGGAGTATCTTTGTGGCGTTCTCTGTATTTCCTGAATTTGAATGTTGGCCTGCCTTGCTAGATTGGGGAAGTTCTCCTGGATAATATCCTGCAGGGTGTTTTCCAACTTGGTTCCATTCTCCCCGTCACTTTTAGGTACACCAGTCAGACGTAGATTTGGTCTTTTCACAGAGTCCCATAATTTTTGGAGGCTTTGTTCATTTCTTTTTATTCTTTTTTCTCTAAACTTCTCTTCTCACTTCATTTCATTCATTTGATCTTCCATCACTGATACCCTTTCTTCCAGTTGATCGAATCAGCTACCGAGGCTTGTGCATTCCTCATGTAGTTCTTGTGCTGTGGTTTGCAGCTCCGTCAGGTCCTTTAAGGACTTCTCTGCATTGGTTATTCTAGTTAGCCATTCGTCTAATTTTTTTTGCAAGGTTTTTAGCTTCTGTGCCATGGGTTCGTACTTCCTCCTTTAGCTTGGAGTAGTTTGATCGTCTGAAGCCTTCTTCTCTCAACTCGTCAAACTCATTCTCCATCTAGCTTTGTTCTGTTGCTGGTGAGGAGCTGCGTTCCTTTGGAGGAGGAGTGGTGCTCCGATTTTTAGAGTTTCCAGTTTTTCTGCTCTGTTTTTTCCACATCTTTGTGGTTTTATCTACCTTTGGTCTTTGATTTTGGTGACGTACAGATGGGGTTTTGGTGTGGATGTCCTTTCTGTTTGTTAGTTTTCCTTCTAACAGTCAGGACCCTCAGCTGCAGGTCTGTTGGAGTTTGCTGGAGGTCCACTCCAGACCCTGTTTGCCTGGGTATCAGCAGCGGAGGCTGCAGAACGGTGGATATTGGTGAACAGCAAATGTTGCTGCGTGATCTTTCCTCTGGAAGTTTTGTCTCAGAGGAGTACCTGGCCGTGTGAGGTGTCAGTCTGCCCCACTTGGGGGTGCCTCCCAGTTAGGCTACTCTGGGGTCAGGGACACACTTGAGGAGGCAGTCTGTCCATTCTCAGATATCTGGCTGTGTGCAGGGAGAACCACTACTCTCTTCAAAGCTGTCAGACAGGGACATTTAAGTCTGCAGAGGTTTCGGCTGCCTTTTGTTTGGCTATGCCCTGCCCCCAGAGGTGGAGTCTACAGAGGCAGGCAGGCCTCCTTGAGCTGCGGTGGGCTCCACCAAGTTCGAGCTTCCAGGCCACTTTGTTTACCTACTCAAGCCTCAGCAATGGCGGGCGCCCCTCCCCCAGCCTCACTGCCTCCTTGCAGTTTGATCTCAGACTGCTGTGCTAGCAATGAGCGAGGCTCCACGGGTATGGGACCCTCCGAGCCAGGTACGGGATGTAATCTCCTGGTGTGCCGTTTGCTAAGACCATTGGAAAAGCACAGTATTAGGGTGGGAGTGACCTGATTTTCCAGGTGCCGTCTGTCACCCCTTTCTTTGACTAGGAAAGGGTATTCCCTGACCCCTTGCGCTTCCTGGGTGAGGCGATGCCTCGCCCTGCTTTGGCTCAGGCTCAATGCGCTGCACCCACTGTCCTGCACCCACTTTCCAACACTCCCCAGTGAGATGAACCTGGTACCTCAGTTGGAAATGCAGAAATCACCCATCTTCTGTGTTGCTCATGCTGGGAGCTCTAGACTGGAGCTGTTCCTATTCAGCCATCTTGGCTCCACCCTCGATAGACAGGTTCTTTAACTTACCACTAGATGATAGCACTAGCACTAAACATTAGTAAATTATTTTATTGGTCTATGTTGATTGTATTAATATGATGGTATTTATGAAGGTATATTTTATACTCAATGGTAAAATAACTGAAGATTTTCAACACGGTATATAGACTTTAGAGAGATAAAGATATTGCCTGGAAAAAAATGTAAGGTTGTATGTGTAGAAGGAGTCAAATCTACAATAGGATAAACTGTGAAAACGTTGATTCTTCAAGACCATCTTTCATTCTGAATACACGATTACTAAAAGTAGCTTACATCAAGGTTAAGCTCTGAATTTTCTTAATGTGTTCAAAAGAATGTTTTAAGAAAGAGAAAAAATTCAGTAATTTGAGTACCCATCTTTTAAGATAATTTCTAATGAAGTAGAAAGGAACTCTGAAAGCTTGTTATATTATACAGATATACCATGATTTAGCTAAAGAGAAAAAAGATAGTAGTTGGTGTTTGGAATTTGCATTGAAATGGCTTTTCCTCATGGAGAATTAAAAACAAAAAAGGTGTCATGATAAAGGGTTAAAAATGTATGTAAGATTAATGAAATCATTAGTCATTTTTGAAAAATGGTTTAAAGTTGACTTAGCAAATATTTCTGCAACGCTGAATAATTTTCAATCAACAAATATAGATAAAACTGTGAATGTACTCTTATGTATGTTTCCAGATCACTGCAATAAAATGAAGTCTGAGAGCGGTCTTAAGAGAGCTAGTTGTAGTGATAACGAGTCCTTTGAGAATCAGGGTTCAGCTTATATATAGTGAGACTCCCCAAAGTAGAGCACAACCAAATTGGTCATCTCTCTTCACTGGAAATGCCCTTTGGTGGGTATTTCCTTCAGATAGTTAAAAGAGGCTGTCTCCTATATCATATATTGAATAAGCAACCATTCCAGCCTAAGATATGATACAAGAGAACTGTTAACAAGAAAACACACTTACCAAATTCCTTCCAATAGTAGTCTAAAACCAACATATGATTTAGCTGCTTTAGCAGCATTCTGAATATCTCTTCTCAGTGATTCACCACTATGTGGCTGATAAAGCAGTGAAAAAAATGGTTGCCATCTGTAATTACTTATTTGTATAACTCTAGGTTTTCAAAATATTGTGGCACCAAGGTAGAGAAAACTGTCTGATACACGCTTTTGGTTTAATTTTATAAATGCAACAGGATCTCTCCATTAACTAATAGTACAGGTAATGAAATAGAAATTAGAAAACTATTTTATAAGAGTAAAACTAATAAAAATGCATAGTAGAGCAAAATATAGAATTTGGATGGAAAACAAGAGGTGATTTCAAAAATATTATGCTTGTGGGGGAAGGCTGCTGCTTTGGGACCCTATCACCACATCTACAGACTGGAAAAATTTAAGAAGCACTGATCATATGTGAAAGTGTATTTGGGAGGCCGAGGCAGGCGGATCCCGAGGTCAGGAGATTGAGACCATCCTGGCTAACACGGTGAAACCCCGTCTCTACTGAAAATACAAAAAATTAGCCGGGCGTGGTGGCGGGCACCTGTAATCCCAGCTACTTGGGAGGCTGAGGCAGGAGAATGGCATGAACCCGGGAGGCGGAGCTTGCAGTGAGCAGAGATCGCGCCCCTGCACTCCAGCCTGGGCGACAGAGCGAGACTCTGTCTCAAAAAAAAAAAAAAAAAAAAAAAAAAAAAAAAGAAGGACATCTTCAAAGGCTTTCCTGAAACACTTCAAATTCAATAGGACAGAATTTTTCATTAAACTACAAGTATATATCCATCCCTGCAGTTAAGAGTTGTAGGTTCAATAATCAGAATGCCTGATAGAATCTCAGCTTTGCTATTTACCAATGGAATGCCCTTGGGAAAATTATTTAACCTCTCTGGGCTTAGCTTTCTCATCTGTAAAATAAGAATGGTAACAGTTTTTATAAAATAAGAATGATACATTTTTGTAGCATGAGGACTGAACGAGATTATTACATAAAGCTCTCAGCGTAATGTCTGACACTAGATAAGAAAATACATGGAGGCAAAAATATAAAATAAGTAAAAAACTACATCTTTCAGTCCTGAAGTCTTAGGGTTTTTTTCCAAGTTTGTGTCAAGGTTTGTGGGCTACAGTACAATAGCACATGAATATAGCTCAAACTCTCATTTAGGCCTTGTCACCTCACTATTTTTTTTCTTCTTTTAAACTGATTTTTGTTGTTGTTGTTTTTGTTTGTTTGGAGTCAAGAGTCTCGCTCTGTCGCCTAGACTGGAATGCAGTGGTGTGATCCAGCTCACTGCAACATCTGCCTCCTGATTTCAAGTGATTCTCCTGCCTCAGCCTCCTGAGTAACTGGGACTACAGGCACGTGCCACCACACCCAGCTAACTTTTCATATTTTTAGTAGAGACGGGGTTTCACCATGTTGACCAGGCTAGTCTCGAACTCCTGACCTCAAATGATCCACCCGCCTCAGCCTCCCAAAGTGCTGAGATTACAGGCGAGAGCCACCGCGCCCAGCCTAAACTGTTATTTTTACCTCTAATTTCTCCACCTCTAAGGAGAGAATCTTAGCACTCAACTCTCTACCTATAACCCCTCCTAAAAACAACCCCCTCCATGTCCTAAAATCAAGTGTAAACTAAATTCGTAACTTTCTAGTTCCTCACTTCTTCTCTCCATCCTTCAATCCTTTCCACACATACTGAGCAATTGCTACGTTCCAGTCTCTAGACAACAGGGAAACATTGGTAAAAAACAAATGTTTTTACCATTACTCTACTGCTATGGAACTTAACAGTGTATTGAGGATTTCAAACAATTAAGCCCACTGCGACCCAAGCGCAGAGAACACAAGAGGGAGATGGGCTATTCAAAGGGCTCTACATGGTGCTCTGGCAACTAAAATTGATCTCTTCAAGTCAGTGGTGATCTGGAAGTTGTCAAATTCGCAGCGTTTTCCACCCCCCAGTCCATAATATACTCTTTCTGCAGACGTGATACCACTGAGCTCTGTAAACTTCCTGAGATTTTCACTATGCCTGGGCTTTCCTGACACTGTTGCCTCCACGGCCTTCCTTTTTGACCACTCCTTTGTTGATTCCTGTATTAGTTTCCTAGGGCTTCCATGAAAAATTACCACACACTTACTGGCTTAAAACAATTGAGATTTATTTTCTGGCAGTTCTGGAGTTTAGAAGTCTGAAACTGAGGTGTCAGTAGGGCCATATTCCCTCTGAAGGCAATAGAGAAGACCCCCTTCCTTGTCTCTTCCTAGTTTCTGGTGGCTCCCAGCAATCCCAGGTGTTCCTTGGCTTGTAGTTGCGACATTCCAGTCTCTGCCTCCCTCTGCACATGGTCTTCCCCTCTGTGTGTCTGTGTCTCTGTCCAAATTTCCTTTGTCTTATAAGGGATACTGCTTGTTGGATTACAGCCCACTCTAATCGAGTCTGACCTCATCACAACTTAATTACATCTGCAAAAACCCTACTTCCAAATAAAGTCACACTCTGAGGTTCCAGGTAGAAATGAATTTGGGAGGGGAAACTGTTCAACCCATTAAAATTACTCATCTACTATTTATTTACTAGATACAATGAGTTTTTTCATGGTTCTATTCTCATCTCTCTAGTCTTTGAACTCTTTACTTTTTCTGAGTGTGACTTCTATTTTGCTTTCTTGGCTTCACTTTTCACTTCCATGAAGATAATTCCCCAAACCATTTCTTAAATAAGTCTCCCTCTTCTCCGAATTATCAGCCCACATGTCCAAACTTCTAGTGGCATTTACTACGATTATTCCTCCAAAACCTTAAATTTTAAATGTCCAATGTAGAACCTATTATCTCTTCCATAGTCCTGGCTGCTCCATTTTTCTTCTGACATTTCCAGTCCCCATTAATGGTTTTCCATCCATCTAGTCATTTAGAATAGGGTCATCTTTAATTTTCCCTTCCCATTACCATACACATCCGGGCATTGAAATCTGTTTATTCTGCCTCCAGATGTCTCCATCTTACATTCATTTCCTCCTTCCCATTCCAACTGTCATTCTTATTACTTGTGAGTAATTATAATGTGCTCTGAACAGTTGTCTATGCATCCAATATATAGTATGTCCTGATTCATCCTTTCCTCTGTAATTGGTCATGGTCATTGCTCAGCTCAATAGCCTTAATGACTACCTTCACAGAATAAAGTGCTTATTTATGGAATAAAGCCCAAGTGTCTCAGCAAGCACTTAAAACCCTCCACTATCATGCTTTAAGTCTACTTTTCACACCCATCTCCTATTATATCAACTCCCATCCCTGCCTTTAGTTATAACACTTACTGTATTTTGCTGGGTAATTATTGCCAATCTATTTGTTTCATGAAGCTTAGATTTTAAGCTTTTTGAGAAAATGTACATTAAGAGTACCTTGTAAATATGATTAATCATCATCATCATCTTTTGGTCTTCCCCTCAAGTTTGTTGGATACAACAGAGTCTAAGTAAAGTAAATAAGGATTCAAAAAGTTCAAACACTCAAATGTCCATCAGCTGATGAATGGATAAGCAAAATGTGGTATATCCATATAAAGCAATATCATTTGGCAACAGAAAGGAATGAAGTACAGATACATGATACGACATGGATGAACTGTGAAAATAACATGCTAAATGACAGAAGCCAGTCACAAAAAAACTATATTTATATGATTCCACTTATGTGAAATGTCCAGAATAGGCAGATATATAGAGACAGAAAGTAGATTCGTGATTACTTAGGGCTGGGGGTTGGGAAGACCAGAAGGTGAAAGCTAAAGAGTCCTAAGTTTCTTTTTGAGGTGATAAAAATATTCCAAAATTGATTCTGGTGAGGACTTCACAACTTCATGAATATATTAAAATCACTGAATTATACTATTTAAATTAGGGAATTGTATGATGTGTGAATTATATCTCAATAAAGCTGCTAAAAAGGTTGCTGCTAAAAAGCATAAGAGAACCAAGACCTTTAACTTTGACGTAGCATTTAAAAATGTTGCTAGAAAACATCTAAGGTAATAAAGTTTCATTTTTTTTAACTAGGTATTGAATTTTTAAAATTGGAAGCCATGTGTGCTTGACAAAAATAAATTTTTTTTCCAATATCTTTATGGAAAGGACAGATAAAGAGGTAAAGAATTTGTAGCTTGCAATCAAAACTCAGATTTCCTCCAAGATTCAAAATCTAGGACAGAACAAGAGGCAAATTAGCACCTGCAGATGATAAGCCCTTAGCAGAACATAATAATTGCTAACATTTATTCAGCACTATGTGCTAGACACTGTTCTACATATTTTTTTACATCCAACAGTCATTTATTCCTCCTAACAACTGAATGAGGCATGAGCTATGATTATCCCTAATTTGCAGATGTGAAAGCTGAAGTACTAAGAAGTTACTTTACATAACTTGCCCGAGATCACCAGCTGACCTTGGATTTGGACTCAGAGACTTTAGCTCCAGAATCTGTGCTCTTAACAGCTGGACGACATTGTTTTTCTGTACTTCCCTCTTTCCTTCTGTTTGCTGTTCTCTTCAACAATGTAGCTCCCAAGAAATGATCTATGCTTAATGGATAATGGTTTTTATTGTGAATCTCATAGGAGGCAAATACTTCTATTTGACAGAGACCAAGTCATAAAAGATGGTACCAGACCATCAATTCATATTTACTATTCTTTCATTTTTTACACCCCAAACATTTTTAATACTGAGCAGTGAACATCAAACACACTGATTGCTAAACATAGTTCTTCATTTTGAGAAATGCTCCCCTCCCCCTTTTAAATGTGAGAGTATTTAATAGGAAAAGAGAAATAGGCTAATAAAATTTCTACCACCAAATAAAGTGACAGGATAAAAATGACTTCAGTATTCTTCCAGTTTGCAAATGTTTTCCATTTACTTTAAAAGCACGTCTTACTGACAAATTCCTTCCCCACCTCTTACTTTTTTGAAGGGCAAGGAATGCTAGCATTTCAAACTATTTATTATTATTTTTTGTTTCGAAAATCCCATTTGCTTCTTAAGTGTTATCTACAAATTCTGCCTTGGCAGACCTTTCGTTAATGAACTGGAAAGCGAGTTTTCTTACTGCACCATAGACTAGACAAAGAAGCTCACAATCAGGCAAGATGAGAAGCAGTTTACTGGGTGGGTGGAGAGACTGTGGACAGTTCCTTGGTGTTATGGCTGTGATGCCAGCAGGGCTGATGTTGTCTCCCAATATCTCCTCTTTCTTTCTTCCTCTGCAAACGAGCCCCATTTCCCTTTTAACTTGGTGTGGCCATGTGACAAAATTCTGGGCTCTGGGATGTTAGCAGCACAGCAGGACAGTGTGTGGGTTCCAAGGCATATCCATAAAGCGGGGAGGCATGCTCTGTTTTGGTCCTTTCCTATTCTTGTGGCTGGAGCAGGAACAAGATGCTTGAAGCTTCTACAGCCATCTTGGACCATGAAGGAAAGGGTGCTGGGGATGGCAGAGTAGCATACAGCAGGAAGATGGGTCCTCATGACTTCGTAGAGACATTCGCAGTCCTAGATCACTAACCTCCAGACTGTTCCCATGTGTGAAAGGAAATAAACTTCTATTTTACCTAAGCTACTGGTATTGCATATTTTCTGTCTTTCATATCTAAACCTAATACTAATTGACATAGAGCTGAAAAGCCCCAGCAGTGTCTCTTATGTTCTTGTGATTCTTCACGAGAGACTCTTTCATGGCTTATAGGGGGGTCTATAAACTTCCTGAAATTGTATGTTAAATCTCTTGTTAATTCATGCACTGCTCAGGGAGAGGAGGTCCCCCATTTAACTTTTCAGATCCTCAGCTTCTTCATTGTAATAGGGGGATAGCAACACTTTCTCTGCAGGGTTGATTCAGGCTTAGATAGAATGTGTGTAAAGCACCTCACAAAGTGAATAGTGCCTAGCATAGCAGGCACTCCTCTTTATTTCCAAAATTGTGTGAATGCTTTTGCCACACATCCCACTGAGCTTAAATCTTGCAATTACCTTGACTTCTCTTACTTCCTCATTAAATTACCATATTAGTTGTCAAGAACATAGATTTCTTCTCTATAACCTCTCTTGCATTCATTTCTTTTTCTCCTTCCCCACTACTCCCTTCAGGTTGCAGCCTCTCATCTCTCTAAGACCCTTACCAGGTCTTCTTATTCTGGTCTCTCCTGATTCATTTCACCTCCACAAGACTACTAATGTTTCCAAAGCTCTGGACTGCCAGTGGTTCTCCAATGCCTATCAAATGAAATATAAACCCCACACTCTAAATGTAGTCAAGGTAGCACAACAAAGATGAAAGAATTATGAAATCGACAAACTGAGATTTGAATCCTGGTTTTACTCCCTTAACTTGCTTTATGATCTTGGGAAAATTATTTTTCTCAGAACCTCATTTACCTTAGCTCTAAACAGTACATACCACACAGGGTTATAGTGAAGATAATGGTACATACAAGGTTAGAGGGAAGATAGAAGGGATATCACATATAAAATGACAAGTTTGGTGCTTGGTACATACTAGGTGCTCAAAAAATGAGTTTCCTTCTCTTTTCCCACCATGGAATGAATGGAGATTAAGAAGCCACATCTGCGGCCTCTCACTCACTCTTCCACTAATCCCATACTTGTCTAACCTGTGCTAGTCAAACCAGATGATTTGCCACTTCCCAGAAATATGTTCTGCCCTCTCTATCCAGTTCTGAAATTTTGCTCACTGAGTTCTTCTTTATATACAACTTCACTCCATTTTTTTTCAGTTTTAATCCTCTTCATCCTTCAAGGATCACCTCAGTAACCATCTCCTCCATGAAGCCTTGTCTTGATGTCTCAATTCAAATGTAAGCTTCGTTTAAAAAGGCAGATTCTCTGTGGCTTTTTCGTGGCATGTCACAGGTTCTGCCCTGTCATGTTTTATGTACTTGTCCCTCCTGAAAGACTACAGGTACCCTTCAGGAGGTACCTGTACCTGTACCTACAGGTACCCTTCAGGAGGTACCTGTACCTGTACCTACAGGTACCTTTCAGGAGGTACCTGTACCTGTACCTACAGGTACCTTTCAGGAGGTACCTGTACCTGTACCTACAGGTACCTTTCAGGAGAGAAGAGCTAGAGCCCTCTCCACTTTTGTGTCTCTCTCTCAGCATTTAGCCCAGGTCCTTTCATCTGTATTTACTGAGTTAATCTCAAAAATCTCAGGCAGGGCTCTTTTTAATGTATTCCTAGATCTTTTTTTCATACTTTTACAACATTATGAAGACAGAATGATTAAAAGTGTATTCAGGGAACACTCTATTTTAGATTTTTCTTTGTCTAAAAAAAGGAGGCAATGGCTTCTGGAAGCAAAACACTTAGCAGTTGATCCAGCACCGTTACCCATCATTCAAAAACATTTATTATTGTGTCCACTGGATACACAAGACTTGTTCCTTTCCTTTATTTCCTAAGAGTCTGGCTCAACCTCCTACTTCCCCAAAGCCCCCAGGCCTTTTTATTTTCCTTTCTGCATTTCAACAACAATGAATTTCATATCTGGCTTTGAGCATCCCTCCTAAAGATGATGGATAGGAGCAAAGCCTTCTGGGACACATTAGTACAGCTGCCAGTGGGCAGGAGGTGCTTATAAAAAGGCTCAGGATTCTGGGAACATATGTGCAGCTATAAGTGAACTGCCCAACCCAGCTGAAAAGAAACATCCAAGAACACTTCCTTTTATTCTTTTTAAGCTATGTGTGGAAGAGGCAAATCATATTCAATTGCAAATAACTCTCAGAAGGATTCTCTTTTTGTAGTGCCATCATGTGCTAATATCATAACCTTTGCCTATCAGGTCCAGGTGCTTCAAAATTACGGGAAGCTTGTAAAGTCAAATTTAAAGCAGCAAAAGTCTAGTTTCTACTTTATTGGATAATACTGACTATTACTATCTGACTCAGAACATTTTCCATGTAATTATGAAAAAGACAAAAACCCCACACAACTATAAGATTTAATGAAGCTTTAGTTCAGTCTGTGGACAAGTAGTAGATAAAATATTATTAGAAAACTAAACACAATGAAATCACCATCAAGCTACAGACATTAAACATTACATTGTAAACTCAATTTCAAAAAAAGAAAATTACTTTATATGTAAAGCTCTCATACTTCATTAGAACTGGAAGACTATAGAATCTGTGAAGTTGCCAATGTATTACATAGTCATTGCACTAAAAAGCAAGCACTAGTCAAGAAAGGTATTGATCTTAAGCACACTGGAGATAAGAAACTATCTCATGTGTGTCTGTAAGACAAAGGACCTTGCCTAACCTACATTTTGAGAGGATACTAGGGGAAGACAGCGACAGGATTTAAAAATGGTGTAAGGCTTTTCTCCAGATGCAGATAGCCTTTGATGTGCAGAGCAGAATGTCTTTTCCAGATATTTGCAAAGGGAAAAGCTGGAAAAACCACAGCAAAATTGAGTCAATTTTTGTCAGTGAGAGGTCAACACAAACCATGAGTTTGCCCAATATAGCCAGGGTGGAAAGCAAGAGCAGTAAGAGAGATGTGACATAAAATAGATCCCCTGGGAAATTTCTGTAAAGCTCACAATGACCCCAAATTCAGCCGTGTTGGTAAAACGTGGCTCTCCCCATGACCAAAGTTGACTGGGCCAAGAGCACCTGATATCAAACTTGGTAAATTACGAATGTGGATCTGAAACAGAGGCTGGACTTGTAAATGTGACTTTTGGAGCTCTGGAAGCTGTGGGGAAAGTACTGGGTGGCCTAAGAAGAAAGGGAGAAAAAAAAAGTCTGTTGAAAGGGAAGAATAAAGCAAATACGGGGAAAGAAAAAGAGAAAAAGCAATAGCGAGTGAATATTCCCCTGGGTTCCTATCTTCCATTCCTGGCCCCAGTTCTTCCAGAGGCCCTGCTGCAATTTGCAATTGTTTCCAGGACTGCCCACTGTATCTTGATATTAATCCCCCTCATTTTAGCTTAAGCTAACTTCAGTGGGGTTTCTGCTACCTGCAACCTAAAGAACTGTAGTCGACATACTACCAGAGTCCACTAACCATAACTGTGGGGAAGATAGTGTCTCTTACAGCAGTTGCTCTCAATGAAAGCATTCATCAATCACACACAGAGCCAGCATCCCTAACAATTATTACGACATTAACAGACTATAAACACAAAAACCTCCTTCTCAGAAAACAGGGCTTTGTCTGTCTAATGTGGTCTAACACATTAGAATCCCAGATTCTTTGATCAATTGATATGGGAAAGAAGATAATGATGGTAACAGCTACCATTTATGATGTGTCATAATAATTGATTGGGTCTTCAACTATGTAAGGCATTACGCTAAATGCTCCACACACATTATCCCCACTCCTCATAACTCTTAAGGTAGTGAGAATAGACATTTGTTTGAAAAGGTTTGTGACATATTGAACAGAGATGTCATCAGGGAAAGGCCAACCTGCTGGGAGGGGCATTTAATGAAAAGGGCATTTAATGTGATGGATTAACCATCATTCAAGATCTAGCCATTGGTCCTAGAGTCTCAGAAAATTTCAGTGGTATTCTAGCACTGACTAGACTTAGGAATGCTGACTCATGCTAACAAAGTTCACTAGAGACTGACATATAAACAAAATGCCAAGTTATGTTATTAAGTTACCATGAGATGTATAACTGCCAAGCAGTCTGGATACTGATGTTGGCTCAACCAGTGTATGATATACTTTCTCCATGTAGACAGACTACACTGGGAGCCAAACTATTAGAAGGATATTTAGGTGGTTACATGATTTGAATGTTAGACATAGAGATTTGACAGCTGCTACATTCATTTCCATAAAGGGGATTTAGCTACCAGGTGAACCAGACTCTTAGGCACCATTTCTTTGGTTGCTGCCAGGAAGATCTATTCCAACAAATATTTCTGTGACCCTCCTGGGCTCCAGAGCTGACTAGTCATCTTCCTAAAGGAAAAGTTTTTTCTTTAGCTATCTTAAAACCTGATACTGTTTGGCTCTGTGTCCCCACCCAAATCTCATCTTGTAACTCCCATAATTCCCACGTGTTGTGGGAGGGAACCAGTGGGAGATGAATGAATCAGGGGGCAGGTCTTTCTCATGCTATTCTTGTGATAGTGAATGGGTCTCACAAGATCTGATGGTTTTAAATACAGGCGTTTCTTTGCACAAGCTCTCTCTTTGCCTGCTGCCATCCATGTAAGATGTGACTTGCTCCTTTTTGTCTTCTGCCATGATATTGAGGCCTCCCCAGCCATGTGGAACTGTAAGTCCAATAAACCTCTTTCTTTTGTAAATTGGCCAGTCTTGGGTATGTCTTTATCAGCAGTGTGAAAACAGACTAATACAATACCCAATCCATCTTGTGTGTTTGGCAGTCTTTTTATTGACTTAAAGTTACTTTGCATATCTTTGTCTAACTCATTATTTCATGATTTAACATTTGAAGTAAAAGGATAATTCTATTTTCCTTCTTTCCACATTTCTCAGTGAGGTGGCTCACTGTCATTCTAATGTATCATCTCAATTTTTTACATATAAGTGAAAAAAACAGGTTTTATAGTCAGAAAGACTGGGGATTAAATTTTGGCTCCCTCACTTATAAATTTTGTGATTCACAACCAGTTAATTAACTTTTTCTTGGCCTCAGTTTTCCTACTTGTAAAATGGGAATGAGGCCCACCTCATGGAGTAAAATTAAATTTAATGAGTTATTATGTATGTAAAGTACCCAGCACAGTGCTGGGTGCAAAACACACAAGTGATCAGAAATGCCCACTGGAGCAAAAATAACAGAGATCTCTACCATTTAGGTTCTCTCTGTGTCTTAGAAAGTTTATGCTGCTATAATAAAATACTTCATACTGGGTAACTTATAAATAATAGAATTTTTGGTGGCTCATGCCTGTAATCCCAGCACTTTGGGAGGCCAAGGCGGGCAGATCACTTGAGGTCGGGAGTTCGAGACCAGCCTGGCCAACATGGTGAAGCCCCATCTCTACTAAAAATACAAAAATTAGCCAGGTGTGGCTAACACTTTCTCGATTAAAAAAGGCATTTTCAATCTTAAGAATTTGTTCCTGTTCCCTTATCATTGTATTCTTCTTGTTTTCATATTTATTTTCATTTATATGTTGCCATAAACTTTTAGATATCTTCATTTGGCATGTGACAATGGCCAAGAACCATGACAGATCTGTATAGGAATTAAAATACCCATTACCAATTTTACTACCAAAAAATGGATTGAGTATTTATAATCTGGGAACATATGCATTTCCAAAATGGAATCCTCAATAGGCAGTGCACACAGGAGGATTAGGAGAGAGGAAAACCTACTATGTGCCATATACAGTGCCAGAAATTTCTTTTATTGAGACCCATTTAAACTGCACAACACTCCTAGGTTGGTGGCATTACTTTATCTAACAGATGCTAATTTTATTGAGATCTAAATATACTACTAACATTTAAAAGTTCACATGATAAAATTATAAGCTGACCATAAAATAAGCTTTTGCATTCTAGGAACATTACTTTTGAGGTTTTTATTCAGAACCTATGATTAGTTTGATTTATTATTATAGACATGTTTTTCATGTTTATATTTTTCATTACAATTACAAAATAAATTCCATAAAGTGATATGGGGAGTTTGTTTATAAATCTCATCAACAATCATGGAATGAGGAATATAAAGAGACAAATCTGAGGCTTCTGTATTATAAGCCAACTCTATAAGGCCAATTTTTAAGTGAATTAAATGGTCTTGAAGGAAAAAGTCATCTAAACTCAATTCTGTTTTGAGGACTAAACCTAAGGAGATTAATATATCTCTGTATTTAAGAATTAGCTACTGTTTAAGGGAGCAGGTAAGCTTGGCAGACTATTCAATGATATCACAAAGAGGTTGAGTAATGTAATGACATTAGACTGTGTGTACAGATGATACCACTGAAAAATAACACAACGCACCCTGATATAGTTTGGTGTAGAAAATCAAAACACATTCATTCGTTCCATAAAATAGTGATATATAATGTAATACTTTTGAATGATATGAAACAGAACACGGAAGTTCATGGATTCGTTTATCCAGTCAACATATTTATTGAACATCTCTACTGCGATGGATACTGTAAAGCAGTGGTCCCCAATCTTTTTGGCACCAGGGACCGGTTTCATAGAAGACAATTTTTCCATAGACCAAGGGGTGGGGAGATGATTTTGGGATAAAACTGTTCCACTTCAGATGATCAGGCATTGGTTAGATTCTCATAAAGAGTCCACAACCTAGATCCCTCACATGCGCAGTTCACAATAGGGTTTGCGCTCATATGAAAATGTAATGCCCCTGCTCATTAGATTGGGAGGCAGAGCTCAGGTGGGAATGCTTGCCTGCCACTCACCTTCTGCTGTGTGGCCTGGTTCCTAACAGGCCATGGGCTGGGGGACCCTGCTGTAAAGGACATGATGACAAATTAGATACAACCTCTTCCTTTACAGACATACAATCTAGGAGAGACACAAGATGGGGACACATAAGTTCAAGTGTGAGGAATACAGTGAAAAATAGCATAAAAGTAGTACCATGAAGTGCTACAAGATTTCAGAGGAGGGCTTTATCATGTTTGAACATGGCATCTAGGAAAGGCTTCATTGACTACATGGCATTTTAGCTCTTCTGAAGTGTGGGGAGGAATTCAGCTGGCAGAGATGGGAGGGATTCAAATGAAGAGGAAGCAGGATGTTATAGGTTGGTTTGGGGAATGCCAGATAGGCCAGTTTGATAGAGGACAGACCATGTCTAAGGGACTGCAAGGCAAAATTGGGGGATGGGGGCAGTTTATGCCGGGCTCTCAAGGTCAGTCTGGCAGAGTAACAGAGCCACTGAAGGTTTTCTTCAGGGAATTATACAATCTATTTGTTCCTCTAAAAACTTAGAAGGACAGGCTGGAAGGAAGAGATACTGGAGCCTGGAATTCCATCTAGGAGTCTTTTTTAGTGGTCTAGGCATTTGTGTGATAAGAAAAAGCGGAGGGGAGGAAACAAGCCCTTATTAAGAGCTCACTATGTGTAATGCATTTATTTATTTAAGTGTATTAGATATAATACTCCACGACAACTGTGAAAGGTAGATAACATCAACTCCAATGTTCAGTTGAGGAAACTGAAGCTCAAAAAGATCAGTAGTTTGCCCAAGGTCAATGAGTTAGTTAAAATAAGGCGGGGGGTGGGGAGACAGTGGCAACTGAGACTTCAAAACCCATTTTATAATATACACTAGGTTGATTAGGGCCTTCCTTTCATAAGCTCCCTGAAATTCAGGATCAGCTGTTGAGGATTTTAGCTGTGCCTCTAGTATAGAACCAGAAATAATCACATATGGTAGGAGAATGATTCTGACAACAGATGAAATTAGATTCTTCTACCCCACACGACCACAGAAATTTCCCTGCTAGACTGAAGGATTGAGCTTTTAATGAGTTGATTGTGTCTTATCTGTCTCTGGATCCCCCAGAGCAAGCCCAGGGCCTGGCACTGTAGATCCTCAAGGAGAAAGCTGTTGTATTAAATCAAACTTGTGATTCATGTTACATATGTTCTGTCCTCAACTGAAGTTCTAATGAAACAAAATATTTTGTATCGTTCTAATATTGCAACTCAAGAGAGTTGTTTCCACAGATGAGACCCACTCCAAGCTCTGGGACAAACTCTGCTCCTATCTGGGAGAGTATGAGAATTGAACTGAGAGCTCAGCAGCTTGGTATCAAGTCAGCCTCGTTGCCAGTCTTGATCTGTTCCTCGATCCAAGTTGTAGATTCTGAGTGCGCTCCTTCTCACCACTAGGATCCAGCTCTCCCTCCTTTCTAACTTCTGGTAGTTACAACCCTGTCTTGCTCCCTAGGCCAGCATCCCTGTCTTTGAATTTTGCCCACATATAGGATCTTCATTTCTCCAACAAAATATGAAACATAGCAAGACCTTTTTGATACCAACTCTTTGCTTGCTGAAATCTGCCAGGCTGTGTTTTGCTTATATGCCAAGGCTACTGTCTGGGTCCCTGGGACTCTCTGATCTCCTGGACTACTCCAGCTGGTCTGTAGAGTCATCCATCATACTCCAGATCTCCTTGGTCTAGCCTGTGCTTCTACTTGATGAAAGGAGTTTGGACAATAGTCATCATAATATCTGTTGAGTATCCCTTATCCAAAATGCTAGGGACCAGAAGTGTTGGATTTCAGATATTTTTCAGATTTTGGAATATTTGCAAATACGTACTAGTTGAAGATCCCTAATCCATAAATTCAAAATCTGAAATACCCCAATAAGCATTTCCTTTGAGCATCATGTTAACACTCAGAAAGTTTTGGATTTTGGAGTATTTTAGATTTCAGATTTTTGGATTAGACTGCTGAATCTGTAATAGTGGTAATAGTCATACTTATATAACATTTGCTATGTGCCAGGCACAGTTCTATGTATTTTATAAATATTGATTCTTACAATCATCACATTATTATTAGCCTCATTTTGTTGTTGGAATAAAAAGTAAAACAAAAATCCAACCTGAGTGGTTGTTACTTGTCTAATGTGACAATGTTTGCAAGTGCTAGAGCAAGACTTTGAACCCAGGCATTCTGGCTATAGTTCATCCTCTTAATCACTATGCTCTCCTAATAACCGTGAGAAGATAGAAAATATGCCACTAGTAAATGTACTATCTTAGATGCCTTAATTAATATAATTTACATCATACCACCAATAATTAGTTATTACACTTATGTTAATAAATGTGTTAATATCTAGCTATAACTATAAACCTTTAGCCCTTACATGAAGTTAAAACTTTAATGTATGCGTATTTTCATGTTGATTGAAAATCTACAGATATTCTGCATTTAGGCAAGTCTGATAAGACAGTAGAATTCGGCCGGGCACGGTGGCTCACGCCTGTAATCCCAGCACTTTGGGAGGCCGAGGCAGGTGGATCATGAGGTCAGGAGATCCAGACCATCCTGGCTAACATGGTGAAACCCCATCTCTACTAAAAATACAAAAAAATTAGCTGGGCATGGTGGCGGACACCTGTAGTCCCATCTACTCGGGAGGCTGAGGCAGGAGAATGGCCTGAACCCAGGAGGCGGAGCTTGCAGTGAGCCGAGATCTTGCCACTGCACTCCAGCCTGGGTGACAGAGCAAGATTCTGTCTCAAAAAAAAAAAAAAAAGGAATTACATAAGATTGTAATATGACTTATATTAATATGTAGCTGATTTGTATTATAAAACTAATTTGTTAAGAACAGAGCAGTCACTTCAAACATTTGGTGAGTGTACCTATGTACCAGAGGCTGGAGATACATCATCAAGACATATAAGGAGCTTATTTTCTAACAGTAGAAAGATCACACGCAAGTAAACAAATGCATAATTAGGACTAGCAGTAAGAACTATAAGAAAGCAAAACAAGGAAATGCAATACAGAATGAAGTAGTTGTAGTGGGCTAGTCAGGATATGACATTTGAGCTGGTACCTGACTGACGAAGACCAAGGTTGGTAATGTGACAGGTGGTCTGCTCAAGGAGAAAAAGGAGGCCAGAGTGGCTAAAGGATCATGAGAAAGGGAGAAACTGGCATGAACTCCAGTTGGAGAGGTGAGCAGAGTCCAGACTATAGGTCCTTGCAGGCCACAGCAAGAGATCTGAATTTTGTTCTAAGTATTAGAGGAAGTCACCACAGGGTTTTAAGTTAGGGAAGTGATATAGTATAACCTACATTTAAAAAATATCAGTTTAGCTGCTATTTGGAGAATGCATTCCAAGTGGTCAAGAACAGAAGCATAGAGGCCAATTAGGAAGCTACTGGAGTAGGGAACAGAAGATGGCAGCTTGAACTCAAGTTGTATCAGCAGAAACAGAGAAGTAGATGGAATAGGGACATATTTTGTAGGCAGAACTGACAGGACTTGTTGATGGGTTTTGACGCAGGGAAGTAGGGAAAGAAGGCAATCAGGAATGACCTGTAGATTTTGAGTGGATGGTTGTATGATCTGGTAATAGGTGGAAGATTAAGGGAGAAACAAATTTTAAGAGAAACTCCTATCAGTAGAACATTAGTAAGTACAAAGATAACATAGTGATATCCACAATGACATTTATATTAAACTCGGAATAACAAGCAACACACTTTCACAAAACCTTAGGGAATATGATCACAGGTTAGACCTTTTCTTTAATAGAAAAATCAGCCTACCTCAAGCCCCAAGACCATTTCAGCTATGGAAATGAAAACTACAGTCATCTCTTTCTAGCCTTACATGGGCATATTTTGTTTCATGGGGCGGTTCTAGAAACTCTGAAGAGTGTGAACACATGATAGGCACTTAATAAAGGAGTGGTGAACTAAATGACACCTCCTTGTCCCATTATAATCTACTCACAATAAAATGGAGAGTAGAATTGAGAACTCTTAAAATTGCCATGTATCATGAATTTGGATTACATTATTACCTTATTTTTTAAAATCCCATTATATATGTGTGTGGATACACACACACCACACACACAGATGTGTATTTCTCTCTGATACTATTAATGTAAGAAGTAAGTATGTTCCAAACATTTTTCCTAATATATGATCAGCCCTTTCCCACAATGTTTTCATTTTACAATGAATGGTCATTACATACCTGTAGCACATCACCAAGGTCTGCTGTGCTAATATCTGGATCCTCTGTGGTGTTAAAAGGTACAGGAGTTATTCGTACAAGGGTGAGTACTCTAGGTTCTGGATATCTCCATAACATCATCCCTGGGCAATCTTCAGTTTCATTATAAAATAAGACTTCATAGACCCCAGGCAATTTCAAAGATTCTGTCAAATAAAAGTATAATTAATTGTATGATTTAAAGGGGAACATGACAAAGGGGAAAAAGTAAAGGAAGAAGAAATTATGAGAATAAAAGATATAAAGAAGCTAGTTGGTCATTTTTATATATATTCTGGAACAGAAAGAAATGAAGAACTTCCCCTAAGAGAGATTGAATGATAATGTACTATTTTTGTACTGCAAATTTTAACGCACTTTAAAAAGCCATCTTGATTGTTTTTATTTAGTCAACATGCATTTAAAATGCAACCACATGCACAGAGACACTCTCATACTGAGTCTGTTGCTACTTACCAGCATCCTGTACATACTGAAATAGACCTGTCCGTAGGTCATCTGAACTTTGTTCACTTTTAAATGTCTGATTCTTTTCCACAGGAGATGACATTTGAGGCACTGGTTCAGAAACTTGTACTTCAAAATTTCCCTCCTCATTAAGGTATCCATTGAGTAATTCATGTAGAAGAACTAAACAATTCAAATGTTCTTGACCCCAGAAGACCTTTAAAATCATAAAAAAATTCTAGTAGCTTTTAAATACAAACATTTCTTGAGACTAATTAGGTATAATCATATTTGAATTAATGTAGGACTGTAATTATGTTCAATTTAATTACTTATAAACTATAATTCCTAAAAAGTAATTGACTTACAGGATGAAATTCTATTGCTTGAATAAATATATAACAACAAAAAAATTAATTATATCTTATATTGTGTGAATAACAATAAATTTTAAATGTTGAATTGAAATTATGTTGATGTGAAGTAATGTTTATGAATTAATTTAGCTAAGAGGGAAAAGAACACCTATTATAGTCTGAGAGAAGGCAATGAAGATCCTCTAGGCCAAAATGTTAATAAAATCATAATAATAACCTTGTGGGACAGCTCTGACATTCTGCCATGAGATTAAATAAGCAATCCTTATTATAGGGTTTCTTTCTCTGCACTTTTAGAGGGAGATTTCTCAATGAACCTGAACTTAGAAGGCTCCCAACTTCTGTGTTTAGTAAGACTGTGCCAACACAGAGGATTCCAGAGCCCCTGAAAATCAATTATACTACAGTAGCTACAGTAGAGTTTCAGAACAAAAGGACTTAGTGTTTCCTCTAATGGAGATTAAGTTTTATTTTTCTGCATGTGAGTAATATTAGTCTATAACTACTAAGTTATAGACATATAATGACCAGTAGGTTATAATGAAGATTAAAACTTTCAAAAATGTTAATTTTCTCTGTAAATACTGAATAAAGGCAATACAACTATCAATTCTAAGAGAACCAGGTAACGCAGAAAAGAAAAAAGAATATATAGTAGTAGAAAATAATAGCCCCATATCGTGTGGGTAAGTTTTAAACCCTAGCCTTAGGTTCTGCTCTCTGGAATTAAGGCATCTCAGAAATGAAAGTAAAAGATGTAACACTAAGTGTACTTGTGTTCTCATCAATCTTATTTTTATTGGATGCTGAAAAATAGAGACAGGTGAAAAGTCAAACGGGGAGTAGAATGTTGTGCTCTAGCCTTTAAATTGTCAAGAGACAATGACTGTAATACAGAGGTAATACACTGTACTTTGTTTTTGCTTTTATTAATGCTGTGGTTTAAAATTTTCTTACTTTTTATTTTTAAGCACTTGGTCATGTAAACAGATCATTGTCGTTTTCAATGTGAAGTTACTTGGCTGCCTTGGAAAAAAGGTAAGACAATGAATATTCTTGATAAAGTAATACATGTTTATTGCTAAATATATGAAGATTTCTGATAGATACTGAAAATCTCCAAAGCAACACAAAACAGTAAGTTATTAGGATCTTCCCAAATCTTGCTCTGTGCATTAAAAAGGAAACTGGTGAAAACTTGAGGCAATACAACTTTTAGATAAATACAAAAAATTGGCCGGGTGCTATGTATGGCTCATGCCTGTAATCCCAGCATGGGTGGAGGATCACTTGAGCCCATGAGTTTGAGACCAGCCTGGGCAACATAGTGAGAACCTGTCTCTTAAAAAAAATAGTCAAGCATAGTGGTGCATGCTTGTGGTCCTGGGTACTCGGGAGGCTGAGGTGGGAGGATCTCTTGAGCCCAGGAGGCTGAAGCTGCAGTGAGCTGTTATCACACCACTGCACTTCAGGATGTGCAACAAAATGAGATTC
This sequence comes from Homo sapiens, assembly GCF_000001405.40. Taxonomy (NCBI): domain Eukaryota; kingdom Metazoa; phylum Chordata; class Mammalia; order Primates; family Hominidae; genus Homo; species Homo sapiens. The sequence continues at coordinate 99,718,690 of NC_000008.11, read as the reverse complement.
TGTCTCAAAAAAAAAAAAAGAAAAAAAGAAAAAAATTCACATTTAATGTCTCCATTATTGACCAATTAGTTGTTTTAATTTTCTATCATTGTGAATCTTTCAAGCTTTTTGGATTCATGTCAAGTTTAGAGTGGCATCAAGTTACATGAAGATTAAATTAAAATCTATCCAAATACAAAATAATCAAGAAATAAGTTGGATGCCTTCACACATTCTATATTTGGCTGTTAAGACAAATGCATTAAGAGCTTGCAGTGTGACTAATTTATCAAGTGTTGTAATCAGATATCATCACATGTAAAATATTTAATATTAGGAAATTGTTCTTATATATTGCTAGTGACACTGTGCTTGCAACAGGTTGACTACTTTGTATTAATAATTAAAAAAATCTATAGCCTCAACAACATAGTGAGACCTCATCTCTACTGAAAAAAAAAATAAAAAACATTAGCTGGGTGTGGTGGCACATAGTTCTACCCACTCAGGAGGTTGATGCAAGAGGATCACTTGAGCCCAGGCGACTGAGGCTACAGTGAGCTATTATTGTACCCCTGTACTCCAGCCTGGGTGACAGAGGAAGACCCTGTCTCAAAAAGAAAAGTCTACCCATAAAAAAAAAAAAATTCAACCCGGCAATTCCACTCCTAGTTATATATCTAAGAGAAATCAAAACATATATCCACACAAAAAGTCGTACACAAATGGTCATGGCAGCATTATTCATAGCAGCCAAAAGTGGAAAGAACCCAAATGTCTATCAACTGATGAATGAATACATAAAATGTGGTATATCCATATGATGGAATGTCATTTGGCCATAAAAAGGAATAAAATATTGACACTTGGTAAACATGGATGAACCTTGAAAACATGCTGAGTGAAAGAAGTCGGTCACAGAAGACCACAGGTTACATGATTCTATTTATACGAAATGTTAAGAATAGGTAAATCTATGGAGACAGAAAGTAGATTAGTGGTTTCCTAGGCCTGATAAGGGGGTTAGAGGGTAATGTGAGTGGCTGCTAATGGATATGGGTTTTTTTGTTGGTGGTAATGAAAATGTTCTGAAATTGACTGTGGTAATGATTGTGCAACTCTGAATATGCTAAAAAACCACTGAATTGTATACTTGAAATAGGTAGATTGCTGGTATATGACTTATATCTCAATAAAGTTGTTGAAAATTTAACAAGTAGCAATCTGACAAATACCCTTTCTTACCACACAAAGATTTAAAATTTAGTGAAACAGTTCAAAAAATGAACAGAGGCTAGTTAATAACCTATGAAAAAAATATGGCCAATACCCACAGACCTGTAGTAGACCTCCTCTTAAGTCAATGGATATTTTTGGTATGGATTGTTCTGGGCCTGGATTCCCGCTGTGTTTACACCACTTAGCTTCCAGATTGGCAGTAGCACAACATGGTCCTATCAGAATGCGGCTTCTTTCTTTGAGACTTGTTTTAAGGAGAAAATCGTTTATACTGAGTAGAAATGATGACCCAAGAATTATGCCTGAAAAAAAAATACAGAAGAGTATATAATTCATCCTTATCAAAAAAAATGTTTGGGAAAGAACTATCTATATTTTTGAAGAGTATTAATTCATCCTTTGTCAGAGTCGTCTTGCTTGGTTGGCAGTCCACCACCGTTTCATGCCGTTTATACAGAGTTCTAGTTATGAAGCAGGTATACCTCATTCACATTCCTAACAAAGTAATATTTGCCAAAACATTATGACTTTTTCCATGTGTGAGCATTTTAAGTTTTATGAGTAGAGACATTTTCATTAAATTGTGCAAGTTTTTCAAGCAACTACATTAAGAATAAGAACAGCTGCTTCATTTGTCTATTGTTAACATGATGGGAAAGGGTAATTTTCTGTGATTTCCTACAGTAACAGAGTGCAGTATGTTACTCTGCTAGACACTCAAGTTTTTTACTGGCCCATGTTAAAATTCAAAACAATCAAAATATATAACGTGTGTTTTCTAAAAATTTTAGTTTAATCCAAACTTCACACATCATAACCACTTGAAGTTTACAAAGTCTTAAAAACAGATAGTGGCAGGTTAGATTTATGAGAAAAACTATATGCTATAGTTCAAAGTAAATATACCCAGAAAAGGAATACACTTTAAAATGTAGGCTTTCTTTTGAACTTAAAATAGGAGTGTAGATCAAAACCTTTTCATAAAACCAATGGCACATTTTAGGATATTTAGATGCAAAGTTAAGAGTGGTGAGTTAACTTTCCTCCCAAGGAGCTCATATTCTAAATTGTCATAGTGAATATTGAATTTCACCAGACCACGTTTGTAATGCCCATGGCTTATTTTTCTAATGATATTTGATCCCTAAAAAAGATGAAAGATTAAAAAACACCTTAGGCCCACAGTATACACATGTTTTAAAGTACAGTAACCACATTGACTTTTCAATTCTGTAGAGACTTGAAAATTTCATATATGTTGTATATTCCTACTGCAGAAATAAGATATTCAACCTCTAATCCTCCACAGAAGGCATCACACCCACAAAAGTGTTAGAGATAAGACTTTGGTTTAAAAATAATCATGGTGGAAATCAATTTCTTAAAATGTTTCATCAAATTGTGAAACTGAAACTACCATTTCATTTACAATTATCCTGATTCAAAGCTTCCACTTAGTCTAAACAAACAAATAAACAAGCAAAAAAAGCACTCCAGAAAATAAAAGAAATAGAAACAGGCCCCAAAATACCCCCAAATAAAAAACCATCTTTATTAACTTCAGTCCATAACTGAAGCCATAATTTTCTGACTTAACAGCATTACATTTCTAAAATATCTAAAACTTCTAAAAGTAAATATTTGCTAAATGAAATATATCTATTCATCATCCAGAAATTTGCCATAAAGGCATAAAAGTATAGCCTTAATTCAGTACAATTATTTAGTAAATGAGCATTAACAGAATGTCAGGATTGCATCATCCTTTATTTTCAAATACACATATCTTTGTACAACCCCACAGTGACATATCTAATTATCTGTTTGTAATCTTAGTGTGATAGTCATATTGAATCCTTGTACACAGTGTTTAATGCCAAAGGCCACCTAGGTTGCTTATCTTATTTAATGGTTATTATTATCTCTTTAGGCACCCAGATTGAAAAACCTCAGGCCCTCTTTGAAGGCTCTTATTTCCTTTGACAAATTTCTAAAACTTATCAATTTCTATTTCATTCTCTCCAATTCCATTATTTTAAAACATCAAAGAAGAGATACCTGAATAATATGAGTGAGTGAAAGAGAAGATCACACAATTTTCAACCTCTAGTACTGACCATGCTGGAGGCAAGGACCAGCTTATTCAGTGTAGTCCTGGGCACAACAGTAGCTATTCAGGACATGTTCCATTGAACTGAATCGACAGTTTAGAATCTGATCCTATTTTTCAGCTGCCTCAACATGTTTCTTAATTGGTAGACAGGAAATAAAACTGCTTACATCTTTGGTTTCGTTTTTTACCACTGTAACATAAAAAGGCTGGATGGAAGAGATCTAGAAATCATCTATTCCAAGTCCCCTCACTTTAAAAAAAAAAAAAGCTTTCTATTTTGAAATAACTTTGGGCCTACATAAAAGTTGAAAAAACATACTGTATAATGTTCCTGTACACCCTTCACCTAGCTATGTACCTTTAGTACAAATACTGAAATCAGGAAATCCACATTGATATAATACTTTTAAATAATCTACACATCTTTTTAAATTTTTGCCATTTTTCCCACTAATTTCCTCTTTCTGGTCCAGGATTCAACCTAGGATCCATACTGAATTTAATCATCAAAGCTTCTTAATATTCTTTAATATGTGACACATCCCCCAGCTTTCTTTGTCTTTCATGACCTTGATACTGTGGAATAACCCAGGACAATCATTCTGCAACGTGTCTGTCTGTTGGGGTTTATCTGATGTTTTCTTGTGATCAGAAAGAGGTTATGCATTTTTGACAATACCACCAAAGTGACCCCCTTAGTGCGTCATATTGGTGTATGTGATACCAATATTTTATTATTTACAATATTAACTCTGATCATATGGCTAAAGTGGTGTCTGTCAGATTTTGCCATTGTAAAGTTAACACTTTCCCCTTGTAAATAAGTATTTTTGTGGGGAGACACTTGGAGATTATGCAGATATGCTCTTTTTCTTCAAATTTTCACCCACTAATGTTAGCATCCACCAGTGGTCTCACCTGCAATGATTTATTGTGGTGTGTGATAATGGTGGTTTCCTATTTCCCTTATTTAGAGCTGTCCCTTCTAGCGCCCACTTTGGTAGCACATATACTACAGCTGTCCCTTCTACCCCATATACTAATTCAATTATTTATTTATATCAGTATGGACTCATGAATATTCATTTTTATGGGTTATAATCCAATACTATCATTATTTACATTGTTGCTTACTCTGAACCAGCTTTGGCCATTGGGAGCCCTTTAAGATGGTCCCTGTGTCCTTTTAGTATATGCCTGTCTTTTTTTTTTTTTTTTTTTGAGACAGAGTCTCACTCTGTCACACAGGCTGGAGTGCAGTGGCATGATCTCGGCTCACTGCAACCTCTGCCTCCTGGGTTCCAGCGATTCCCTGCCTCAGCCTCCCGAACAGCTTGGATTACAGGCACCCACCAACATGCCCGGATAATTTTTGTCTTTTTAGTAGAGATGGGGTTTCACCATGTTGGCCAGGCTGGTCTCAAATTCCTGACTTTGGTTGATCTGCACATCTTGGCCTCTCAAAGTGCTGGGATTACAGGCGTGAGCCACTGCACCTGGCCTATGCCAATCATTTTTTGAGAACTTCTTTACTTTCAGGCCACAAAATATTTCAGGCTCATCTTGTATTTTTACCACCCCATCTCTAGCACCAGCCATTTCTCCAAGGAGCTCTGGTTTCTTTTGTTGAAGAATGGTATCTAGAAACCAAAATCTGGGTGGTAGGTATGCTCATTGCTACTGGGGTGTCACTGTTGCTAGGCCCCTTCAGCAGAGATAAGAAGTATATGTATGTATAGCAACCCCTGTATACCTACATATCTTTGTCTCTCTCTCTATCCACTGGTAAATACATTAAAAACCATGAATGCATACTGATACCTCAGGTTCAAATCCAACATCACAGGGTGGTTTCTAGTCTTCTCGCCTTCCTTATTTGTAACCTCTTTCTATGACCATCAGAAACTTGCTAAGCACCTCTTCAGGTGTGTCTGTTTCTAATCCACCTTAAAACATCACTTGGAGTGGTCAAAATTAAAGCAAAAGAACTAAGAAAGCCATAAAGAACAAGTTTATGGAAGCAAAGGTAATTATCTACTAAAAAAAAGCCATAAAAGGTTGATATTTATTTCTGGAAGTCTCTTTAGGAATGGGCTTGACAACATTTTGTCTACAAAGCATACAGAGGAATGAGATTCCTTTCTCACGCTATAGTGGCTTTCATTTAAAAAAGAGTATTTGTAAGCATGACAAAATCTTATATTTGTAGAAATAACATAATACATATAGAATTTGGATCATGTTAGGTATCTCTATTATGCAGGAACCACTTTAAAATACTGATATTGTGCTAAATACTGATATTGTACTAAAATTATGAGGCTTTGTCTTAAAAGAACTAGTACTGAAATGTCAAAATTCATATCATTCTATATGATGCATATCACTTGCAAAGTGCCTACCTCTTAGAGAACTTAAGTAGAGTTGATGGAAGGCTCTTCTTAACCCCCCCAACGTTATACAATTACAAGTTCTTATTGACTTTATTGACTAGGGCAAGGAGAGAATGAAAAAAAAATTCCAGACTTGAATTATTAGAAAACAAATATAGAAAAACACTTTCCTACTATTACACAAATCCTATTTTTTTTTTTTTTTTTGGCTTGGGGACACAGAATGGGATAGCTAGAATTCTCAAGAGAATAAAGATAAAGGTGGGGACAGAAATATCAGTAAAATTGCACAGAATTAGGAAGCCAATGATCACACAAACATTTGGGAGGCTGGAACAAGAAGAGAGAAAGTCGGCCAGACTTAGGTGAGCACTAAAGAGGACCAGAGGACACACAATGTGCTTCAGAAACAGAGGCCCTGCAATGAAGGCAGGCACTGAGCTAGCTATAGCTATGTTCTGGTGACAACGGAATCCAATGACTGGTTTGCCGGGAAATAGTCTAGCAGGATGGGGAACTTTATGGGACTTTATGTTTGATATTCTCTGGAGATTGATTTGGTCCAGGAATGAGCATAATATTCAATGAAAACCACTAAGGTATAATAATACTTTTGGGAACATGACCCTTCCTCTTGCTCCCTGGTCTTGAGGTTAAGAAAATGAAGGCCTTGGAACTGCTGGCAGTCAGCATGTGGAGCCTAAGGGCTGAAGCTGCGTAACGCAGAGGGAAGAAATCTGACAGACTCTTCCATGCCTCAGGACAACACTGGTTTGGAGCTTTTCACATACGTAAAAACTGCTTAAACCAGTTTAGGTTGGATTTTCTGTCGTGTGCAATCCAAAGTGTCACAAATAATATCTTTAACCAATGGGATTTTAATAAGTAATCTTCAGTTTTCTATTCTCCCCTTGAACTAATATTTCAGCAAACTTCTCTACTCTCATGGCTTAAACCATAATTTCTGTCCTTATGAGACAGTATCTAAAACCAGGCCTAATTTCTTAAACAAGTGCTATTACCATGCTTCTGATTGTTTCTAAGGAATTTACATATCCTGGGTCACCTTCAATTTGATATTTATGTAGGCATGTATCCATTATTCAACCAAAAGTTAGTGGTTATCTACCATATATTGGGTATATGAAGATAAAGTAAATAATTAGCAATTTTCTTTCATATCAGATTTTCTCTTGGCAATGTATTAGCTTCAAGGTCTGCAATCTCAGTAAGTACTGAGTGGGGAAGAGACATCCCAGAACATTTCTAATATTGACTCTGTTAAGCACATGAACTGTTGAACAGGAATACTTCCCTGCTATCATACAAACCCTAATATTTTTTGCTTTCTTTTTATTCACTTTATGTGCTGTTCACTTTTTTTTCAGTCTCTTTTATTCTTTTGCTCAAGCCTACCCCTTGCTTTAGTCTTAGTTTTTACAGTCATTCTACAGTTTTTATTTGCCCGTAACTCAGGCCTACCAGCACTGATCATGAGCTTGTTTAAATACACAAATGACACTGAGAATTTAATAAGATGCTAATGTTTGCAGTGAGGACACAGGAACAGCCATTGCCAGAAAGTACTAAGAAAATACAAAATCTACAGATATAAATATATCCTGCCTGGTCCTTTTTGTCCCTTTTCTTTCTTGCCATATACCTACAAGGAAATTCAGTGTGGTTCAATTTTGAAACTTACACAACTGATTCAACTCCTCCCCATGTGCCTTCCTTGTCTGCTACACATACTGCACACACCAACCTGTTGTGACTCCATTCCTCAATGAGGGAACACAGTTATCTGTAGTACCACAGAAAGGTTAACCCACAAATATCAGCTTTTAAGTTTAAAATAGATATTTCCTTTGAACATTTACTCCTACATTAAAAAAAGCTACAACATAATAATAAACACATTAGTTAAGTGCTTTTAATCTTGGAACCAGTATTTATTTATTTAGAGGCAGAGTCTCACTCTGTCGCCCAGGCTGGTGTACAGTGTGTGATCTCAGTTCACTGCAACCTCTACCTCCCTGGTTCAAGCAATTCCCTTGCCTCAGCCTCCCAAGTAGCTGGGATTACAGGCACACACCACCATGCCCAGCTGATTTTTTTTTTTTTTTTTTTTGCATTTTTAGTAGAGACAGGATTTCACCACATTGGTCAGGCTGGTCTCCAACCCTTGACCTCATTATCTGCCCACCTTGGCCTCCCAAAGTGCTGGGATCACAGGCGTGAGCCAGTATTTATTAAGAGCTTGTGATAACTTAATAGCAATAAAGGGTGGTGATGAATTTCACAAAGGGTCACTTACAGGATAGTAAACCAAATTATACACTTTTACCACAAAATACGAAAGTAATCCCTGGGACTCATGACAGGGTTATTAATTTTCCTTTCCCCTTTATTTCACTCTGAGAAGCCAGCCCATGGGACATCAGGCCTTTCTTTTTTTCCCAGGAAACATACTAAATATCTTCCTTATTTTGAATCTTATATATTACCACACATATAAACCTAGGGCCACAGAGAATACTCAGAGTTCATGTAAACTAGATATTTACACATCCAACAACCTGGTATAAATGGCAACAGAAAGTGAGTTAAGACATGTGTTCTTCTTCCTAGGGGGACAAATGCACCATTGGACAAAATGCCTACAAGTAAAAATTATAAAGAGCTACCTTCTTAACAATGGAACATTGGAAAAGGCCTGAATAATTTTGTAAAGTTCTGTGTGTGTGTGTGTTTATAACAAATAAGACAAATGTTTATATTTGTTCTAGCTCATGAGTACACAGGCATTTGATGAATTACCCTGTACATTTTCTGTACTTGTAGTTTTTTCCCTAAATTTCCAAAAACAGTAAAGACAAAATTTTTAAAAATATGCTTCAAAAGTTTACGATATAAAATCATCACTTAGATGTTTAAAAGCATGAATATTATTAAAGTTACTTACCCAATTGCTGATCAGGTCATTTTTTAAAAACTTTAAATTCTGAAACAATTTTAGGCTTTCAGAAAAGTTGATATCCTTCATCCAGCTTGTCAATGTTAATAACTTACATAAAATCAGATTATGATTCTCAAAAACCATTAAATTTGCAGTGATACAATACTACCAATTTAAAGACCTTTCAATCTCACCAGCTTCTCCTCCAATGTCCTTTTTCTGTTTCAGGATCCCACTCAGGATCCCATGTTGCATTTAGTGATTATGTGATCAGGTCACTTTGACCAATCGTACGGTATGACTTCTTCTTTCTACATTTCCTTCAACAGAATGCTTTCCTGCTGATTTTTTCTGTTGACTTTTCTCAAAAATCTGTTTATCTTTTAAATTTAAGTTTTAGCAAACTAATGGCAGATATTTAATTAAACTAAACGAGGTGTAGCAACATTGAGAAATAATTTCAGAAACAACTGGTACGATAAACAGAACCAATCATGCTTTGTTTGAATACTGACATACTTTTCATTGAGTATAAAAATTTACTTCAAGGAACAAATAGTTTCATGACTTCTAAAATACTCCTTCAGAAGACTAATAAATGCAAACCACTTGTTTTGGAAAATGTTTACAAAGTGCTGCCAGCCCTATGTTGTCAGTGTCTACTAGACCCTTAGTAAGGCTCCTAGTGTCTACATGCTGACTAAGCAAAATGCAATCTAAATCAAGCTTCTATGCATCATTAGAAAGAGTAGTCAATGATGACATTGCTAGCAAAGCATATCCAGGTAATTATTTTATCCAGCTGTAAGTAATCTAAGGCTACTAGAAAATCAGCAAGCATGTGTTAGATACATCCGGAAGCTGATTTGCATAACAGTGAAGCATCAGAAAACCTTAAAATGTGAAAACGACAAAATTTTGTAAGTATTGTCTGTAAAGACATAACAAATCCCTCAAAAATAAAGTCTTCCATTCCTTCAACCAATTATGTTGAAGCAGATAAAAATGGCATTTGGGTGCTCTAGCCATGAAAAAAACATGTTCGTCCCCGCCCTTGATCAGAATATGTAAGTTGATCAGATCCTATTTAATTATATTTAATTCTGTAATAAGCCCATATATAGAGAGCGCAAAAGAGAGAGCCTATATATATATATAGAGAGAGAGAGAGAGAGAGACAGAGAGAGAGAGAGAACCTATTAATATGGTAAACTAAAATACAGGAAGAAATGATATGTGGGACAAAACATAACAAAACCAGAGAACTACATGGACACTGACATTTAAGCTGTAAAAGATGCCAGTATTCCCCAACAAATGAACTTAAAAGTCTAGTCATCAAAATAATAGACCAAATGGGTGGCCAGGCTACTAACATGTTTCCCTTCCCAAAGCACCTGATGACTTCTCATAGGTGAGATTTCTATTCCCCAGGGACTGTGACTTAGTCCTTACTGGTAAGTAAAAGCTGGGACCTCCTAGTTTAATTCAAACCTCTTTGTTTGGACATAAGAAAATGGAAAAACAAGTAACTGGAAGAGGAGTGTTTCTTTCCCATAAAAAAAAGGAAGAATTTGTCATGAAAGAAGAAATGCCTACTGAGCTGGCTACTCACACATGGCCATTGTCTGGGAAAGGTATTTTTTATGAAATGCTTTAGAACTCTAGGATCCTGGAAAAATGAAAACTAAAAATACCAAAGGGTGATGGAGGATATGCTTTGCCTCTTTCTTCCCCTCCAATCTGCCACCATGCTCACGGTTTTTACAGTTGTGTTAGTTTATTAGAAAAATATAACTTGATTGGATCATGTGGCTATGTTTAAAAAAAAAAGCAGACTGGCAGATCTGACTGTGCATACTGGAAAGTGTAAGACAACCTTCTTACATAGGAAAGAATAATAGCAAATACATACTTGAAAAGTTTCTGGGATGAATTCAGTAGCTGGTTAATTGAATTATGCGAGGAAACTGCTGAAGAATCAATTTTTTTAAAAAAGTTAAGTTACATGGATGGAAAAATTGATATAAACTTACTCAAATAATGTTGAAAACAACATGACTTGCTAAGTAATTTACTGCAGTGCCTTAGAAAATGGTCTTGATCTACATAATCCAGGTTTTGAAAGACTGGTATAACAGAAAGGCCAGCAGCCAGGAGATGTGTGTTCTAGTCTCAACTCCACCATACAGTATCCCTGGGCAAACCGCTTAACCTCTTCACTCTGTACTCAATGAGGGAGTTAAGACTAGCTCCATGGGCTTCAACCCAAGGTTCCTTGACACTTAGTGGGTCCCACATAGTAATGGTGGTCCATGAGGTATTTTTAGTATTCCTAAGAACCTAAAAGAAATCATGAATTTGTCTGAGACTAAGTTGTGGAGGTGTTCTAAAGTTTTTGTTTGTTTTGGTTAAAATTGTATCAAGTTGGTATAGTTAGTTATCTAATACTAAATGCAGTGTGCCTAGACCATGAGGTCAATGGGAGAAAAGGATAATAAAGGTTATTGATAAAAAAGGATGACCTTTAAGGTATTTTTCAGCTCTGACATTTAGTAATCTATGACCTCCATATTCATGTGGTGTGATTTTGGGGAAAGGAATATATACAAAGACCAATATTTACTGAGCACTTAATTTGTACCAAGCAATGTGTCGGGTATTCTGCATACATTATGTCACCTAATCCTCTCAAAGTCCTATAAATTAAATATTTTTGCCTTCATTTGGGAAATGCACTACAGAGTAACTTTTGACACAACCAGCTGGTCAGTAAGTAGCAGGGCTGGGGTGCAGATTCTGTCTGCCTCTTTACAGCACCATGTTGCTTTATACAAACTACTGCTATTAGTTCTTAGTAATTTCATTTTTCTAATTGGTAACTGGGTTGTAAATACATGCTTTTTCCTGTCCTCAGTTCCCTTGCTCAGCCCCAGTATGTTATGCCAACATAGCCAACAAGTCCAGGGGACCAACCAGGGAGTAAAAGAACATCTAAGATGTTGTCAGTTACTCATCACTCAGGGTTGCTTTGCTAGAAGCTTTCCTAGCAAACAGCCTACTGGCTTATATGGACAAGCGGGCAATTTCCTGTGACCACAGGCAACACTAAATGCTGTCACAAATTCAGTAGAGTGGGGGATAGAGATTTACTTCTAATCTTTTATTTTTCCACAGTCCTTGGGTTGGGGCTACAGTGCTTGTCCATTTTACTTAATACTAACCTAATAGGGGCTATCATTAGAATGCTAAGGAGATGCTATTAAGAAAAAAGTCTCTAGTACTTAATTATTAGGGCTGGAATTATGTGTCCAATGTAATGGCACACAATTCTAAAACAAATACCCTGAGGCCAGCAGTTTTCTAGCAAACAGTCTAGATTAAATTTGGAATTTGGTAACTAAAACCAATAACCAGAAATGACTAATTTGGTTAAAGATAAGATCTGAAGGTGGATTTACATGGAAGACTATAATGACTACACTGGATTTCTCATTAGAAGGGCTCAGAGTCTTATGAAGACTTCATATTCCCCAAGAGAACCATATTTACACAATTAATTCCTTTGTTGGGAAAAAAGCTTCTCATTATTGCATGTGGACACATGTGGGCTGTGTAAAAATACAAGGGATGTGTAACACACGGTAAACAGAAAGTAATGATCTTAAACAGGCCAAATCCTTGAACTCGTCATTAATAAATGTCTCTCTTGCATTCAGCTACCCCGGCTGCTGGGAGCCTGTTTTCTTCAAGTACTTCAAACACTGAAATCCAGGAACATTTATTATTTTAATCCATTACAGGCAGTGCTTGATTTAACTTTATTGGTTGCGGTGGTGGTGGTGGTGGTTATAAGTGGGGGTACAGCAATGTTCTTTTACACATCATTTCAAAAGGGCTTAATTATATTTTATAGTTTAGGCCAGGAATTCTGCTTGTTTTTTGTCTAACAAGGTTCAAATCGAGTTCAGGTCAGTGATGAATCAGAAGAAAAAGTCAGAGATGGTTATCTCTCTGAAATGAGCTCATCTCCCTCTACGAAAGGCTGGGCAGGTACATCATGTTCACTACACCACAGCACATGAGATCGCTCTGATATCCTAAGTTTGTTGCTTATTAGATAATTTTTATTTTTATGCAGCTTTGAAATACATACATCAGAAACTCAACCCAGTGGATATCTTCCATATCTCTGAAGTTATTCTCCTATGTATTTTAAAGGCTTCCCTTTGGAATCCAAAACAGCTATAGCAACCACACAGCACTAAAACAAAAATGTACATAAACAACATTTTAAAAATGCACAAGCTATTTATCACAGGACAATGAATATATACCTCAAAATAAAAGATGTAGAATACTGTATTTACATAATTTGGTTAAACAAAACAATACATGACTATGTAAACACGGCTGAGCAGCACATACCTCCTAGTGCTTTTTTTTAAATGTCAAACAGTCATAATTTTTAATCTCCTTTCTTGAGGGTGTCAAAAAAATCTTTTCTAAGGTAGTGGTAATTAATAATGATTAGTGTATCTAATCATATAACAGTTACAGCAAGGAGAATATAATTTGTATGTTGAGATGTCTTCTCCATTTCATATAATTTCTAAGAGGACAGGAGAATTACAGTATCTCATACATTTATGGTTTTTATTCTCGTCATATTAGAAAACATAATATGGGACATTTTTTGAAAAAAGTTAAGATAATTTTACTTGTTCTTCTTATTTCCCAGCCAATTTTTAGAAATTCCTGTTCTACTTTTTGTCGAATGCCTCAAGGTTCACCAGGATATACAGAGATATATCATAGTCAAAAATTATCAGTAATCTACAGGTAATCTAAGGGTGAAAAAAGAAGTACATGCCAGTTTATCAGTAGCAACTTTGAACCTTGTTATAAAGTAATAGGAGGGAATCTGACCAGGATTAATAGTGGTACTCAGTCCTGGGAGGGGAGGTGTCATGTTTCACGGACGGTAGGCCATCTGTTCTTCCCCTCTACATTTTACTTCTGCTAAACCATAAACGCACCTCTACCTCAGGGACTATAGAAAGGCATTAGAATTCTTCTGCTTTTCATTATCACAAGATTCAGTAACTCATTTCATTGTCAAGATAATCCCCTTTTACTCTTTCTTTTGCGCTTGTGGGGTATGCCAAAATGACAAATAAAAACCCAGATGTTACAGACCCAATGAGGTCTCCACCTTTCCTTAAGTGTTGGGTTTAAGCTACTTGGGACATAGTGTCAAAAATGACAGGACCCTGATGCCCACACCCAATATTCATTAAGGTTTGTTAGTGATTTGTATAGCTGTCTACAAGCTGTACTTCCACTTCAATCCTCAGTGGCTGCTTAAAAGTTAAGTTTGTCCTCTGGCTTTAACTGTCAAAGAACTCATTTCCTATTGTTCAGGCATTAGACAGAGATGCTATTTCTTGCTAAAAGTAACAAAAGTCTTTGGGGTGCTGTAATTGGCTGGTTATTGCAACATATTATTTTAGGTAGTCATATCTAATTTACTATTTTATTTCCCCTTAGGCTAACTCGCATCTCTGCAGCATCCAAAGCTTATGACAATGCCTTATAAGATTTTCCCTGGGAGACCCAGTTAACTATAGAATGAAAAGTTGGAGCTCCACTTTTTATCAATTAATGACCTGGTTTCACTTTTCAATACATGAAAAGGAACTTTAGGTTCTTTACATTTTATTGGTCCTGAATTCAGTGAACATGAGAAAAGGCATTTTGTATATGTGAAAAATAATGTGGTTATGCTTTCTCTCTCTACTTTTGTTTATTCAAAAAGATAAGTACATCTGGATGACAGAGCCTGGGGTAGTGAAAGTTACATAAACCATAGTCCTTTGACTAGAAGGAGTTCAACTCACTGGTTTTGGCTTGGGTAAAAAGTCACCCAAGTCCTTATGGACAGGGGATCCTTCTAACTTCTTCCCTATTCTGACTAAAATGCCAACCAAGATGACCTCATTAAGGTTCTTCCCCCAATCTTTTGTGGCACCTAACTTGCTCATATTCTATTTTCCTTTTCCTTATCTACATATATGGAGGCTGCCAATCTAAGTGCCCCGAGAAAGAGCAAGGCAGCCTAAAGTTCAGCTATTTCACAGCTCTCAACTGTGTGCTCGTTTGTCGAAATCTAAGGAGTGCCGCCCAAACAGAGCCATAATTTACTCAGACAAGGGGAGCTAAAGTCTGTAGCTCACTCTCCACCCTGCCTCTGGAAAGTGCTACACTGCAAGTTCGCAATTTATAGCTATATACTTTTGGTTTCTCCAAAGCTACATATTTCAAATGGCAAAAATGATTGCGTTGTATATACACGTAAGGGAAAGGCTTTTTTTCTGTTGTTTTGTTTTCAGAAAATACTATAGAATGGGATGGGTTCAATGAATAGCAAAATAAATATTATCTGCCTTAAAATATTTTAAAATATATGATATAATTTCTAAAGGAGATGTACTTTTAATATAATCATAGGATTTTCAGCAATATTATACACCAACCTTAAAAATACAAGCATTACCTCTACTGAAATCAGAAGTTTTGGGTCATTTTACCAAAGATTCATGAGAGAACATAAGTATTCTAACAGAAATGGGAGTTAGTTTATTCTAAGTCACTGCTATACCAGTATCTGCAGAGTGGAATTAAAAAAAAATCAAATCCTATGAAACTCCCATAGTTTAGGGTTAAAGAATAACATAGGAGGCTAAGAAGAACTGGTAGATATTTTTGGTAAAGTAGAAAATATTTAACCATTTCGTTTCATTCCAAATGATAATAAGAGGAATTCCTTTAACTGCTTCAGTCAATAATTTATAAATATTTAGTTTTATAAATCAGTAAATAAATCTGAAAGCACAGATTTAAATGTATTCGGAATGCCCGGGGGAGAAAATTAACTTACCACTTTTGATCATATTATTTCCTTTCCACATACACTTCCTGTAAGCTTATGACAGTTTAGATGATAAAAACATATAATCATTAGGTGAAATCAAATATTTTTGTACCTTTGACAAAGAAACATATCTAAAACACATTCTCAATGGTGTTTCTCTAAATATTACTTAGCACATAAGATTCCTCTAGCATTACAAATCTATTTCGGCTCCTAAATTAAAACTCATCTGGAAAGGACCGTTTTACCCTGTTTATATAACATTGTCACATAAAGAGTGTTAAAAAAATACTTCACTAAAAATAGCTTGCATAAGTTAGGGATTAGAGTAGTTTCTGCTGCTATAATTGTTCCTTTGTAGTTTTTTCCATGATGTTTTTGCACAGTGTTTTTGACTGTGTTTATTAAAATCAGCACATCAAAAAGGATCAAAGAGAAAGTGAGTGAGAACCGAAGAAACCCCAAGTGTGTTCTCTCATTGGGGAGTTATGCAGATTCACATAAACAAGTGCAAATTGTTGAGGTTTTAATGAAAATTTTCTACAATTATTTTATCTGAAGTCATTCTATACAATAACATCTGTACAGCAGATGGCTGTACTGTACCAAGGCAATGCTCCTTTTTCTTTCGTTTAATAGTACATCTGAGATGACTACTTTTGTCACTGTGCTCAATTTGGTTCAGCAAATAATTCTGAAAAGTGCAGCTGCTGCAGATGGTCACAACAGTTATATAAACTGTAAAATCAAAGACACAGTTAAGTATTTCTGTATTAGATTCAAACTATAAAAATCTGACATCAACTCCATTGAGCTCAAAGATATACTAAAGTATAAAAAATTTCAGTTGAATGTAGAACAATGTTACTTGAAAACTACAAAAAGAAATATGACTACTGGTAGGAGGCTTTTATGTGAGTATATTTGCTTTTTGGTGGTGGTGGATAGTTTTTACCACTTATCAAAATTATACTTTGAATATATGTTTGCATGTATTTTATCCAAATTGCAAAGCATGAATTTTTAAGACATTCAACTACACAATGAAATTAACATTCAAAACTTAAGTTATGTTTTATTTTAAAAATACAGTTAAAATCAATTTTTTTGAAAAAAATATGTGGCAATCTCTTAATCACAATTTTCCAAGAAATCAGTCCTTATAACTAGAAGTTAATAAATCTTATTTCATGTAATTACAGTTTATTATTTTGCTAACCTTGTTATCATCCTAAACTGTTTGAGTATGCATAAAGAAAAAACTGTACTAAAAATAGATTTTGGTGTTCATTATAGTCTCATAACAAAATTGTTACTATTAAGTAGCTAATCTCAACTCTGATTTGACTTGATGCAAATAATTATTTTAAAACATTTGCTGGACACTACATGTTAGAGTTGTATAAAGTATGTTTAGTCAAAGCTATAGTTGCTGTTTTTGTGTTTAACTAGATTTAAGAACAGCATTGTAAAAGGATTAGGGGTATATAGTTTTTCTTACATACAGGGGGAAAAAACAAGTTCCAAAACTAGAGTTTACTAACTTGCACAGCTTAGTGAGAGAAGGATTTTTAATATTTTAGAGGTGTTTCCCAAAGACAGACATCATTAAACATGGATAAAATATGAGTAACTAATGAATAAAAAAAGCAATGAGGATGAAAAAAGAAAAGCACCTAAAAGTGAGTATAGTACGTTTAAATTCTTCCATTTTGTTTGAGTCTTAACCTTTCCCTGCTATGATTGAGGTACAACTGGAAAGGCATGGGAACAGACCTAGTGTTGTCTGGGTTGCAATTTATTTGTGGATAAATCAGATACTGTAGTCTCCAGTATTTCATAGTCTTTCATGACCCATGAACTTTACTTACCTTTTTCACTTGTAACTTTTAAGACAATTAAACAAAATACAGAACTTTTAGTTGGCTTGGTCACGAATATTTCTAGTGAGAAAGAAATAAATCATCTATGTTTTGGCCTAAAATTCAGGCTTCTCAACTATAAAACTTTTCCTTTCTGTTTTAACTACTGTGCCCAACCTGGCTATGTGGAACTAAGTTACAGTAAGTCTACAGCTGCAATTTAATTACTTTTTGATAAGCAACTAAGTTGCATATAAGGATTTGCTTTATCCCCTGCACTATCCCCAATCCCCAATTTCCCCCCACAAATTAAAGAGGGAAAATACATGGTTCCCTTTTGCTACATTTACTTTCAGAGCCAAATTTCTGGCCCTGTGCCCTGAAATTTTACAGTAGCAGTTTCTGTGATTGAAAACTGCTATTTCCCACCTGTGTCTTGCCTTTCCTCTTCCCCTCCTCACAATCCTTCTGCCCACACTTCCCATGCTTTTTGAAAAAGTATATAACAATTTAGTCATGGTAACAGAAGTGGAAAATGTAGATGTCACTGCCAGTTGATTTCTCACATATCCTCCCATCAATGGCAGTCACTTTGCAGAGTCTGTACCCCACTTTGCTAGGCTAGGCACAGAAGCACAGCTTTTCGTTGCCAGGTGTTGCTGCCTGATAAAATGCCTCAACAGCATTCTTGCAAAGTTGAACCTTGGCTTCTGTTACACTTTGTGTAGCATATCTGCCACAACACCAACTTTTCTTTTTTAAGTAAATGGTTACCAGTGACTTAATGCTGTGCATCAGAATCACCTATAGGGCTTGTTGAAGCACAGATTGCTGGGCTCCATGCCCAGAGTTTTGCATTTAGTAGGTCATGGGTGGGGTCTGAGAATTTGCATTTGTAACAATTTCCCAGGTGATGCTGATGCTGCTAGTCCAGAGATCACACTTTGAGAAACACTCTTCTTATGGTTCATAAAACTTGATATACTGTTGTTCCACTATAGCTGTTTTAGGTAAAAAGGAATTTAGGAATTAACAGTTTTAGATACCTGGAAGAACATGCCTCAAGAGGACAGGAACATTTCTGTTTAGACATTACTTAAAGGATTTGTTCTAAAATTATCTCTAAAAATAAGGTCACAAACCAGAAATGTCCTCATCTCTAATGGCCTTTACAACTTTTAACTTCTACATAATATAAATCTTCAAAATGATGCATTTTCAGATGTTAACAAATCATCTTACTTGTTCTGTCTCCCCCCTCCCCTTTTCTGTGACTTACCAGGTACTTTTTGTGTTGCCTTGACACTAAGGCTTCCATTGAGGTTTGAGAGAGATGCTAACAGGCATGGTTTGCTGGTATGGGGTACAGTTTCCATGGAGATCACAATCTGAGTAGTTTGAACAGAAATTTTTTGAAAGCAGGAAACAGCTCTCCACATGTTTTCTTGAGCTGAAATCTTTTGCACTCCATCACCATGAATTTTGGGTTTAGACAACTTTCCACGGTAATATTTGGAGACTGGAAGATCATCCTTATTCACCATGGTGTTGGACATGGCTGAAGTCTCTTCACTATGTGCCAAACTGTGTGCATTTTTTATCTTCTTTAAAAAAAGGTTTATCTGATCCAGTTTGGTGAAACTCAGGTTTGCTTTCAAAGGCTTTGATATATCCAAATTGACATCCGCTATAGAAGTAAAAAAGAGAAAACAATTATTGAAGCTTTCTTACTGAATACAAGCCTTTACTTCTCTGACAAGCTCCTACATAAAAGTGTCCCAAGATCCATATTATGGACTCATTAGGATGCCTGAACATGATATATCTCTTACTCATCACTTAACGATTCTTTCCATGTTGTTACTTGAAGGAGCACTCTCCCTGGACTACTTACATGCCTACATTCCTGGCCAATCCTTGTGACATGTGTGGCCCTGATACATCGAGGGCCACACAAGGATATCAAGGCTGTCAATTTCCACTCTGCCCCTTATAGTCCAAGGCAAAATGAAGCAGGTTTTCCAGTTTGTTACCTATATGAAACTGGCCTTTCTTCAAAAAAAAAAAAAAAAAAAAAAAAGACTTTCCTTACTACCCAGAACCATGTTTGACACAAATAATGGTATTACTAATAAATATTTATCCAAGTATCCCTACAATTCTCTAATTGTTCATGCAGAAAATGTCTGTTTCCCCCTTATGACCTGTTGCAAACCAGAAGAGTCCCTGTACCTTTCCCTACACTCTGCATTGATAAAAGTTCAAATACCTTGCCCAATGTAACATTGGTAGACTGAGATTTCTTTAAATCTGTAGTCCATTTTATATGTACCATATACCACATGTTGTCCTTATTTGTCTCTTACTTACCTGACATGAAAACTAGCTGTATTGTTTTTAACCTTCTTATTTCACCTAAAATCACTCTATTTCTATTATTAATAAGACATAAGACTATAAGCATCAAGACAGAGCATGTCACACATCTTTAAAACCCAGTGCTTAGCACAATGTGTCTTACATATGCATGCATTCAACAAATGTTTGAGCTTAACTGACCCTAACAAGTGCTCATTTCATGACACCCTGAGGATGTAACAGAAGACATAATCCCAAATGAAGCTAGGACTAGCAAAGTTATTAGGCATATTATTATTAAGTTATAAATCATATGTAATATTATTTTTCTGTGTGTGCAGGAAGAGAGATCTATTGACACCAATATCTAGAAATCAAGATTCACAGATGAACAGAGGCATCTTCAGCCCCGAGGAGGCTGGGCTGTGTCTCATGAACCTCTGAGGGTGGGCGCAGCTGACAGCTCTGTGTGGGCAGAGTCCGCGTGGTCCTCATTCTCTTCCCTGGGGGCAGGGCAGCCGAGATGGGAGGACACACACAAGGGGGCACCTTCCTGCCCTAGCCTGGCCCAGTGGCCTCTGGAGTCAGGCAGCTGCAGCAGCTGCACCACACCACAGTGTGGTTCCAACACAATTCTGTGGAGGGGTTCTGGGATTCCAGACTAAGTGAATATCCATGGAATGATGAAAATTAAAATTTACTTGATTATGGAAGTCTCTGATTCATTCCAGCCAATGTATTAGATGAGCCACTGAGAATCACCTCAAAGCAATTGCTCTCACGGCCCTCGCCAGGGCAGTGGGGCAGCAGGAGGACAGGTGGCTAGGCCAGCAGCTCTAGCTCTTCACCTCTGCGGCCTCCTTCTCAGTCTTCTCCTCCATCTTCTCTTCTTTCTCCAAGGTCGCTACAATCTTGGCCACCTGGCTGGTGGAGGCATGAACATCTTTGTCCACCAACTCAATCACATTGATGAGGTCATTGATGTTGACCTTGCCATTCTTGTCTTCATCCAGTGCTGAGGCCAGGCTGGTGAGCTTGCTTTCTGGAATGTGCCTGACTTGCTTCATGGTGCTGATGAGCTCAGTGACACTGATGATGTTCTCCCCTACGGGCGCGCCCTAGGCCAGGCCCAGCTTGCAGGCCCTGGTCCATCTCCAGGTGTGAGATCAAGCCCTCGATCTGCCCGATCATCTGCTGCACCCTCTGTCAGTCTCTTGGTGGCTTTAGATGCTTTCACATATTTTTCTTCACCTACCAGTCTTTGAGAGTTCCTTCTTGATCTCTTGCATGTTCTCGCTGTAGTCCTGCACGTCCTCCTTCAGCAGCTCCAGCTCCTCCTTCTCTTTGGTGAGCGACTTCTGCTCCTTCAGCTTAGAGCAGGCATCGCTGAGGATGTCGATTTCCTCCTTAGTTATCTCCTTCTCCTTCAAGCTCTCTAGCAGGGGGCAGTGTCCTTCAGGGTCTCTGACCACAGGACTGCTTCAGGCACTTCTGGCTGAGGTTAGGCCCCTGGCCTTCGAGGGGTGGCTTCCACACCTTCGGGCGCGACATCCTTCTCCAACTCCGAGCGCTTCTGCAGCTCCTTGTGGTGCTCCTGCTGGATGGCTGCCTCCTCCTGCAGCGTGACCTCCAGCTTTACCTTGTGCACTTGCCCACCCTCCACCTCAGCCACTTTCACCTGCTCTTCCTTTGCCACAATCTCTGGGAGAGTCTGCAGTATGGACTTGAGCTGGTCAGCTGGCAAGAGTTTCTGGGAGGTACATCGTCTGGGACAGGATGAGTAGCGATATGGGAATCTCCTGATGCAGGTGCAGGTCCAGACACTGCTTCAGCTGAGGCGGAGGGCCCACATACCTCACTTCCCACACGCCGGCTGCAGCCCCTTGACGTTCAGGTTGTCCACCCCTCCTCAGCAATCAGCTTATCATTGGCCTTTATGGAGCGCAGTCACATGGTGAGCTGGAACCGCAGAAGTTGTTGATGCCGATGGACTGCAGCTCCAGCAGCTTGCACGGCGCCACCAGCTGCGGCCGTGACAGGTTGTCCAGGGTCAGCTCATTCTCAAATAATTTGGAAAAACGCATGATTTCCTCATTGCTGGGTCTCTCCCCCATCCCCCGGATCTTCTGGGAAAACGGAGAAGTCTGGTGGCACTGCCCTTGGCTGCTATGTTCTTCAAGGTCCTCTCCTCGATGGTGTCCTGGAGGAACTCTGCCAGCTCCAGGTTGACCCGAAGCTCCTTCAGGCTCTCCTCCTTGATGGACTGGGTCTCAAACGTGGATGCTGGCATGCTGGGGAAGAGCTTCATGGTCACGGGCGGCAGGAATTCCATGAACTGGACAACCACGAACACAAGGAACGGCACCAAGCGGAGGAGGTCGGCGCGGATCCGGAGAAACTGCCTGCGCTTTGCCTGGTCAGGGTGTGGCTGTCAAGGATGTGCCACAGCATGAGCACCACGATCTTGGCATGGATCCACAGCAGGCAGAAGCCAAGGCAGTAGCGCTTCAGCTCATCCAGCTCCCTCTGCCCGAGCGACTTATTCACCACCACCTCTGTGGGGTGGGGGTGTACACTTGGCCGCCTTCCTCAAGCTTCTTGTTCTTGTCCTTGAAGGACTTGAGGGACTTCTCTACTACCAAGTCATCAGAGACACGGCGTGAAGAGTGCCAGCTGTGCACAGGAAGGCACCGAGGTCCCGCAACCATAAAATCCACTGTGGCAGAGGTCCATGGCACTCTCGCCACCGTGCGTGGGCACTTCTGCCTCAAGGCCTAACAGCCATGGCGATCGCCTCTGAAGGAAGGGTACACGGGGTGGACCGGAGTGCAACAGCCAAATGGAACATTTGCTCCACTCCTCAACCCCAGGATGTTGGCACAGGTGAGACAAGCAGCAGTTGGACTTCTGGGTGGACTACCCAGAAGTTCTCATCAAGGCTTCATGATTGATTACAGCATTCACTCATACTTAATATTCTACATCTTCATGAGCAGGGCCCCTTCTCACCTTCCTCAGACATCAGGATCTTTGGCTTCGCTCCTGGATACCCAGGCTCTCTCAGGGTCCCATCCCTTGTAAGTGTTCCTTCCTTCATGTGGGGACACTGTATTTTCTTTTTTTTTTTTTCTTGGTATGGAGTTTTTTTTTTTTTTATTATACTTTAAGTTTTAGGGTACATGTGCACATTGTGCAGGTTAGTTACATATGTATACATGTGCCATGCTGGTGCGCTGCACCCACTAACTCGTCATCTAGCATTAGGTATATCTCCCAGTGCTATCCCTCCCCCCTCCCCCCACCCCACCACAGTCCCCAGAGTGTGATATTCCCCTTCCTGTGTCCATGTGATCTCATTGTTCAATTCCCACCTATGAGTGAGAATATGCGGTGTTTGGTTTTTTGTTCTTGCGATAGTTTACTGAGAATGATGTTTTCCAGTTTCATCCATGTCCCTACAAAGGACATGAACTCATCATTTTTTATGGCTGCATAGTATTCCATGGTGTATATGTGCCACATTTTCTTAATCCAGTCTATCGTTGTTGGACATTTGGGTTGGTTCCAAGTCTTTGCTATTGTGAATAATGCCGCAATAAACATACGTGTGCATGTGTCTTTATAGCAGCATGATTTATAATCCTTTGGGTATATACCCAGTAATGGGATGGCTGGGTCAAATGGTATTTCTAGTTTTAGATCCCTGAGGAATCGCCACACTGACTTCCACAATGGTTGAACTAGTTTACAGTCCCACCAACAGTGTAAAAGTGTTCCTATTTCTCCACATCCTCTCCAGCACCTGTTGTTTCCTGACTTTTTAATGATTGCCATTCTAACTGGTGTGAGATGATATCTCATAGTGGTTTTGATTTGCATTTCTCTGATGGCCAGTGATGATGAGCATTTTTTCATGTGTTTTTTGGCTGCATAAGTGTCTTCTTTTGAGAAGTGTCTGTTCATGTCCTTTGCCCACTTTTTGATGGGGTTGTTTGTTTTTTTCTTGTAAATTTGTTTGAATTCATTGTAGATTCTGGATATTAGCCCTTTGTCAGATGAGTAGGTGGTGAAAATTTTCTCCCATGTTGTAGGTTGCCTGTTCACTCTGATGGTGGTTTCTTTTGCTGTGCAGAAGCTCTTTAGTTTAATTAGATCCCATTTGTCAATTTTGGCTTTTGTTGCCATTGCTTTTGGTGTTTTGGACATGAAGTCCTTGCCCACGCCTATGTCCTGAATGGTAATGCCTAGGTTTTCTTCTAGGGTTTTTATGGTTTTAGGTCTAACGTTTAAATCTTTAATCCATCTTGAATTGATTTTTGTATAAGGTGTAAGGAAGGGATCCAGTTTCAGCTTTCTACATATGGCTAGCCAGTTTTCCCAGCACCATTTATTAAATAGGGAATCCTTTCCCCATTGCTTGTTTTTCTCAGGTTTGTCAAAGATCAGATAGTTGTAGGTATGCGGCGTTATTTCTGAGGGCTCTGTTCTGTTCCATTGATCTATATCTCTGTTTTGGTACCAGTACCATGCTGTTTTGGTTACTGTAGCCTTGTAGTATAGTTTGAAGTCAGGTAGTGTGATGCCTCCAGCTTTGTTCTTTTGGCTTAGGATTGACTTGGCGATGCGGGCTCTTTTTTGGTTCCATATGAACTTTAAAGTAGTTTTTTCCAATTCTGTGAAGAAAGTCATTGGTAGCTTGATGGGGATGGCATTGAATCTGTAAATTACCTTGGGCAGTATGGCCATTTTCACAATATTGATTCTTCCTACCCATGAGCATGGAATGTTCTTCCATTTGTTTGTATCCTCTTTTATTTCATTGAGCAGTGGTTTGTAGTTCTCCTTGAAGAGGTCCTTCACATCCCTTGTAAGTTGGATTCCTAGGTATTTTATTCTCTTTGAAGCAATTGTGAATGGGAGTTCACTCATGATTTGGCTCTCTGTTTGTCTGTTGTTGGTGTATAAGAATGCTTGTGATTTTTGTACATTCATTTTGTATCCTGAGACTTTGCTGAAGTTGCTTATCAGCTTAAGGAGATTTGGGGCTGAGACGATGGGGTTTTCTAGATAAACAATCATGTCGTCTGCAAACAGGGACAATTTGACTTCCTCTTTTCCTAATTGAATACCTTTTATTTCCTTCTCCTGCCTGATTGCCCTGGCCAGAACTTCCAACACTATGTTGAATAGGAGCGGTGAGAGAGGGCATCCCTGTCTTGTGCCAGTTTTCAAAGGGAATGCTTCCAGTTTTTGCCCATTCAGTATGATATTGGCTGTGGGTTTGTCATAGATAGCTCTTATTATTTTGAAATACGTCCCATCAATACCTAATTTATTGAGAGTTTTTAGCATGAAGGGTTGTTGAATTTTGTCAAAGGCTTTTTCTGCATCTATTGAGATAATCATGTGGTTTTTGTCTTTGGCTCTGTTTATATGCTGGATTACATTTATTGATTTGCATATATTGAACCAGCCTTGCATCCCAGGGATGATGCCCACTTGATCATGGTGGATAAGCTTTTTGATGTGCTGCTGGATTCGGTTTGCCAGTATTTTACTGAGGATTTTTGCATCAATGTTCATCAAGGATATTGGTCTAAAATTCTCTTTTTTGGTTGTGTCTCTGCCCGGCTTTGGTATCAGAATGATGTTGGCCTCATAAAATGAGATAGGGAGGATTCCCTGTTTTTCTATTGATTGGAATAGTTTCAGAAGGAATGGTACCAGTTCCTCCTTGTACCTCTGGTAGAATTCGGCTGTGAATCCATCTGGTCCTGGACTCTTTTTGGTTGGTAAACTATTGATTATTGCCACAATTTCAGAGCCTGTTATTGGTCTATTCAGAGATTCAACTTCTTCCTGGTTTAGTCTTGGGAGAGTGTATGTGTCAAGGAATGTATCCATTTCTTCTAGATTTTCTAGTTTATTTGTGTAGAGGTGTTTGTAGTATTCTCTGATGGTAGTTTGTATTTCTGTGGGATCGGTGGTGATATCCCCTTTATCATTTTTTATTGTGTCTATTTGATTCTTCTCTCTTTTTTTCTTTATAAGTCTTGCTAGCGGTCTATCAATTTTGTTGATCCTTTCAAAAAACCAGCTCCTGGATTCATTGATTTTTTGAAGGGTTTTTTTGTTTCTCTATTTCCTTCAGTTCTGCTCTGATTTTAGTTATTTCTTGCCTTCTGCTAGCTTTTGAATGTGTTTGCTCTTGCTTTTCTAGTTCTTTTAATTGTGATGTTAGGGTGTCAATTTTGGATCTTTCCTGCTTTCTCTTGTGGGCATTTAGTGCTATAAATTTCCCTCTACACACTGCTTTGAATGCGTCCCAGAGATTCTGGTATGTTGTGTCTTTGTTCTCACTGGTTTCAAAGAACATCTTTATTTCTGCCTTCATTTCGTTATGTACCCAGTAGTCATTCAGGAGCAGGTTGTTCAGTTTCCATGTAGTTGAGCGGCTTTGAGTGAGATTCTTAATCCTGAGTTCTAGTTTGATTGCACTGTGGTCTGAGAGATAGTTTGTTATAATTTCTGTTCTTTTACATTTGCTGAGGAGAGTTTTACTTCCAACTATGTGGTCAATTTTGGAATAGGTGTGGTGTGGTGCTGAAAAAAATGTATATTCTGTTGATTTGGGGTGGAGAGTTCTGTAGATGTCTATTAGGTCCGCTTGGTGCACAGCTGAGTTCAATTCCTGGGTATCCTTGTTGACTTTCTGTCTCGTTGATCTGTCTAATGTTGACAGTGGGGTGTTAAAGTCTCCCATTATTAATGTGTGGGAGTCTAAGTCTCTTTGTAGGTCACTCAGGACTTGCTTTATGAATCTGGGTGCTCCTGTATTGGGTGCATATATATTTAGGGTAGTTAGCTCCTCTTGTTGAATTGATCCCTTTACCATTCTGTAATGGCCTTCTTTGTCTCTTTTGATCTTTGTTGGTTTAAAGTCTGTTTTATCAGAGACTAGGATTGCAACCCCTGCCTTTTTTTGTTTTCCATTTGCTTGGTAGATCTTCCTCCATCCTTTTATTTTGAGCCTATGTGTGTCTCTGCATGTGAGATGGGTTTCCTGAATACAGCACACTGATGGGTCTTGACTCTTTATCCAACTTGCCAGTCTGTGTCTTTTAATTGGAGCATTTAGTCCATTTACATTTAAAGTTAATATTGTTATGTGTGAATTTGATCCTGTCATTATGATGTTAGCTGGTGATTTTGCTCGTTAGTTGATGCAGTTTCTTCCTAGTCTCGATGGTCTTTACATTTTGGCATGATTTTGCAGCGGCTGACACTGTATTTTCTTATCAGGCCTAACAAAACTCTGAGTCTTGTTTACAGCTAGTTGTGCATTGGAAAGGGTCAGAAACTTGAGTCACCCGTGCACAATACTAAAATGTTCCTTTCTCCCCATGTTTTTAAACAGGAAAAACACCTTAATGTAAAGGAATTATTTTTTAAAACACCTTATTGACATATAACTCACATGCCACAAAAATTACCTTTCAATAGCATACAATTTATTGTTTTTAGTATACACAAGTTTGTGCAACCATCACCACTGTCTAATCCCAGAACATCATAATCAACACACACACACACACACACACACACAGTATCCCATACTACTGAGCAGTCACTCCTCACTCATGCTCCCCTCCAGCCCCAAGAAACCACTAATTTTCTTTCTGTCTCTATAGATTTGCCTATTCAGGACATTTCATAGAAATGGAATCATATAATATGTGATTTTTGTACCCGGTTTCCTTCATATAGCATAATGCTTCCAAGGTTCATCCATGTTGAAACATGTATCAATACTTCATTCCATTTTGTGGCTGAACAGTATTACAACATAAGCATATATCACATTCTGCTTATCCATTATCAGTTAATAAACATTTGGGTTGTTTCCAGTTTTTGGTGATGATGAATAATGCTGCTATGAATATGTGTGTGCAAATTTGCTTTTTAATTTTCTGAAATATGTACGTAGCAGTGGAACTGCTAAGACATATTTGACTGCAGTTATCCTAGTGAGCGTGAAGGACTATCCCATTGTGATTTTGATTTGTATTTCCCTAATTACTAATGATGTTCAGCATTTTTTCATGTGCTTATTGACTGTATATATTCTTGGAGAAATATCTATTCAAACCCTTTGCTCATTTTTAAATTTGGTTATTTGTCCTTTTATTATTGAATTGTAGGAGTTCTTTTTATATTTTGGATATAAAATATAAGATTATTATATTTGATATATATAGATACATGATTTGCAAATATCAGATATATCATATCAGATATATACTTTGCAAATATTGTATCAGATATATGATTTGCAAATATTTTCTCCCATTCTGTGGATTATCTTCACTTTTTTGCAGCACAAAACAGTTTAATTTTTGCAAAGTCCAATATGTTTGTTATTTTGCTTGTGCTTTTGGTGTCATACCAAGAAACCATTGTTTAACCCAAAGTCACAAAGATTTACACCTATGTCTTCTTTTAAGAGTTTTACAGTTTTATCTCTTAAATGTAAGTCTACGATCTTTCCTGAATTAGTGCTGTGTGTATACTGTATGAGGTAGGGGTTCAACTTCATTCTTTTATGTGTGGATATCTAGTTATGTCAGCAACATTTGTTGAAAGGCATTATTTTTATTTTTGACTTGTAGAATTTGGGGTACTGGAAGAGGCTGGTGGGAAAAATATTTTAGATAAATTGGATGGCTAAAATGACTCACACATTTGCCTCTGCATCCCTGTATGTGGGCTTCCAAATTCTATGACCTCACAGAAAATAATACCTTTAACAACAATAAAAAAAAGGTGCAATTTTAACAGATGATCATTAGAACAAAAACAAAACAAAGCTAAAGTAGAAAGAAGACTCAGATGTTCGATCCTGAAACTGTCTTTTTCTTGGGTGTATAAAATGAAAACTAAAGAAGGGTCAGAAGTACTCATTCTGTAGAAACAATTTAGTAACCTACCCAGGAGGTTGCCCAAATATCCACATAAACCAACTGCTGAACCTAAGGGATCCATTTTCCCTGACTGCAGACTGGCAAAGCATCCATAGAGAGGTAAATACTAAAGCTGCTGATTGCTACCCTCATATCTCAGGCACCATTGTGGTCCCAGGGACACAGAAAAAAACTATTTATAACTCTGGCTGCTTGCTTAACTTGTC
Source organism: Homo sapiens (assembly GCF_000001405.40). Taxonomy (NCBI): domain Eukaryota; kingdom Metazoa; phylum Chordata; class Mammalia; order Primates; family Hominidae; genus Homo; species Homo sapiens. The sequence continues at coordinate 99,689,666 of NC_000008.11, read as the reverse complement.
TTTCTCTTTTTTCAATAGATTGGATCCCATTATGTTGCCCAGGTTGGCCTCAAACTCCCAGGCTCAAGTGATCCTCCCGCCTCAGCCTCCTAAGTAGCTGGGACTACAGGTGTGCACCACTGTGCCAAGCGCTAACTTTTTTTTTGAGACTCAGACTTTGGATCACTTTGGCCAGCACACCCTTCTTGACCCTTGTTGATGAGTGAGGTGCCTCTCATCATTACTTTTGGAATATCCTGTGCATTTTGCCATTACCAGGCACCTACTGATATTATTTTTGTAGTTACCTACTTAGGTATCTGTCATAGTTCAGTGAGCTGTGAGCTCCTGGACTGTCCTATATTTTAATATTCTAAATACCTAAACTACTGTTTGATCTACAGGAAGTACTAACTGAATGCTGAAGGAGGTAAAAATATTTCATTTCAAAATATGGTTCCCAGTTGTGATGAGTATTTTAAATTAAAAACTCTTAGAGATTAACAAGTACTAGAAGAGACATTTCTGCTATCTATATAAAGATGAAACCGCCCCACCAAGGAGAACAATTGTTCTTGTTCCCCTCTTTATTATCTCATTATTCTTTACCGGAAAGAAGACCAAAAATGTAACCACACCTGAACAGTCCCTTTTTCAAGATAGTGACTATCCCAAGGTCATTTAAGTTACAAAGATAACTATTTACAAGTTATTCTCTGCTCTCTGATCCAGTCATTCTCCCTAGTAATCATTTATTGCCCCTCAATAGAATTTCTGTTCTATCCCTTCCCATAACCTGTTTTACCAGGATCCAAGCCTCATTCTTTCTGTGACCTCGAGATGATATATAAGCTTCTGTACCTTGTTGGGATGCTGGATGTTCACGCTGAAGGCTCCCATGTATATACATTACATACATTTGTATGGCTTTTCTATTAATCAATCTGCCACATGTCAGTGATTTTCAGATAACCTTTAGGGGGCCAAAAGCCTATGGCCCCACAATGTTTAATGATGTAATGAAGAAAATATGAGTGAATGCAAGTCTGTCGCCATTTTCTCCTGAACTCTCACAGGCTCGTCAAATTAATTTATCCAAGCAATCCATTAACTCCTCTCAGACATGCTGTATTCCCTGTCTTAGTTAATGGTTCTATAATCCACCAAGTGGCTTTAGTCAGAAATCTGACTTTTTGACTCCTCATTTCATTCCCTCTTTATCTGGTCCCAAGCCAAAAACTGATTAAGTTCTGTCAATTTTAGTTCCAAAACATTGCTTGATTCCAATCCCCTTCTCTCCAGCATTCCATCCAGTCCCTATTTTCCTCCACCATGTTTTTGATATCGTTCAGTTATTATAAAGCCTCCTAAATGGTTCCCCTGTCTAGACCAATTGTCTTTAGATTTAATCTAGTCTCCACAGAGTGATTTCCAAATAATTTGTTTTAAATGCAATTCTGAGTGGCTCACTCCTGTTTAAAACTCTTTATTGCCTCCTCCTTACCTAAGAAACAAAAGAACAAGCTCCTCAGATAAAAAAAAAAAAAAAAAAAAGCAAGCAAGGAAGCAAGAAAGAGTTCTTGCCTTTCCTTATAATATCTGAGTTTGCAGAGCCCACTTCCCCCAACCCATGCTGTTATATCACTAGGCCTTGTTCATATTGTTCCCTTTATCTAATGTACCCTTTCTTTGCCAGTTTAATCATTGGGATACTGCTTCAGCATTTTCTCCAAGAAGTTCATTCACAAGGCTAGGCCAAGAGGGAGGCAGAGCAAGACAGCTGGATAGAAGCCTCCACCAATCACCCTGCTCACAGCAACACCAAAATGAACAATTATCCATAAAAAAAAAAGGAACTTAACAAGAACCAAAAGTCAGGTAAGCAATCACCGTACCTGTTTTTAACTTTGTATCACTGAAAGAGGTACTGAAGACGGTAGGAAAGACAGTCTTGAACTGTGGATGCCAACCCTATTCCATCTCCGCAAGGGTGGCTGTGTGGCACAGAGAGAGAATCTGTGCATTTGTGGGCGGGAGAGAGTAGTGATTGTGGGACTTGGCATTGGAACTCATGCTGCCCTGTTACAGTGGAAATCAATACCAGGCAGAGCTCAGCTGGTACCCACAGAGGGAGTATTTAGACCATCCCTAGCCACAGGAGAACCATCCTGTGGGCAGAACCTGAGTTCTGGCAAGCCTTGCCACTGCAGGCTAAAGTGCTCTGGGGTCCTAAATAAACCTGAAAGGCAGTCTAGGCCACAAGAACTGCAATTCTGGGTTAAGTCCTGGTTCTGTGCTGGGCTAGGAGCCAGTGAACTTGGGGGGCATGCAATCCAGTCAGACACCAGATGGGGCAGCTAAGGGAGTGCTTGTGCCACCCCTCCTCCAATCCAGGCAGCACAGCTCGCAGCTCTGGGAGAGGAGAGGGAGAGTAAAGGGGACTTTGTCTTGCAGCTTGGATACCAGCTCAGCCACAGCAGGATAAGGCACCAGGCAGAGTCCTGAGGCCTCCATTCTAGTCCCTAGCTCCCAAATGACATTTGTAGACACACCTTGGGCCAGAAGGGAACCGTGCCTTGATGAGAAGGACCCAGTCCTTGCAGGATTCATCACCTGCTGACTGAAGAGCCATTAGGCCTTAAATAATTAGCAGTAGCACCCAGGCAATACTCACCATGGGCCCTGGGTGAGACACTCAAAGATATGCTGGTTTGAGCTGTGACCCAGCACATTCCCAGCTGTGATGGCTATAGGGAGGGATTCCTGCTTGAGAAAAGGAGATAGAAAAGTGAAGGGTAGTTTGTCTTGCAGCTTAGGTACCAGCTAGCCCACAGTGGGAAAGAGCACCAAGTGGGTTCTTGGGATTCCCAATTCCAGGCCTTGGTTCTTGGATGGCATTTCATTTCTGGGCTGCCCTGGGCCAGAGGGGAGCTCATTGCCTTGAGGAGAGTCTCAGGCCTGGCAGCATTCACCACAAGTTGACTGAAGAGCCCTTGGACCTTGTGGGAACATCTGTGGTAGCCACGTAGCACTCGCTGCAGGCCTGGGATGGTGGTGGCCATGGGGAGAGACTCCACTGCTTGTGGAAAGTGGAGGGAGGAGTGGGAAGGACTTTTTCTTGTGTGTGGCTTGGGTGCCAGCTCATTCTCAGTAGAATGGAGCACCAAGTAGATTCCTAAGGTTTCTGACTCCAGGCCCTGGCTCCTGGACAGCATCTCTGGATGTACCTGGGACAAGAGAAATTTCACTGCCCTGTAGGGAAGGACACAAGCCTGGCAGGTTATAGAGCCCTAGGACCTTGAGTGAACACAGGCGGATAGCCAGGCAGGGGTTATCATGAGCCTTGGGTGAGGCCCAGTGCTGTGTTGGCTTCGGGTATGACTCAGCACAGTGGCCACCAGCATTGTGGTGGCCACGGTGCTTGTGTTACCTTCCTTAGCCCCAGCTCCAGGCAGCTCAGTACAGAGAGACTCTATTTGTTTGGGAGAAAGCAAAGGAAGAAAACAAGAGTCTCTGCCTGGTAATCCAAAGAATTCTTCTGGATCTTATCCAAGACCATCAAGGTGGCACCACTGTGAGTCTGCAAGAGCCACACAGTTACTGGGCTTTGGGTGCCCCCTAATGCAGATATGGCTGCAGTGACCAAAAACTTAGATCACAACACCCAAGTCTCTTCGTATACCTGGAAAGCCTTCCTAAGAAAGACAGGTACAAACAAGCCCAGACCATGAAGACTATAATAAACACCTAACTATCCAATGCCCAGACACTGATGAACATCCACAAGCATGAAAACCATCCAGGCAAACATGACCTCACCAAACAAACTAAGGTACCAGAGACTAATCCTGGAGAGATAGAGATATGTGACCTTTCTTTCAGACAGAGAATTCAAAATAGTTCTTTTGAGGAAATTCAGCAAAATTCAAAACAATGCAGAGAAGGAATTCAGAATCCTGTCAGATAAATGTAACAAAGAGATTGAAATAATTTAAAATAAGCAAAAATTCTGGAGTTGAAAAATGCAACTGATATACTGAAGAATGCATCAGAGTCTCTTAACAGCAGAATTGATCAAGCTGAAGAAAGAATTAGTGAGTTTGAAAATACACAATCAGAGGAGACAATGAGAATGAATGGGTGGTCCCTAGGGCTTAAGGCAACCCTTGGACAACAGCTAATAAGGAACTGGAGACCTCAATATTAAAGCCACAAGGAACTAGATTATGTGAATAACTGGAATAAGTTTGAAAGTAGATTCTTTCCAGGAGCCCCCAGATTAGAACCCAGGCCAACTAACAGTCTGATTTTGGCTTTGTGAGACCCTGAACAGAGAACCAGCTGAACTCACCTAGACTTCTAACCATAGAATTGTGAGATGATAAATTTGTGTTGCTACATTTGTCGTAATTTGTTATGCATCAATAGAAAACTAATACAAATTCCATATGCATATTGCCCACATGGCATTTCCAGTTTCAAAAGCAATTAAAATGAAGTTTCAAGACCTAGGTATATTTATTGAAGTTTTGTTTATCTCTTTCCTGAAAGGAAAAATATCTAATATATCTTAAAAACATCTAATGGGGCCAGGCGCGGTGGCTCATACCTGTAATCCCAGCCCTTTGGTAGGCCAAGGCGGGTGGATCACAAAGTCAGGAGTTCAAGACCAGCCTGGCCAAGATGGGGAAACCCCATCTCTACTAAAAATACAAAAAATTAGCCAGGTTGGTGGCAGGTGCCTGTAATCCCAGCTACTTGGGAGGCTGAGGCAGAGAATTGCTTGAACCTGGGAGGTGAAGGTTGCAGTAAGCCAAGATCGTGCCACTGCACTCCAGCCTGGGCGACAGAGCAAGACTCTGTCTCAAAACAAAAAACAAACAAACAAAAAACCCAAAAACCAAATAAACATCTAATGATGTCAGTTGCCTACTCTTTCTTTTTAAAAATTATTTCAGAGTTCTAGGAATGATGGAACCTGTCTCTTCCACTGAATGCAGTTACAAAATCTGGCAATAAACCAGCTATAAAACCTACACAGAGCAGCTATTTGAGAATTTTGAAAAGTATATGGTAACAGGTAGACTAAGGAAGAAGACTAGAATTCAAAATACTACCAAAATGGTGATGAGTTTCTAATTTTTCCTCCCCTACCCCCTTATCCTAGACTAATGGCAGCCCAAAGCCCAGAAGTGGATATCATGTGGAGATAGAGAGAGTTCAAGGAGAAGCCCTCTATTTCTGGCTTCAAGGAGTGTGAAGGAGTCTCTTAATGCTCAGAGGGACTAGGGAAATCTATTGTTTTCCTTCTTTCTTTTCTTCATTCCCCTGTCCTCCAGGAAATAGAAGAGGAGAGAATACTTCTTAATTCATTTTATGAGACCATCATTACCGATACTAAAAGTAGATGGAGAAAGTATAAAAAACAATATACATGGATATTCCTCAAGAAGAGACATAAAAATCCTCAAAAAATGTAGCAAATCAAATCCATCAGCATACAGAACTAATGATGTACCACAACTAAAACAGGGGTTGTCCTAGGACTATAAGCCTTGATCAATCAATGTAAAAATATTAACAGTTTACAACAATAACAAAGATACTATCAATTGATGCAGAAAACATTTTTGAAAAATTCAATATCCATTTATAATAACTCTAGGCAAACTATTGGTAGAGGGAAACTTAACCTGATGAAGGCTATATATGAAAAGCCTACAGCTAACATCATAATTATGAAGAAATGAATGCTTTCCCCCTAAGAACAGAAACAAGGCAAGGATGTCCCTTCTTATTATTCATACTCAACATAGTATTGGAAATCATAGACAGTGCAACAAGGCAAGATAAAAGGGCATAAATAACAAAGAAAACGATGCCCATTTGCAGATGACGTAATTGTCCATGTTGAAAACCCAATAAGAATCTACGGAAAAGCTCCCAGAATTAATAAGTGAGTTTGGCAAAGTTTTAGAATACAAGATCATCACACAAAAATCAATTGAGTTTCTATAAACTAACAATATGCAGGTGGAAAACAAAAAAGCCTTAAAATAAAAGATAGTATTTATAACATATCCAAATAAAAGGAACACAGGTATAAATCTAATCAAATGGTCATAGGATCTGTATGCTGAAAACTACAAAATGCTGACAATAAATTTTAAAAGACCAACATAAATAGAGAGACATACCATACACATACCATATTCATGAATTCGAAGGCAGACAACATAGTAAATATATCAGTTTCTCCCAGATCTGTAGATTTCACAGAATTCCAATAATCCCAGAAATATTTATTTTAAATATAGAAAAGCTGATTCTAAAATTTACATAGTAAAGCAAAGGAACAAGAATAACCAAAACATTTTTGAGAAAGAATAACAACATTGGAGGACTCAAACTACCTGATTTTAAGACTTACTATCAGCTATTAAGATCAAGACAGTATAGTTTTGGAGAGGGTATATGTACCTCAGTGGAACAGAACAGAGTCCAGAAATAGGGTCCAAAGAATTATTAGTTGATTTTTAAAATAGGTGCAAAGACAGTTCAATGGAGAAAGGTAGTTTACAGATGGTGTTGAATATCTGTATACAAAAAAAAGTACCTTAAACTCAACTTCATACTGTATATAAAAATTAACTCAAAATGAATCCTGGATTTAAATATAAAATGTAAAATTAGAAGGTCTTCAAAGAAGAAAACATAGGAGAAAATCTTCAAGTCCTAGAGTTGTGGCTTGGGTGTCAGCTCATTCTCAGTAGAATGGAGCACCAAGTAGATTCCTAAGGTTTCTGACTCCAGGCCCTGGCTCCTGGACAGCATCTCTGGACGTACCTGGGACTGGAGAAATTTCAGTGTCCTATAGGGAGGGACACAAGCCTGGCAGGTTATAGAGCCCTAGGACCTTGAGTGAACACAGGCGGATAGCCAGGCAGGGGTTATCACGGGCCTTGGGTGAGGCCCAGTGCTGTGCTGGCTTCAGGTATGACTCAGCACAGTGGCCACCACAATGCTGATGTTACCTTCCCTAGCCCCATCTCCAGGCAGCTCAGTACAGAGAAACTCTGTACTGAGTCTCTTATACATGATACCAAAAAGGCATATTTTAAAAATTTATAAGTTGGTCTTCATCAGATTAAAAACTTTTCCTCTGTAAAGGGTAGTGTTAAGAGAATGAAAAGAGAAGCTATGTACTGGGAGAAAATATCTGCAAATTACTTATCTGACAAAAGACTTGTATCAAAAAAATATAAAAAAGTATTATAACTCAGCAATGAGAAAATAATCTAATTTTTAGATAGCCTAATTTTTAAATCTCAGAAGCTGGGATTACATGCATGCACCACCATGCCTGGCTAATTTTTTTGTATCTTTAGTAGAATGGGGTTTTGCCATGTTGGTTAGGTTGGTCTCAAACTCCTGGTCTCAAGCAATCCACCCGTCTTGGCCTCCCAAATTGCTGGGATTAAAGTGTGAGCCACCATGCTTGGACAGCACTAAATATTTTAGGAAAAATCTGAAGCAATCTTGGATCTCTGTCTCTCATAGTTTGTCCCAAAAGTCTCAGTGTGATTTTAAACTTTAATAACTTCAGCAGCATAAAAATGCTGCAGGCTGATTTAAAAAACATCATTTGAAAAGTTTAATTATTTAAATCTTTTATAGATTTATTTTGTTTTGTGAATTTGAACAGTGAATTTTTAATGTTAACTTTTTGTGGTGCTGGTTTCTGGACGACCCTTTCTCAGACCAGTGGATTGGTAAGGGAGTTACTTATTTGGACACTTGGTCACTTGATCTATCTTTCCTATAAGGTTATGTCAAAAGTGTTATTTATGTATCAAAATTTAATTCTTTTGATTACCTTAAATTTAGTAATTAAGGATTACAAATGCAACCTCTCAGTCACTGAGCAGCAGTTGATGAAAGTTTTTAGAACGTTTGAAAATCTAGCAGAGCTATATGTATTCCCAAACAGTTGCTATGTTAACTTATTTATTTATTTTTCAAGACAGGGTCTTGGTCTGTTGCCTAGGCTGGAGTGTGGTGGCACTATCCTAGCTCACTGCAGACTCAAACTCCTAGACTCACATGATTCTGTTAAGGTTTAATAAGAAACAAATTGCTATTTAAGACATTTAAGTAATTCACTTTTCAAATGTTTTTTGTATATTTGTTTCCATACAGGGCATACAGTGCAACCTCTGTACAAGACGTACGTTAGTAGGCCACAAAGTCCCTCACCCTGGAGGGACTGGACCACATAGAGACAGTGCTGAGCCACATTTCTTGCAAAACATATTCTGTGCAATGTGTGAACAGAGTGGCTAGGGCAGTCCCAGTTGGGCAAGTTGGAAAAGATGATAGGCCAAGAACCAAAAAAGCAGTTGAAATTAGGCTATATTGTAATACCAGGTATTCCTTTCAAAAGTACCAGGTCCACCAAAAGACAGGAGGCACGCACCAGAATGAGAACCATCACAAGTGAAACAGCACTGTTTATTGTTGTATAAAGTACATCAACATGTTTCTCTGAACTTTCACATCCTTGATCTAGCCAGTTTTTTGGTAGAAAATTAGTCTTCATTGCAAATATTTTCAGTCTGATAATGACAGGAAGATTATTTTTACAAATAGAAAAAAATATGCAAAAATAGTGTCTGGTATTTTTTAACTTAAAAAATAAAAGTAAAAATTGAGCAAGCCACATTTTGTTTTTTGATACTTTTAAAAAATTGATAAAAATATTAATCTGATCATTAAGATACAACATTAAAGAAATGGACTAGGACAGTTTTATTCAACAGAGACACAGGGGGAGCTATAAAGAATAATGTTTTACAGGAACTGGAAATATAACTGGATAGGGAACCAGGCACAGACTGTTACTATAAATTTTATTCCAATTATTATCAGATACTTATGTTTAAGAGTTTAGAATTGTGTTATAATCCTCATTGAACTTTAATAAATGGATTATTTTCAAAGTTTTGATTTTAGGAATATGCAGTAATAGAGAATCTCCCAGCTGAGTCATCTATGTCTCTGCCAGATCTAATTTCTCACCATTTTCAGAACATATTCTGTATCTTTAAGTAAACCCATGCCTGCCAATTATTAGATCCTAATTACCATTCAAAACTTTCTGAACAGCTACCAGGAAACAGAATGATGGAATGACTATTGAGTTAAAAGATTAGACAAATGCAAATAAATTATACTTATTTTATGCTCCTATCATCTTAGAGGATGACTTAATAGTGAAAGGAAAAGTATCACATTGTAATAATGAAATCAGAGAGGGAATTCAAGCCCCAGAGGTGATTCCCATAAGTTTATGTTAATGCACACCTTGTGGGGGACCAAACATCAACTGGAAAAGTTTCCTGAGAACTGTTCCAGCTCTTTTCTCATTTAAAATGTTCCAACTTTACTTGACCCATTAGTCATCATATTACTTACATTTATGATGTATTATGAAATCTATTACCAAAAACCCAATGAATTCAATATGGCTTGTTATACTCAAATCATAACATTTATGAAAGAAAACTTCTTTGTTAAGTGTTTCTTCCTGTGGAATTTTATTTGCAAAAGATAAAAAATTTTTTAGACAAGCAAGACTTACAAGAAAACATTCAGTGCATACACGGGTGGCTATGTACAGACACAGAAATGATGTTTTTATTCACCATCTTAGTAAATGCAAAACACAGAACTAACAAACCCATAATCAAGGTTGACCTTATGTATTATAATAACTCTGGTAAAAAATTATTACTAGGTCATAATATTTTTTTCTCTTATTCAGCAATTGAAATTCAGGTTTTTGTTATAGTGTTCAAGTAAAGGTATTCATGATGACAGTGGACAAGGGAGACGGAGTATTCACAGGTATAAGAGCTAGAAAACCTGGAAAGCTGTCCATGACAATGAGATTAATGTGCTTTCATTGAAGGTGTGAAGTGTAAAGACCTCAGTGATGGCAGACGTGTGCTTTAATTAATGATGGTATACAAAGTGGAACAGGCTACATGCTGTCTTATGTGCTATGAGGAAGCTCAGAGACATGAAATGAAAGGTTCTTGACCTGAATAAGTCAGCAGCAGTTCATGATACTTATCACTGGGATCTGGACATCATCACTACTAGCAAAATTACTCAGAAACGTATTTTTATGATCAAACATTGACTTTCTAAATTTCATAATCCTCCCCAAATCACAACACAAAAGTTCTAATTATAGGGTAATTGCACCAATTTCTAAAGTAAATGTACTGAACTAAACTCATCAAAATAAGTTTCCCTCCCTCTTAGTAATAACCATAAGGGATAACTATATTCCACTACTCCAACAATTTTGTATCTTTTTTGGTGCCTATGTCATCCTTTGTTTGTTTTACTATTTCAATGATGGCATATACTCATCCTTGATGACACACATGATTTTTAGAAACAGCCAAAAGTGGTTTTGAGATAAATTTAGTGAAAATGGTATTACTAATCTGCTTATGAAAAAGGAGAGATCAGCATGAATGGAAATGAAAGGGAAACTATTCCAGAAGAAAACAAGACTTAGGCTAACCTAATGGCAGCTGAGAATTAGAGTGGGCAAAGAAAAAGGGTGTAAGAATTGCAGACTAAGAAAACAGCAAGGTTTAAAACATAGAGAAGCCAGTTTATAGAGATTCTCACTGCCAATGGTGAGACAACTTGAGAATTATTAAAAATAATGAGTTCAAAATAATATCAAACAACATCAACTAACTGGCCACCATTGGAATATGCTAGAGAATGAACTCATTTTTGAAAAGGGGTAAATAAAGGGAAAGAATTAAGCATTTATCCTGCTTTTTTGAATGAGCAATACTACTGAATACTCAAATAGTAGGTTGGGGAATGCTTCTCTTCAAAGAAGTATGCCAGCTAACATATGGAAAAGGAATGCTAGAATTAGAATATTACTATTTACAACCTCCAATAAATGTAGGCATTGAGCACCAATGGGTGCTAGCATCACAAAAAGAGAGACCTTTGGACATTATATGCCTCCTGATAGAGCAATACAAAACCTCTTGCAAAACAGTTTTTCTTAAAAAAAAAAAACAGAATCAGATTAAGCCAAATAAGCAATTTATATGTAAGAAATACAGTGAACAGGTGCACAAAGGGTTGGGGGCTGAGGAGAGTTTTGACTGGATCAACTGAGGAAGGGGGTAGTTAAGATTCAAATAAATTTGGCAGGGGAGGCAAATCTAGTAAGGGCATAGAAGACAGCATTATTGAGTAAATAAGAGAATCTGAAGTTAGTGCTACCAGTAAACAGAATGAGGAAGTAATCAAGGATTAAGCCTACACCAGAGAAGTAGCAGGCATAATTGAGGACTATTTCAAAGAAAAAAGTAGAAGGACTTGAAATAAAAATAAGAATGGCCTGAAGATGGTAGTAAATTGTGAGAGGACATGACCAGAAAATTTTTCCTATCATCAGCAGTTGTAAAAAAAAGTTTGAAGACTATGATAAAGGAAGAAGTGAGCAAGGAGAGAGAAGAGAGAAAATGGCTTAATTTACTGTGAACATGTTTAAATAACAAAGTATACCTAATACCTATATGTAGAAATAGTCTTAGAGTTAGATATTAAGTCAAAAGAGCTGCATTTGGGAGTTGTTGGCATAAAAGAGACTATTGTACAGGGATAAGAAAGGAAGGCTCAAGACTGTGTCAATGGAAAGGCATGGGGCTGGAGAGTAAGGAAAAAAACTGCAGGCAGAAAGTTGGAAAGTTAGAGTTAGGATAAGCCAGAAAATGTTCTTTATCTCTTCTAACTTGGCTTACTCCATGTTCCTAGGAAGACATTTCCCAATTACTCTCACTCTTTTCTGTAGAAGAAATAATTCTAACAGAATTAGGCTAGATGAAGAAATAAAAAAAAATCTAAATGACTGCGACTCTACTGACTTCTCTGCATGAGACCTAGTACTGGCCCCCTACCTCCCTGCCAACTGCACAACCAGCCTCTATGACTCTTTGAGGTCTATTACTTAGCCAAGTAGTTCAGAGGTGTAAACCCTTGAGGGCACCATTTTCAGCTAGGTAATTTTTCTCATTTCTTCCTAAAATAAAAGTTATAGTTGAAAAACAAAAGTTGAAATAATGGAAGGCTTTTCCCTATTTTAAAATTCTTGGTCCATTCCGTAGTTGACATTCTGACATCAAGTTTACTGTTTCATTTTGATAAATCACAGAGAAAACAAACTATGATAATATAGCACTGACACTGGAAATTGGAACCCATAAAATTCAGGAAATGTAAAAGTCAAGGTCCTTACAGTTTCATTAACTAGTTTACATTTCTTAAATGTAGAAGATAGCCTGCTAGCATGGCTGTAAAATTGAATTAAGATAGAGGCAGGACTCTCATGATTAAGGTATAGGCCTTAGCCCAATTTCTGGCAAGAGAGAAGGGGCAGAGGATTAAATATGATTTAAAAATGATATTTTGGGTAAGATGAACAGAAATAAATTATTAAAATTAGCTGCTTCTTTTTTTCTTTTTTGAGATGGAGTTTCGTTCTTGTTGCCCAGGCTGAAGTGCAATGACACGATCTCGGCTCATTGCACCTTCTGCCTCCTGGGTTCAAGCGATTCTTCTGCCTTAGCCTCCCAAGTAGCTGGTATTACAGGCATGCACCATCACGTCCATTTTAGTAGAGATGGGGTTTTGCCATGTTGGCCAGGCTGGTCTTGAACTCCTGACCTCAGGTGATCCACCCACGGCAGCCTCCCAAAGTGCTGGGATTACAGGTGTGAGCCTCTGCACCCAGCCCAAAATTAGCTTCTTAAAATATTTTATTTTGCTTTGAATCTTCTTGCATTTAAAAATCATATTATGAGGGTGGAGCAAGATGGTGGAATAGGACTCTTCAGCGATCATCCCCTCATAGCAACATCATGTTGAACAACTATTCACACAAGAAAATACCTTCACAAGAGCTAAAGAAATGAGGTGAGCGATCACAGTACCTTGTTATATCATAATAATATGAAAAGATGTACTTAAGAGAGTAGGAAGGACATTCTCTGTGTCAACTCTCCCCTATCCCCAAGTAGCAAATTCAGAGAGACACCGTCTGCTTGGGGGAACTAGAAGGAAGTGAATGTAAGACTTTGTCTTGGTCTCCACCACTGGGCCTGCCATAGTAAAATCTAGCATCAGGCAGACTCTTGTAGCCCCTTATTTAGGTCAGTACCCATGTACTGAGCCTCTTGACCTGTCCCAGTGCTAGGCAGGATCCCATAGCCCCTATGAAATAGACTTGATCACTGGCCTGAATCACTACCAGCTGTCTACAAGGCCTTTGGTTTCAGACAAACCTGAATGGCCATGGGCTTTGAGTATGCCCCAGCACTGTGCCAACCTTGGTGGCCACGGGATTCCATCCTGGTGTTGGGCTGGTGTGGCAGGCCTGGGTGTAGGGTGCCCTCTAGAGCTTTGATGGCTGTGGCAATCATGGACTTAGGGACAATGCCAGACAACATGACCAAAAAGTTCTAGACAGGCTTACTGTTGAAGGGCATTCTCAGACAAAGCCAGACTGCAAAGACTGGAATAAGAACCTACTTCTTCAATATCCAGACATTGATGCATGACCACAAGAATAAAAAAAAACAAAACTAGAAACATGACATCACCAAACAAAATAGAGTGCTAGTGACCGACCCCTGAAAAATAGAGATATATGAACTGCTTGACAAGTAATTCAAAATAATTGCTTTAAGGAAACTCAATAAGCCTCAGGAAAACAGATAAACAATTCAACAACATAAGAAAAACAATAAATGACCAGAATGAGAAATTTAAGAGATTGAAAGAATAATTTGAAAAACCCCCAGAAATCCCACAGCTGAAAAATACAATGAGCTAAATGAAAGATAAAAAAGAGAATATCAACAGCAGAATTGATCAAGCAGAAGAAACAATCTATGAACTCAAAGGCAGATTATTTGAAAATATACAGGCAAAAAATACACAGTAAAGGAACGAAGAAAGCTTACAGGATTCATGGGACAGCATCAAAAGGGTAAATTCTTGGTCACTGGTATTCAAGAGAGAATAGAGATAGATAAAGGGGTAGAAAGCATATGTAAATAAAGAACAGCAGAACCCTTTCCAAACCTGGAGAAATATATAAATATTCAGGTACAAGAAGCTCAAAGGTCTTCAATCAGATTCAATCCAAATAAGATTACCCAAAGACATATTACAATCAAACTATCAAAGATCAAAGACAAAGACAGGATCCTGAAAGCAGCAAGAAGAAAGAAGCAAAGAATATAGAAGGATATTCTAATACACTGAGCAGCACACTTCTCAACAGAGAATAAATCTTACAGGCCAGAGGAGAGTGGGATGATATATTCAAAGAGCTGGAAAACAAACTAATTAACTAACCTGCAAACCAAGAATACTGTATCTAGCAAAGCTGCCCTTTAATGAAAGAGAGATAAAAACTTTCCTGGACAAACAAAAGCTGAGGGAGTTAATCACCACCAGACCTGCATTACAATAAATGCTAAGGAGTTTTTTTCAAGCTGAAAGAAAAGGATGATAATAACGCAACAACATCTGAAAGTATAAAACTCACTGGTAAAAATATACCATCAAATGCAGACTATTCTAATATTGTAATGGTGGTGTGTAAATTATATCTTTAGTGTAAAGGTTCAAAGATAAAAATATTAATGACACTAATTTGTTAAGGAATATACAATATACAAATATGTAAATTTTTAAATAACATTCAAAATGTGGAGGGAGGTAGTGGAGTATAAGAGTAGAGGTTTTTTGTGTACATGATCAAAGATAAATTGTTATTAGCTTAAAATAACCTGTTATAACTATAAGATTTTTTGATATGCCTCATGATAACCATGCAGATACACAAAAAATTAAAAAGCAAGAAATCAAAATATACCAATAGAGAAAACTTACTTAACCACAAAGAAAGACAGCGAGAGGAAGAAACAAAGAGTCCATAAGACAACCAGAAGACAATTGACAAAATGGCAGTACTTAGTCCTTACCTTTCAATAACTACCTTGAATGTAAATGGCTTACGTTCACCAATGAAAAGAAAGAGCAAATTAATAGATTATAAAAACACACCCAACTATATGCTGCTTACAAGAGACTCAATTCACTTATAAGAACACACATAGGTTAAAAGTGAAGGAATGAAAAAAGATATTCCATGCAAATGGAAACCCAAAAATAGTAAAAGTAGCTATACTTATATCATACTTTAAGTGAAAACTGTAAAAAGAGATAATGCAAGTCCTATATAATGACAAAGGCATTAGTTCAGCAAGACGGCATAACATTGTAGTATATAGGTACCTAACACTGCAGCATCTAAATATATAAAGCAAATATTACTAGATCTAAAGGGAGAGATAGACTGCAATTTAATAATAGTGGAGGACTTTAACACTTTACTTTCAGCAATGGGTAGACCATCCAGACAGAAAATTAAACAGGAAACATCAGACTTAAACTGCAATCTAGAACATTTGAACCTGACAAACATATACAGAATGTTCCATCCAAAAGCTGCAGAATTCACATTCTGCTTAATTGCACATGGAACATCCTCCAAGACAGATCACAAGTCTTAACAAATTTAAGAAGACTGCAATCATAGTAAGTATCTTTTCTGAAAACAATGGTATAAAACTAGCAACCAATAACAGGAAGAATTTCAGAAAATTCACAAGTTTATGGAAATTAAATAACATGCTCCTGAATGATCAATGAATCAATGAAGAAATTAAAAGAAAAATTTAAAAATTTCTTGAGACAAATGAAATGGTGTTTCCATATACCTAAACCTAAAGGATATAGCAAAAGCAGTTCTAAGAGGGGAATTTTCCAGCAGTAAATACCTACAGTATAAATGAAGAAAGAGCTAAAATAAACAATCTCACATTACAACACAAGGAACTAGAAAAACAAGAACAAACAAAGCCCCAAATTAGTAGAAGGAGGG
The DNA here is from genome assembly GCF_000001405.40 of Homo sapiens. Taxonomy (NCBI): domain Eukaryota; kingdom Metazoa; phylum Chordata; class Mammalia; order Primates; family Hominidae; genus Homo; species Homo sapiens. The sequence goes on along the minus strand of NC_000008.11, from coordinate 99,673,627 downwards.
AAATAAAATAAAGATCAGAGCAGAAATAAATGAAATAGAGACTACAAAAATAATAGAAAAGATCAGAGAAACAAAGAACCAGTCTTTTGAAAAAACAGGCAAACCTTTAGCTAGACTAAGAACAAAAAAGAGAAGACTCAAATAAATAAAATCAGAGATGGAAAAGGAGACATTACAACTGATACAAAGAATCCTTAGGGAATAACATGAACAATTATATGCCAACAAATTGAATAACCTAATGGATAAATTCCGGGACACATACAATGTACCAAGAATAGATAATGAAGAAACAGAAAACCTGAACAAACCAATAATGAGTATGGAGATAGAATCAGTAATAAAAAATCTCCCATCAAAAAAATGCCCAGGGTCCAATGACTTCACCACTGAATTCTACTCAGTACTTAAATATCTAATACCACCAATTCTTCTCAAACTCTTCCAAAAAACTGAAGAGAGGGAAATATTTCCAAATTTATTCTATAAGCCAGTATTAGCCTGATATGAAAACCAGACAAAGACATGCTAAAAAAAGAAAACTTCAGGCCAATATCCAGGATGAACATAGATGTAAAAACCCTCAACAAAATAGTAGTAGACGGAATTTAAAATACATTAAAAATCTACTCGTGATCAAGCGGGTGTCATCACAGGTATGATCAACATATGCAGATCAATAAATGTGATACATCACATTAACAGAATGTAGGACAAAAACCATATGATCATTTCAACAGGTGCAGAAAAAGCATTTGACAAAATTCAAAATCCCTTCGTGATAAGAACTCTCAAAAAATTAGGTATAGAAGGAACATACCACAACACAATAAAGGCCATATGTGACAAATTCACAGGTCACATCATATTGAACAGGGAAAAGTTGAAAGCTTTTTCTCTAAAATCTAGAACCCTACAAGAATGGCCATTCTCACCACTCTTATTCCACATAGTATTGGAAATCCTAGACAAAGCAATTAGGTAAGAGAAAGAAATAAAAGGAATCCAAATAGGAAAAGGTGAATTTAAATTGTCTCCACAGATAACCTTATAACATTTAAGGTTTTCTTATATATAGAAAACCTTAAAAACTTGACCAGAAAACTGTTAGAATTAATACATTCTAAAAACTGTTAGAATTCAGTGAATTTGCGTGATTAAAAATCAGCATACAAAAACCTATAGCATTTCTATACACTAACAGAGAGCTATCTGAAGAAGAAACTAAGAAAACAATCTCATTTCATAATAGCTAAAAAAATTATTAAATACTTAGGAATACATTTAACCAAGGATGTGAAAAATCTGTACACTGAAAACTATAAAACGGTGATCAATGGAAAGATATCCTGTGTTCATGAACTGGAAGAATTAATATTATTAAAATGTCCATCCTACTCATGCTATTGATGTGCCCATGCTATTGATCTACAGATTCAATGAAACTGCTATCAAAGTATCAAAAACATTCTTCACAGAAATAGAAAAAGCAATCCTGAAATTTATGTGGAACCATAAAAGACCCTGAATAACCAAAGCAATCTTGAGCAAAAGGAACAAAGCTAGAAGCATCACACTGTCTGACTTCAAAAAATATACTATAAAACTATAACCAAAACAGTATAGTACTGGCATAAAAATAGGCACACAAACCAATGGAACAGAATAGAGAACCCAGAAAGAAATCCATGTATTAGCTAATTAGTTCTCAACAAAGGTGTCAAGAACACAAAATGGGGAAAGGATGGTCTCTTCAATAAATGCTGTTGGGAAAGCTAGCTAGCCCATGCAGAAGAATGAAAGTAGATCCTTATCTCTCACTATGTACAAAAGTCAACTAAACTTGGGGGGCTGAGGCAGGAGGATCCCTTGACACTAGGAGTTAGAGGATGCAGTGAGCCATGATCACACCACCGCACTCCAGCCTAGGTAACAGAGTGAGACTCCGTCACTCAAAAATCAAAAAACACAAACAAACAAACCCAAAAGCTTCAAAATAGATTGAAGACTTAAATGTAGTAAGACCAAAAACTACGAAACTACTAGAAGAAAACACAGGGGAAAAGCTCTATGATATTGGTCTGGACGGTGATTTTCTGGATATTATCTGAAAAGCACCAGCAACAAAAGCAAAAATAGGATTACAACAAGCTAAGAAGCTTCTGCCTAGCAAAGAAAACAACCAATAGTATGAAGAGATAACCTACAGAATGGGAGAAAATATCTGTAAACTATATAAGAGGTTAATGTCTAAAATATATGAGAAATTCAAACAACACAATAGCAAGAAGACAAAGAACCAAATTTTAAAAATAGGAAAAAGACCTAAATAGACATTTCTCAAAAGAGGACATACAAATGGCCAACAGGTATATGAAAAAGGGCTCAATATAACTAACCATCAGAGAAATACAAATCAAAATCATGAAAGACCACATCATTCCTGCTAGAATGGCTATTATCAAAAAGACAAAACATAACAAGTGTTGGCAAGGATGTGGAGAAAAGGAAATCCTTGCACATTGTTGGTGGGAATATAGATTGGTACAGCCATTATGGAAAACAATATGGAGATTCCTCAATCAATTAAAAATATAACTACCATATGATCCAGTAATCCCACTAATGGGTATAGATCCAAAGGAAATGAAACCAGTGTGCCGAAGAGATATATTTGCACTCCTATGTTTACTGCAGCACAATTCATAATAGTCAAGATGTAGAATCAACCTAAGTATTCATCAGTGGATGAACAGAGGATGAAAATGTGGTAGATATTTACAATAGAATAGCATTCACTCCTTAAAAAGATTGAAATCCTGCCGTTTGAGACAACATGGATGAACTTGAAGATATTATGCTAAATGAAATAAACCAAACAGAAATAGACAAAAACTGCATGATTTCACTTATATATGGAACGTAAAAATGTCAAACTTATAAAAGGAGACATTAGAATGTTTGTTGCCAGGGGCTAGGGGAAGGGACAATATGGAGAGGTTGGTGAATGGGTACAAAGTTTCAGTTTTGCAGGATGTATAAGCTCTGGAGATCTAATCTACAGCATTATGACTAAAATTAATAAATACTACTGTATTATATACTTACAACTTGGTAAAAGAGGAGATCTTATGGGTTCTCACCACAAATAAAAAGTTGTAACTATGTGAGGTGATAAATATATTAATTAGCTTGAATATGGTAACCATTTCTCAATGACACATTTATCAAAACACCACACTGTACACCTTAAATGTTTGTAATTTTTGTCAATTATACCTCAATAAAGCTTGAAATAGGTAACCAAAAATCCATTTGAAATTTGCAATTGAAAAAAATTTTAAAGATTAAAAAATCACATTATTTATTCCTCATTTTCTACTCCAGAAAAATCGAGACACTATTTGATTAATCTTTTCCAGGTATCTCAATCCTCCTGAATCAGTTACCTTCAGATATGTCTGAGTTAATCCCCACTGAGTAATAAATTCAGTAATAACATAAAAGCAGGGTTAACCAAGAAAGGCAAAAGCACTCAAAAAATACATCTATTTGGGGGTAAACAACTTAAAATTTCTACTTTATATTCATATAAACAAACCTATTTGAATGCTGTGTTACTGTACCTAAGAACTCTTTTACTATTTTATAGCATTTAAGTACAAATATTCATTCAAATCAGAAAGGTTTGTGGAAATGCAATCATTTAAGGATGTTTAGGAATTATTTTAAAGTAGAAATGAAAATCATTGTAACCTATAAAATAGTTACATTAATCCATACAATATAAGGAGAAAACTGTATTCAAAACAGGATTATAACCAGTTCAAGTCAACAGATTCTTAAAATCAAAATCAAATAAAACCAGAGATGAAACCAATCAGAAGCCAGAATGAAATCAGAAACACTGACAACTAGACAGGTAAATTAATGAATGAGTTAAACAGGGTGAGACTAAAGAAGTGATTCTATTAGGAGAAAAAGACCAGTGGCCATGCATTTCAAATATAGACACCATATATACTACACTAAAAGAAATGTGAAATTGCATTCATTGTCTTGTGTTTGATATAACCATGTTATTTAAATTATATGATGAATGTGACATGCTAAGCATTAATTTATAATAAAACATAAATGACTTGGGAATGTTTTCCCAATGTGGCATTTTTGTTCTTTGTTGTCATTTAAATGTCATTTCATGGCTACAATGACAGTGGCTCAAAAATTCGTGAAAGAACAATGAAAAAAATACCAGAGAGCTCAAATGTTTTTGCAAATAACCCTGAGTTAATTAGAAAAATCTGCACCATTTCCAGTTCTTCTTCTCATGTGTCAGCTCTCATTAAATTAAAAAAAAATTGCATTTCAAAGTTAAGGAATCCTATGGTTAAAAAAACTTTTAAAATGGGATCAAGTGGGCACATTCCTACATTTCTGTATGATGTCATACCAAACACTTCACAGATGAATTTGAATTTGCAAGAAGTATGATTGATTTTTCAATATAAGACGTATCTGATCTAATGCTAATTTTTTTCTATAGGCTAACTGTGCTGGGAACAGGTGGCCCTGCTTTCAATTATGGAGGGCTAGCATGCCAGTGTGAGGCCTGGATTAGTTCACCTTCTCACGGGGAATTTTCCTTGGTTGGGAATGGATTTATTATGGCTTCACACATGGAATAGAGCTCATGTCAGCTGAGGGCAGTGACACATCATATGATTCAAATTAACCTGCTGTGGACTGTTCCGCAGGGTTTAGATTGTGTATTAAAATGACGACATTTTAAAAACAGCTTGAAAGAAACCAGGATTGCCGAACTGCAATGGTTCCAATTTGTTCCAACTAATCTATCACCTGCTGGAGATATTATTCTAGTGGGTTTCTGGTAGCTGCTGTTTTCCAGGTTTCTCCAAGCCACTGACCTTGCTAATGGGTACAAGGGGAAAAGGTGGGGGGTTGGGAGAGCTTTGAAAGAGTTTTTGATGTAGAAGTTGGGACCTACCATTTGCTCTATTAAGGTACCATTAGGTGAACAGAAGAAATAGGGGAATACTCAAGAACTCTACATTATTTTTCTAAAAACAAATGCTAAAGAGCAGCATTTGTATCACCTTGTTTAGAGAAAATAATCCCTGCAAAATACATCTAAAAGGCTAAATTTCAAAAGCTGTGAAGTTTACATCTTTTTGAAGAAAGCTTAAGGTTAGGCAGTTATAATCAGTATTCCCTCTACCTTTAAGGGTTGCAACTTTTTTTTTTTTTTTTTGAGACAGGGTCTTACTCTGTTGCCCAAACTGGAGTGCAGTAGCATGATCATAGCTCACTTCAGCCTTGACCTCATGGGCTCAAGCAATCCTCCCACCTCGGCTCTCTGAGTAGCAAGGACTACAGGCACATATCACCATGCCTGGTTAATTCAGGGTCATAACTTTCATTGTTACTATACCCTTCATTAAAGAACAAGAAAAAAAATAGGTGGAAATTACTAATATAGTTCAAGACATTCTCTGGAATGATACTTAAATAGGTATGCATACAGATTAAAACATAATAATAGCTAAAGATTTCTAATGATAACACAATGTCATTACCTAAAAACAAAAAGTATTACTTGTAGTGCTTTTATTATTTTTTTGTAATGCTTTTTCTTCAAGGAAAGGGAATGTTATTGGGAACATTATAAAGCTGAAATTTGTTTGCCCAATCTCAACATAAATGACATTCCTCTTAGTATCCTATTCCCTAAGAGCTGGAAAAAATAAAATTTCCTTGAGTTGCCAAAATCTATAAAATAATACATTCGTATGGTAAAAGCTGTTTTAATGTGTCCTGTTATTCCCATTTAATTAGTGGTATGCAAGTCTCACTATCTTCTATAGCCATTTGATTCCTAAATTAATGTAGTAGCATGCCAATCTGGCTGTGTAGTGAGACAATATAATTACTCTATGAAATAACATCTACTTATCTACTCTAAATCACAAATTGCTTACAGTAGGAAAATTTTTGTCTAAGCTAGTAAATTCTGGAACAGTTACAGGCTGTTAGGTTAGTGTTTTAGAAGAAGTCACACACAGCTGATATATCATTTAAACTAATCTTCTCTCAAATAAAAAAAGTACTTTTGTTTAAAATGTTTTAGACTTTGAAGAACTTAAATCATTCATTGGATATTATATTTGATTTTCCATAATCAAAGCACCATTCTAAAAACCATTCATCTTTCTTTATCATTACCCTGTCCTGTTCCCCAAAATATCTGTGGTTTGGCTCTCAAAGACTGTGACTGATACTAAAAACAAAAATCATATATGATAAGTCATGTATAATTTTTTAAAAAGAAGTTTGATAAGAGCCATATAAAACTTGCTACAAAAAGTACAGTCCCAGACCAACAGCATCTACTTCATCTGGGAGCTTTTTAGACATGACTTTCAAGCCCTACCTTCTAGAACTATTAAATCACCATTTGCATTTTAACAAACTCCCCAGGGAAGCTTCAAATGCAAAATCAAGTTTGAGAAGTGCTGCTGTAAAATAACTATTTCAATTCATTTACTTAAAAGTTTAAATCTCTAAATATATTATCACTATTACAGCATGGACATAAAATCAGAAATTATATATATTTAATTCCTAACTTTGAAAAGTATCTTAAGAAACACAAAAGTACAGCTCCTGTAAAAAGTACATTTCTGGGCTGAGACGATGGGGTTTTCTAGATATACAATCATGTCATCTGCAAACAGGGACAATTTGACTTCCTCTTTTCCTAATTGAATACCCTTTATTTCCTTCTCCTGCCTGATTGCCCTGGCCAGAACTTCCAACACTATGTTGAATAGGAGTGGTAAGAGGGGGCATCCGTGTCTTGTGTCCGTTTTCAAAGGGAATGCTTCCAGTTTTTGCCCATTCAGTATGATATTGGCTGTGGATTTATCATAGATAGCTCTTATTATTTTGAGATATGACCCATCAATACCTAATTTATTGAGAGTTTTTAGCATGAAGGGTTGTTGAATTTTGTCAAAGGCCTTTTCTGCATCTATTGAGATAATCATGTGGTTTTTGTCTTTGGTTCTGTTTATATGCTGGATAACATTTATTGATTTGTGTATGTTGAACCAACCTTGCATCCCAGGGATGAAGCCCACTTGATCATGGTGGATAAGCTTTTTGATGTGCTGCTGGATTCGGTTTGCCAGTATTTTATTGAGGATTTTTGCATCGATGTTCATCAAGGATATTGGTGTAAAATTCTCTCTTTTGGTTGTGTCTCTGCCAGGCTTTGGTATCAGGATGATGCTGGCCTCATAAAATGAGTTACGGAGGATTCCCTGTTTTTCTACTGATTGGAATAGTTTCAGAAGGAATGGTACCAGCTCCTCCTTGTACCTCTGGTAGAATTCGGCTGTGAATCTCCTCAAGCTGATAAGCAACTTCAGCAAAGTTTCAGGATACAAAATCAATGTGCAAAAATCACAAGCATTCTTATACACCAATAACAGACAGCCAAATCATGAGTGAACTCCCATTCACAATTGCTTCAAAGAGAATAAAATACCTAGGAATCCAACTTAAAGGGATGTGAAGGACCTCTTCAAGGAGAACTACAAACCACTGCTCAATGAAATAAAAGAGGATACAAACAAATGGAAGAACATTCCATGCTCATGGGTAGGAAGAATCAATATCGTGAAAATGGCCATACTGCCCAAGGTAATTTATAGATTTAATGCCATCCCCATCAAGCTACCAATGACTTTCCTCACAGAATTGGAAAAAACTACTTTAAAGTTCATATGGAACCAAAAAAGAGCCCGCATCGCCAAGTCAATCCTAAGCCAAAAGAACGAAGCTGGAGGCATCACGCTACCTGACTTCAAACTATACTACAAGGCTATAGTAACCAAAACAGCATGGTACTGGTACCAAAACAGAGCTATAGACCAATGGAACAGAACAGAGCCCTCAGAAATAATGCTGCATATCTACAACTATCTGATCTTTGAAAAACCTGACAAAAACAAGCAATGGGGAAAGGATTCCCTATTTAATAAATGGTGCTGGGAAAACTGGCTAGCCATATGTGGAAAGCTGAAACTCAATCCCTTCCTTACACCTTATACAAAAATTAATTCAAGATGGATTAAAGACTTAAATGTTAGATCTAAAACCATAAAAACCCTAGAAGAAAACCTAGGCAATACCATTCAGGACATAGGCATGGGCAAGGACTTCATGTCTAAAACACCAAAAGCAATGGCAACAAAAGCCAAAATTGACAAATGGGATCTAATTAAACTAAAGAGCTTCTGCACAACAAAAGAAACTACCATCAGAGTGAACAGGCAACCTACAGAATGGGAGAAAATTTTTGCAACCTACTCATCTGACAAAGGGCTAATATCCAGAATCTACAATGAACTCAAACAAATTTATAAGAAAAAAACAAACAACCCCATCAAACAGTGGGCGAAGGATATGAACAGACACTTCTCAAAAGAAGACATTTATGTAGCCAAAAAACACATGAAAAAATGCTCATCATCATTGGCCATCAGAGAAATGCAAATCAAAACCGCAATGAGATACCATCCCACACCAGTTAGAATGGTGATCATTAAAAAGTCAAGAAACAACAGGTGCTGGAGAGGATGTGGAGAAATAGGAACAGTTTTACACTGTTGGCAGGACTGTAAACTAGTTAAACCATTGTGGAAGTCAGTGTGGCGATTTCTCAGGGATCTAGAACTAGAAATACCATTTGACCCAGCCATCCCATTACTGGGTATATACCCAAAGGATTATAAATCATGCTGCTATAAAGACACATGCACACGTATGTTTATTGCGGCACTATTCACAATAGCAAAGACTTGAAACCAACCTGAATGTCCAACAACGATAGACTGGATTAAGAAAATGTGGCACATATACACCATGGAATACTATGCAGCCATAAAAAAGGATGAGTTCATGTCCTTTGTAGGGACAAGGATGAAACTGGAAAACATCATTCTCAGCAAACTATCACAAGGAGAAAAACCCAAACACCGCATGTTCTCACTCACAGGTGGGAATTGAACAGTGAGAACACATAGACACAGGAAGGGGAACATCACACACCGGGGACTGTTGTGGGGTGGGGGTCAGGGGGAGGGATAGCATTAGGAGATATATCTAATGTTAAATGACGAGTTAATGGGTGCAGCACACCAACACGGCACATGTATACATATGTAACAAACCTGCATGTTGTGCAAATGTACCCTAAAACTTAAAGTATGATTAAAAAAAAAAAAAAGTACATTTCTGGCTGGGCACGGTGGCTCATGCCTGTAATCCCAGCACTTTGGGAGGCCAAGGTGGGCGGATCATGTGGTCAGGAGTTAGAGACCAGCCTGGCCAGTATGTTGAAACCCAACCTCTACTAAAAATACAAAAATTAGCCGGGTGTGATGGTGCGTGCCTGTAGTCCCAGCTACTCAGGAGGCTGAGGCAGGAGAATCGCTTGAACCTGGGAGACAGAGGTTGCAGTGAGCCAAGATCACACCACTGCACTCCAGCCTGGGTGATAGAATGAGACTCCATCTCAAAAAAAAAAAAAAAAATCACATTTCTAATACTGAGTCATGTTAAATGCCAGAATTGTAAATACATAATTTTTCATTTATTCATTGGCATTTCTCTTAAAATTCAATTGATTTGGTTGCCTTGAAAATATTGTATCTAATTTACCATCAACTTTCAAATTCCATTGTTTTACAAACAAATCAATCAAATGTAAACTACAAGATAATTTTCTAGCCAAAATGAGCAAAGTGTGCCTAAAAACAAAACGAATGTGAAACTAAAACTGAGAAATAAGTAAATCCAAGTTTCCCCTGTCACTCTTCCATGAACTAATTACGTGTTCTTACCCTATTGCATCTATTCTATTGTGTTCAGTCTTTCATGTGTGAACAACTCTGAAATCAGGAAGTGTCTTCAAACTGATGTAATAAAAAGGCCCTGTATCACAGTGTAAAGAGCATATGTTTTTTTCATTTTTAGTGGCATATAGAATGTTTTTTTACAATTGCTAGTGGCTTAGATGGAATGAAATATGGTACTTCATGCTTACTAACCAAATACTAGCACTCACCTTCTTCAGTCTATTACCTCACTCCAAAGGCTTCTTCCTACACTTTAATGACTTGCTTATCCTTCAGTTTCTTGCTTTCCTTCATATATTTAAAACCATATCTAGAGTTTATCAAGATTAGAAATAGTTCTTCATACTTCTACACCTTTACAATCCCAGCACTAGAAAAACATGCTGAAGAAGAATTCGTCCCCAGTGACAAAGTCAGTGGAGATGGTTTCAGTCTCTGTTTAATCCATGACTGGCTTTCTCCATCTGTAGTATGGATCATAAGTACACTAGCACGCCACAACACATGTACTCAACAAAGTCTATATATAAATATTTTTCCTTCCTTAAAATTCATGCCTTGCGGGGTATTGCTAGAGATCTTAAGACAGTTGTAAAATCATTGCTTTAAATTCTTTTCTTTTTTTTTGAGACAGAGTCTTGCTCTGTTGCCCAAGCTGGAGCGCAGTGGCGTGATCTCATCTCACTGCAACCTTTGCCTCCCAGTTCAAGCAATTCTTGTGCCTCAGCCTCCAGAGTAGCTGGAACTACAGGTACGTGCCACCATGGCCAGCTAATTTTTTATTTTTATTGTTATTTTTAGTAGAGACAGGGTTTCACCATGTTGGCTAGGCTGGTGTGGAATTCTTGGTCTCAAGTGATCTGCCTATCTTAGCCTCCCAAAATGCTGGGATTACAGGTGTGAGCCACCATGCCCAGCCTATTTTAAATTCTTAATGGCCAGGAGCAGTGGTTCACACCTGTAATCCCAGCACGTTAGGAAGCTGAGGCAGGCGGATTGCTTGAGTTTAGGAGTTCAGGACCAGCCTGGGCAACATAGCGAGACCTCATCTCTACTAAAAATAAAAAAAACTAGTTGGGCGTGGTGGCACACACCTGTAGTCCCAGCTACTTGGGAGGCTGAAGCAGGAGAATTGCTGGAGCCCAGGAGATTGAGGCTACAGGGAGCTATGATTGCACGACTGTACTTTGGCTTGGGTAACAGAGCAAGATGGTCTCAAAAAATAAATAAATAAATAAATAAAATTAAATAAAATTCTTAAGGAAGAAACTAATACTCATTCCATGGGTAACACTCTGAAGCACTGTAACTACAAAATAACAAAACAAAAAGTGAAATGTAATAATTTTTGTTAAATAAATAGCTAAGACTATACGGAAGTGAGGGAGAAATAACAGAAGAGGGGGAAGAACATGAGATGAAGGAAGAAAAGACAGAGGAGGAAGATCGAGGAATAAAGAAAAAAACTTTAGTTATGCCCAAATTAGTGTAGTACAGAAGTTAAGCTCTGGTCTTTGGAGTCATAAAGACTTAGGTTTGAATGGCTCCTCTGTCACTATGACCTTAGGCAATTTACTTCACTTTTCTAAGTCTTAGCTTCCTTATTCATAAAATAAGAATAACTATAGTACATACTCCTAAAATGCATAGTGCCTGGGACATAATTAGCTCTCAAAAATTTTTGATATCTGTATCTATCTAAAACTGAGTAATTACTATGTTTCAAGCACTTTGCTAAGCATGTGAAACAGGTACATTTAACTATCAAATCTAATCTATCTATGTATACTATCTTATGTATATATATATCATGTTTCCTATCCATTCATCCATCTAGTCTATCCTCTTCATATACAGGTAAGAAAACTGAAGTATAGAAGATTAGATCAATCACCTAAGATCATACAGTTAATTAATAGGAAAGGTAGAAATAAAATATTGGGGCTTTGGCTTCCAGTCAACTATTCTTTAATTGATAACTACCTTTTTGTCAGACTGAAGGTAATTCTTAATGCATATTTATATTTGCCTTTTGATCTCTAAAATGGGCAGCCTGAAAAGCATACACCTCTGGGAAAAAATGAACTATTCATTTTTTGCACGGAATGTCAAGATTACTAACAGATCCTATATACATGCTAATATATTCACATAAAAAATGTACACACATGTAAATTTTATGACTTTCTTACCTGGTCCATTCAGAAAGTCTTTAATCTGTAGTGTTATAAAGGAAGGTGGAATACCACTTTTGCTGTCTATTTCTCCAGGCACTGTCTGTAGCCAAACAGTGCAATAATCAAGGGCTTCAGGCAGAGTCTTCCCAGGATCTAAAGTGACAAAATTGAAATTAAAAACATCAGTTACATCACAAATATCTCATTTTGATATATGAGTTTGAGTTAATAAATGAGAGAAAAACTGGTTAAATAACTGTTTGCAAGCTTCATTGTTTCATTTGTTTGTGCACATACAGTAAACAAGCACTCGCGCTGAAAAAGATAAACTATCACTGTACAATGTGGGATGACAAAACCATGTTTTCCAGAACAAAGAGGAAAAAAATGTTCAAATCTGAATTCATATCACAAATGAGGGAAGGTAAAGTTTATGTATTCTGAGCTGCTGTTTACAGTTTAATGGTTGGATATTTTTTAAAATGTGATATTAAAAACAAAGAAAAAAGGACAATCTTGTCAGCTTTAAAAAAAAGCATATACATTTTCAAAGATACAGTAGATTAGTACTACTTAGGGGCTATTTGATCTGTTTTAAGAGTTTTACTGACATTACAATCACTTTTTACTTCTAGATCTTTGAAGTTAACCTCAGTAGCTTTCCTGCAACCTTCTTTAAATTGATAAAATTGGTCAGTCTCTTAATAATCCTAATTATAATGAAAATGAGCTTTTTCTGTTTTGACTTTTTTTCTGTTTAGACTTTTTTTCTGTTTAATACTATGTATTTTTAAAATTTTCTGGGTAATATTGTATATTTTTTAAAAAGTATTTTTGGCTATTGGTTGTGGTAAACTTAATTTGCTTTTTAATACTTAGGAATCCACAGCTTTTATTGAAATAGCTCTTTAAATAAAAACGACTGCTGTATCTTGGCATACAGTGTAGTAGGCTTTAAAAAACTTCTAAATATTCACAGTTTTTCTTTAGTTTCATGATTGTTTTACTCTCTGTGTTTTAATGGCCTCTGAATGTCAGTTTTATAGGGATGTTCTTGCCATAGAGTCCATCTATTCCATTTTCAGTCTATTTGAAATGTGTTATTAAAGTATTATTTATTTTAGGTTTTATTGATTGGATTGCTTTCAAGAATAGTATTTACATACAGTGTATTATATTCAACATATGGTTATTTAGTATTGCTGTCATATGTGAAGTGGGCATATAAATTCTGCCTTGGAATTTGTATTTCTTGACCTTATCATGTGATCCTTATGAAATTTGGCACATATGAACCTTATGTGATTTCAAAGAAAATGCTGAAAGCAATTGATCATGACGTTAGATCTATATGGTCAAGATCAAACACTAAGCTAGTGCAGTCTTCTCTTTTTATATCATCAGTGATTTTTAAAGCAGTGAGAATATGCATAGTAGATCCATTTCATAGTAACACTGTACTATTCTCTCTTTTAAATATAATGGTCAAGTCTGGTGAAAGGATGATTAAAAAGTCTGTTGCTGGTAGGATCTACAACCAGTTTGTAGGAACTATGTAACCTGCTAGGACCTGGGCATCTATTTTGGGTCCCACCACCACAGCTATCATCAAAAGTGGTTATTATCAGGTAAGTGGTACCGTGATAGATCTAAACAAGGAGACATAACTCTTCATTTTGAAGAGAATACAATGTGGAGATAAAACAGTGATCTAATAGAGAAAACACAGATCTTAAGTGATATAAATAACAAAATAATGAACAGAGATGATTAAATTGATGTAGAAATGTTAATATGATGTATAAAAAACTGACAAGTAAGACTTAGGATAAGTAAAACAAGTTAGAGTAACTGCATATTCAAACTTACATGGCGCTGAGAATGGTTATCCTTGTGGCATATTTAATCAACTTTCTACATTTTTCTAGAAATAGATTCCAAGTAGCAAAATAATGTATACTGAGGTAACGTGCATTAACTATCCTATTGTATATCAACAATAATAACAATAAGACACCAAAACTAAAAAACATAAGGGCTGACATATATGACCACACAAAACTTTTGTGAAAGAACACCATGAACAGAATAAAAAGTCAAATGACAGAAAAGATGAAATTGTAACATATGTGACAGTAAAAGAAAAGGGATACCATTAATATATAAAGAGTTCACATATTCAATATAGGTACCAACAGAAAAACCAGTGGAGGATAGAATAAGCAATAAATGAAAATTACTAAACAAAACAATAAAAGCAAATGGCATATAAACATTTTAAAAATACAAACATTAAAATATACTAAATCTTAATAATTAAAGAAACAAATCTTCAAATAAGATAGAAATTTTCACCTATCAGATAGGCTAAGACTAAAAAAACTGACAACGGGTCTGCAATCCTAGCACTTTGGAAGGCCGAGGTGAGCATATTGCTTGAACCCAGGAGTTTGAGATCAGCCTGGGTGACATGGTGAAACCCCAGCTCTACAAAAAAAATACAAAAAAATTTAGCTGGGCGTGGTGGCACCTGCCATGCCTGTAGTCCCCATAGTAGCAGCTACTTGAGAGGATAATGTGGGAGGATCACCTGAGCCTGGGAGGTTAAGGCTGCAGTGAGCCGTGATTGTGCCACTGCACGCCAGCCTGAGCTACAGAGTGTGATCCTGTCTCAAATAAAAACAAAAACAAAAACAACAACAACAAGAACAAAAAAAACAACACCCGATAATGCCTGTATTGGTAGTTTGTGATGAGAGGTCCACTCTCATTAATTCCTTTCTGGAGAGTATTTTATAATACATAACTGATTTTAAATGTGTATGTCACTTGACCTAGGAAATTAATGTGTAGGAATTTAATCCAAATAAGAAGTCAGGTAAGTGTGTAAATAAACATACTGGAGAATTATCATAGCAAAAATAGAAAACAACCTACATATCCAGCAACAGATTAATGTTTAAATAAATAAATAAATAAATAATCTGTATAATTGTTTAAGAGAATCAAGAAGATCTATATGGTTGACATAAGACAGTTATTTTATATTGTTAACAGGGGAAAAAAAGCAAGCAGGTTAAGCATTTTCATTCATTGGCCATTCAGGATTCCTCAACTACAAAGAATTTATTTACACATTTTTCTCTTGAGTTCTTTTTCTTACTGATTTGTAGGAGCTCCTTATATATTCTGAGTATTAGTGTTTTGTTTGCCTTATTTAGCAAAGCCTTCCTCACGTGAAGAGGCAGTCATTTAACTGTATTCTGATGCTTTTTGCACGCATACTTTTTAAACACATATGGTAAAAAAAATCTGTTAACTTTTACTTTATGAATTTATTCCTAGGTAATTATATATGTTCCTATAGTTTCTTAAAGCATTTTTAAGCTTTTGGTTTTACCTTTAGCTGTTGAATCCTCCTGGAGAGCACTGCTTTATGAAAAATAGGAAAACTCTGCTCAGCTTCATTCTTAATCAGGGATATATAAATTAAAACAAGAAATACAATTTTTCTTCCATAGATTAGCATAAATTTAAAAAATTGATAATATCTTATATTGGGGGAGAAGGAGAAGAAACAAATTCCCCCATGGATGGTTGATAAGGGTGTACATGCAGTATTTTTGCATGAGCAGAGGAGAAGCCTGACAATGAAAGTTTATCAAAATTATAAATGTACATGTCCTTGGAATCAGGAAGGCCGTCTTTAGTACTGTACCTTAAAGAAACACTTAAGAATATATAAGTAAATGTCCAAAGAAGTTGACTGCAACATCATTTGAAATATTAACAATTTGGGAAAATTTAAACTAAATATCTATCTATAGATAAATATAAAATAAACTATGAATGCACCATAAATACTGCATAGAATACTATGCTACTGATAACGAGAATGGTGTGACTCTCATATACTAAAAGAGAAGAGCTTAAAAATATATTGATCAGTGAATAAAACAATGAAATAGGACACAGATTCAGTAAATTCAAATGTAAAAAATCTATCTGCATACACACACACACACACACACACACAATTTTTAAAGTACTGCTGAATGATCACCTCTAGGATGATCCTAAACATATGCTGACTTATAAGTTATTCAGGACTTAAAGACAAAATAGCACTATTTACCAAGCATTTATAAAAATTAAAGGGAAAAAGAAAAAACACTTAGTGGGTATTTGATGCCCTCCTCTCAAGGTATAAACTGGGGGAATAGCAAAGTCTGATAATGTAGATAAGAGTTTTCAAGGTAAGTGAAGTGGGTTTTGTGCAGTTGCCTCTCTTTTGGCACAAGTTAGAGGACCTGACCATCTGGCACCAAGCTTAGGAGTCTACTCTGGGCAATTACAGGGGGAGATGACTTAATAGGAGACACAATAAACCAACTGGCCATAGTAGAAAGCACAGGAGAAGTTAGAAATTAAAGCAACTGTAAAAGTCTAGGAAATCCATCCAAGGAATCCAAAATGACTATTTCCCAACAAAATATTAATATAACGGGTTTTTAAAGTATGCCTGAATTTACAGGGTTGATAAAACAGAATAACTGAAATTAGGAACATCCAGAAAAATACAGGTTGCATGGTTAATGAAAATTGAATGCAGGATAGGGCTGGTGGCCCTTTTCCCAGTTTTTGCTAAACTCTCTACTTCGCATATGCCTGTAGTCATTAACATTGATAGAGGTAAGTATGCCTTTGTTTATCATTTAAATCATAGAAAATATAACATGAGTCAGTGCAGCCAGCTCAAAATGAAACTCTGAAAGCAGCTGTAGTAGCAGAAAGGTGTGTCAGAATCCCAGAGAAACGGCTCAAGTTCAAAAGTCACCCTTTAGTCCCTTATGCTCTAATGGCTAGAAAATGAGGGGCATGACTCCTAGTCTTCCTGTCCTGTCCTCAGTTTAACTTCTCCTTAATTCCATCATCAGGTCTACAATATAGGATTCATATTACACATTCTTCAGGGTCAACACACTGGGGAATGTACCAGATAAACTAAGATTAAAGGAGCCTATGAATGTAATATAAATGGAGTGACAAACAGATAACTATTTCATATTGGAAGCTCTTTCAGACCTCTTCTGGATGTATTCAAGTCATAGGAATCTCTCAAAAATAATAAATTCCTGCTGATGTTGATGAGCACATTTACGCTCCTGTCCCTATGCCAAAGAAACAGGAGAAAGTCTTATCTTATGAGGAGTAACAGAAGGTAGGAAATGTGTCAGAATAAATGACAAACTGCCCACAGCCATAAATTTGGTTCAGAGTGAGTTCGATTTCACTTTCATAAGGCATTTGTATTGACAAAGCTGTAATAATTGTTTTTCTTCTGGGTTGACCAGGTCTCAAAGAAAAACAAAACCAAAAAATCCCAATCCTCTGCTCCAAATTTCATCATATTATGTCATAAGGAATACCTAAAGAGAAGATTCAGAAAGCCCCAACTCAGTTCCCAGATGAATCAAGACTTTCATGAAGACTTGATTAAGACTGCATTCGTTTTGTTTGTAGGTTTGCTCTTCTTCAGAAAAAACCCTTCATTTCACTTAATTGTTTGGCAGGGCTTCCAGTAAATCTGATAAAAGTGGTCTTTTGAAGTGCTGCTCACTATTTCTTTTAACCCTTAGCAAACATTCATAGAGTTAAGTATGTCTTTGGTTACTACTTGAATTGTGTAAAATACAACATGATTCAGTGCAGCCAACTCAAAATGAAACTCTGAAATTGAATTCACTTCTTTTCTTCTTCTTCTTTTTAACCTTTTATGCTTGGAACCTAACAGCACCTGAAAGCAGGGAGGAGACAGTACAGTGAGGAAAAGCATCTGACAAGGCCAGCTGGGGCAGAGGATGGGAAGGATGGAGACACCTTGGTTTGGAAGGCTAGGAAGCAGGCAAAGACTGGCTGTCACTTCAAATCACTAACCGGGCCCACTGATTCCATCTACAATCCTAACCCACCTCCTCGGGACTCCCTATGCCTTCCTACCAGTGAAATGCGAAATAGCAGCACCTACCACAGCCAAGAGAGCACTTAACACAACAGCAGTTTATGGACACGAAGAAGAGAAGGGAGAATAAAGAGGAAAATGATGTTGATCTAAAAGTCTCACTCTGGTCCCTTTTATAATAGATATTTTACTTTGAAATAAACAGATTTTTATGACACTTGGCTTTTTAAGATTCAGTGCTCTTTATTCATATTGTAAAAAGTATCAAAACTCTTTGTCTCTGGTAGATAGCACTTAGAAGTATCCAGTGTAATTGGACTTCGTTATGTATTCAGTGTTGTATCAAGGAAGTAAATAATCTGCAAGCCAAAATAGACTGCTTTCCATTTTCTAAACTAGAAGTTAGAGTGCTGATTCCTTTTCCAAAGGTGTCTGGGTGTATCAACTTTTATTCAAAGAAGGGACTGAAATGAGACTTCAAAATAATTTACAAGTGAACATCAGAACTTCTATTTCAAAGAGTTTTCTGTTTCAAGGATGATCAAGCAGCTAGCTAGAGTAGGGTAGGAGGAAACACCTAAAGAGGAGTTAGGGTAGCAGGTGAGTGCTTAGAGATTCCTTACTCTCCCTTCCTGTGTCCCAATTCATTGAGACAAGTTGTTCCTAGACAGTTTTTTTTTTTTTTGGCTTAATCCTTTTATCCCCAGCCAAGAACAAATAAAGGTGTTTCTTAATAGAACTTACAGAGAATTTAAAGGACAGCATTTTGGAAATTCCTATCATGCTACATTTATTTGTAGTATGATACATTTATTTGTGGCTATCTATGAAATTGATGTTATTAAAGCTCCCAAGCAGCCTCTGCCAGAGGCCAAAGTTGTGAATGGTTTTGGCTATGCTCAACGGCTTCAAGTGTAATCCTCTGCAATAAGAGGTCACTATCAGAACAGTCACTTCTTGACCACTGGACATGTAAAAGGCAAGCTACAAGCTTACTGAGTTTCATACATTTTTCTATACTTACTTGGAGAAAATATATTTTCTATATTTACTTTTTGATCTATAGTTTAAATGGCTAATTTGTTCTTTTTCTTATGTAGCCACAAAAGCAAAAGTAGTCCATGAAGGCTCTATAAAGCCTGCAAGTTAAATTGTGAAGGAATCTAGATCCATTAAACATCATAATAATTCAGTGTCAGCCGGGCGTGGTGGCTCACGCCTGTAATCCCAGCACTTTGGAAGGCCGAGGCGGGCGGATCACAAGGTCAGGAGATCGAGATCATCCTTGCTAACACAGTGAAACCCCGTCTCTACTAAAAATACAAAAAATTAGCCGGGCGTGGTGGCGGGCGCCTATAGTCCCAGCTACTAGGGAGGCTGAGGCAGGAGAATGGTGTGAACCCGGGAGGCAGAGCTTGCAGTGAGCCGAGATCGCGCCACTGCACTCCAGCCTGGGTGACAGAGCAAGACTCTGTCCCAAAAAAATATATATAATAATAATAATAATAATAATCATCATCATCATCCAATGTCAGGACAGCAAAAATCAACCAAGAAACCAGTTCCAAATTGCTCTGGATGCAAGGTAAGTGCCACCATCTCCCTGTGGATATCCAGACCTTTGGCTAACTCTATAAGCAGTATTTCACATGCTCTGCGATTCTGTACCTACTCTGCACCTCGTAAGATGTGATGGGAAGGGCAAGAGATTTCCTGGTTTGAAACCCCAGGTCTGCAGTCCATAGTAACAGGAAAAGGAAGGGATTAAATTGGCTGCTGGAATGTTTGACCATCAATGTCCACTTGCTCTTACTTTTAGAACCAAGTCTTTCATATCTTGCTAGAAGGAAGTGTATTCTTTATACTTAATGAATATTAAGTATAACCAGCAGATAATATGTGAAATATCAATTCAATTAATTCCTTTTAATTCATTTTATGTGCTGCTCTGTGTTGTCCTTGATCTCTTTCTTATTAAAATTTGGTTGTTTCATATTAAATTCTAATGTGGCCAACATTTGATTAAAATTCAGCACAAGTAAGCACAAGGTGCTATTCAGTGAAAAAAAAAAAAAAAAATGAAGTCACATATCCAAGGAAGATCAACTTAATCCCAACTGTAAACCTCTTTTCTGCTCTAAGCAAAGTTGGGTTTTGTAACATTAAAGCTAATCACTGCCTTTAAATGATTCCCCCCATTTTCATTTGTTTTAAGTAAATGTTGATGATTACAATGGGAGTCACAAAGGCCAGGGCACTAATCTTTTCCTCGTGTCTAAAAATGAAAGTTTCCCTTTTAATACTAATAATCACTGAAGTCCCAACTTATGTTTGAATAATGTTTCATATTTCCACTTAATTTCATAAATATCACCTCACTTGAAACTCAGATTTAACCATTAATTGACTAACAGCAGATATTATCAAACCATTTTAGAGATTAGAAAACTAAAGCACCAAGAAATTTAGCTGTTTGCATGAAAGAGCTTTGGCATTAGAACCAAGGCTAAAAGTCAAGATTTCTGATTTCTGTTCTAATACCCTTCCTCATATAATATTATTTCCCTCAGCTGGTTGGGTCATTTCTTATTTAACCTTCTCATCACCTTTCTCTCTGAGTGATACACTAGAATGCCTCTCATTTAAGAGATCTACTTTCTTGCTAATTCCTGTCAAAGTAATAATTTTATTTCATATTATTAGCCAGCAAGCAATGTTCACAGCAGCTAAATTTCCAGATAAATGTTCAGAGTGTGATCATTATGACATTAAAGTCACAGGTTAATTCTAAGCCTTTCCAGGGATATTAACAAAAACCTTAATTCTAAAGAGGCATATAATTCAATCTTTTTCTTAAAGTCACAATAACTAAATGAAATCAAGATATGATTTATGAGGTGTAAGAAGCCATTTTATGATTTTTCAACTGTTCGTTTACTCAAATGTCTTTGGCACATTTCTACAGTCCTATTCATGAAAGGATAAAAAAAAAACCCTCAATTACTGTAACTGAAAATTTTCAAACCACAATAGCTAGAATTACATTGAAATGATATGCATTATTTTACCATTTACAACCACTACTTTAAAAAAACACTTAAAGATATTAACAATGATGACAAAAGCAACAATATTTATTAATAGTCATTGAGCCTTGTGCCATACACTTAGCTAAGAACTTCGCATACATTGTTTAATCCTAATAGCAACACTAGGAGGCTGCTACCAGTATTATTCTCATATCATAGACAAGGAAACTGAGGCATAAACAGGTTAAATAACTTGCCTAAGGTCACACAGCTGTAAGGAGTAGAATCAGGATTAAAACTTAGTACCGAGAGGTCTAATCCTGAGCTCTCATAGGACTCCATATTTCAAGTTTGACCCTTCATTAGACCTTTGGCATTTATAAAACTTCAAAATGCAGAAATTGTCCCATATTAGATAACCTATCTTAAACATTACAGTATCCTACACAGAAGTGTGCTATGACCTACTTTTTCAGTATGATACATTCAAATAAACTTTAACTTCTGTATTTTAGTCTAGTTGATGTTTGAAAAGATACAATCAGGTAAATAAGTTGCAAGATGGCAGAAGTAAATGTTTTCAGTTGGTTTCTTTGTTAGGTCCTAGCACACATTAATGGGTAACAAGATATTGCACTAAGGAGTTAGTTAAATTCCCTCAGAACTGTTCAATCCCTTCACATTTGACCAGATGGCACAGCCATTTCTTCAAAAACAAACAAAAAAGCCCCAAACAAACAAGAAGAAAAATGACTTTTTGAGGCTGCCTTGGGCTGCATAGTCAAGACATGAGGCAATTTCAAATCTGGACTCCATTACCTTAAACAAAACAAATACCAATTTTTAAATATTTATAAACACAACTAATACGATTATGCTAAAAACAACTACATACATCTTTATTTAAATGAGAACTGCCAATAATACAGCTGCTATGTATAAAGGTGCTGGCAGAAGATCTCATTTCTGTTAGAGGTTGCTCCAGGTGGGAAGGGCATGGAAAAGCCTATTGCCACATTAGTCTAATATTTCTAAAAAGAAGTTAACTCAAAGACTTACTATCTACTTGGAAAATCATTTGAAGTAGATTATTAATATTAATATTCATTAAAAATTCAAGTTGATAATTTAGTTTTTAAACAATGTTTTTAAATTAAGGATGAAAAGCATATTGCTATGTATAGCTTAAAGATACAGTCAGCATAATTTAGGACCAGTAAATTATGCAGAATATGAATTATACTCTATTAATAGGACTTTCAAAATTATAATTATCATACTTTTAATTTTGCTTTAGCTTTGTAAAACAGATTTAGATGTAGGTATAGATTCCACTTATTTATCCTGGGAAGTATCTCAAATACGTTTTTAAATGTATATGTTTAAAGTCATCCCTTGTTGTTCACAGGGGACTGGTTCCAAGACCTCCTGTGGATACCATATTCCACAGATATCCCAGTCCCTGATATAAAATGACCTGGTATTTGCATTATAGCCTATTTATATCCTACTGTATACTTTAAATCATCTCGAGAATACTTATAATACCTAATACAATATAAGTGCTATGTAAATAGTTGTTATGCTGTATTGTTTAGAGGATAATAAGAAAAAAAGTCTGTACATGTCCTGTAAAGATGCAATTTTGTTTGGAATACTTTTGATCTATGGTTGGTTGAATCCACAGATGTGGAACCCATGAATACTGAGGGCCAATTTTATACAGTAATCCCCTGCCCTTATCTGTGGTTTCAGTTACCTGCAATTACCTGTGGTCTGAAAATATATTTTGAGAGAGAAAGAGAGACCACATTCACATAACTTTTATTACAGTATATTGTTGTAATTGTATTATTTTGTTATTTATTATTGTTGTCAATCTCTCATTGTGCCAAATGTATAAATCAAACTTTATCATAGGTATGTATGTGTAGGAAAAAACAGTACATATAAGGGTCAGTACTATCCACAATTTGAGGCCCCACTGGGGATCTTGAAACATGTTCCCTATGGATAAGGGACATCACTACAGAGTATACACATATATTTAACTATACATATATATTTTAAAATTGTATATATCAGTCACATGTGCTGGGGAAGGCAGGTTGACAAGAAGGGCAATGAATCTCACAGCATTTTCCCCTGCTAACTTGATTTGATAGTATATGAAAGGAAAGCCCTGAGGAATGCAGAGAGAGAACACCATTGCTGCCCTCTGAGTGTGTGCTTATTGGTGACACGGGAAGAATCAAGTTAATGCTGACAACTCCTTGGGAGCAGTAATTACTGATTAGGCTATATGTAGCTGATCTGTGCTCAAGATGTAAAGATATAAAAGTATCACTTTTAGAGGAAATCCCCTATTAAGTTTCCCAGAAAACCAAGTCCTGGCTAATGGACTAGAAAACATTATTATTATTTTTAAATGGCAGGATTTCTGGTGCCAGCCCAGACTGGAATAACCTCACTGCAGCCTAACTCTCATGCTGCTTACAATTAAAAACCTTGTAAAAGACACAAAAAGCAAATAAATACCTGAGAATTCTGAAAAGTAAATCAGACCAATGCAGATTGGAGAGGAAAGTCCAATTTGTGGCTATAACCGACGTTGTGATGAATTTCCCAGTTCATGTTGTTTTGTGTCTTCTTTTATAAGTTTAACTCGAGAGTGAGCCCTATATTGTGGTGCACAGTGAAGGTAAGGACACATCCAAAGCTCCAACAGGAATATTGTCTGGAAATTAAGTCCCCTGTGGTTTTAAGAGTGTAGGGGAAATCTTGTTGCTTTTTCTTTTCTTTTTTTTTCTCTCTCTCCTGGCTTTGCCCTGAGGGTGGACCCAATATCCAATGTGTGTGTGTGTCTGTGTGTGTGTGTGTGTGTGTGTGTATGTAGAGGGGACTGTTACAGTGGTGGCAGTGACACAGGCATTTAAGACTTTAAGCAGCTGTTACAACTGTATTTCATGAGGTAAAGGTAAACACACCTGAAATGAATTGAAATATAAGTTCTTAACAGATAAATAAGAACTACAAAAAAGAACCAAATGGAAATTTTAGAAGTGAAAAATTTAATAGAAATTATCCAATCTGAAGAGTGGGGAAAAAAAAATGAGAGTCTTAGAGATTTGTAGGACAATATTAAAAAGCTTAACACTTGAATTCCAAAAGGAGAAGAGAAAGAGATTGGTGCAGAAAGACTATTTGAAGAAAAAAGGGCCAAAAGTTCTCAAATTTGATAAACAAAACCAAAACAATATACCCATAAATTTACAGTCAAGAAGATCAGAGAACCCCACACAGGATAGAATCAAAGAAACCAAGTCCAGACACACAATAATCAACCTACAGAAAACTAAAGATAAGCAGGTGTCTTGAAAACAGCTAGAGAAAAACAACACATTACAAATATGGAAACAGTAATTGGAATGAACATGGATTCCTCATCAGAAACCACAGGGGACAGAAGAACATGAAATACTATCTCTAAAGTGCTAGAAGACATGTCAACCCAGAATTTTACATCCAGCAAAAATATCCTTCAGGAATGAGAGAAAAAAAAAAAAGGTACTCGCAGATGAAGGAAAACAGTATTTATTGCTAGCAGCTCTGCTCTAAAAGAAATGCAAAAGGAGGTTCCTAATGCTGAAGAAAAATCTACCAGAGGGAAACCTGGAGCTCTGGGGATAAAGGAGCACTGAACATGGTAAATGGCTGGGAATACAAAAGACCACTTTCCCCCTCTTCAGTTCTTTAAAATATATAAGATTACTGAAACAAAGATTAAAATCTTATCTGGTAGGGTTTTGAATATATAGATGTAATATTTATGACAATTATAAATGGAAGACAGTAAAGGAACCTATGTAGTTGTAAAGCTCTCCCATCTTCCTTTAAGTGATGAAATATTACCTCTAAATAGAGTGTGAATGATTAGACATGCATACTGGAAACCCCAGAGCAACCACTAAAATATATTACAAAGAAATATAGCCAAAAGGCAAATTCATAAAGTAAAATATTTAAAAATATTCTGAATCACAGCTAAAGCTGAATATACAACTAATAAAAAATCAATAACTTTAAAGATGTATCTAAACAGTTTTTCTTAAGCCATCACATACAACTGATACTAGCTTTTCTAAATTGCTTCTCTGGAACTTAAATAAAGGTCATAGGCTTTATTTAATTAATGTAAGTGTTTCACAACCCTCCATGGCATGAAGATCTTTATTCTGCTAAACCTTCAAAATTAATCTTAATAAGTATGGTTATCACATGAAGCAAGGTGCCTGAAGGCAGAAACTGAGTCTTATTACTGGTTTCTCAGAGTCTTGCCCATGTCTGATAAACAGCAAGTGCTCACATTCAGCGAATGAATGAATATTCCCAAAATATGTCTGCTGTATAAATGAAAGCACAATAGGAATAAGATGTTCTTCTGAAGTAATAAGTCAAGCTGATTGTATAAGACAGGAGGGAAGATGTAATTTTAAAAGCCAGACTGATTAAAGTAGTCACCTTGGTATATTACACTGTATTCCTACAACACTCAAAGGATTTTCAATATTCACTTTTGGGCTCTTCATTATAGTTGCCTGAATATGTCAAATTAAACCAAATCTTCATAATTTAATGTCAAAAGTATTTCCATCTTTCTAGAAGCATCACCCAGAGCCATACTTTAATAATGAATAATGCCCATGATCGAGTGACAATTTTTAAGACCCTTATGAATTATAGAATAAAAATCTCTTGAGATAACCAGCGTTATCTGTGTAGGTCCCCTGTGCCTGAATTTTTTTGTGATATTCTTACAAATTAATGAGATAAATAAATTATTAGTTAAATAAAACCTTTGACATATATTCTTTTTATAGTTACATAAGAACTATGATTTTACCTTTTCTGAAAATTATTAAACCTTTTTTTTTTTTTTTTTACAGTCTTGCTCTCTCGCCCAGGCTGGAGTGCAATGGTGTGATCTCGGCTCACTGCAACCTCTGCCTCCCAGGTTCAAGTGATTCTTCCTTTTTAAGTGATTCTTCCGCCTCAGCCTCCTGAGTACCTGGGATTACAGGCACCCACCATCATGCCCAGCTAATTTTTGTATTTTTGTAGAGACGGGGTTTAACCATGTTGGCCAGGCTGGTCTTGAACTCCTGACCTCAG
The DNA here is from genome assembly GCF_000001405.40 of Homo sapiens. NCBI lineage: Eukaryota > Metazoa > Chordata > Mammalia > Primates > Hominidae > Homo > Homo sapiens. Next base: position 99,647,343 of record NC_000008.11, on the reverse strand, counting down.
ATGATCTGCCCACCTCGGCCTCCCAATGTGCTGGAATTACAGAAGTGAGCCAATCACGCCCAGCCATGAAAACTTTTTAAAGAGTAAAACAAAATCCTTTTTTTATATGATTTCTATATAAAGGAACATGAGCACATATAATAATGGTTTATGACTTGTATAGAAAACAATAAACAATGACAAGCCACATTGTGCTAGGATTTTTTTTTAATAATCAAATGTTATTGTCCTCTCAAAACAAAACAACCCAGAAAGCCAATATCTCTATAACAACCTCACAGGTATTTTTGAAATGTGACAATGGGGCAATTATTGAGATGCGTGTTATGTTAGGCTATTTTTGCATTATATAAAGGAATACCTGAGACAGTAATTTACAAAGAAAAAAGATATATTTGGATTATGGCTCTGCAGGCGGTACACTGCACTAACATCTGCTTGGCTTCTAGTGAGGTCTCAGGAAGCTATGATCACGGCAGAAAGCAAAGGGGAAAGCCAGCGCATCACATGGGGAGAGAGGGAGCAAGGTAGTGGGGAGGCGCCACATTCTTTAAACAACCACAACTTTCATGAACCCAGAGCAAGAACTTACTTATCACTAAAAGGATGGTACTAAACCATTCATGAGGAATCTGCCCCTATAATCTAAACACTTCCCACTAGGCCTTACCTTCAACACTGAGAGTCACATTTCAAGATGAGATTTGGAGGGGATAAACATCCAAACCAAATCATACAATCATACATATGTGCAAAAATTGCTATTGGCCAGTTGCCACTGGAGTTACCTTATAGAAAAGAATAAATTATTTTGTGTTTGAGACAGGGTCTCAATCTGTCATCCAGGCTGCAGTACAGTGATGCAATCTCGGTTTACTGCAGCCTTGACTTCCCAGGCTCAGGTGATCCTCCCACCTCAGCCTTCTCAATAGCTCAGACTACAGGTGCATGCCACTGCAACTGGTGGCAATTACAATTTTTTGTAATTTTTTGTAGAGATGGGGTCTCACTATGTTGTCTAGGCTAGTCTTGGACTCCTTAGCTCAAGTGATCCACCCACTTTGGCCTCCCAAAGTGCTGAGATTACAAATGTGAGACACTGTGCCCACCCAAAAAGAATTTTAATATCCAGAGAAAACATATGAACACTGTGGAAACACATGACATGTTACTTCTTTCACTTTTAACTTATGATGCCTTTAACTTTTCCTGGACCTTTCTTAGAACATTAGCTTCATGGTAATATCTCTTTTAGTCCCTCCAATTTAAAGACACTGCAATGACTCCTTCACTTTAGAATGCAGAAATGGAGCTAGCCACCCCCAACTTACTGCTCTCTCTGCTTCCCTCCCCATGAAAGTTAGCATTATAGCCATTTATATTTTTCTCTTTTTTCTTATCCTTAAGGTTACTATCTTGGGGCTTCCAGAAAACACCAGTTATGGAACAGTGCTTTTTTCAGGAAAGAAAGTACTACATAAAGTGTTTCTGGATAGCCAAATTGGTAATGGGACTTAGACAATTCATTCAAGTGGACAAATATAAAACACATTTCCAGATCAGTTTTTGAAAAATAATTTCATTAACATTTAATAAAACTTATATATTTAAAACTCTGAATAAACTAATTAGAGCTCCACTAGAATATCAAAGGAAATCTGCATCTTCAAAACAAATCAAAATAAATTTCTACCTGATACTGCAGAGCCTTACAGATGTCAACTCCATGAAGCCAAAGCCAAATTACAGAATTCCAAATTACAGAATGATGAAACTTCAGAACTGGAATGGACTTTGTTGATATCTATTATAATCATCACATTTTACAGATAAGAAAACAGAAAGTCAAAGAGTAAACTGCCTAAGATCACTTTACTAATTGATGGCAGGGCCATGAATAAAAATCCCAGGTTTTCTGCCTCCTAGTTAAGTATTCTTTTCACTATATGATATTGACAGCTAAAATAGTACCAGCACACATTTTTGAGGGCCTAGGCCTGCTGGCTCAATGCTAAGTACTTTAGAATTATTCATGAATTATCTCTTTTCATTTCCATAAGTGCATAATGATATAGGTATACATATAAGTGACAGAATTTGAACCCAGGTTTTCCATACCTGAGTACTGTGTAATCACATCACAGACACAGTTAACATAAAAATTCATCAGTTAAAACTTAGACAGGAATCTTTTGCATGGTCTGAAGTGGGACAATAGAGGCTGACTGAGAGAACCTCCAATTCAGATCCTTCTTTTCAGGGGACCCATAGAGGTTGAGAGTCTAGACTCAGGAGTCCAACACTTCTTAGCTTTGAATTGTAGCTCTGTTTATTGCTAGGTCTGTGACCTTGGGGAAGTTACTTAACTTCTCTAAACCTTAGTTTCCTAATCTCTAAGATAGAACATTTCCCATAGAGTTGTCATTAGCATGAAATGAGATAATGCGTTAAAGCAGTTAGGACAATGCCTGGCACAGGGTGATCACTCAATAAATGCTAGTTGAATTTTATTTTTAGCCATTGTATTTTAATTACTTGCCTCCTTTTGGGTCTTCTGAAAAAAATTTCCCTAGATCACTAAGTTCATTTTTAAGAAATATTATCATGCATATTGATAACTTTTGCTTATTACTAACCAGGAGTCATACTACTGAGATAATATAAATGTTCAAGTAGATGCATTCTGTGTAGGGAAAGGCATCCATGAGAATATTATGCAGAAAATGCTCCTTAGAAAGTATGTGAGCCTTTTTCCTCCTACATTTACCCCCCACCCCTATATTAAATCTAGCCCATGACCACCACTCTAGCTTCATGTACCAAAATTGGGTTCCACGTCAGTTTACATACAAGGTTTTTTCCCCGCTTTAAACAAGTGTTCTATTATTTTAACCTAGGAATTGATTATAATTCAAATGCCTATCTTTGGTATGAGCTCTTATAACTTTGCTGAATACAGACTTAGATGAAAATGTATAAACACATGATTTGGGAGTATATCAATAAAACAGACTGAAGCCAATCTTCTCTTACAATTTCAGAAAGTGGAAACAAGTCCATCATTGGCAGTTCTTTTCTATTACTGTGGTCCCTGGCTTGCCTCAGTTTAACAATTTCAAAGGTTGAGGTTATATACAGAGTATCCTTAGGTTGGGCTTGAAGTAAGCAAAATGAGGCTTCTGTGATCTCTGCATATCTACAAATTTAGGAAGAGGTCATAGCTGTTCCTCTCGGCCCCTTTCCCCCTCCTACTTTCCTCTGCCTCTCCTGATGATTTTTAGTACGGGCCACCCACCTATAGAGCGACTGTAGCTGAGTGAACTTAATGAAGGGCTGAGAATTAAGAATTCATCTCCTAATCCTGCACTTAAGTTTTGGCTAACGCCAAGCAGACTTGCAAGCAGGTATCAGGTATATAGGCATGAGTTCTTGAATCACATAACATGTTCCACTATACCAGCATCTCCCACATTTTCATTGCCCCTGAAGTACCTGTTATATCACAGGCACCCAGTAAATGAGAATATATTTGAGAAAGAGAGGCAGTTGTTGCTGGTAAGGGTTTAACAAATGGCTCTTGGTGTAGGAGAGCTGATATGATTGAGTTTGCAAGCATCTGCGGCATAAATACTTTCACCATGGCCAATTTAAGCTACTAGTAGTTTAACAACTGTCTTGCAAAGTTCCTGAGTCTAACAATCAGCTCTTTTGACCCATTATGAGCTGCACAGGAGAGAGGGCCAGCAAGCAGCCTGGGGGTAACCCTAGGTTACTCCTCAGCAACTGGCTAGTTACCCCTTTCTTAAAGCAGGGGACTTGCACTAAACCCTGGCCTAGAGCTCCTTTGATCCTATTTCCTCAGGCTGAATCCTGATTCCCACACCTGCCATCTACCTTTCAGGATCCTGCTGTGCAAAATGGTCCTTCTTAATGGCAAGAATGAACAAACCTGAATTCCAGATTAGATACATTGTCTGAATGCCTCACTGCTGGCTTCCACCTACTGGATGGGACCAGCTGAAAGCAATAAAATGCCTGAACTATTCCTGAGCTTGCTAGAGCCCTCTTTGAATACTGAATCTTAGGTGACCCAGCTACCCTCTCCAGTTTTTTTTGGCCAAATCTCCAAATCTACATTAACTCAGGGAAAGGGTATACTGTCACCTTGCTTGACTCCACTGGCCCTTGTTACTTAATAACTTGTATGTCTTAAATCTGAACCCTGCTCACTTTCCTAGTCTCAACAGGCAAAAAGCTTCGGAAGTTTCATATAATTATTATAATTAGAATAAGGAAGGGATGGGTTGGGCAGCAAGAGCAAATTAGCCAACATCAATATATTTTCTGTAGATGTACAAAAATCTTTAAATAATCTTTATTAATAAACCTTCTCAATTACATTTAATACGATGCTATTGCATGAAGATGATTACATCAAAAGAATACCAAAAACAAACTTCATCTTCTAAGGCTTTTCTTTTTTAATCTGAATAGAAGCATTAACATGGAAAGCATACCTATGGGCCATTAATATGAAAACGAGCTATGCTTTCCAAACACTGGAAACTGTTAAGCATCTCTATAGTCAAGAAAGAGTTCCTGATTCATTCAGTTCCTGGAAAAAGAATGAATATTCAGAGGCATAGTAAGAATACTAAGCTAAACCTCAATACATTTCAAACATTTACTTAAACAGGATTCAGCTGTGGAACATGAACTTTCCATATTCTGTAGAGAAAAGACTTTTGTCTGCCAGCTGTTTCTGTTTAATCAATCTGGAAACTATGGGAATACAACTTATTAGATAGTAATTATTAGCACTCCAGTAAGTTTGAAGGTTCTTACCTATACATTTGTAATCAGAGGCCACCCCTTTAAGCACAGCATCAAAAATGGATACTTCCACTCGCTGCTTTCTGTGGTGACAACTCAGAAGCAAGGAAGGCTGGGACACAATAAAGTACAGAAAAGGCTCTAGCTGTAAGTCACCAGTTCCTCTTCGACCAGGCTGCCGAACAATAGTTATACCAAGTGCTTGTCTAGCAGATGACCTTGTGGATGCATGAAGACTTTCAAGAGAGAGGACCCCTATTTTTTTCCCTGAAGGAAAAGAAATGCTGCTCCTTAAGAGATCTTCTGCTGTCACCGTGGAAATACATGCCTGGTTGGGCTTAGCAACATCTGAATCAACTTCTGGGAGATTTAATGAACTCTTGTCTGTTTTTTCATTATTCTTCTGTTCTTGTGATTTCGATTTGGATAAGGCCATACAGGAATAGGTCATTAGTGAGATTCTACTTGCAGTAATAAATATGTCAAAGGGAATAAAATTTAGATTTTTTACAATTGATGACTGGCGTGAGGGACGGGCAATGCGATGCTGACTGGCACCACTGTGCTGCTCTATTTGCACTATTCTGATTTTAACACTGTCACTGCCAATTCCACTATCCTGAGCACCACTGTAGCGAGATGAGGTTTCAGCCATGCCTCCATCAAATATATCCACTTTTTTCTGTTCTTGTTTAGAGATCTGTAAGAAAAAAGTAATAAAATATTTCAAACTAGTTACATGCCAAGTGTCATATAAACAATGTTATATAAACATGTTGTCAAAGAGAAAATTTTAAAAATGAGTCTAGTATAACTTAAAACAGTAATCAGAAAAATAGAATAGGTGCCCATTTTCTACACCAGACCCCTAAAATCACCTAAAAATGCCAAGGAAATACTTGAGAAAAAGCATCTAATGTTCATTTCCATCATTAAAATATATTTTTGAATGTCAGATCTTCTTTCTTTGCATTAATACAGAATAGCATATATCTTTTAAAATGTCTCTTTAAAGAATTATTTTAATACATACTTTTATAGTGATTTCTCAAGCAATATAATAAACTGTCTGCAAAATCATGATTACTGGTGGTTGAAATTACATTTTACGTAGAAGTAGTTTATGCTATACTCCTTACCTTTCTTATAAAACTGATTTATAGGTTTTTGGACAGTAAGAAAGGGAAAAATCAGTAGTCCTAAATTATGAAGGACAAAGAAAAGTACACTAAAATAAATGCATGCCATTTCAAAAGATGTTTATTTTCTCCTACTACAATAGGACTTAAAACAAGGACAAATATAAGTGATAAAGTAAAATCAAGTCAGTTATTAAGTAATTTAAACCCTTGAGGGTAGATTATTCCTTTGTGCAATAAAGGCTACTAGTTCTCAAAATTTTCCACCAATGACTCCCCATGTATAGAACAAAGAGCAACTTGGTGGCAGCAAGAGTTATAATCATTTGGCTCCAAGAACATCAGTTCCTCTTTCTTAGACTGCCTAACCATCAGTCTGCAACTTGCTATTCTGCACCTAGATATTTTACTTGCTTTTTCAACAGAATTATTAAGGTAACCATAAAAAATCCATAAGAGTAAAAAAAACTACCCCACCCCATCTTATCACCAAACATAACCAATAGTAATATTTCATGGCTCTTCCTTTCAGTCTTTGTTTCCTACCTATGCACAGGTTTGCTTCACTTGTATCCCTTTATGGTTGTAATGATACCATAGGGACAAATTGATAACTCAAATGTTGACATGCTAATGTACTCTTCATAAATATAATTTTTAAAGCTGCATAACATTTCATTTAGTGTTAGAAACAATTTGTTCTACCATTCCCATATAACTGGATATTCAAGTTTTCAATTAGTGCTGACAAACACCTAGTAATATTTTCTCAGGACAGACAGGCTCCTAGAAGTGAAATTATTAGGCCAGGTGCAGTGATTCACACTGGTAATCCCAGCACTTTGGGAGGCTGAGGTGGGAAGACTGCTTGAGACCAGGGGTTCGAGACCAGGCTGGGCAACATGACAAAACCTTATCTCTACAAAAAATATGAAGAATTAGCCAGGCCTGGTGGTGTGCCCCTGTGGTCCCAGCTACTTAGGAAGCTGATGGCTTGAGCCTGGGAGGTGGTGTTTGCAGCGAACCGAGATCATGCCACCACACTCCAGCCTGGGTGACAGAGTGAGACCCTATCTCAAAAACAAAAACAAAAACAAAAATATTTTTAAAAAGTGGAATTATTAGGCAAATGGTACGAAAAAGTTTAAAGTTACTGAATATTGTCAAACATCTATCCAAAAAGGCTGCACTAAGTTACATTACTATCAGCGATAAAAAATGTCTCCCAAAGTACTGGGTAACTGGGTATTGCTTCTTCTTCTTTTCTTTTCTTTTCTTTTCTTTTCTTTTCTTTTCTTTTCTTTTCTTTTCTTTTCTTTTCTCTTCTTCTTCTTCTTCTTCTTCTTATTATTATTATTATTATTATTATTATTATTATTATTATTACTATTTTTAAAGAGAGAGTCTTGTTCTGTTGCCCAGGTTGGAGTGCAGTGGTGTGATCATAGCTCACTGCAGCCTACAACCCCTCAGTGGTGGCTCAAGGAAGCCTCCCATTTCAGCCTTCGGAGGAGCTAGGATTACAGGCATGCACCACCATGGCTAGCTTATTTTTACATTTTTTGTAGAAATGAGGTCTCATAGTGTAGCCCAACCTGGTCTCAAACTCCTGGCCTCAAGCAATCCTCCTGCCTCAGCCTCCCAAAGCTGCTTATTATTTTAAAAACTCCTTAATTTGATTGGTAAAAAAAAACATATTTTTATATATAATAATATATATATATGCAATAACTTATATATATATAACAACTTATGTAAGAATAAATAAGTCAAGAAAGTGAGGTAATCCTCATTAAAATTCTTTTAAGAATATTTCTTGTTAATTGGTTTTTATAGTTGTTGAGAAAGTCACATTGTTAGAGAAATCCAGCATTAGCTATTTGAAACAAAAAGGACTTGTTTCTGTCCTTTGAAGACACCATATTCTTTCAAACTATGCAGTCTATACTGTGCTCTTTCCTTTCTTGGAGTGCCCCTCTGAGCTTGCTGTAGCCGATGAACATTTAGTTATCCATCAAGATAAGTGACATTTGTCCAAGAACTGTTCTCTCACTCTTTTCCTTCTTGGTGATCTTAGTAGTTCACTTATACTTCTATTATATGATATATTTTACTAAAATGTTTTGTGGTGACAGTATCAGACAGTGTTAAGACAACATATAGGCTTTGTAGTCACACAGATGTGGGATCAAGTCCAACACTCTCTAATTGTATGACTCTGAACAAATTACAAATCTAAGGCTATATAATATCATTTGTAAAATGAGGATAATAACTCCTACTTCAGAGAGTTACTGCAATGACTGAATGAACAGCACAGTGCCTGCCTTACAGTAAATATCCAACAATGGGCAGCTGTTATGTGTTTGTCTCTTTTACCAGGTGAAGAACTGTTAGAGGGAATGGAGTATACAATTCTGCTTCTATATATCACTGAAGAGCAGGGCAGTGCCTAGCACACTGAAGAGAATCCACGAATGTTTGATATGTTTATCTTTGATACAACATTAAATGAAAAAATTGCCCAGCAGACTAGAGTTACATGATTGTTACGATATAAAGAAATGTAAATGGAGAATTCTCAATACTGTACTCCTTAAGGTCTTCCCCAGACATAGTCATTCATAGTGTCTTTCCTGATCTGCATACTCTACCTTGTGGGCTGATCATACTTCAAAGAATCCTATCTCTTCCGTCTGTGTCCTCACATTGGGACATTAATACCTAACTCATAGGGTTGCTGCAGCATAAAATTAATTAACATATTGAACAAACACAGTAGGCACTCTAAAAAGGGTAAGTTAAAAAATTCACCTTCTTTGTGAAGACTTCAGCAACCCTTCCAGGTGGTGCTAGTCCTTCCCACTGCTATGCTTTTATAACAAACTAATATTATAGCAATTTTCACACTATATTCTGTCTCAGGGATTGTGAGCAATTGAAGAAAAAATAAAATACCACTGAGTATGTTTATTATTTGCCAGACACTGTTAGCACATTACATAAGCTAACATTATAATTCTTTGAGGAGGAGTACTACTATCTCCATTTTACAGCTGAGAAAATTGAGTTTTATAGAGATTGATCAATAGTTCCAAGGTCAGACAGCTAGCAGGCTTTGGGTAAGAGGAAACATCATGTTAGTTTTCCTAGAACATACTATAGTGCTTATCACATAATAAAGCTTAATAATTGTGTGCTGACTGAATAAATGTATGAACATATTTAAAAATTCAGTAAGATAAAGATAATTGTTATCAAAATAAGTTTCATTTTAGTTATCCTTATTATGAAAATTTCAAATAAACCTCCAAATATATTACCAACTAGGAATTCTCACATAACATGTGAAAAGTGATGAAATCAAGTACTTAAGCAGTCAAATGTGAAATCAAGCATATTTTGAGGCATTACAAACTAAATATCTAAATACAGTATAACTAAAAAATCCTTTAGGTTGAGTTCCATGGCAAACTCCAATCAAGAACTCAAGCTTTATAAGCTATTTTCATTCTTTGACTCAGGAAAGTCAACCACAATTAACTAAATGAAACTATAGTTTCTATGCATAGAGCATTTTTTACTTCTGATTTACAGATTTATACTTAAAATCTACTCTCTCCCTCTTTAAAGTGGATTAAGTGTTCCCATAGGTGTTAACATAAAACAACAAACCACCTGTAGAGAAAGGTAAAGAAATTTAGCATCCAGCCTATATTATGTGCTGAGACTGCTACATTAGTCTCCAGCAAATGTCAAGTGGTGTGATCTTGAGCTATAAATAACCAGCAGTGGCAGGATGGCAGCTATCAGCTCAGGTCACAAAGGTTACTGAACAGAAGTCAGATGGTAACTAATTCTAATCACTACTGAGCAGAATGGAATTTGAACCAATGACCTAGAGATGAAAGACTCTGGCTTTCATTGGAAGGAAAAGAAAAAGTACAACTTACCCAGTACTAGAAAACTAAATTCCTAAAACTGGGTTAAAAGCCAGGATTTCCTCCATTTTTTTTAAGCCTCTAAACTATCTGTAGCACTGAAGTAAACAAGCTGATGATTTTGAGACATATTTAAAAATCCACTGGTTTGTCACCAGTCCACTGCAGATTTACTATATTGAAGGGTATCTGGTCCACTATTAAGAAAAGTTTTATAATTAATTATGTGTGCTGGGCCCTAAACTTGGGCATCAATTTACTATTCCTTTGTGGAAAACGAAGAGTTCACAATATAATAACTCTGAAAGTAACTTGTGCTTTATTATTGTCCAAGGGGACTAATAATTTAAGTTGTCAAAAATAGCAGTATCTGCTTGCTGTTGGTGCAGCAGAAACATGTATCTCTGGGCAGTGCTGTTACATCAGCTCTCCCACTCTTTACCTAACTTATTTAAGATGAACAATAAAAGTTTTCTTTAATTAGCTACTGGTGTGCATTAACATGATCATGATTAAGCCATAAAAACCAACTGTACATTACTTCGGTCCTCTGTTCCATATGTTTTGAATTATTCTGTTTGAAAATGTACTTTGCGTCCCTTTCAAAAGTTCGACCTTCTGCTTTCAGAGAATTAAATGCATATTACTGTATCGAAGAAGATAATGTTTCAGACCTCCAGGCATATATTAAACACACTGGCAGCACTTGAGACAAAATGCTTTACTTATTAGATACTTCCTATTCTAAACAGTGTCATCAAAGGCTAAAAACAAAATCCATATAAAAGCTGCACAATGCTTCCACACAGAACCTGTGCCAAAATCCCTGTACTTTCCAACTAATGAGGAAAGGATGTGTACTCTTAACATATGAATGTAAGATTTTCCAAGCATTCACTTTAGGAAACTGGGATATTGATTCCATATGGGTTATGTTAAATGGAACTGTATTGGTAAAATAACCTTTAAGATATCTGGCATGATAATGATAATTAATATTCAAAAGACTAAAACAAAAGGGAATTTAGTTCCACAATGGCTAATTAAAATAAAATGAAAAAATACAGCATGCCATCTATCAAGATAAATTGTTATTGTTTAAGAACTATTTAAATGCTGTTAAAATATACTTTTAGATAAAATCTGAGAGAGCTGGAAAAATATTTGTGGCTTAAAAATGGATAGTTTGGTGAAGAAAAAAGTATAGGACTCTGAAATTTTATGCAGAGATAACAGCTTTAAAGCCTTGAGCACAACCAGATGGTACTTAAATCAGTGGAATTCTACAGTTTCACTATCAACGGGTTTCAATATGAGACAGTTTTCAATAGCTAGGAAAACATGTCAAGTTGATAGTTTACTTCTTAGATCATTTCAGCGCATTTTCCCATCCTTTCACAGCTGTATACGGTACAGATACTAGCCACCATGGAGAAGGTGCTGAAAGCCGTACTGGTAGCTAACCAACTGTAGCTAATTCCTCTTTTCAATGTATTAAGATAGGTAAGTTTACCAGCTCACTCTGGAGTTTGGTTAAGAGGCATAGTGTCTCAGGAGTAGTAAATAAAACCACATTTGAATAATGCAACAATACCAAGGAATGCATTAAACTAATTTTGGGTTATATTAATTAGATGTTCTTCAGTAGCATTTTGGGGAAGCTTGATTGAAACTTCTTGTTCAGCCATATCAACATTTTTATGAACATATTCAAATGTCAGCTCATTAATAAAAATGTTGCAAATAAATGGATGCTTAAAATTTTAAAGAAAAACCTGTGGAAACCAACCTTTTGAGAATTATTAAGGACAAAAACAAATACAATTTTTGTTTTGATGGCTGACAAGAAAAGGAAATTCAGCATCTATTCCAGGCTTTTAATTAAAATTATGTGTTTTAATCTTTTTGTCTTTGTAAGAAAACTTACTATATACCAAACATATGCATATCCAAAATTTCTTCTAACTTCCTATCATAATTATGGTAATATAATAGCCGTGCTGAAGTAATATTTCCAACAGGCAACAGTCATACCTTTTCCTTGATCAAAATATATTTTGCCAATTATGAGATTATATTTCATATCTTATAAATTATAAAAAGTCAAGTGTAAAACCACAGAATCAAAGTGACAATCACATCTATATATAACTGTGATCTTCATCCTAATTTTACCGCCCTTGCTATAATGTAGTAGTATTTTCCAAAAAGTTAACATCTTATCTAACAAATACAGTAAAAAAAGTTACAGTATTTTAATGGTTTCACATACTGAGATTACAAAGGAGAATTTTTACAAACTTGAAAAAGTTATGCACCTCATTGTGTAAACATTTGCAAACATACTTCTAGCTCTATGCTTTAGAAGTTTGTGGGATGAGGTAGGGTGGGGTGGTTGGGAGAGGCTGTCGCATGCTTTTAACAGAGATAATCTACACTGGAAGCTTTATATAAATAGAAAATTGTATTAATTTAATCTAGACAACAATAAGAATATATTTTTAAGTCTCAAAATTTCAATGATGTCCATATTATGGTTCATAAACCTTTATCATTTTATTAATGAATTACCATCTCAACTCAGTGATGTGCTAGATGAAATTTATCTTAGCAAGCACATTAAACAAAAACACATCAAAAAGAATTGACTTCAATATGAAATGTCTCCTTTAGTGTCACCAATTAATGTTATTTTTAATGAAAAAAATAAACAAACTTGAACAAGCACTGTATGCACTACCTTACTACAGATACCCAGAGCTAGAAAACAAGGGCTTTTTATCTTTTATTTCTCTAAAACTAAATGCTATACAAGATCTCAAATAATATAATTGTTCCCAGTTGAATGGCAAAAATGTTTTTCACAATACTGCAGTAATTATGCAAAAGAGCAGAACTAATGATACCCATCACTGCTTAACAGACAGAAAGATAAAGAGTACTACAGTTTCAAGTTTTCCCTTTCATGAAGTTACTTTTCCGGCTCTTTGAAGTAACAGTATGAGGCCACTACTGCCTGCTAAGTGCTAACTGCAATAAAAGCAGCATGCAGATAGTTCAGTCAAGGTTGTGTTTTACTGCAGTCTGTGTTTGGTCTATTGTTCTAATTTAAGTTGTAAATTATGAAAAGGAACTAAGACTAGTGCTAAACTGACTATAACACCTAGATCATTATCAGTGCCTATTTCAATATGATAAACTAAAAAAAAAGTATATGTATCCACCTACCAACATGGGCACATAGGTAAGTTCAAAACCTTCCTGTTGAGATTTTATCTGCAGTGTTGACCTTTAGACTTTTGTGTGTGTTTGTCCCTTTATACATATATGATTTCACAGCATAAGCTTATTTTCAGGGACTTCTAAGTTCATGAAAAAAATAATTAGTTCCAGGCAAAACTTTGCATATAGTTTAACTCAAAAACAGTTCTCATTCTCTGTTCCGTTCTTTCTCTATGTTGCTCACATATATAGTGAATAGGAATAGGTTGGTCATTTTTGTTCAAGGAGACTGGATCTAATTGATTTATACTAGGCTCTGAGTTTAAGTTTGACTTGTTTGCTTTTTGTAATGAATTCAGTTAAAACACGCACACACACACACACACACACACACACACACACCTGACACATTCTGGCAACTTGGACCTTAATCAAAACAGATGCCTCTACATAAGAAACAACAACCTGCTTTGAAATGGCCATGATGTTAATTCTTACAAAGTGGCTACTGTGTGTACAGGGTAACTACTCTTCAGACTGATGAAATCCAAGGTTCATTCCACTGATGTCAATGTGGAAACCATTTTGTCCCATAGCTGCTTAAAGATTTTCAATAGGATTAAATCAGCTGCAAGTCCTCATTATATTAGGGTTTACAATTGTGTCTGAGTTGGAGTCTGTTTTTCATAGAATTTGACTCAGAGACTGACTTAGATTGGCTCCTTAGAGCTAGTCTGATTTTACCAGAAACAACTGTATCACATCAGCCACTCTCATAAACTTGCTTTAAGATTGAATCAGCCCTGACCCTGAAGCAGATGAAAGTTTACCGAGCCTATATGTAAGTCACAGAAAAGTTTGTATTTAGTTTCTGCAGCAATATAGAAGTCGACTGTGCTTATTAACTATTCCAGTGGGCCTCTGCCTTGCAACTGTGAATGTAATTTTTTGATAAGAAAACTATAGTTGAACTTGGAGAAATTTCTATTGATGAAATACATACAAATCCTTATTTGATTACTTTATCCCCTAAATCATACATATCCCTTTAAAGAAATTATGTAGGATTCATGGAAATGAAGCAAGAAAAAGACATGCTTTTAAAACTAATTTACCCCCAATATTCAGTACAAGTTGAGAAAGTGATGACAATGGTCAAGCAATTAACTTCATCCAGTAGCTGGTTTTCATTGCCAGATAGAAATATTTGACTTGATTTTCATTATTACTTATTCTATTTAATTTAAAAAACCTGGTGTAATTAATGCTAGATTCTCTTCAAAGTAAACCCAAGTCTCAATATTCTCTACTACCTAACTAATTTTATGGAAATCCATCAAGACCCAACAGAATGGAAAGTCATTTGCAAACTTGTATTAGCCACCCTTTACTTTGTATAGATCATATTTAAACTGAACTAAAGCCATATATTCTCTCTCTGTCATATGTTATCAATACCTTAAAAAGTAATGATGCAACAGACTTGAAATGCAATGGCTAAGATGTTAGAGAGAAATATTTGTTTATGCCCTGCAGCCAATTCTTCTTTTCCATTACAAATACTTTGTTCTTCTCTGCTACTCCATAAAAATAATCACTACACCAAAATGACCTTCCACACAAATGCTTTGATCATAACCTCTTCCTTCAATCCTTGGAAATTCAAAGTATTCTCTAAATCAGGTAAAAATTCCTAACAATATCTCTGGTCAGCTAGCCCCATAGCACCAGTAAATTTTAATATGCTGATATGTCACAAGTCATTCTTGCTGTTCTAAGAAAGCAACTTTCTGTATATTAATGAAGGTAATCTAATGTATACATTAAGCTTGGATATTTTTGGTCATATGGAACTGCTTGAATAAAGTTTAAAGGTTAAAAAGAAGACATTCTTCCTCTCAAATATCAAGCATCATCTTTTCAAACATTAAAGTAGTAATCCAGTCTCCAAACTGCTAAGAAAACTTTCTTTAAAAACTATGAATTAAAAAGTAAATTTTAATCATACCTGGTGTATGATTACCAGCTGATCTTATTAGGATGTCTTTTAAGGCTAAATTTTAGAATATCACATTCACAACACTATTACCAAATTAGCACCATTAAAGAGTGTTCTTAGACTTCAAAACTTTCTGACATTTCTCTAGTTAAGAAATAAAGTTTCTACTTTTTCTTACACTAAGATAATATTATTTGGTTAATAATATTACCAAATAATATTGTGCTGCTGGGCTTTAGCTAGAATAATTTATTGGGATAAAATATTTCCCAAGCTTCTTGAAGATAGAGCTAATGTCAAAACTAATTAGCAAAATGTGAAATAAAATTTAATTTCACATCATTCATTCATTCATCAAATTGCTATTGAGCATCTACTATGTTCTAGGCACTAGCTAAGGATATAAAAAAACCAAGCTTTTACCTTCATGAAGTTTACGTTCTAGGGGGAAGCCAGCCAATAAAATATATATATGTATATATAAAACACACACCCACACACACACCATATTTGCTGATAGACTGGATGTTTAGTATTATGAGAGAAAGACAGGAGTCAGGAACAATTTGAGTTTTTTTTAGTCAGAGCAACTGCAAGAATGGAAAAAAATGATTTTCCAGATGATTACAAGCAGCTTTCCAACCTGTCTATGTGTTATGCCAAAGCTTTTACAATTTGCTTTTCCAAACTTTGCCTATTTTGCTAAGAATCATAAATGACCACAGTGATATTCCCATAGGGGCATGACACTCACGACTGTACCCAATTTTAAAGGAATCTCTAGTTCAATTATGTTGTCTTCCTAGTTCCTCCCACAAGCCAAACCATTAATCAGCCGAGAACCATTCAAAGGAAGGCTATGATTAGAGACAATGTTCTAGGGTTGGACCTAGTCCTCTTTATAGACAAACATTTGGCAATCAGAGAAATGGGGCTAAGACATGAAGTCATGCCATGATTCCCAGAAAAACCAATTGAATGAGACACAAATTCTTGGGAAGAAATTTTGGACCTGGAACAACAAGACAGACATAAGATTTTTGAGATAAATTGGAGAAGGGGAAAAGGAGAGAGAGGCCTGGCCTCTTATAATACCTCTGTATTTCTAATTGCTACTAAGCATTTGGATGCCCCATTATCAACATCATAAACAACATATCTAATGCATCATAACATTTTTAATGTCTTTTACCAAAAACATCACCTATCCATTTTACATTTTTTTCTTCTCAAAAGCTCAACTATTAAATAAACTTTTGTGGCCCCCATCAAATACTATTGGTCATTCCTTCATTTCACTAATTACTCTTGCTGTTTCCTTTTTACTTTCTCACTGACCCTTTCCACTGTCTAAAGGCCACTTGCAAGAGTTCCTTAGTTAATTTCTTTCACAGGTCTCTCCCATTCCTAATATATCCCATATAGCACTGCCAGATTACTCTCAGAACACTTTCAATATTTACTTATAAACAGTTGCCCAATGAGAATGTAAGGTCCATGAAAACAGAATTTGAGAGGGTTTTTTTTCCCCTACATTATCACCTAGCACCTAGAACAGTTCATTGGTAAGCAGTAGGTGCTCAGTAAATCTTTACGGAAGGAAGGAAGGAAAGAAGGAGGGAGGGAGGGAGGGAGGGACAAATGAAGGGAATCATTTGCAAGGTGCTCATTAGATTCCTGGGTAGGGGAGTAGATAAAAGGATGAGTTAAAATTGGAGCCTACCTTCTAGGTTAGAGATGTACTCATTTACTAAAGATGCTTTCTGGACATACCTAAACCAGGACAGAAAGAAGCCAGGATTTGGACTTGTTGAAATGGCAGTAGAGACAATGAGGCTTAGGGAAACACACAAAAAAGACACAAAAGATGAAAAAAGAGCATAACTGTAAGGAAAAAGTAAGTGTATGGAAAAGAAAATGTCCCATTTGGCTCAAATAAAAGGTTTATTAATCAGAACAACAGAAGATGTGGTTGAAAAGGCAGGATAAAGCAAGACTCTGGGTGGCAGGTTAAGAGACTTGCACTCCTCATTTTAGGCCTGTCTTCAAAGCAGTGACTCTTGAGCACCTGAATCAGAATCATTTAGGGCACTTGTTTAAATAGAGATTCTCAGGCACCATGTCATAAGCATGTGACCTGAAGGTGGGACTTAGTGATCTGCACCTACAATGAACTCCCAGTAATTCTTATGCACGTTAATGTTTCAGAAACACCGCTATGCACAATGGAGAACTCTAAGAACTTTTCAAGCAAGTCAGTGACAAAAGGATGTTTGAGAAAAATTAATGCGATAAAAATGTGCAGAGGGGAGTAGGTGACTAGAGACTGCAGGTAGCAACACCAGTTGGAAAGCAATCAACTAGATGACAATTATGGGAACCTGAAATAAGGCAATATGTAAACTAGTAGGCCTCAGGTGAATTAGAGAAATCTTATTTGATTACTCCACCTCAGAATCTGGACATGGCAGATTACTGTTTACTAAATAATTTTAACCAGAATGCTGGGGCCTCCTCTTTAACCCACACCTCACTGCTCCTCTATTCAAAGTCTCCATTCTGGAACTTCACATTCACCTTCCTATGTCCAAATCCTCACTTGTGCTGTTCTTTCAGCCTAGAATGCTCTCCCTCATAAGAGTCCATTTTCCTCCGAGAGGCCTTCTCTTTATGAGCCCACAATAACTGCTCTCTTCCCTACAATGCTGTAGAACAAGCTGTCTCTATCACTTATCTAGCACTTAGTATATATACTGCAATTTTCTTTTAATCCTTACACTCTATATTGTAAGCTTCTTGAGTCCAAGAGCATGTTATATCCACTTCTGTAAATCTTGGGCACAATGCACATAAATGTGGCAAGATAAGTATCTGTAGATGGCAATGATGATGGTGATTAAGATGATAACAATGCTAACCTAATTAGTTGATTCCCTGATATTCTTTAAAGCAACAATGCCAACATATAGGTAACACTTACTGGATGCACAGTATGCTCCAGGAACTTTTCTATGTGCACCATGTACATCAACTCATTTAATCCTCAGAACAACTCTACTAAAGAAGTTTCTATTATTATCCCCATTTTAAGGCAAAAAGATTGAGGCCCAGAGAAGTTAAGCAACTTGCTCAAAATCATACAGCTAGGCTGGGCATAGTGGCTCATGCCTATAATACCAGATCTTTGGGAGGCTGACATGGGAGGACTTCCTGAGCCAGGAGTTTGAGATCAGCCTGTACAACATAGCATGATCCCGTCACTACAAAAAATAAAAAAAATTAGCTGGCATGGAGATGCATGCTTGTAATCCCAGCTACTTGGGAGGATAGCTTGAGCTTAGGAGTCTAAGGTTGCAGTGAACCATGATCACGCCACTGCACTCCAGCCTAGGTGACAAAGCGAGATCCTGTCTGCCCCCTTAAAAAAAAAAAAACACATAGCTAGTAAATGGTGAAACTGGAATTTGAACACTGGCAATATAACTCTGGAGTTCATTTTAAAATCACATCCTACATAGTTTGTCTCGGAACCTTATTTCTTTCATAGCTCTTAACCATGACTCAAAAATCTTTAAAGTTTTTGTTGTTGTGGTTGTCCACATGTTTCCTTACTAGATGGCAATATCCTTAATTGTAGGGACTAATTAGTCTTGTCCACTGCTACATATGTAGTGTTGGGCACATACTAGGTGCTTCATAAATATTTGTTTTGTAAAATGAATGAAAACATGAGGAAAAGGGAACAGGAGGCAGGAGTAGAGGAGTGAAGCAACACATACCATTATGAATATCTAAGACAGCTAGGGAGATTTTTTTTTTCCTGCAGATTTCAGACAGATGGCTTTCCAGAGAAAGCTCTTCATCAATACATGAATGTACTTTAAAATGCTGAAAGGAAAAATCCATTTGCAAGGTGCTGGAACCAGGTGTCTCTATTTTAGCAAATCACTGAATTCAAGAACAGGAAGTAGGGCTTGGAGATAGAGCACTGCACTAGGGAGCTAAAGATCTGGCTGAGTTCCACAGTTTCCACTAAGTCACACCTGTGTGCAGCTATGTGGGAAAAAACTGACTTTGTTCACAGCTTTCCTTTAGTCGACACGGAGTTAAAATGGAGTAATCTAGGCCAAGTTCATATTCTAAATTCAATGCATCAGAATCATGACTTGTTAGAGCTGGAGGAGGTTCTGGATCTCATTGTTTCCAGAGATTTTCAAACTACTTTTCTGCCACAGTACACTTTCTTCAAAGAACGTCTTATGGGTTAATGGAACAGTGGTTGAGGGGTGCGTAGGAGAGAGGGGATGCACAATCTGTAAAACATATAAAAGCAAAGTTGCCACAGAACAACTGTATAATGCATATGTGTGCATGTAATTTGAGGGCAACACAGCCCATGCTACAGGTCAACTGCCCCTTGATGTAATTTTTAAATTAGTATTATTTTTGATTGACAAATCATAACTATATACATTTATGAGGTACAGTGTGACGTTTTGATATTTGTACAAAATGTGGCATAATTAGGTCAGGCATGGTGGCTCACACCTGTAATCCCAGCACTTGGGGAGGCTGAGGCAGGCAGATCACATGAGGTCAGGAGTTCAAGGCCAGCCTGGCCAACATGGTGAAACCCCATCTCTACCAAAAATACAAAAATTAGCTGGGCGTGGTGGTGTGCCCCTGTAATCTCAGCTACTTGGGAGGTGGAGGTTGCAGTGAGCTGAGATTGCACCACTGCCCTCTAGCCTGGGAGACAGAGCGAGATTCCACCTCAAATAAATAAATAAATAAAATAAAAATAAAATAAAATGTGGCATGATTAAATCAAGCTAATTAACATATCCACCATCTTATCATCTTGCTTATTTATCTTTTTTTTGAGACAGGGTCTGGCTCTGTTGCCCAGGCTGGAGTACCTATTTTTTTATGGTGATACATTTGAAATTTAGTCTCTTAGTTATTTTGAAATATATAATACATTATTATTGACCACAGTCACCCTGTTATCCAATAGATTCTCAAAACTTATGCCTCTTGTCTATCTGAAAGTCTGTACTCTTTGATCAACAACTCCCCATCCCCTCCTTTCCCCTACCCTCTAGCCTGGGGTAATCAATCATTCTACTTTCTACTTCTGTGAGTTCAACTTTTTTAGATTTCACATGTGAGATCGAGCAGTATTTGTCTGTGCCTGACTTATTTCACTTAGCATAATGTCCTCAAGATTCATCCATGTTATCACAAAAGACAGAATTTTCCCCTTTTTAAGGCTGAATAGTATTCCATTGTTGACATATACCACATTTTCTTTATCCATTCATCTGTTGATAAACACTTAGGTTGACTCCTAGCTATTGTGAATAATGCAGCAATGAATATGGGAGTGCAGATATTTCTTTGGCATATTGATTTCAGTTCCTTTGGGTATATACTCAGAAATGGATCACATGATAGTTCTATTTTTAGTTTATTTTAGGAACTTCCATACTTTTTTCCATAATGGCTGGATGCATTTACATTCCCACCAACAACGCATAAGAGTTCCTTTTTCTCCGCATCCTCGCAAACTTGTTACCCTTGATATAATTTTTCAATATATGCTTTGAGATAATAATTCATCTACTTAAAGTGGATATATAAATGTGCTTTTTGTATATTTAGAGTTATACAACCATCACTACAATCAATTTTAGAACATTTTATCACCCCTTCCAAAGAAACCCCATACCCATTAGCAGGCACTTCCCCTACTACTCCACCTCCCCTACTTCCTGTGACCCTGAGGTAACCAGAAATCTACTTTTTGTCTCTATGGCCTTGCTTATTGTAGACAATTCAAATAAATGCAGCCATATAGTATATAGTCTTTAATGACTAGCTTCTTTCCCTTTGTACAATGTTTACAGGGCTCATCCATGTTATAACATGTACCTTATTGCTTTTTTGTGGTCAAGTAATATTCTACTGCATGGTGCACTACACTTTTATTTATCTATTCATTAGTTGATGGATACAGGTTGCTTCTGCCTTTTAGCTACTACAAATAATGTTGCTATCACATGTACAAGTTATTGTGTTGGACATATGTTTTCATTTCATCTAAGATCACAAAAAATTACTCCTATGTTTTCTTCTAAGAGTTTTATAATTTTAGTTCTTACATTTAGGTCTGATTCATTTTGTGTTAATTTTTGCATACGGTATGTGGTTTCCTCTAATTCTGTTTATTTCTGTAAAGTCAGTATTACTGTCACCTCTTTCATTCCAGATTTTAGTACTGTAGTCTTCTTTTTCATAAACAGACTAGCTAAGAGTTGTCAATGTTGCTGGGTTTTTTTTGTTGTTGTTGTTGTTATTGTTGTTTTAAGGAACTTATTTTATTGCCCAGGCTGGAGTACAGTGGCGTGACCATAGCTCACTGCAGCCTCGGCTTCCTGGGCTCAGGTGATCCTCCCACCTCAGCCTCCCAGGTAGCTGCGACTATAGGCGTGTGCCACTATACTTCGCTAATTTTTTGTAGAGACAGGGTTTCATTATGTTGTCCAGGCTGGTCTTGAACTTTTAGGCTTATGTGATCGCCCGCCTCAGCTTCCCAAAGTGTTAGGATTACAGGTGTGAGCCATTGTGCCTGGTCTATTGTTTATTATTATTAACATATAGGAAACAGGTTCTCACTATGTTACCCAGGCTGGTCTTGAACTCCTGGACTCACGTAATCCTCCCACCTCAGCCTCTCAAAGTGCTTGGTTGCTGATCTTTTTGAAGGATGAAATTTTTTTAAATTTTCTCCACTGCTTTTCTATCCCCCTTTGATATTTTACAAAGGCCTTTGGGAAAGTGAAGAGTTTGAGGTTAAGTAAATAGCAGTTTCCCACCCATCCCACTTTTAAATAAATGACCACATGTCTTGGATGGCCTGAAACAATCCTATTTCATGAGTATTGTCTTGACTTACTTAGTAATAATTTATTTTATTCTAAAAATTTTCCTGTTTAGATGATAATATACATAGTTACCCTAGCAGAAGTTCTGGTCTAAAACTGTGGACCTCCTGCATGTTATATCTAACTTCCTCCCAGCCTTTTCTGTTTGTGTGTTCTCAGGCTTTAATCCCAGCACTTTGGGAGGCTGAGGCGGGTGGATCACCTGAGGTTGGGAGTTCGAGACCAGCCTGACCAACATGGAGAAACTCCGTCTCTACTAAAAAACAAACAAACAAAAATTAGCCGGGCATGGTGGCGCATGCTTGTAATCCCAGCTACTCGGGAGGCTGAGGCAGGAGAATCACTTGAACCTGGGAGGCGGACGTTGTGGTGAGCTGAGATTGTGCCATTGCACCCCAGCCTGGGCAACAAGAGCAAAACTCCATCTCAGGAAGGGGGAAAAAAAAAAAAAAAAGCAAAATAAGGACAAGGACAACACAAATATCAGTTCAAAGAGACACTTGCAGTCAGAATGGTAGAAAAGAAAGAGTTAAATCACAATGAAAAACCTGGTATGTTCAAGGTTTTCACTGGAACAAAAATGTTCATTAAAAGTGGGGGTAAATATTACTGCAATAAAACACAATGATGAAATATAGCTTCCTTAACACTGTAAAGACAGTGGGACAGTGACTCAAGGCACTGGCATATATTTTATTTTGATAATGTAGTTCACAATATAGCAGCTGACTTTATCCTTAGGAACACATTTTATAAATAGCAGGGATGGATTTTTAGGCCTGGCTACACCTACCAGGAAAATGATGCAACCATTATTCACCTCTTCCAACTATGGTTTTTACTGGCATCTTCTATGAGTTACACTTTGGCGCTCTTCTAAACATCATCAGGCCACAAGCTCAGTCTAAATCAAATATTTTTACAAACTAAACAATCCAGTGCTAAAAACTACCTAAGTTACAAAGATCTAATGCCATTTCCATTCCAAGGAATGGACTATTTTATACAGAAAAATGTTCTTACTACATCAAAAGAAAAAATGGTACTTTAAACCAAAAGAACTGGGCTGGCCAGAGCATCAGAAAAAATCAAACCTATACTGGCTACCAACTGACATACATAACCCACCAATGACATTTTCCAATCTCTGTATCCCATCTACCCACATAATGAATTATCTAGGCAAGTTAGTTCATTTGCTATTGGGTCAGTTAAATTGGGTTCACACAGAAAAAAAAAAAAAAAAAAAAAAAAATATATATATATATGTATGTTTCATAGACATAGCCTTTACCTTTAACTCTAACAACCTTGCAAATGTGAGCCCCTTTCACATTACTATTGCAAAAGAACAAGTGCATGTTCTTATGATGATAAATGAGTACCATTATCTCTGCATGTGGAGAGTATCTGATTTTCAAAAAGCTGAGGGAAAGTATATAAGCAATGCTGGCAAACTAACCTACCAAAGCCAGTGAAACTTTCATTTTCCCTACACTTGATCTCAGCCAAAAGGCCAAGAAGTGATTGAATATACCCTTTCCAGTGGCTTCAATTATCTCCCACTTCTACCACTTCTATCTGTAGTTTTACCACATAAGGCTCTGTATTGGTCAACTGCTACCAGAAGCAGCATAATATTACCTCCTCAATAAAACTGTAACTTCTTTGCGGTGATTCATTAATTATATCCATCATTTACTTATTCAACAAATTAGTAGTGAGCCCCTACTATGTGCCCAGTAATTTAAGGCACTGGGTAGATACCAGTAAAAACAAAAAACAACAACAACAACAAAAAAACTCTCCTTGTGGAGCCTATATTACGAGGAGGTAGGGAAATGTCACAAATAAGTAAATAATATGCAGTATGTTAGTAGATTATACATGGTATGAGAAAGACAAGAGCAGAGTAAAGGAGATCAGGAAGGGTTCTACAGGAAGACTGTAGTTTTAAATAGGGAAGTCATGGTAGGCCTCATCAAGGAGGAGACATTGAGTAAAGACTCAAGCTGCTGGGAAAGCACCTTTGCAAAGGTCTGGTGGCAGGAATCACAAAAGACATGCTCAAGGAACAGCAAGGAGGTCAGTGTGATGGACAGCATAGTAGAAGAGGAGGTCAGAGACTGATGGAGGGGTTAGATCTCATAGGGCCTTGAAAGCCATCATTGTCAACACTGGCTTTTCTCTAAAAGAAGCAGGACTCCTTGAAGAAAGCTTTTGAGGGGACAAGAGACTCACTTGACTTAGGTTTTAAAAGGATCACTCTGGCTGCTGTGTTGAGAATAGGGTACAAAAAGGAGATGAATTATGAGGCTACCTTAGTAATCTAGGTGAGAGATGATGGTAACTTGGAAGAGAGACAAACAGTGAAGGTAGTGATAAGAAGTCAAATTCTGGATATATTTTGAAGTTAGAGCCAAGAAGATCTCCTGACAGATTAGATACAACGTCTAAGAAAGAAACAGGAGGTGAGTATAAACTCATATTTGGCCTTAGCAACTGGAAAAGGGTGTTGTATATGACTAATATGAGAAAGACTATGGATGCGGTAGGATTGGAGAAAGGGAAAAATCAGGAGTTCCATTCTGAACATGCTAACTGCATACAGTGAACTGCCATAATCTTTGCAATAAAATTTCAGTTAATTCTCCTCATTATAAAATTATCTGTAGATTAAAAATCAATCTGTGCCCTTTTGTTTTTTAGGCAATCTAAAATTGTGTTGCATATCTCATATAAAATACCTTGTATCCATTACAGGATACTACTTCTCTCACTGGGGTAGTTGGAAATTCTAGTCTACTAATTAAGCATTAAGGAAAATTCCTGCTTGCTTTCCACTTACCAAAAAGAAATATGCTCATAACTTCTTGTCCCCTAGATTCAAGAATAAAATATCTCTGTAATCAGTGTCAGAAGACCTGGAGGCGAAACCTTGGCTCTTCCACTTCCCTGTTATGGGACCGTAATCTCTGCAGATCTCACTGACAACATAAACTGGAGAAAATACCTACTTTACAGGGATGGTGTGAGATTACATTAAATGATGTAAGTGAAAAAATTTCATGGATTGTAAAGAGCTATACCAATGTTAGCAGCTACTAATCTTGTCTCTAGCCTTGCAAAAAATTTGCACAAGACTTTTTAATTGTTTTGCTCATTCATTCATTGATATATCCTACCATCTTACAAAATGGAATGAATGTTTGAGACCAGCCTGACCAACATGGTGAAACCCCGTCTCTACTAAAAATACAAAAAAGCCCGGCGTGGTGGTGAGTGCCTGTAGTCCCAGCTACTCGGGAGCGTGAGACAGGAGAATCGCTTGAACCTGGGAGGCGGAGGTTGCAGTGAGTCGAGATTGTGCTACTGCACTGCAGCCTGGGTGCTGGGTGACAGAGCGAGACTCTGTCTCAAAAAAAAAAAAAAAAAAAAAAAAGAAACAAAACAAAAAACAAACAAACAAAAAAAGGAATGAATGTAGATAAGAGTCTTTTGAGGAATCTCAAACTAGCAAAAAACTCCTGATAAGTTTTCTTGGGGTTTCTTCAGTCTTTCTGCCCATGCCTTTCTAAGAGCTTTCTAGACAAGGGTTACAAAAATAACTTATCTTACATAAGTCAGATTCTGTTATAGCGAATTCTGCAACAAGACAATCACTAAAATGAAAGGGGAAAAAGGCCCTGGTAAAGTAATAGGAGTTAGCATGATAAAGCAATTAAGCAGTGAAGAGTGGGCTATATTACATGTTATAAAAAAGTCAACTGGGCTGATTCCAAAGTGCTAGGGTCAAAACAGAGCAGACTCTTAACAGATAACCTGCTGGGGACAAGAAGATTATATATAGCAGGGGAGGGAAAAGAGACGGCAATGGGGATTAATATCAAGATCTTGTCCTAACTATTGTCAATTTACTTTGTAAAAATTTTGGTCTGACCTTGATAGCCCTTCATCCTTATTTATGGAGAAGAGAAGGGAATGCAAGTAATCTTTCTCAATTATATCTCCATATACAGAGAGACTGGGGGATTTTGCTGACAAAGGCAAAAGGTGGAGTCTAAGTTTCCTGTTAAATCTTAGTAAGTCAGCAGCAGAACAGTGACTTGTGCTCTTAAACCAACAACAAAATTCTGTGGGAAATAATCTCAATCTTTAACAACTTCTTCCTAACCCTAACTAAAGGAGTCTGCAAGATTTATGAAGATCCTCTAGTTTTTCTTTCTCCAGTATGCTCTCAGACACATGGCACTTTTTTTTTTTTTTTTTTTTTTTTGAGATGGAGTTTTGCTTTTGATGCCCAGGCTGGAGTGCAGCAGCACAGTCTCAGTTCACTGCAAACTCCGCCTCCCAGGTTCAAGCGAATCTCCTGCCTGAGCCTCCTAAGTAGTGGGATTACAGGTGCATACCACCACACATGGCTAATTTTGTATTTTGTATATTTTTTTTTTTTAGTAGAGACAGGGTTTCACTAGGTTAGCCAGGCTGGTCTCAAACTCCTGACCTCAGGTGATCCACCTGCCTCAGCCTCCCAAAGTGCTGGGATTACAGGTGTAAGCCACTGTACCCAGCTGACACATGGCACTTCTTATCATATGCCATAATTATTTACTGAGAGGGGTGTCTTCTGATCTAAGGTGTGAGCTCTCTTGAGGTTGGGAAAGTATTTTATTTATCCTTATAACCACAGAGCCTTTGGCACATACATAATGGGAACTCAATAAAGGTCATTTTCCTGGTTCTCCTTCTATGCACAGCTTTCCCTCCCACCCTTTATTTCTCAGTGGCTAACTCCAGAGCTCTTTTAGTGAGATCTCATACATATTTCATTATACTTTGGTGCTGTAGGCTGCCCACACAAAAGTTAAGGCCAAGGAGTTTCAATGCAGGAAACCCAGTATTTTAGACTGCGTATTTCCTCATAAAGAAATGGAATGCTTGGGACATAAGAGGAAAACATCATTCCAGCAATTCACCTGAACTGGGTTAAACTTACTGCTGTCTTAAGAAGAATTTTGGTTTCTAGTTCTCTTGAGTCACCCTCAGTGGTTTTTATTGCAACACTATCATTCTTGTAAACTTATTTTTTTCAATGTCATCACGAAAATTTTCAAACACAGAAAAACTTGAAAGAATTTTATGGTAAGCATCCTACCTACATTCTCTAATGAACAGTTTCTTGTCTACTAATTTTAATAATAACTATTTGGGGATAGCACAGGCCTCAGCAGGAGAAAAAGGAACTTTCACTTATTGTTTATAATTTCAAAAGTAAAAAAAAACCATTAATAACAGCTATATTTACTTATTGAAATATATACTATGTGCTAAGTTCCTTGCCTACATTATTATTATTATTATTATTATTATTATTATCATCATCATTTTGAGACAGGGTCTTGCTCTGTCACCCAGGCTGGAGTTTAGTGGCACAATCTCAGCACACTGCATACAACCTCCACTTCCCAAGCTCAAGTGATTCTTCCACCTCAGCCTCCAAAGTAGCTAAGACTATAGGCATCCACCACCACACCCGGTAATTTTTAAATTTTTTGTAGAGACAAGGTTTCACTATATTGCCCAGGCTGGTCTCAAACTCCGGAACTTAAGCAATCCTCCTGTCTTGGCCTACCAAAGTACTGGGATTGCAGATGCAAACTCCCATACCTGGCCAGACTACATTATTTTTAATCATTATAAAATTGTGGGGAAACTGAGGCATAGAAGAGCAGTTAAGGAACCTGGCCAAGTGCCAGAAGAGGTCTCTAAAAGCTAGTCTTACATCAAAATTTACACTATTTTAACTATTCTACATGATTCTAAAAGCCAGATGAGGAAAAAACAAGACAATTGATGCAGACATTAATCATTACCTACTCACCATACATTCCACTTTCCCCTATCCTAAGAGAAATCTAATTTTTCACAGCACCCCCTTCTCCCAGCCCATGTGTCTCAGGGAAATACACAGCAACCTCCAGGATCCAGGGGTGGAATGGGTCTAAGGGTGATCTTCCTTTCCTTTGGTTCAGAAACTCAAGCCTAAGCCATTCAGATATGGCACTGCTTAAATCACAGGGCTTGGTTCAGGAATGGCATGAGATATAATTTGGTCTAATAAAACATGGGAAGAGGTTTTCTCAAGGCTTCTGGGAAGGAAGCTTCCTCATGCTTATAAGGTAGCTTTGGGAAACAACTTGGCCACCGTGAAGTGCAGACATGTACATAGGAACTATTATAGCCATAACACCACCATGAGGAAAGCAGCCTAGGATGAAACCAACATATCAAGGACAGCAGAGCAGAGAGAGTTAGGAGAAAAGAAGCTGTATTCGACTGAGATCATTCTGGAGTCACCTCTGGGTTTTACAAGAGCTAAGAGAGCTGAGACATTTCCTTCCTGTACAATACTCTAGGTTTTCTGTTATTTGTAGCCATAGGCATCAAAGCTGATTAAAAAAGCCACTAAAAGAATAACACTTTAATGAAAAAACAAATAACTAAAAGAGAACGAGGTCAAAGGATTATATTCAGAGGCGAATGAAGGGTTTATTGAGTTGGGCAGGCTGCAGAAAATACCAGATAATCTGTGGAATTCCATTCTCAGAGTTAAGTTTAGCAGCATCGGCAGTTTTCTGAGGTTGCTCACGGACAGAATTTTTAGACTTTCCCTTGTGAACAATTCTAACATTTCCATCAAAGATCATATAGTAATGAATTCTATTCAAGCTGTAAAAAGTCTAGATGAGTTCTTGCCAGCAGTCCCAAACATGCAGACAACCACTTTGTCACTCAATTCCAGTATTTTTCCTTGTGCTTTTGAGAATGCAATTAACTAGGATTCAGCAGACCTAGGTTCTAGTTCAGGCTTTACTTGATTACCTTTGTCATTTCAACTTTCTGTGATTCGGTTTCTAAACCTGAAAACTCCTGGGATTGCTCTGAGAAACAATTGACAGAATTTTTTTTTTTTTTTTTTTGAAATATACACATGAAGAATTATTATAAAGGAAATACATTAATAGTACATTTGCTACTGCTTACTGGTATCAAGGCTTTTTATCAGTCACTATTATATAAGAAACATGCTAGAAAATTGTCACAATATCACACAGAGGAAAAGTACATCATTTGCCCTTTTTCTCTCACCCTTCCCAGTTGTTTGGAGCATGGTACTGACGGAGCAAACTGCAGTTCTCCATGAGGTTATGTCATTGTTAATATTTATCACAATAGAAAGGAAAGTACTGCTTACCAAGATGGGTACATTTTTCTGGGAACAGAGTATCAGAAAAAAAAATTAACAGCTGAGAGATCATGAGTGAGCTGCAAGGGCTGGGTATGAGGTTGATAACCAATACAAAGAGGAGTGGACAGGGAATGGACAACACATTTCTTCTACTTCAAAATTTTGCCTGAGCAGGGACTGGCACCATTTATACACTTTGCCATCTTAAAACAACAAAGCCTAGCATAAATTAGGGTGGAAAAATTGTTTAGAAATCTTTCAGTGTAATGGATGTGTAAGTATAGGCTTATATTGTTTTCTTGTTCCTTACAGGAGTTACACTTAATTCTGTCCAAAGCAAGTTATGTGTTAAAACAAAAAACAAACAAACAACAGAAAAACAAAAACAGCTAGGTGTGGTGGCTCACGCCTGTAGTCTCAGCAATTTGGGAGGCAGAGGAGAGTGGATCACCCGAGGTCAGGAGTTCGAGACCAGCCTGGCCAACCTGGTGAAACCCCATCTCTACTAAAAATACAGAAATTTGCTGGGCGTGGTGATGCGTGCCCATATCCCAGCTACTAGGAACCTGAGGCAGGAGAATTGCTTGAACCCGGGAGACAGAGGTTGCAGTGAGCCAAGATGGAACCACTGCACTGTAGCCTGGGCGACAGAGCCTGTCTCCGTCTCAAAAACAAACAAAATACAAACAAACAAAAAAACCCCAAACAAATAACCCAAAACCTAGGTTTTACTATTTCAAAGTAATATTATTTGCATATGTTTCACACAATCAACCTTCATTTTTAGGCTTAAAATAGATCATCTATGTGAGAAATTATTTTTGAGGTACAGGAGAGATGCAATTCTTAGCTCCCAAATTTACTCATCTGAATTGTCAAATCTTATGACTTTTCAATTTTTGTGTATATGTGTATCTGTGCTGATATTTTTAAAATTTAACTTATAATCTGCCTTCATGTAATATGCTACCACTTTACATATAGTCTAAGAACCTTACAACTATACATCTCCGTTTCTCCTCACTCAGCTTTTGTACTATTGTCAGACATTTTGCTTTCATATATGTTATTAACCCCCAATATATTATTGTCACTTCAGTCAATTATTTCAAATACATTTTTGTAATGTGGGGGAAAAAGTCCTTTATAGTTATTATTCCCAGTTTTCTTCATTCTTTTGTCTAGAGACAGATTTATATCTGGTGTATTTATTTACAGACAGGATTTCTGGTGCAATCTCGGCTCACCGCAACTTCGGCCTCCCGGGTTCAAGTGATTCCCCTGCCTCAGACTCCTGAGTAGCTGGGATTACAGGCACCCGCCACCACGTCCAGCTAATTTTGTATTTTTAGTAGAGACGGGGTTTCACCATGTTGGCCAGGATGGTCTCAATCTCCTGACCTCGTGATCTGCCCACCTCTGCCTCCCAAAGTGCTGGGATTACAGGCATGAGCCACTGCGCCCGGCCATATCTGGCATTCTTATACTTTCTTGTTAACATCATTTCCCTTTCTCCATATTTTCTGCTGGTGAAATGCCTATTTATCTTTCAAAGTTCACCCTAAGTGTTACTTCCTCTTAAACGTCTTGAGATACCTCTCCTTCACCCCTATAGGCAGAACTGATCATTTCCTTCTCTCTGCTCTTCAGTCCTTTCTTTATACATCTATTACTCATTATCTCGTGAGATTTTTTTTAAAAAATTATCCATCTAGGTAGTAAATTCCTTTATTATCTGGCATAGTAAACATACAATAAATATTTGTTGCATGAAATAAATGTCCAGAGACTGGACCTCAGCATCTCAAGATATAGGCTCTTCTTCTCCCTCTCCCTGCCAAAATGGTAAAGTCCAAATTAATTTTTAGCTAAAACAGAGTAAAAGAATACAGCAGTTTTAAACTTGGTGATAATAATAATCATGTGGTATGCTCATCAAACTACAAATTCCTGGGGCCTTCTCCAGACCTACTGAATCTGTAGAGGAGATTTTTAACTCATTTTAATGAGCACTCCTGATGATTATCATCATAGACTAGGTTTAGAAAACACCTACCTACATATATATATTTATGTCTATGTATATATTGCCTATAATATACATATATACTAGCATCGCATAAAAAAAGACAATAAACGTTTGAAAGAAAGTTGGACTTTTAGAATGAATCATTATAATAATAATATTCCAAAAATAATCACTGAATTCTCGAACTGAAAGGGGCTTTAACATTCACACGTCACAACTCCCCTTGCCAGCAGGAAACAGGCCCAGAGAGGTAAAGTGACTTGACCATGATTCCATCAGGTGTGGCAAAACAAATTTTACAGAAATTTATCTGATTTTTAGTTCAGATTAATGGAGAATCCAAAAGAAATCTAGACAGTGATCCATTATAAACTGCCAAAACATATTTAAGCATACACTTTTCCTTATCAAGGGAATAAAGAGTTTTTAAAAACTTACAAATTAATCTATGGTAGCAGATTCTAGCAGTGATAACTACTACAACTTTTGAGGAGTGTCTACTAAATGCCAAGCTTAAGTGTTTGTTTTCAATGAGCATAATTTCAGCAAGGCCTCACAATAAGATTAAGGATTAAGGAGTACTATCCCAAATTTATAGACTGGGAAACAGGCTCAGAGGAATCACAGAATTTGCTGTCTTTCAAAGCCAGTAAGTGGTAGCGCCAGGATTAGAAAACAGCTTTTCTGACCATTCTATGGTTTTTGCACTATACTGTACTACCTCATTTAGAAGACGGCTAATAATATTACTTATAATAATAACACATGAGTAATTATTACATTGAAACAAAGGCAAATTTTAGAAGACATGAAAACTTCCTGGTACTTATTTTGGCAAGTAAATTTTTTTTTTTTTTTTTTTTTTTTGAGACGGAGTTTCACTGTTGTTCCCCAGGCTGGAGTGCAATGGCGCAATCTCGGCTCACCGCAGCCTCCGCCTCCTGGGTTCAAGTGATTCTCCAGCCTCAGCCTCCCAAGTAGCTGGGATTACAGGCATGTGCCGCCACGCCTGGCTAATTGTGTATTTTTAGTAGAGACGGGGTTTCTCCATGTTGGTCAGGCTGGTCTCGAACTCCCAACCTCAGGTGACCCACCTGCCTTAGGCTCCCAAAGTGCTGGGATTACAGGCGTGAGCCACCGCATCTGGCTGGCAAGTAAATTTTTTAACATGAAACTTGGTAAAGGCATCTGCTTTTTTCTCTAGATTATTGCTTCAGGATAAGAAAAAATAATAGAAGTTTATTTAATCCAAATAATGAAAGCATAAAGTTCTGTTTTAAATCATTAAATAACGTAGGACTATTTCTAAATGACCCGGATTAAGCCTAAATCCCATGAAATACTCAGGTTAAAATAATCCTAGACTTCCTTCTTATACTGAAACACTTTTAAAATAATTGTAATTTAGGCCAGGCGCAGTGGCTCAGGCCTGTAATCCCAGCACTTTGGGAGGCCGAGGTGGGCGGATCACTTGAGGTTGGGCATTCGAGACCAGCCTGACCAAACATGCAGAAACCCCATCTCTCTTAAAAATACAAAATTAGCCGGGTGTGGTGGCATATGCCTGTAATCCCAGCTACTTGGGAGTCTGAGGCAGGAGAATCGCTTGAACCCGGGAGGCGGAGGTTGTGGTGAGCTGAGACTGCGCCATTGCACTCCAGCCTGTGCAACAAGAGCGAAACTCCATCTCAAAAATACATATATATATATATGTGTGTGTGTGTGTGTGTGTATAAAATTTAAAATAAAAACTATTTTAGGGAGTTATTTTTCTCTAGTGAAATCACAGTAGCCTACATAATCTGCCAGTAATCTCTGAATGTAAATCTGTGTTTGCCCTTGAATTTGTCATTTAATTTCTTATTGTTTATTTAACTGAGGGGTATAAACTAGACAAGTACTAAGAGGTTCCTATGGTGTGCGTCTGTAGTCTAGGTACTTGGGAAGCTAAGGCAGGAGGATGGCTTGAGCCCAGGAGTTCTGGGCTGTAGTGCACTATGCCAGTTGGGTGTCTACACTAAGTTCAGCATCAATATGGTGACCTCCTGGAATCAGGAGACCAACAGGTTGCCTAAGGAGGGAGTGACCAGCCCAGGTTGGAAATGGAGCAGGTCAAAACTCCTGTGCTGAGCAGTAATGGGACTGCGCCTATGAATAGTCACTGTACTGCAGCCTGGGTAACATAGCAAGACTTCTTCTTCTTCTTCTATTTTTAAATGGTCTGTTCAGAGTATATATATTGTTGATAGCATGTCACCACGTTAAAAGAAACCATATTTATCCAATTTTACATTTCTATAACCTGTCATTCAGGTCCCGGGTGCTTTGACATTTATGGTAATTTACCACTGAACAACAGAAGAAATGAAAACATTTTCACCTTTCCTTTATGCTCCAGGCTACTAACAAGTCCACACAACAAAACATATTAAGCACCTAGTAAATAAAAGAAATCGTGCTATCTATTGTTTCATATACACA
This sequence comes from Homo sapiens, assembly GCF_000001405.40. NCBI lineage: Eukaryota > Metazoa > Chordata > Mammalia > Primates > Hominidae > Homo > Homo sapiens. The sequence goes on along the minus strand of NC_000008.11, from coordinate 99,613,503 downwards.
GGGAAGTATAGTCGCTGCTCTTGCCAGCTCTTTCATAGTCTTTCTGAATGAAGTAAGGGACAGGTGAATGGATAGATGGGCAAATAAGAATGTTGATAGGTGAACCACCAAATAATAAATATTGTTTTAACTGCCTTCAAGAAACTTTCAGTCTACTTACAGGAATTGATTTAGAAAACAAGAATTTATCATTGGTCACTGGCCTGGTACTATGTGAGGCATCAGCAATGCTGAGATACATAAGGCAGAGTATTTATGCCCAAAGAATGTAAAACAGGCTGTCTACCCTCCAGAAAGACCTAAAAGGTATAACAACATAGTCACATTTTGAGACACTAAAGATGAATCAGACTTTGAACTTGTCTTTAAAAAAGATTTCATGGTAGTCAATTGTCTTCTTCATGAAAAATAATTATAATTATAAACAAGTATAAAGGGTAAAGCTATCTAAGATTTTTTTAAAAAAGATACAAGGGTGGTTTCACATAGAAACTGGAGGAATCCAGAAATACAAATGATCATTTAAGCTTGGCCTTGAAGGCTAGATAAGATGACAGCTGCCACAGAATTAGAAAGAGAGATAGAAATAGTCAAATAGATAGCAGGAGTAAAGGAATGATAGTAGGAAAATAGGGAGGGGGGTCAGAGTAGGAAGTGGAAAAAGTTGACTATCCACATTTGTCTGAGACTATTCATGTCTGAGATTGTCACACTCACAGAATAATATGGAGTGTCCCTGGTCCTAATCCTCTAAATGCTGAGTGTAGACCTTTAGTAATGCTGACGTTCTAAAACATTTCCAAACAACTGTATTCCCACTCCAAATGAGAACTACACAGGTTTCTGTGAGAAAGAATAAAGCAAGAAAGATAAATTGGAGGCTTCAGTAGCAGGCTGAGTTCTTATTTAGTTCAGCAGGCAAAGGGAAGCAATGAAGGTTTTTGAAGAAAGGACTGAAATGACCCTAAATAAACCTTAGGATAATTACTCTGGCTGCTGTGTATATTAGACTGGCTTAAAATAGAAGGCAGGAAGTCAGCAGAATATTTAGTATTGTGGCATAGTAGTAAGGACCACATGGCTGGAAATACACTCAATAAGAGAGACTTTATTTCACCACCATAGATATTTCCATTTACTGAGTACTTTTGTGTACCAAGAATTGTGCTGAATACTTTTACTTTCTTTTTTATTCTCACAACACACCCCACAGGGATCTGTGATGCTCATAACGTTAAGCACTGCTACTCTTATTCTCATTTGATAGATGAGGAGAGTGAAGTTTAAAGAGTTTAGGAAAGTTGCACAAGAACACAGTCTCTAAAGCCAGGATTAGGAATCCAGATTGCTAGTCTAATGGCAGAAACACAGCCGTACTTTAGACATAAAATCTGGGTTGAAATCATGGCTGTATCACTTACCAATAACAGGACCTTTGGAAAATAACTTAAAATTTTCTGTGTCTCAGTTCCCCCTTTTGAAAAGTGGGAATAAGAATAGTACCTATATTTCATGGAGTTATAGAGAGGGCTAATACTCAGTATTTACCATACTTAGCTAATAATAAGTATACAATAAATGTCATCATTTTCATCTTTATCATTTTTAGTCCTCAGAGTCCTAAAATTTTTAGATATCACATCTTATCCTTTATCTGTATTTCTTTACAGAAAAATTCAATCAAACCCAGTCTATCAGAACAGTATTTCTGGAAAGAAAACAATGTTTTAAAGTTTATAGAAAGGCTAAAAGACTTTCCAGTCTATTTTACTAGTGTTAAAAGAGAGCAAAAAGCAAAACATCTACCACAAAACAATCCTTGTTATCAAACAGAAGACTGCTTAGAGTGTAAAAATGCTGTTTTAGGGTAGTGAAATTACTCCCATAACAAATAAGTATGTCAATGATTGCCACATCCAAAGCTTTGAGTTTTTTTTTGTTTGTATGTTTTTTGGTTTATTTGTTCCCGGTAAGAACAGTCCTCATTTAGCTATTTGAGAATTAAATGAGATAATGAGATAATGCATATAAAAAAAACAGGTAGTACTTGGCAAGCAGTCAATAAGTATTATCTATTGCTATTTTCATCACTATTAATAATGTGATTATTTTAAAGTACAAAAGTATAAATATGTACTTTAAGTCTTCTGAAAATTCCTATCAAAAATATATCACAAATAAAGCACTGACAAAAATGAATCTGATTTCAACCAGCTAAATATCTCTACTTAATTTATTTCCTGTCTATTATATTTTCTATAGGAAGGAAGTTTACTTGCAGACTTTTATATAGCTAATTCATTCAACCTACTGCAAAATTCTTACATATGTTTGCAGCAGTAAGAGGTTTTATAACTAAAGGCACATCTCATTCTTAAAATATTTCTTTAAGTTGTTCAAATGAATTCATTTCCCATAAAACACTGCTTAGGGGAATTTAACTTGAGAATGTTAGAATGTCAGCATAATTCATATCCAATTTCTCAAATCTAACAGTTTTTCTATAACCATTTTTGAAGACTAAAAGATTATTTGAAGATTATTCAATATGACAGACAAATTAAGCCTTGCTTTGGACTTTTTCTAAGTTACAATATCTCACATAGATTTTCTAGTAAAATAGCTGATAAAAGTCTTGGTTTCCAGATTAGAATAAGAAAATTCACTACTCAATATTAGGCAAATAAGTAAAAAACTAATTTCCAATGTTTCCTCATTTTAATATTGTTTATTTTCTGAATTTCTTTAGATCATGAAACTTTTTTTTATTATACTTTAAGTTCTGGGATACATGTGCAGAACGTGCAGGTTTGTTATATAGGTATACATGTGACATGGTGGTTTGCTGCACCCATCAACCCATCATCTACATTAGGTATTTCTCCTAATGCTATCCCTCCCCTAGCCCCCCACCCCCTGACAGGCCCTGGTGTGTGATGTTCCCCTCCCCGAGTCCATGTGTTCTCATTGTTCAACTCCCACTTATGACTGAGAACATGCAGTGTCTGGTTTTCTGTTCCTGTGTTAGTTTGCTGAGAATGATGGTTTCCAGCTTCATCCATGTCCCCGCAAAGGACATGAACTCATTTTTTATGACTGCGTAGTATTCCATGGTGTACATGTGCCACGTTTTCTTTATCAGGTCTATCATTGATGGGCATTTGGGTTGGTTCCAAGTCTTTGCTATTGTGAATAGTGCTGCAATGAACATATGTGTGCATGTGTCTTTATAGTAGGATGATTTATAATCCTTTGGGTATTTGCCCAGTAATGGGATTGGTGGGTCAAATGGTATTTCTGGTTCTAGATCCTTGAGGAATTAAACAGGAGAAATATGATCAAAACAACAGCATATTCCAAGATAACAAAAATATATTTGTTTCTACTCAAAATGACAAATGACTTTCCATTAATCTTAACATTTCTGGAAATATTAGTTTTAGAAAAAAAGAAACAGGGACAGAAAGTTGGGTGTGTGAGAGGAGCATTTGTGAAAGCATGGTCCACAGATCCCCCGAGGTCCCAGAGACCCTATTAAGGACCGTTTAACATCAAAACTAATTTCATAATAATTCTAAGGCACTGCTTGTGTTTTTCACCCTGTTGACATGTGCACTGATGGTGCAAGAGCAATACTGAGTGCCTTAGCATGAATCCAGGCAGTAGCATGAAAACAGCTATTTCTTGCTGAATCCTTCTGACCATACACTTGCGGTAAGAAGCAAACTAAGTAAGTTTCATTTAAGGATGTTCTTAATGAAACAGCAAAAATTATTCATCTTATTAAATCCTGACCCATTAATAAACATCTTTTTAATATTCAGTTCAATGAAATAGGAAGTACACATAAGACATTTTTGCTGCATACCACAAAATGATAGCCTCAAGGAAAAGCAGATGTGCAACTAAACTGCAAGCTGTACTAACTGATTTCTTTATGGAAAAGCATTTTTGTTTGAGGAACTGACAAAACTACAGTTCCTCCAAATTGGGTACTTCACAAACATTTTCTCTACAATGAACAAAGCGGGCCTGTTACTTCAAGGAAAACTATAGATAGCGTTTGTTGCCAATGATAAAATTTAAGCTTTTAAGCAAAAATTAGCATTTTTGAAAACTAAAATGAGTCATTATGAACCTGATAAAATTCCCAATATTTAGGTTTTTCTGATGAAATCAGTGGTAATATTAACCAATGTGAATTTTGATATTGTGTAATAAAATGTATAAACTTTTGGAAGATCTGCATAACTAACTAAACAAATATTTTCCAAATGACTATTATGACTAATATATAATGTTACAAAATCGTGCATGGGTGAAAGATTCATTCTAAGTCAAGAGAAACCAATGAACTATAACATAACAGAATAAGAAAAGTCTGTTGTCATGGTTTCCGATTTCACTTTGCAACTAACCTTTAAGAAACTACCATGGTTAAACAAGGACTTCCCATGTGATCTAGCAATTTTATTTCTAAGTATATTCCTACGGCAAATGAAATCACATGTCTACACAAAAACATGCACATGAATGTTCATAGCAACTCTATTCATAATAGCCAAAAGGTGGAAACAACCCAAAAGTCCATCACCTAATAAATATATATATATTTTTAAAAAACACCTATGGTATATATCTATACAATAAAATATTACTCAACAATAAAAGTAAATACTGATACAGGCTAAAACGTAGAGGAATAATATAGACATTACACTAGGTGAATGAAGCCAGCCACAAAGGACCACATATTATATGACCCCATTTACATCAAATGCCCAGAATAGGCAAATAGATAGAGAAACAAGGTATGTTAGTGGTTGCCTAGCAGTGGAGGAGATGGGGAAATTGGGGGTAGTTATGAGGTTTCTTTTTGGTGTGAAAAAAATTATAAAATTGAATGTGTTGTTAAAATTATTCCAAAATTGTGGTGATGACTAAATAACTTTGAATATAATAAAGGTCATACAGCTGTACATTTTAAATGTGCACATTGTATGATGTGTGAATTGTATTTCAACAAAGCTGTTTAACAAATTCAGTCAATAATGTGGATAGGCCAGATGCAGTGGCTTACCCCCATAATTCTAGCACTTTGGGAGGAGGCAGGAGAATCACTTGAGCCCAGGAGTTCAAGACTAGACTGAGCAAGAGAGTAAGACTCTGTCACTACAAAAAAAAAAAATTAGCTGGGCATGGTGGCATGTCTCTGTGGTCCCAGTTACTAGGGATGCTGAGGTAGGAGGATGGCTTGAGCATGGGTGATCGAAGTTACAGTGAGCCACGATCATACCACTGCACTCCAGCCTGGGCAACAAAGTGAAACCCTGTCTCAAAAAAAAAAAAAAAAGTAGATTAAAAAATATACTACCACTGGTTGAGTTTTAATGCATTATCAAGGAAGAATATCCACAATTATCTTTAAGGTTATTAAAATACTCTCTCTTCTAACTACATATCTATGTAAGGTTGTATTTTCTCCATATGCTTCAACCAAAACAAATATTACAACAGACTGAAGCAAATAAAGGAATCTAGCTGTCTTTCATTAAGGCATACATTAAAGAAATTCACACAAATTTGAGAAAATGCCAGTGATTGTTTTTGTTTTGAAAAATATAATTGTTATAATTTGGAAATATGACTGTTATTTATGTTTACATCTAAGGCATTTTTATTAATATTTATTAAATGAATTAATATTTTTAAATGTCCCATTTTAATTTTTATATGGTAAATATTAGGTTATAGCTAATAAACAGTAATGAGTTATAGCCAACCCACATAAATAAAAGTTCCCTGTGGTCCTCAAGTTTTTAGACTGTAAAGGAATTCTGAAACTAAACAATTTGAGAACCATTGTTCTAGAGTTCTTTTATGTGAGAAAATCGATAATACAAATTGTATATGACCTGCTACTAGACCTATATATAATTCAATAGACTTTCTCTTATTAACTTTTGAGCTTCCATCTCTTAAAGACACTTAACTGAAAAGAATCATAGGGTAATGGGAGTGAGGGAAATACCTGGGACAATCTGAAACAGGTCTAGGCCCAACAGTGTATGAAACTACCACATTTCTTACGTGTGGGAGAGGAGTTAAGAGACTAAAGTTTTCTTTTAAAATACACATGGTATCTTAGATGCATAAGATAAACTACCATTGGTCATTAATCTTGGGCTCCATCTATCCAGATTATCTCTCTAGACCAATGAAATGAAACAATTTTCATCAAGGAGCTCCGGAAATAGTTACAATGTTGGGTATTCACAAAGATTTTATAATTTTGTTTAATGTTCTCTTGGAAAAGAGGGAAGGTTATATACTTTCTCTTTCATTTTTACTAACATAAACAGGCCTCTTTTTATTGCATTTGGCTTTATTGTGCTTCACAGATACTGTGTTTTTTACAAATTGAAGGTTTGTTGGTTACATGGCAGCAGGAACTCTGCAGAGTGATTAAGGTTATAGATCTTGAAATGGGGAGATTATCCTTAATTATCCAAGTAGGTCCAATCTAACCACAAGTCTTTAAAAGCTGAGAACTGTTCCTTCCTGTGCTTAAAGAGACATGTAATGATGGAAGAGCAGTCAGAGACATATTTAATACAATATAGGAACCTGACCTGCCACTGTTGGCATCGAAGATGAAGGAAGAATACCATAAGCCATATAATGCAGGAAGCCTCTAGAAAATACAAAATTAGCTGGGCGTGATTGCGCATGCCTGTAATCCCACTACTTCGGAGGATGAGGCAGGAGAATCGCTTGAATCTGGGAGGCGGAGGTTGCAGTGGCTGAGATCACGTCACTGCACTCCAGCCTGGGAAACAAGAGTGAAACTCCGTCTCAAAAAAAAAAAAAAAAAGAAAAGAAAAAGAAAAAGAAAACAAAAGGCAAGGAAATGGATTCTCCCCTATGGCCCTCCTGAAGCAAACAAAGCCATGCTGACATCTTTTTTTTCTTTTTCTTTTTCTTTTTTCTTTTTTTTTTTTTTTTGAAACTGAGTCTTGCTATGTTGTCTGGGCTGCTCTTGAATTCCTGAGCTTAAGTGATCCTTCAGCCTTAGCCTCCAGAGCACATGGGACTGACATCTGGCTTGATATCCAGATTCCAGTCCAGTGAGACATCTGTGTCAGACTGCTGAAAGAACTGAAAGATAAATTTGTGCTGTTCCAAACCACTAAGTTTGTGATAATTTCTATAGCAGCAAGAGAACACGAATATAATAGTAATGTCAGTTTTCACCTGAGGCTGTTTGAGGAAGATTTACCAAAATATTAAAAAAGTTTCAGCCCGGGCTGCTGGACATGCCTATAATCCCAGCATTTTGGGAAGCCAAGGCAGGTGGATCACTCGAGCCCAGGAGTTTTGAGACCAGCCTGGGCAACATGGCAAAACCCCGTATCTACCGAAAAAAAAAATAATACAAAAATTAGCCAGGTTTGGTGGCATGCGCCTGTAGTCCCAGCTGCTCAGGAGGCTGAGGTGGGAGGATCCCTTGAATCTGGGAGGCAGAGGTTGTAGTGAGCCAAGATTGCACCACTGCACTCTAGCCTGGGTGATACAGTGGGACCTTGTCTCAAAACAAGCAAACAAACAAGCAAACAAACAAAAAAAGTTTCAGCTCCAAGGCCTCTTACTTGCACAGGCCATTTTATGACCCTGAACCTAATTTTGTAATTATAATTTGTATTCTTTTTAAAAAGGACCAACTTCAGGCCCCAGAGAACCTAGATCCACCCACCTGCCCTGGAGAATGCTAAAAGCAATATTAGAGGAATTATCACAGATAGAGAGACACCCACATTCCAAAGATTCACAAATATCTTCCAAGGCTATTGAAAGGGAAAGATCTTAGAATTTATGTGAATATGGCTCCATGAAAAGAGAGATGCCTGAGGAAAAAACTAGAATGATGGGAAGTTAATTTCAGAAAATATTTTAGAACTAAAATTAATGACTGCCAAAACTCTTCTAAAATGTTGAGGAGATAAATTAAGCAGGAGAAACATTTATGAAATGATTATATCTAGGATTAGAGTTATCTATAGATTGAAGAATAGAGTGTTTAGACTCATTTTTTTTTACCAAATGGCTCAAATTTCACAAAATTAGAAGAAAGAGACATTTATGGGTTACTTCTAGAAAGAAACTTCTCTAGTCGTTTCATAGACAATTGAAACTTTTCATGAACTATCAACAATTAGAAGCAGTCTATCTGTGCTACTTTTTCTTAACTACCTAGTTGCTCCAACTCATCTCAAGTCAACAAATAGGCATTTATTTCTTGGACCACAGCACATATTACCACTGGAGGTCAGTCATGGGTTTTCCCTCAGGTCATCAACATCACTAATGAAAGACTAGTAAGGGAGGTGAAGGCCAAATAACATAGTGCAAATCTCACATATTGCAAATGAAAAGACTAAAGCTCTGAAAGACTTAGAAATGCCTGGCATAGAAGGAATTAATTACAGTTGCAATCTGTACTATTAACCGATTTTTAAATGTTTTTGAGAGTTAAAGACACATCTTTCAATAAAATGTTTTATTTATAACACGTATCCTATATGAAGGAGAATAGACAAATCCCTTGAACAGAAGAATTCCATGTGATTTATGTAGATACTCCTCCCTTAACATCAGACAAATCCAAATTAAAAGACATTCTACAAAATATCTGAGCAGTACTGCTAAAAACCGTCAAGCTCATCAAAACCAAGGAACCTGTAATCCCAGCACTTTGGGGGGCCGAGGCGGGTGGATCACTAGGTCAGGAGATCGAGACCACTGTGAAACCCCATCTCTACTAAAAATACAAAAAAAAATTAGCCGGGCGCAGTGGCAGGCGCCTGTAGTCCCAGCTACTCAGGAGGCTGAGGCAGGAGAATGGCGTGAACCCGGGAGGCGGAGCTTGCAGTGAGCTGGGATCATGCCACTGCACTCCAGCCTGGGCGACAGAGCAAGACTCTGTCTCAAAAAAAAAAAAAAAAAAAAAACACCAAGGAAACTATGAGAAACTGTCGTATTCTAGAGGAACCTATGGAGACATAACCAAACGTAATGTGGTATCCAGGATGATCCTGGAACAGAAAAAGGATGTTAGTAAAGTGTCTTTAGCAAAAATTGAGAACATGCAAATAAAATATGAACTGCAATTAATAATAATGTATCACTGTTGGTTCATTAGTTGTGAAAATGTACCATATTATTGTAGAATGTTGACAAGAAGGGAAACTGGGTACAGTATATAAGGCAACTTTCTATACCATTTCCATAACTTTTCTGTAAATCTAAGACCATTCTAATATTAAAAATTTTAAAAGAGCTACATTCCAAAAATTAGTAAACTCTTAAGCGATTTATTAGTAACTGAATCTACCTCTTTTTTGGGCTGCCAAGAAGTTTAGAGCCAAATTTGAGGTTCAGTCCTTGTGGCCTGAATTTACATTGTGTTTTTATGCCTCCAGTCTTAAATTTTAGAAATCTTTATATTTCACCATTATTTGTAAGTATTTTTCTAGATTTTGATTTATATTTACTAGGCTAAAAGTTAAAATTTAAATAGAATAAGCAGGTTCCTGCCACCCATCTCAAACCTGTAAGCCCTACTTATTCCTTAATAGATGGCCTTACATCTTAGTTCACAGAGGAAAAAATCATCAAATGGGCATGTTTCAAATACCTATTAACAAAACCTGTGAATCTACCATTGTCCTCTCTCATCCATGGTTTTACTTTCTATGGTTTTGAAAATATTAAATGGAAAATTCCAGAAATAAAGAGTCCGTAAGTTTTAAATTGTATGCCATTCTTAGTAGTGTGATGAAGTCTCCCACACCTTCCAGCTCCATCCAGCCTGGGTCGTGAATCATCCCTTTGTCCAGTGTATCTATGTGGTATATATGACCCGCCCATTATTCACTGAGTAGCCATCTTGATGATCAGATCAACTGTTCCTGTACTACAGTGCTGTGTTCAAGTAACCCTTATTTTAATAATGGCCCTAAAGGACAAGCATTATGATGATGCTGGCTCATTGTTATAATTGTTCTATCTTATTAGTTATTATTAGTTACTGTTAATCTCTCACTGTGACTAATTTATAAGTTAAACTTTATCATAGATATGTATGTGCAGGAAAAACATAGGATAAACAGGGTTTGGTACTATGTATAGTTTCAGGCATCCACTGGGGGTCTTGGAATGTATCACCCACAGATAAGAGGGAAGTGCTGCACTTGCATCTGTGGTGATCTTCCCTCTTACTTTCGGTTATGTTAGAAGAAATATCCTGCATCCTAATGTTAACCTCTCTGCCTTTTTTAGGGACATACAATTCTCCACTAATTTAGGAATGTCGTTGTATCATTTTTTCCTTCTCATTCCAATAAATTCCAATCTCTCTTTCAATTGGATTCTTCCCACTGACATTTCAACATGCTTGTCTTTTTTCATATTTGGAAATAAAACCAGTAATTCTGTGAAGAAAGTCAATGGTAGCTTGATGGGGATAGCATTGAATCTATAAATTACTTTGGGCAGTATGGCCATTTTCACGATATTGATGCTTCCTATCCATGAACATGGAATGTTTTTCCATTTGTTTGTGTCCTCTCTTATTTCCTTGAGCAGTGGTTTGTAGTTCTCCTTGAAGAGGTCCTTCACATCCCTTATAAGTTGGATTCCTAGGTATTTTATTCTCTTTGTAGCAACTGTGAATGGGAGTTCACTCATGATTTGGCTGTTTGTCTATTATTGGTGTATAGGAATGCTTGTGATTTTTGCACATTGATTTTGTATCCTGAGACTTTGCTGAAGTTGCTTATCAGCTTAAGGAGATTTTGGGCTGAGACAATGGGGTTTTCTAAATATACAATCATGTCATCTGCAAACAGAGACAATTTGACTTCCTCTCTTCCTCTTTGAACACCCTTTATTTCTTTCTCTTGCCTGATTGCCCTGGCCAGAACTTCCAATACTATGTTGAATAGGAGTGGTGAGAGCCAAAAAAGAGCCTGCATAGCCAAGACAATCCTAAGCAAAAGAAAGCTGGAGGCATCACGTTACCTGACTTCAAACTGTACTACAAGGCTACAGTAACCTAAACAGCATGGTACTGGTACCAAAATTGATATATAGACCAATGGAACAGAAAAGAGGTCTCAGAAATAACACCACCCATCTACAACCATCTGATCTTTGACAAACCTGACAAAAACAAGCAATGGAGAAAGGATTCCCTATTTAATAAATGGTGTTGGGAAAACTGGCTAGCCACATGCAGAAAACTGAACTGGACCCCTTCCTTACACCTCATACAAAAATTAACTCAAGGTGGATTAAAGACTTAAATTTTAGAACTAAAACTATAAAAACCCTACAAGAAAACCTAGGCAATACCATTCAGGACATAGGCATGGGCAAAGACTTCATGACTAAAACACCAAAAGCAATGGCAACAAAAGCCAAAATTGACAAATGTGGGATCTAAATAAACTAAAGAGCTTCTGCACAGCAAAAGAAACTATCATCAGAGTGAACAGGCAACCTACAGAATAGAAGAAATTTCTTGCAATCTACCCATCTGACAAAGTGCTAATATCTAGAATCTACAAAGAACTTAAACAAATTTACAAGAAAGAAACAACCCCATCAAAAAGTGGGCGAAGGATATGAACAGACACTTTTCAAAAGAAGACGTTTATGCAGCCAACAAACATATGAAGAAAAGCTCATCATCACTGGTGATTAAAGAAATGCAAATCAAAACCACAATGAGATATCATCTCAGGCCAGTTAGAATGGTGATCATTAAAAAGTCAAGAAACAACAGACGGTGTGGAGGATGTGGAGAAATAGAAACAATTTTACACTGTTGGTGGGAGTGTAAATTAGTTCAACCATTGTGGAAGACAGTGTGGCAATTTTTCAAGGATCTAGAACCAGAAATACCATTTGACCCAGCAATCCCATTACTGGGGATATACCCAAAGGATTATAAATCATTCTACTATAAAGACACATGCACACGTATGTTTATTGCAGCACTATTCACAATAGCAAAGACTTGGAACCAACCTGAATGCCCATCAATGACAGACTGGATAAAGAAAATGTGGCACATATACACCATGGAATACTATGCAGTCATAAAAAATGATGAGTTCATGCCCTTTGCAGGGACATGAACGAAGGTGGAAACTATCATTCTCAGCAAACTAACACAAGAACAGAAAACCAAACACCACATGTTCTCACTCATAGGTAGGAGTTGAACAAGGAGAACACATGGACACGGGGAAGGGAACATCACACACTGGAGCCTGTTGGGGGGTCAGGGGCTAGGGGAGGTATAGCATTAGGAGAAATACATAATGTAGATGATGGGTTGATGGGTGCAGCAAACCACCATGGTACGTGTATACCTATGTTACAAACCTGTACGTTCTGCACATGTATCCCAGAACTTAAAGTATAATAAAAAAAATTAAAAAAAGGAAACCAGTAAAACAAATAAAAAGCTTCTCCTTGAAACTTTAAAAAGACAATAGTCCAGTCTAACATTTTTATTTAGGGTATAAAGGAAACAGTGAGCTGGTTAAGAGTTCAATAAAGTTGCAAAGTGCAGGGAGATGCCAATCAGGGGCCTTCCAGTTTAGGAATAGCTGATGCCTACAAGCAAACATGTAAACAGAAGAGTCATTGCCTTTTGTTATCCAATTTGGAACAGCTGGAGAAAGAAAGCTCTCCAGCACTCGCTCTGCTTCAATACATGTGCTGAGACACTGCCTCTCAGGCAAATGCAAAGTTAGCCCATTACTGGTTTTTCTCCTCTCTTCCCCAAATGAGTGCTTCAATTTATGCTTTCGTTATCTGAATTACTACAGGAGATTACCATGCTGGGTCTCCCTGCCTAGTCCACCTGCCACTATTCCAAATGTGAATCTGATCATGTCATTCTCTTGTTTTTGACTCTTCAATGGCTTACCATTGCAATTCAATAAAATGCAAATTATATACAAGGACAATTAAGGCCTTGTAAAGCCTCATTTTTGCTTAACTGACCCTAAGAACACCCACATCCATACCGGTTAGGTCACTAAACTGTAGTGCTTCTAACCAATATATTCTCAAGTGGGGTGTGTATGTGAGAGAGTGTGCCTGCCCACCTGGCTTTGATAATTATTAGCTAGGTACAAGTTACAGGACTTCCTTGAGACTTTGTTTCCATATCTATCCAATCTGAAAAGTAACCCCAAATTCAGAGAGTGATTATGAAGATTAAAGGAGTTAACCTATATAAAACACTTAGACTACTGTCTCACACAGGGTGAGTTCCCAATATGTTAGCTGGTGTTATGGTGTTATGGATCCTGGGTAGTTGCCTAAGTAATACACATTCTGACAAAAGCTGCACTGAGTAGCCCAACAATTTTTAAAGCTAGGTTTACTGAAGTATAATTTGTAAACAATAAAATTCACCCTTTAAAAATGTACAGTTGAATGGGCATGGACAAATGTATACATTTGGGTAACCACCAGCATCATCAAAGCCTTCCATCTCCCCAGTGTATTTTTTGTCTCTCAAAGGTACACTACTAAATGGGCCAGTCTTCAGAAAGAATGGTGAGGGGCCACCTGTGGCATTTGCTAAAGTCCGAGAATCTTAAAAAATGTAGAAGGAAGATTACGGGGTTTAAGCCATGGTGTTTATTTTTTATTCCTCTATTATCTGAGAGGATTTTAAGTCATTTGCTGTGGAAAACCTTTGAGGAAGAGCCAAAGTTCTAGAAATAAGCAATCTAAAAATGTCTGAAATCTTAGATGAGAATTATATACACTTCCATGGCTCTAATGTTAATTTTTCTTAAAAGTCTATTCCTTTATGTAATAGTAACCAAAAGCCCAGAAGTTGCTTGTTAGAAAAGTACAAACTCAGATAGGAAACCAAGCAAACCACGGACCCTTAATTATTTTGAACAGCCTGCTCATTTGTCACATTTTTACTTGGAAAAGATCATAAATTAGTTAGAACCGATTTTCCTAGGACTTTCCTCCTTCTGCACAAATATTTTTGTGTGTCACAAGTACATGGTATTAAAAGCATTAGAAATCAGAGAACAGTAGGTGAGGAAAAAACAATTATTCAAGAGAAAATTCAGGGTCAGAGAGATGACATAATTTAGCATGAATGGGAAGAAATGGAAATTACAGAGGAGTAGATGGGAGAGGCCCGGGGAGACAGGAAGGCAGATATTAATAGTAACCTTGAGAGGACAGGGGCTGACTGAGATGGAGATGTAGCTGGAGCAAAGGGAGTTTTACCTGTTCTTACCAGCTTGAGTACAATATTTTAAAAAATGTAAATTTATCATGCTTCATAGAGAGTTGAATATAGTGTTTTATGTAGTTCTTTATTCTTTAGATAGTTGTAGAGAAGTCAAATACAATAAATAATGGCAAAAAGTCTGGGGAAAGGGAAACTTTACATTGGATAGAAATAACCACTACTTTAGAAATGTTTAGAAATGGTGAACTAAGTACTGTATATTTTATGTTGGCTAAAGTAATTTTTTTTTTGCAAATGAGATTTTACTTTAAAAAATCATAATTTTTAACTATCAAAGACAGCATAAGAACAGGCACCAAACATTCATGGACAGGTTACCAAGTGGATCTACACTGGGGACTGAAGGGAAGGGAGGGCTAAGGAAGTGCCTAAAACCAAGTGGTTAAGTGGAGGAGGAGGAGGAAGGGGAGAAGGCAAAGGAAGGAATGCTCAATTAGTGTTATAAGTTGTCTTTATTTTCTTCTCCAGGATATGTAGTGCAGAGATCAAAGAACTCCCACATCAGATCTCCAATGATGTGGTTCTATTCTTTGCCCCTAAAAACATGGTTTATATTTTCCTACAAAAGTTTTATTTATTCTGAATCACTGATTTGAAAATGAGCATGTGTTAGTCTTTACATACACTACCTCTGTAAGTAGACTTAATAAGATGATTACTTGCTATTCAGGAATAAATGAATAATTACTGCAGCCAAATGAACGTAACCCAGGGCAATCTCAGCACTCTCGCCCTTCTATATAATCAATAACAATTGTAGCTTCTGAAAACAATGGGTGATACTACATAGTACAGATATTTCCTTACTAAATAATGAGATAATAGGTCCTCATTATAATACAACAGGTAAAATGTAACTATAATATTTATGTTTGAAGATCACATAATTACAGATGACTATTATCGATGTGGGAGCACAACTGAGAGCTTCAGACTAAAACGGATCTGAACTTTCAGGCACACCTGTTTAAGTCATTGTCTAGCTGCACAAACACCAACTTCTCTCTATTGCTCACTGACTTAAGCAAAACATTTCAATCTGATATTCAAAGCACTCCATGGTATGTACTTAACCTATCTGTCTCCCTCAAACATGGAGTTAGCCAACAATTTCTTCCAATTCTTTTGAAGTATATGTTGTATACATCTTATTTTTTCTACTTCTAGGAACAGAAATGAGAATTACTATGAATTCAGGAATCCATTTATTAATTCACTCAGCAAGTATTTATTCAGCATTGAAGTCCATTGTGTGCTCAGTATTTTCCCTGGGTTTTATCATCTCAGACTTAGAATACTGTAAGAACATCTGATCAGTAAGGATTGTGCTTGGCTTTATGTAATAGTGAGCCAAATACCAACGACTTAACTGTTTAGGTTTATTTTGCTCACATAACCTAAAGTTAGGGCTGGTGCAGTAGCTGCATGATGTCACTGATATCTTAGGACCATTTTCTCTGTCCACTTTGTTATCCTTACTGTGTTTTCTCCTCTTGTTTGTCATCACATGGTCACAAGTGGCTGGTCACTTCCATCACTGTTATTCCAAGGAGGAGGAGGAGAAAGAAAGTAAAGACTTTCCCAGAAATCTGTAGAACACTTCTCTTTACACCTCATTGACCAGAACTGTGTCAAGGGAATCAGATGATGTCATCAAGACTTTGTCTCTCAAGTTTGCTTATTTCTGTTCATTTGGCTCCTTCTCTCTTTTTCTCTCTCTAACACTGACAGGTTTTCTTCATACGACAGTGGTAAAGAAGGATGGAGCATGAACAATGAAAGCTTCAGTATTATACCTAAACTTATTTAACTACAGGAAAGACAGTTTACCTTTCTCACTGTCTTCATATGAAACACTATCCTTGTCTGGGCCCTGTGATCAGATCACCCAGTAAATGTCAGGAGGATGGAGTACAACAATTGGCCAGGCCAGTGTCACAGGGCGACCCTATAATGGGAAGCCCCATCAAAACCACAATGGAATAGGAAACTATTGTTTACCTAAAGAAAAGGGAGTTCATCGTCAGATGAAGAGGGGTAGAACCAATAGGAAAAGACAATATTTGTCACTATAGACGTACTGAACAATTTGCAAGCTAACACTATTTCTGACATATTATATGATATAGAACTTTAGGATCTATTTGAGGATATGTTCGAAGTATTGAGGAAGAACCAAAGCTGCTTTCTGAGGAATATCATGACTGCCTACCAGGTAACCCTGAAGACTCTCTAGCTACGGATGCTGGTTGTACTCCAATATCTGTTGTCACCTACTT
This sequence comes from Homo sapiens, assembly GCF_000001405.40. Classification (NCBI taxonomy): domain Eukaryota; kingdom Metazoa; phylum Chordata; class Mammalia; order Primates; family Hominidae; genus Homo; species Homo sapiens. Next base: position 99,596,862 of record NC_000008.11, on the reverse strand, counting down.
TCATAGTAGAATAATTTTTAGCAGGGCACACAGCAGAAAAACAATTTTTAGCAGGGCACATGTAAAATACTATATTTCTATTCTGCAATTATACAGGCAGAATAAAAGAAAAAAGACTACATTTCTCAGCCTCACTTGGAGCTGGGTGTGACGACATGGCTAAATTCTGACCAATGGAATGTGAGCATAACTGCTACACGCAACGTCAGAGTTTGTCCTTGTAGGGAGGGGTCCCTACTTTCTGTTTCATTTCCCCTATGCTCTAATCTGCTGCTTATAACACAGACATGGTAAGCCATCTTGGACCAAGCCAGTGAGATACCTCAGAGATGATAAATTAACAACAAGAGAGGAGACAGGGTCTCTGATTGACCTTAGGGAGCAGAGCCACTATACCAGTCTTAGACTACTGACCTAAGGACTGTTACCTGAGAAAAAGAAACTCATATCTATTTTGAGTGTCTGTGACATGCAGCTAAAACAGTCTCCAAGTGAAATGTTCTAACCCTTATTTTCACAATAAACTTCTCTGCTAACTTGTCCATTTCCATCTGGTTTCCTAAGCGTATGTATCTGTCTTTAATCAGAAGTACCACGTCTTAGCTACTCTAGGCTCCAGTTGGGGAGCTATGTAACCCAAAACATGATAGTTTCTGTTTAAAAAAAAAAGAACTTACAGCAAAATTCTTTTCAGAGAAGATACTTTAGTGCAGTAGTTGTCAAATGCTGATCTATTCAACTCTCAGAATTTTGCAAATGTGCCCCAAATGTCACTGGAGCAGTAGGTTATGTAGGTAAACATTCTGGTCCAGTGTAAGAGGGTTCCAATTTTTCCACATTCTTGTCGAAACTTGTTATTATTTGACTTTTTTTGACTGTAGCCATCCTAGTCAGTGTGGTGTTTTCTTGTGGCTTTGATTTGCATTTCCTAGATGGTTCATAATACTGAGAAACTTTTCATGTGCTTATTGGTTATTTCTACAACATCTTTGGGGAAATGTTTATTAAGATTCTTTGAGCCCATTTAAAAATTGGGTTATTTGCATTTTTATTCCTGAGTTATAAGAGTCCTTTTTACAGTCTAGATAGAAGTCCCTTATCAAATATATGATTAGCAAATATTTTCTCCCATTCTGCAAATATATGATTAGCAAATATTTTCTCTGATTCTATGGGTTGTCTTTTCACTTTCTGGGTGATGTCCTTTGAAGCATAAAAGCTTCAGGGTTTTTAAAGTTCCATTTATCTATTCTTTTTCTTTTTAGTTTTTGTGATTTGGTGTCATATCTAAAAAAACACTGCTTAATCAAACATCATGAACATTTTCACCTATAGTTTCTTCAAGGATTTTTATAGTTTTAGCTCTTTATATTTAGGTCTTTGATCCATTTTGAGTTACATATGATATGATTTAGGCATTTTCCTTCATTCTTTTGCATGGGAATATCCAGTCATCCTAGCATTATTCCTTGAAAATACTATTCTTTCCTCCACTGAATGATCTAGACTACCTTGTCAAAAATCAATTGACTATAAACAGGAGAGTTAGTACCTGAACTCTCAATTCTATTTCATTGATCCATATGTCTATCCTTATGCCAGTATCATATTGTCTTGATTGCTGTTGCTTTGTCATACATTTTTATATTAATGAAAGTTTAACATTTTTCATCTATATGTAACCCCCAACAAATAGTTCAAAAAAATATAGGGCACTCAATATAGGATTGACTTTTGAAGCTCTTAACAATTTTAGAGGGTCATATATGGGTCACTAACCATACAGAGCTTATGAAGAGAAACACTGGGAATAATGAATCTTTGAGGAGAAAATGCAAGTGTCTTTCAATGCAGCTTTAACAGTTGCTTCATCTATTGCAAAGAGCTAAAATTTCAGCAATAATTAATTTGACAGTGACCCATTAATAACAGTCCTAACTGATTTCATGAAGATTGGTTATGTAAACCTTTCCTATGGCTGAGAAAAGTCAACAGTGAATCCTGAGTGAAAAGAGCAAGGTGAGCAGAGCAAAGCAGTGGGATACACACATCCTTCTGTTAGTCTGCCACCTGAAAAAAACCCCAGTGCTTACAGAAGCATCTCACTATCAACTGTAGTTTCAGCAAGATCTCATTTACCTGAGGAATAAGCTGCTGGAGCAAACTGTGTTATCAACTGGACAGAAGTCTATGGAACAGACACCCTTTCAAAGCCTGCCAGATGATAAATAGGACATTGGAGCATAATATTACATCATTCTTTTATCCAATCAAGCTCAAAAACATTAAGCAATAGTCATATATGCTCTATAATCAAGCAAACAGGAGAAGGATCTTGGGCAAGATATAATGTAGTAGATAGAAAAAGAGATGAAAATTAACGATCTCTAGATGAGATGACAATGATGGTGATGGCTTTTATTGAGTTCTTATTATATAACAATCACTATGGAAAATGCTTAAGAAACAGCTTCCCAATTAATCTCTACAACAACCCCATTGGGGAAGACTATTATTATCTCAATTTTGCAGATGATTAAATTGAAGCTCACATGAATTAAAGTAACATGTCCAAGGCCACACAGAAAGTAAACACAGGAGATGGGATTTATTGCCGGACTCCAACAACAAAGCTCAAGTTCTTGACCACTATGTTTTCTTTCTTACATGTCCCCCGAGACTCATATCCTGAGAAAAATCAACAAACAGACCTTATCTGCAACAATTCTCTCCATTCTCTCTTAACTCCCCTGATGCAAAAGAAAAGCATTTTTTTTTCCTTTAACGTTTAAGTTCAGTGGTACATGTGCAGGATGTGCAGGTTTGTCACATAGGTAAATCTGTGCCATGGTGGTTTCCTGCACAGATCATCCCATCACCTAGGTATTAGGTGCAGCATCCATTAGCTATTCTTCCTGATATTCTCCATCTCTCCACCCCTCCCTCACCCCTCCACCCATGGACCTCAGTGTGTGTTGTTCCCCAACCTGTGTCCATGTGTTCTCATCATTCAGCTCCCACTGATAAGTGAGAACATGTGGTGTTTGGTTTTCTATTCTTGTATTAGTTTGCTGAGCATAATGGCTTTAAACTCCATCCATGTCCCTGCACAGTACACGATCTTGTTCCTTTTTATGGCTGCACACTATTCCATGGTGTATACTTACCACATTTTCTTTATCCAGTCTATCACTGATGGGCATTTAGGTTGATTCCATGTCTTTGCTATTGTGAATAGTGCTGCAATGAACATATACGTGCATGTATCTTTATAACAGAAGGATTTATATTCCTTTGGGTATATAACCAGTAATGCAATTGCTGGGTCAAATGGTGTTTCTGCCTCTAGGTCTTTGAAGAATCACCACACTGTCTCACACAATGGTTGAATTTATACTCCCACTCAACAGTGTAAAAGCATTCCGTTTTTCTCCATAACCTTGCAAGCATCTGTTGTTTTTTGACTTTTTAAGAATAGCCATTCTGACTGGTGTGAGATGGTATCTCATTGTGGTTTTGATTTGCCTTTCTCTAATGATCAGTGATCCTGAGCTTTTTTTCATGTTCCTTGACCACATGTATGTCTTATTTTGAGAAGTATCTGTCCACGTCTTTGGCCCACTTTTTAATGGGGTTGTTTTTTTTCTTGTAAATTTGGTTAAGTTCCTTGTAGACTCTGGATATTAGACCTTTGTCAGATGGTTAGTTTGCAAAATTTTTCTCCCATTTTGTAGGTTGTCTGTTCACTCTGATGATAGTTTCTATTGCTGTGCAGAAGTTCCTTAGTTTAATTAGATCCCATTTGTCAATTTTTGCTTTTGTTGGGTTACTTTCGGCATCTTCGTCATGAAATCTTTGCCCATGCCTATGTCCTGAATGGTACTGCCTAGATTTTCTTCTAGGGTTTTTACAGTTTGGGGTTTTACATTTTAGTCTTTAATCCATCTTGAGTTAACTTTTGCATATGGTGTAAGGAAGGGGTACAGTTTCAATTTTCTGCATATGGCTAGCCAGCACTCCCAGCACCATTTATTAAACAGAGAGTCCTTTCCCTATTGCTTGTTGTTGTCAGGTTTGTCAAAGACCAGATGGTTGTAGGTGTGCAGTCTTATTTCTCAGTTCTCTATTCTGTTTCATTGGTCTATGTATCTGTTTTTGTATCAGTACCATGCTGTTTTGGTTACTGTAGCCTTATAGCATAGTTTGAAGTCTGGTAGTGTGATGCCTCCAGCTTTGCTCTTTTTGCTTAGAATTATCTTGGCTATTCAGGCTCTGTTTTGGTTCCATTTGAATTTTTAAAAAGTTTTTTTCTAACAAACAGAAAGGAATAGCAACAACGTCAACAAAAAGGACATCCATACCAAAACCCCATCTGTAGGTCGCCAGCATCAAAGACCAAAGGTAGATAAAACCACAAAGATGGGGAGAAACCAGAGCAGAAAAGCTGAAATTTCTAAAAACCAGAGCGCCCGTTCTACTCCAAAGGATCGTAGCTCCTCACCAGCAATGGAACAAAGCAGGACAGAGAATGACTTTGACGAGCTGACAGAAGTAGGCTTCAGAAAGCTGGTAATGACAAACATCTCCAAGCTACGGGAGGATGTTCGAATGCATCGCAAGGAAGCTAAAAACCTTGAAAAAAGATTAGATGAATGGCTAACTAGAATAAACAGTGTAGAGAAGACCTTAAATGACCTGATGGAGCTGAAAACCATGGCATGAGAGCTACGTGACACATGCACAAGCTTCAGTAGCTGATTCAATCAAGTGGAAGAAAAGGTATCAGTGATTGAAGATAGAGAAAAAAGAGAAAAGAAAAGAAAAAAGCCTCCAAGAAATATGGGACTACGTGAAAAGACCAAATCTATGTTTGATTGGTGTACCTGAAAATGACGAGAATGGAACCAAGCTGGAAAACACTCTTCAGGATATTATCCAGGAGAACTTCCCCAACCTAGCAAGGCAGGCCAACATTCAAATTCAGGAAATATAGAGAACACCACAAAGATACTCCTCGAGAAGAGCAACCCCAAGAAACATAATTGTGAGATTCATTAAGGTTGAAATGAAGGAAAAAATGCTGAGGGCAGCCAGAAAGAAAGGTCGGGTTACCCACAAAGCGAAGCCCATCAGACTAACAGCTGATCTCTTGGCAGAAACCCTGCAAGTCAGAAGAGAGTGGGGGCCAATATTCAACATTCTTAAAGAAAAGAATTTTCAACCCAGAATTTCATATCCAGCCAAACTAAGCTTCATAAGTGAAGGAGAAATAAAATCCTTTACAGACAAGCAAATGCTGAGAGATTTTGTCACCACCACATCTGCCTGACAAGAGCTCCTGAAGGAAGCACGAAACATGGAAAGGAACAACTGGTACCAGCCACCATGAAAACATGCCAAATAGTAAAGACCATCGATGCTATGAAGAAACTGCATCATTTAACGGGCAAAATAACCAGTAAACATCATAATGACAGGATCAAATTCACACATAACAATATTAACCTTAAATGTAAATGGGCTAAATGCCCCAATTAAAAGACACAAACTGGCAAATTGGATAAAGAGTCAAGACCCGTCAATGTGCTGGATTCATCAGGAGACCCATCTCAAATGCAGAGACACACATAGACTCAAAATAAAGGGATGGAGGAAGATCTACCAAGCAAATGGAAAGCAAAAAAAAAAAAAAAAAAAAGGAGCGGTTGCAATCCTAGTCTCTGATAAAACAGACTTTAAACCAACAAAGATCAAAAGAGACAAAGAAGGCCATTACATAATGGTAAAGGGATCAATTCAACAAGAAGAGCTAACTATACTAAATATATATACACCCAACACATGAGCACCCAGATTCATAAAGCAAGTCCTCAGAGACATACAAAGAGACTTAGACTCCCACACAATAACAATGGGAGACTTTAACACCCCACTATCAATATTAGAGAGATCAATGAGACAGAAGGTTAACGAGGATATCCAGGACCAGAACTCAGCTCTGCAACAAGCAGACCTAATAGACATCTACGTAACTCCTCACCCCAAATCAACCGAATATACATTATTCTCAGCATCACATCACACTTATTCTAAAATTAACCACATAATTGGAAGTAAAGCACCCCTCAGCAAATGTAAAAGAACAGAAATCACAACAAACTGTTTCTCAGACCACAGTGCAATCAAATTAGAACTCAGGATTAAGAAACTCACTCAAAACCACAGAACTACATGGAAACTGAACAACTTGCTCCTGAATGACTACTTGGTAAATAACGAAATGAAGGCAGAAATAAAGATGTTCTTTGAAACCAATGAGAACAAAGACACAATGTACCAGAATCTCTGGGACACATTTAAAGCAGTGTGTAGACGGAAATTTATAGCACTAAATGCCCACAAGAGAAATCAGGAAAGATCTAAAATTGACACCCTAACATGACAATTAAAAGAATTAGAGAAGCAAGAGCAAACAAATTCAAAAGCTACCAGAAGGCAAGAAACAACTAAGATCAGAGCAGAACTGAAAGAGACAGAGACACAAAAAACCCTTCAAAAAATCAATGAATCCAGAAGCTAGTTTTTTGAAAAGATCAACAAAATTGATAGACTGCTAGCAAGACTAATAAAGAAAAGAGAGAAGAATCAAATAGATGCAATAAAAAAATGATAAAGGTGATATCACCACTGATCCCACAGAAATAGAAACCACCATGACAGCATACTATAAACACCTCTATGCAAATGAACTAGGAGATCTAGAAGAAATGGATAAATTCCTGGACTTATACACTCTTCCAAGACTAAACCAGGAAGAAGCTGAATCTCTGAATAGACCAATAACAGGCTCTGAAATTGAGGCAGTAATTAATAGCCTACCAACCAAAAAAAGTCCAGGACCAGACGGATTCACAGCCGAATTCTATCAGAGGTAGAAAGAGGAGCTGGGAACATTCCTTCTGAAACTATTCCAATCAATAGAAAAAGAGGGAATCCTCCCTAACTCATTTTATGAGGCCAACATCATCCTGATACCAAAGCCTGGCAGAGACACAATAAAAAAAGAGAATATTAGACCAATATCCCTGATGAACATTGATGCGAAAATCCTCAATACCATTTGACCCAGCCATCCCATTACTGGGTATATACCCAAAGGATTATAAATCATGCTGCTATAAAGACACAGGCACATGTATGTTTATAGCGGCACTATTCGCAATAGCAAAGACTTGGAACCAACCGAAATGTCCAAAAACGATAGACTGGATTAAGAAAATGTGGCACATATACACCATGGAATCCTATGCAGCCATAAAAAAAGATGAGTTCATGTCCTTTGTAGGGACATGGATGAAACTGGAAACCATCATTCTCAGAAAACTATCGCAAGGACAAAAAACCAAACACCGCATGTTCTCACTCATAGGTGGGAACTGAACAATGAGAACACATGGACACAGGAAGGGGAACATCACACACTGGGGACTGTTGTGGGGTTGGGGGAGCGGGGAGGGATAGCATTAGGAGATATACCTAATGCTAAATGACGAGTTAATGGGTGCAGCACACCAACATGGCACATATATACACATGTAACAAACCTGCACGTTGTGCACATGTACCCTAAAACTTAAAGTATAATAATAATAAAAAAATACTGGAAAATCAAATCCAGCAGCACATCAAAAAGTTTATCCACCATGATCAAGTCTGCTTCATCCCTGGGATGCAAGGCTGGTTCAACATATGCAAATCAATAAACATAATCCATCACATAAACAGAACCAATGACAAAAACCACATGATTATCTCCATAGATGCAGAAAAGGTCTTCAACAAAATTCAACAGCCCTTCATGCTAAACACTCTCAAGAAACTAGGTATTGATGGAATGTATCTCAAAATAATAAGAGCTATTTATGATAAACACTGAATGGGCAAAAACTGGAAGCATTTCCTTTGAAAACCAGCACAAGACAAGGATGCCCTCTCTCACCACTCCTATTCAACATAGTGTTGGAAGTTCTGGCCAAGGCAATCAGGCAAGAGAAAGAAATAAAGGGCATTCAATCAGGAAGTGAGGAAGTCAAATTGTCCCTGTTTGCAGATGACATGACTGTATATTTAGAAAACCCCATCGTCTCAGCCCAAAATCTCCTTAAGCTGATAAGCAACTTCAGCAAAGTCTCAGGATACAAAATCAATGTGCAAAAATCACAAGCATTCCTATACAATATTAACAAACAGAGTGCCAAATCATGAGTGAACTCCCATTCACAGTTGCTACAAAGAGAATAAAATACCTAGGAATACAACATACAAAGGATCTGAAGGACCTCTTCAAGCAGAACTACAAACCACTGCTAAGCAAAATAAAAGAGGACACAAACAAATGGAAGAACATTCCATGCTCATGGATAGAAGAATCAATATTGTGAAAATGGCCATACTGTCCAAAGTAATTTGTAGATTCAATGACATCCCCATCAAGCTACCAATGACTTTCTTCACAGAATTGGAAAAAACTACTTTAAAGTTCATATGGAACCAAAAAAGAGCCCTCATTGCCAAGACAATCCTAAGCAAAAAGAACAAAGCTGGAGGCATCGTGCTACCTGACTTCAAACTATACTACAAGGCTACAGTAACCAAAACAGCATGGTACTGGTACCAAAACAGATAGTCCAATGGAACAGAAAAGAGCCCTCAGAAATAACACCACACACCTACAACCATCTGATCTTTGACAAACCTGACAAAAACAAGAAATGGGGAAAGGATTCCCTTTTTAATAAATGGTGCTGGGAAAACTGGCTAACCATATGTAGAAAGCTGAAACTAGATCCCTTCCTTACACCTTATACAAAAATTAATTCAAGATGGATTAAAGACTTAAACGTTAGACCTAAAACCATGAAAACCCTAGAAGAAAACCTAGGCATTACCATTCAGGACATAGGCATGGGCAAGGACTTCATGTCTAAAACACCAAAAGCAATGACAACAAAAGCCAGAATAGACAAATGGGATCTAATTAAACTAAAGGGCTTCTGCACAGCAAAAGAAACTACCATCAGAGTGAACAGGCAACCTACAGAATGGGAGAAAATTTTTGCAATCTACCCATCTGACAAAGGGCTAATATCCAAAATCTACAAAGAACTTAAACAAATTTACAAGAAAAAATCAAACAACCACATCAAAAAGTGGGCAAAGGATATGAATAGACACTTTAAAAGAAGACATTTATGCAGCCAACAGACACATGAAAAAATGCTCATCATCACTGGTCATCAAAGAAATGCAAATCAAAACCACAATGAGATACCATCTCATGCCAGTTGGAATGGAGATCATTTAAAAGTCAGGAAACAACAGGTGCTGGGGAGGATGTGGAGAAATAGGAACACTTTTACACTGTTGGTGGGAGTATAAACTAGTTGAACCATTGTGGAAGACAGTGTGGCGATTCCTCAAGGATCTAGAACTAGAAATACCATTTGACCCAGCCATCCCATTACTGGGTATATACCCATAGGATTATAAATCATGCTGCTATAAAGACACATGCACACATATGTTTATTGTGGCACTATTCACAATAGCAAAGACTTGGAACCAACCCAAATGTCCATCAGTGATAGATCGGATTAAGAAAATGTGGCATATATACACCATGGAATACTATGCAGCTGTGAAAAAGGATGAGTTCATGTCCTTTGTAGCAACATGGATGAAGCTGGAAACCATCATTCTGAGCAAACTATTGGAAGGACAGAAAACCAAACACTGCATGTTCTCACTCATAGGTGGGAACTGAACAATGAGAACACTTGGACACAGGGCAGGGAACATCACACACCGGGGCCTGTCATGGGGGGATGGGGGAGGGATAGCATTAGGAGTAATACCTAACGTAAATGACGAGTTAATGCGTGCAGCAAACCAACACGGCACATGTATACATATGTAAGAAACCTGCATGTTGTGCACATGTACCCTAGAACTTAAAGTATAAAAAAAATAGTTTTCTTTTCTAATTCTGGGAAGAGTGTCAATGGTAGTTTAATGGGAATAGCATTCAATCTATTAATTACTTTGGACAGTATGGCCACTTTCACAATATTGATTCTTCCCATCCATGAGCATAGACTGTTTCTTCATTTGTTGTAAAGCACTTTCAAAGATGTGCAAAATAATTGCTCTGTGTTTTAGGGTTTACTGGCCCATCTTTTCCCTCTCCCCACAAAACCACCACTCAAATTTAACATGCATTTGATTAATCTGATTCAGAATCAGCCTTATATTAAAAGTCAGGCCATAACAGAAAAATAGGGGGACAGACAGTAAGACTCATTAAGAAGGACTAGACTAGTTGGGAAGACGGGATGACTCAGGTATTAGACATTACTATGTTGAATCTTCCTCTTCTATAAATGATTGGGTGCCCTGGACAGTGAGTTAAGTGCATAGATATAGACTGCTGACTGACCCAGTCTAAGAATTTTCTGAAGGGTGGATGGCAAATAAATGAACAGCTCTGAGGCCTTAACTTGGCTTTCTAGCAAGGATTCCATCAGAAAAATCATGTGGATTTAAGAGAAGAAGTTATCAGGAAGAAATTTAAGAATCAGGAACCTATACTGTTTTAAGAAAACAGAAATCCTGTTTTAACAAACAGGAAGCTATGCTTTCCTCATCCAATGGAAAACAGCTTAATATGGCATCAAGCTTATACCCTCTCCCGTTTCTGTCAAACTCTGAGGATACTTGAGGTTTTCTGGTTGTGTCCACTGAAAAGAGGAGTGGGGAGTGCAAGAAGGCTCACAGAGGGCAGCAGGAGGCTAAGTAGAGTTTCACTCTCATGTGGGCTAATGAATGATAATGAATCAATTAAATAACACAATTTCTGAAGTACCTGACAGTTCTAAGAGTCTCTCATTCTGTAAGAGGACCTCCATATGATCAGTTTTTGCTTATAAAGTTAAACATAGTAAGGGATTGGAAGCATACTGGGTGAAATTAACTACTCCAACTAGAACTTCCAGTACAATGTTAAATAGAAGTGATGTAAGCAGACATTCTTGTCTTATTGTTGATTTCAGGGGGAAAGTATCTAGTCTTTTATCATCAACTATGATGATAATTGTGAGTTTTTCATAACTGTGATTTATCAAGTTGAGTAAGCTCCCTTCTATTCCTAGTTTTTTGCATGTTTTTATTATGAAAGGGTATTGGATTTTGTCTAAAAATTTTTTTCACTTATTGAGATAATCATATGACTTAAAAAATTCTACCGATATAGTGCTTTACGTTAATTGATTTTCAGATATTAAACCAACCTTGCATTTCTGGGTAATCCCATGTGGCCATAGTGTATAATTCATTCTATGTTGCTGGATTCAGTTTGCTAGCATTTTGTTGAGGATTGTTGCATCCATATTCTCCAGAGGTATTAGTCTGCAGTTTTCATTTTTTATGTTTTATTGAATGCCACTTCAAATCCTTTGCCAAAAAAGACTAAGCATAACAAATTTCATTAAAATACCATTTCTTCTATGTCATACCATTCATTCAAGTCTATAAACTTTGGTTCCCAACTGCTCGTGATAAAATATACACTTCTTAGTGTATCTTCCATTATTTCCCTGCACAGTTCCTTCACTCTAGAAAGATTAATTTTTTTCACTGTCCTACCAAAAAATCCTAATGCTTAGAAACCTCCACGTCTTTATTCATGCTATTTCTCCATGTTGAAACTATTTTTTATTGATGGCAAATTTAATGTATACTCCCTTACTGCTTCTCTTCTCTAACAACCAACATCCTTAATCTAAATGAAGTTTAGGCTTGTAAGAAAAATTAAGTCAGTTACAGAAAATGTAAAGCTATATAATCTCTGCACACGAGTAGGTGTATTTATATTTTGAGGTAGTTCCAAATATTTATTATTGTCTGTCTTCCCTACTAAATATATGTGCATTAGACATGAAAGCAGAAATATTACCTCTTTTGTTTAATGCTGTCACCCTAGTATCCATAATAGTATTTGACGCATAGGAGGCATTCAATATTTATTGAATAAATAAATAGGCTACTCTTTTCTATGTATTCCACTTCTCCATGAAGCTAGATCATTGATCACCTGGCCTAAAGCCTTCTCTTTCTTCCCTGGACTCATAAGTCTAATTTTCCATAGAGTATATTTAACACTTTTCATATACTGCTCTGAGTTCTTAGTTATCATTCCATTTGTCTATGCTTTACTTCCCAACCAGATTATAAAAGCCTAGAGGGCAGAGACCATAGTGTACTTATTTTTCAAACCTCTGTCAGACTGTAGCCAGTGTATCTGGCATATAGTAAGCTCTCAATGAACAATGCCTAATAAGACTAGCGTAGACAGTTTACTGGAGCCTGAGGAAAACTTAACGCATTTACTGGATTTCTGGCAAAGAAATCTATAGGGATAAACATCATGGGGGCTGAAAATTTTAAAATTTTATTGTCTTCTTGATGTCTTACATCTACTTTGAGGCAACTGTGGTGTTTTCCTGTCTCAGCACAAGCTTGTTTATCAGGAGAAAATTACACTAATTTTAACGTTGACAAGGCCTAACTAAAATTGTGACAGATGTGAGAGTTCAATGTACCTAAGAAATCCTTCCCTTGGAGAAGATAGGCAGTAAAATACTTAATATCTTTTCCAGGCCTAGATTTTAAGAAATTTGAGGTATTCCGTCACAGCCCCTCTTGTCCTTTTAAGGCTCTGCTTGAATCCATATTTTACTGGAGTCTGTGTTTATTGCCTGGTTACAAGTGGTCTATCCAGGTGCCTCTGAAAGGAAACAAAATACTCAGCATAGCAACACCAATAGGAGGTCACCCTATGCATATCGTCCAAAATTCCCATCTCCTTTCCTAAATACAGAAATATGTAGCCTCTGATCTGGCTTTTTCCATTCATGACTACCTCAAGAGAGTAAGCAGCAAGACCGACCAGAAAATCGACATACTCCTTCATGCCAGTCTCAGTTTCCTCTCTCAAACCCCCCTTTACCCACATGCATTTTGGTTATTCATTTCCTCTATATCCCTCATCTTACCTGAAATTCTATTCCAGAAGACATCTGTTATTACGCAACCACACAATTAAAGTCCCTTTCCTTCTTCTTTACCTTCAAGTTCCTATTTCTAATTATTTCTGACAATCCTTAGTTTGGTCAAGAATGTCTTGGAGAATTTTTCACTTTCTACTAAAAGACAAGAATTTCTATGCCTAAAATGAAGCACAACTACAAAACTGATTATTTCTAAGTTAAAACAGTAAAATACCACCCCAAACAACCTCTACCATCACTTCACATGGCATAAGCTCAATGACAGTTCATAGCAAAAAAGCCCAATGCATTATTTTCTATTTCATAAAAAACTTTAAATATCCAAGTAGATATTAGCCAGACAACATTTTTCTATACTATTATACTTTTTAATGTAGTAAATAATAATACTTAATATTTTAGAATGAAAGAATAAAGATATTGGTCAATTTACTAATTTATATTAATAGAAGAACACATTATTTTATTGTTCCCTAGATTTTTCTCTAACATTCTTTACACCAACCTCAAATCACAATCTTCTCTCATCTGGCTGTTTTATGCCAAGTGTGCCGCAGGTCTAGAGAACTAACAGTCCCAGAACAGAGAAGGCAGAAAAAGAACTTCAGGAAAAATGGCTCTGGGGGGAAAAGCAGAGGTGATGCTATTCGATAAGTTTTACAGTGTGAAAAATTAAATTGCGAGGAATTATGGTAGAGCCACTGATGGGAATGGGGTGTGCGTTAGTGAGAGGGAAGACAGAGATTTTTAAAAAACTGAGTAAATAGAAAATGTAGCAATGAGTGGCCAGGCGCAGTGGCTCACGCCTGTAATCCCAGAACTTTGGGAGGCCAAGGCAGGCGGATCACCAGGTCAGGAGATCGAGACCATCCTGGCTAACACGGTGAAACCCCGTCTCTCCTAAAAATACAAAAAATTAGCCGGGCGTGGTGGCGGGCGCCTCTAGTCCCAGCTACTCGGGAGGCTGAGGCAGGAGAATGGCGTGAACACAGGAGGCGGAGCTTGCAGTGAGCCGAGATTGCGCCACTGCACTCCTGCCTGGGAGACAGAGCGAGACTCCATCTCAAAAAAAGAAAAAAGAAAAAAAAGAAAATGTGGCAATGAGTAACTTCAATAGTAAAATGACAAGAAATATTATCACACTACATTAATTCACTAAGCAATGAACAATATTTATATCATCTTTATAATGAAGACAATTAAGATTGACAAAAAAGAATATGATATAAGAATACTGGGAAGATGGAAGTGTAGAAAGGAAGTGCAGAAGAGATAGAACCCTTATTAACAACAAATAGCAAGTGAATACGGTAATAGGGAATCAAGATATGATAGGCCATTCAGGTTATTTAGAAATATGGAAATAAATACTTGAAGAAACAGCTTATAAAGAGTGGCTGACTGTTGGGCAGAATGAGGTGAGGGTATCAGGGATTGATGCTACTTTGATGTATTTCATTAGCAAAATTTGGTTGTTAAAATTCACTTACTAATTTGATAAAAATAAAACCATATTATAATAAATAAACTAATGCCCATGATTATATAATTGGGCCTTTATGAGACTAAGACTATCTTGTAAGAAGGTAAAGAACCTTCTGAAGGGTAAACCAATTGTGTCAACCACAGTCCTGTTAAACACTGGTTAAGAAATCAAGGCTGAGTAGTGGAGCTCTGTTTTGGGAGTAAACTTAGAATTGTAAATTTGGCTTTGGCTGTTAAGGTATCCAAAAGGTTGACTCTCACCTCATGTAAAAGGCAAGGAACTAACATGTAAGAATCCCAAATAACGTGCCTGTTGTACTAGTCCTCTAGAGCCAGATGTCACGGAAACATGAAATATAGAATGGGATGGTGAACTATCGCAGCGAGCTAGATAAGGAAGGAAATGTACTTTGTAATATGGAATGCATTTTGATTTTTGAATATTAAATTTGTTTCTTTTATGTAATTTCTCAGCCTGTCATAACGCAGGTTGAGTATCCTTAATTGGAAAATTCAAAATCCAAAATGCTCCAAAATCTGAAATTTTTTTAGTATTAACGTGACATGACTCTCAAAGAAAATGCTCAGGGAAGCATTTCAAATTTTGAGTTTTCAGATAGGGGACTCAACCTGTATGTATAGAGAAATAAGGTTCATTTAAAGGCAGAAACCAAATATTCTGGGAGCTAGAAATCATGGAAATTATAGTACTTGAAGGGGACAGTGAAAATCTAATAGTATGAATACAGGCCCATTGGTCTAGTGGCCTCACCCCATCTAAAACACATTTTTCAGAGCAAAAATATTGGAAAATTTTTGTTTAATGTGGGAGACAATTTTCCTAATCCATCATCCAGTCATTTTGGCTGTGAACTGGTAAATTTCATTATGTGTTAGTTGTCTTTTTAATTAAAATTAATATTAAATATTGGTTCTGGCAAGAATCCTCAGATTACTTTACGGTTTTCACTTCTAGTTTCAAAGATATGTGCATTTTTCCCCTTTGTTTATTGAATAGATGTTTCCTCCACTAATACATAATCCCCCTATCATATTATACTTTTTTTTTTTTGAGACAGGGTCTCACTTTGTTACCTGGTTGGAGTGCAATGGTGTGATCTTGGCTCACTGCAGCCTCGACCTCCCAGGTTCAAGTGATCCTCCTGCCTCAGCCCTGCAAGTAGCAGAGACTAAAGGCACATGCCACCATGCCTGCCTAATTTGTGTGTGTGTGTGTGTGTGTGTGTGTGTGTGTGTGTGTGTGTGTGTTTTGTAGAGATGCAGTTTTGCCATGTTGCCCAGGCTGGTCTTGAACTCCTAAGCTCAAGTGATCTGCCCGCACCTTGGCCTCCCAAGTGATATTATTCTTGAATAATTTTTAATCTTCCTTTTATTTTTTTGAGACAGGGTCTCTTGCTCTATCACCCATGCTGGAGTGGAGTGGCACCATCACACCTCACTTCAGCCTTGACCTCTGGGGCTCAAGTGATCCTCCCACCTCAGCCTCCCGAGTAGCTGGGACTACAGGCACACACCACCACATGCAACTAATTTTTAATTTTTTTTTGTTGAAATGGGGACTCACTATCCTGCCCAGGCTGATTGTGAACTCCTGGGCTCAAGCAATCCGCCCACCTCAGCCTCCCAGTGTTGGACTTACAGGTGTGAGCCACTAGGCACCCAGCCAAAATTAATCTTTCAAATAAATATTGCCAAAGGTTGTCTGAAAATGTTAACACCTTCAAAAAATATACTACATTAGGCCAGGTGTGGTGGCTCACACCTGTAATCCCAGCAGTTTGGGAGGCCAAGGCAGATGGATCCCTTGAGGCCAGGAGTTCAACACCAGCCTGGGCAATATGGTGAAACCTCATCTCTACTAAACAAAAGAAAAGAAAAGAAAAGAAAAGAAATATATATATATATATTTAATGTTATATATATTAATTATACATAATTAAATATACATAATTTCTTCTTATAGAACTATGTTGCATCAACATAGTATCAGATGGTGGACTTAGAACAGATTTGACATTTACTGGTCTATAATTCACAGGGTGCCTTCTAGAAAACCTGATAAATGGGATTCTTATTATTAATCCATAATTCCTATGAAATAGTAGTTGTTTATAATATCAGGATTATATTATATATACTAACATGTATATCTTCCTCCATTTTCCCAATAACTTAGCCAGGTTTAATTTTCCTATTTTTCTTTTGTTCTCAAAAGGAATTTTTAAAAAAATTGTTGGCTAGGCACAGTAGCTCACGCCTGTAATCTCAGCACTTTGGGAGGCTGAGGGGGCCAGATCACCTGAGGTCGGGAGTTCAAGACAAGCCTGGCTGACATTGTGAAATCACGTCTCTACTAAAAATACAAAAATTAGCTGGGTATGGTGACATGCACCTGTAATCCCAGCAACCCGGGACGCTGAGGCAGGAGAATTGCTTGAACCCAGGAGGTGGAGATTGCAGTGAGCTGAGATGGCACTCTAGTCTGGGCAACAGAGTGAGACTCCGTGTTAAAAAAAAAAGAAAGAAAGAAAGAAAGGCCAGGCGCGGTGGCTCACGCCTGTAATCCCAGCACTTTGGGAGGCCAAGGAGGGCAGATCACGAGGTCACGAGTTGGAGACCAGCCTGGCCAACATGGTGAAACCCCGTCTCTACTAAAAATACAAAAAAATTAGCTGGGCATGGTGGCAGGCACCTGTAATCCCAGCTACGTGGGATACTGAGGCAGGAGAATTGTTTGAACCTGAGAGGTGGAAGTTACAGTGGGCTGAGATCGCACTACTGCACTCCAGCCCAGGCGACAGTGCAAGACTCCATCTCAAAAAAAAAGAAAAAAAAATTCTGGTAGTGTTGTTGTGAAACCACACTAAAGGCAATCAACTAGCCCTTTCAAAATATACCTTTGACTTATTATGGAGTATTCTATGTAACTAAAATGTCTTTATATTCATAGACTAGCAGATATGAGTTCTGCTAATAATTTAAAAATTGAATCATATTCTTCCAGTGCACTGTAGGTCTTTTCTAAAATACGGAAAGTTTTACAGATATGTCCCACCAGGGTTGGGAAAAGGTCCAAACAGTCCTTTCTCATTATATAGCCTGTATTTTTTAATTGTGATATATATACATAACATAAAATTTACCATTTTAACCATTTAAAAATGTTCATGTCATCTGTACTTGTAATATGATCTCTAAGAAGAAACACATAGCCACAGATACCTTTTTAAAGCAGAAGAAAACAATGCCTATATAGTTTACGGAATTGTCAGTAATGATTCAACATTCAGGGAAGGATAGTTAGTAACTCCGAGTATCCCTTTATTTACTGAAATTGATCCCCCTAAGAGGCATTAAAAGTATGTAGATAAATAGTTAATAACCAATTTGCTAAGTTATGTGAATCCTAAAACAATCAGTGATCTGAGAGTTAGATTTCTTTGACAGGAGACATTTATAAAATTGGCACAAATAATATAGGAATGTAATTTACTTTTATCCAACTCAACTTGCTTCAGAGGCCTCATCGAAAATGCATGGGGAAATATTTTTTAATTTGCTTATTTTGATGTCATATAATTACATTTTTATGGATTCCCTAATGTATATTTAAAAACTCAATATTTTGGACAATATGTAGTTCTAAAGTCCTTTTACAATAGATATTGAATAAATAGATATCATGGCTAGTAAAGGATGATTACATTAGAAAATCATTTACAAAAGATAAAAGATTTATCATTTTAAAATAATTTTTTTAAAAATAAAGAAGACTGAAAGAATAATGTCACAGTTATAATACATAATCTGTGGCAGAATGGAAACAGTGCTGACTTGAGACCTAAATTCCTCTTCATTTCCTACCTTCTTACTAAACAGAACTTAAAGCTTTCTTTACAACTCATGACAAAAATAAAAGCAACATCTTTTTCATATATAAACAGTTTGTTCACCTGAGTTTTTATAAAATATTTATTCTAAGTACAGAATGTTAGAGAAATGTGGAAACAAAATGCAAAGAAAATATATCTTGAGAAGAATCTAACAAATAGCTTTCTTTGTTTCTTGCTGACATACTTTGTGGTTACAATACAGGCTTCCAATGAACACTGTATCAAAATTAAAATTCTAGGCAGGCATTCAACTTTTATGATTGTGTCCATTCATTTCCCACTGAGCATGGGAAACAAATGCTTTACAAGTTATTTATTGAAGATATTCCCATAGTACTCTTAGAAAGTTCACTTCCAAAAGAGGCCTTATTACTGTAATGTATCCGAGTAAATGAAAGCTATACCAGGATTCTCGCATCATACTTTAGAACTTCAGCAGGCTAATAAAGTTATGTATATAACAGAGGTTCCTCTGAGGTCAGTCCACAGCAATTTTGCAAAGGTACATGATAAATAAGAGGAATAGAGACCAAACAAATTTCTAAAATAAAGAATATCAATCCAAAATGACTTATGACTATATTTTGAATAAAGTTAAACACAGAATAATTAAGCAGAAAGCAGTCAGCTTAATTATAGTTTTCCTACTGTGAATGTAAAGTTGGAACAAATGCAGTAAGCCTGATCAAAATCAGGTAACAGTTACCTCTGCAGCCTTGTTTGATGGTTCCAGTCCAGTCATATTTGCTACTATTAACTGATGTAAGAGTTGAACTTGAGCCACACTTAGGAAGAAGTCCAGGTTTGTGGTTATATTCACTTCTAAGGAATGGCCACACACTAAAATCTCCTGAAGCAAAAACGGTAGAATACAGATAAAGAAACATGATAGCTTTCAGATGATAATTTATCATTCTTACTTATTTGACCTTCACTACTTTGGTGACATTTCCTAGGACTCAAGTTCATACATTAAGGAGAAGAGCAAAAATGGTGAGCACAGCCACTTGACACAATTTAACAGATGAATTTCATATTTATGAGGGCCTGCTGTGTGTTGGGCCTTGTGCTAGATATACACAACTAACAATAAGAAGTCTTCACCTTTTCATACCTATTTGACTTTTCCATAACTCCAACTATTATTATTGTTTTCAATATGTAGCAACAATATAATTGTGTAGCATAATCTTGTTCATGAATTCAAACCAACTAATATTTACTGAGCATTTCCTAAGTACTAGGTACGATAGTAGAGTCCTATGAATATCACAAAGAATAATGTCGGCCTTGAAGGGCAACCTGCTCTTGAGGAGGTTATAATCTAGTTGGGCAGACAGATGTAAACAGACAATTTTAGGCAGGCAATTAATTGCTAAGAGCCACAGTATGAATATTCTCCAAAGGATATACTCTAAATGATTTATAAGAAAACGGAGTGTTGAAGCTAAAGACAGCTAGACTAATTAATTTCACTTCTTTAAACTGCTAAAATCTTGGCAGCATTGGGTAGATGTCCATAACTTAATTGGTGCTGTTCTGCAAAACCTAGTCACTTGAACATTTATCACTGGAAAACCGTTCAGACAAGGAAAACAGAACAAAACAAAAAACCAATACAATAGTTTCACTTAATAAGTCCTGCCTCTTGTCATGATGTGCATGTGGACAATGTTCAAATGCTTGGAAATGTCCAACAGATCTTCCCCTTATAGTATCATCCAGAGGAATGGATTTAAGGAGACTATGACTAGTCCAAATGCAAATGAGACAGCTTAGAGCAGCTTTTAATAAAGCCATGAAGAACAGCATGTCTGAAATAATTATCCTTTTTTTTTTGGTTAAACAATTTTTTCCTCCACAAGTTCTCTGTATTCATTCACTCTAGTTAGAATTCTTATTCTATTCCTCAAGTATTGACAAAAAGGGAAAAAAGTATACCAATTCAGGATTAAAAAAAAATAGTCACCGTAACATTACCCAAGAGCACAAAAATTTGTACTAAAAATAACTTGGCTTTATTGGTGGCATACATCCTGTGAAAACTTGCAAATAATTGATCTTATACTAGTAGGTTAAATAGTATGAATGCAATTGGTAGGATTAGCAGCTAATAATATAAAAACAAGGATAATTTTCATTTTTATAGAACTTTAGCTTCTCAGATTCCTCTTATAATTATTTCTTCTATTGATCAGTTTGAACCTTATGACAATCTAGAGGGCAACAAGAGTAGCTATATATGAGGCAACTAAGGTATGCATAACAATCTGGGTAGCTTGGTTAGCTCCTCTATGCCTCAGTTTTGTCATCTACAAAATACGGATATGAGGAGTAGCAAATAAGATTATTATGAGGACTAAATGAGTTATTACAAGGAAAGCAATAACTGAAGAGTACTACAAAGTGCTCCATAAATGTTAGCTATGATAGTAGCCATTATTATTAATGAGCTAATTTGAAGTCCTATGGGCTGAAACTGTGGCAATCCCTAACATACAAAGAGGAGCAATTCCATTATTTAGACTAAAATAAAATCAAAATTATGTTCTAACCTCAGTATGCAAATTTTCTGGAGAAACTACTTTGGTGAAAATGACAGCAGGTGCTCCAGTTATTCGGACAGAAAAATCTGTCAAAACGGGGGTCAAAATTGCTCTCCTTTCTTGATGCCGCCGTATGCTAAAAGATAGAGTAAAAGATTATTAGCCATTTCATTATTTTCAAAGACAATTTTCATTAAATTTGTACAAGTCTTTGTACTACAAACATGTATGGCAAAATTACATTATTATTTTGAGAGTGCCTATTTGCATATTTTACAGTCATCGTTTCTTAACTTCAATTCCATAAGATTTACAAAAGATGAAAACATCTTGAGAAATTAAGGTGTAATTAAGCAATTTCATATTAGTATCATCCCAGGACTTTTTAACAAATTAATTTTTAAATTTTTACTCCTTTTTGTTCTTGCAAATAGTTTCATATCACTTTTGTTACCACCAATAATCTTACTATTTTTTGGAATAATTTTTCATTTCCTATTTTTAATATCTGACCTTCTATTTGATAACTGCTGTCTTGCTGACCTCATTAGGGTCATAAGCATATCCTTTTAGTCTTTGAATTCTTTTCTTTTTAAGGTCTAAGAACAATGTTAATTCATTTTTTTTTAAGACAAGGTCTTGCTCTGTCACCTAGGCTGGAGTGCAGTGGTGCAATCATGGCTCACTGTAGCCTCAATCTCCTGGGCGCAAGTGATCCTCCCACCTTGGCCTCCTGAGTAGCTGGGACCACAGGAATGTACCACCATGCCTGGCTAATTTATTTTTATTTTTTCTAGAGACAGAGTCTCCTCACGTTGCCCAGGCTGGTCTTGAACTCCTAGGCTCAAGCAATTCTCCTGCCTAGGACTCTCAAAGTGCTGGGATTACAAGTGTTGAGCCACCATGTCCAGCTGTTAAGGTTTTTGTGTGAGATATTAAATGCTTCCTGAAAACAATCCTGTATGTAAAGTAGGGACTGTTAATAGCCCCATTATTATCTGTAAGGAAATGAAGTTCAAGTACTGGGCTAAGGCTACACAATGAGAACAAAGGTTCCAGAATTGGACCTGGAGGGCAAGTTGACACCAAAACAGCTTTTGGCCTCTATTTTAGTTCTTCTTTATGTATTCCCAGCTTTCATCAGTTATTTAGCAGAATATTTTTACCTGAAATTTAAAATTATTAATAATTTCACAATCCAGCATATAAACAGAACCAAAGACAAAGACCACGTGATTATCTCAATAGATGCAGAAAAGGCCTTTGACAAAATTCAACAACGCTTCATGCTAAAAACTCTCAATAAATTAGGTATTGATGGGACATTTCTCAAAATAATAAGGGCTATTTATGACAAACCCAAGCCAATATCATACTGAATGGGCAAAAACTGGAAGCATTCCCTTTGAAAACTGGCACAAGACAGGGAATGCCCTCTCTCACCACTCCTATTCAACATAGTGTTGGAAGTTCTGGCCAGGGCAATCAGGCAGGAGAAAGAAATAAAGGATATTCAATTAGGAAAAGAGGAAGTCATATTGTCCCCGTTTGCAGACGACATGATTGTATATTTAGAAAACCCCATCCTCTCAGCCCAAAATTTCCTTAAGCTGATAAGCAACTTCAGCAAAGTCTCAGGATACAAAATCAATGTGCAAAAATCACAAGCATTCTTATCCACAAATAACAGACAAACAGAGAGCCAAATCATGAGTGAACTCCCATTCACAATTGCTTCAAAGAGAAAAAAATACCTAGGAATACAACTTACAAGGGATGGGAAGGACCTCTTCAAGGAGAACTACAAACCACTGCTCAACGAAAGAAAAGAGGATATAAACAAATGGAAGGACATTCCATGCTCATGGATAGGAAGAATCAATATCATGAAAATGGCCATACTGCCCAAGGTAATTTATAGATTCAATGCCATCCCCATCAAGCTACCAATGACTTTCTTCACAGAATTGGAAAAAACTACTTTAAAGTTCATATGGAACCAAAAAAGAGCCCTCATTGCCAAGACAATCCTAAGCAAAAAGAACAAAGCTGGAGGCATCACGCTACCTGACTTCAAACTATACTACAAGGCTATAGTAACCAAAACAGCATGGTACTGGTACCAAAACAGAGATATAGACCAATGGAACAGAACAGAGCCCTCAGAAATAATGCAGTGTATCTACAACCATCTGATCTTTGACAAACCTGACAAAAACAAGAAATGGGGAAAGTATTCCCTTTTTAATAAATGGTGCTGGGAAAACTGGCTAGCCATATGTAGAAAGCTGAAACTCAATCCCTTCCTTACACCTTATACAAAAATTAATTCAAGATGGATTAAAGACTTAAATGTTAGACCTAAAACCATAAAAACCCTAGAAGAAAACCTAGGCAATACCTTTCAGGACATAGGCATGGGCAAGGACTTCATGTCTAAAACAACAAAAGCAATGGCAACAAAAGCCAAAATTGACAAATGGGATCTAATTAAACTAAAGAGCTTCTGCACTGCAAAAGAAACTACTATCAGAGTGAACAGGCAACCTACAGAATGGGAGAAAATTTTTGCAAGCTACTCATCTGACAAAGGGCTAATATGCAGAATCTACAAAGAACTCAAACAAATTTACAAGAAAAAAGCAACCCCATCAAAAAGTGGGCAAAAGATATGAACAGACACTTCTCAAAAGAAGACATTTATGCAGCCAAAAAACATGTGAAAAAATGCTCATCATCACTGGTCATCAGAGAAATGCAAAACAAAACCACAATGAGATACCATCTCACACCAGTTAGAATGGCAATCATTAAAAAGTCAGGAAACAACAGGTGCTGGAGAGGATGTGGAGAAATAGGAACACTTTTACACTGTTGGTGGGACTGTAAATTAGTTCAACCATTGTGGAAGACAGTGTGGCGATTCCTCAAGGATCTAGAACTAGAAATACCATTTGACCCAGCCATCCCATTACTGGGTATATACCCAAAGGATTATAAATCATGCTGCTATAAAGACACATGCACACGTATGTTTACTGCGGCACTATTCACAATAGCAAAGACTTGGAACCAACCCAAATATCCATCAATGATAGACTAGATTAAGAAAATGTGGCACATATACACCATGGAATACTATGCAGCCATAAAAATGATGAGTTCACGTCCTTTGTAGGGACATGGATGAAGCTGGAAACCATCATTCTCAGCAAACTATTGCAAGAACAAAAAACCAAACACCGAATGTTCTCACTCATAGGTGGGAATTGAACAATGAGAACACTTGGACACAGGGTGGGGAACATCACACAGCAGGGCCTGTTGTGGGGTGGGGGGAGGGAAAGCATTAGGAGATATACCCAATGTAAATGATGAGTTAATGGGTGCAGCAAACCAACATGGCACATGTATACATATGTAACAAACCTGCACGTTGTGCACATCTACCCTAGAACTTAAAGTATAATAATAAAAAAATTATTAATTTCAAAGGAAGTACATGGTAAAAGATGAAACTGGAAAACATTATTGAGAAAGCAAAGTTTGTGCTGGTATAGATCTTCAAGTCCACTGCGTATATTCTTAGTTTTCATTTTATCAACTAATAATACATTTATGTTTCGTTAGCAAGCCATACCTCAAATTTCCCTTCAAGCTATTAACTTAATATTCCTTTTAAATATGCCCTTATTATTCCCTTATATCATAAAATGATAAAGTTCAAATCAGAGAATTGGCATAAATTATCTCATGAAAAAGCCTAGTTAAAATTCAAGTCTTTCTACACCATTTTTTGTTTTTATCAGAGTAGTCCAGAGAATACTCTGGTCTTTTGTTAAACTTGCAATGAGCAGAGCTCTATATGGTGTCTGCCAAAAAAGCAAATTGGATCATCTGGTTCTATGACACATAAGTATTGGATTTCAAGAAAGTCAATTCTAAAGAATTAAGAGATCTGGTGAGTAGAGAGTAACCGGAAGAAGTATTAAAATCTGTGACTACAGAGGAAGGGTTGAGATCCTGAGAGACATCATAATTATAGCCTAATAGCTCAAATTCCATAAAATGACCAATGTGAGAAACATATAACATCTGATGTGCTCTCATAGGGGAGTGCTAAAATATATGATGTATTAAAAATACCTTAAAATGGAAAAGTTGGCAGGGAACCAAATAAGAGCAAACACTAACAACCAAGGGCAATGAAAAAAAGGGTACTTGTCCATATTATACATTTCTCTCCATCATGTGATAAATTAAATCAGTAACACAAAATATGAAAGACCTTTGACCTTAGAAGTAGTAACAAAATATAAATAAGTCAGTAGTCTTATAAAACTATTATTTTTCTGGTATATAGTATTAAGTTTTATGATATCTCTGGTAAATATTTGAGGTAATGGTAAATATTTTTAAAAATCATTGAAAATCTTTACAGATTCAAATATTTTCAGGAATAAATTCAAAAGAAAAACAGAAAAGAAACACTGAATAACTACAATTAAGAATTAAATTCTGTCAATATTTTACCATATAACAGTCTAAGTTTCAAAATTCAAAAGAAGGAACTAAAACACAAAGTATTAACTGAGGTTGTTAATGACCTTAGGGTCATTAAATTGAGAGGGTCAGCACTCTTAATGAATCAAGGGAACAGAGTTTAACAGGTATTTGAGATAAGGCAAGGATTTTTAAATGAGCTGCCTACCTAGATCTGGGGCCCCTGAAGGGCCAGAAAAACATCAACCCATCAGAAACAGGAAAGAATAAGAAAGTTTGCCTGTCTTGGCAAGAGAGCTTGTTGAAAAAACAAATATCTCCCTGGAAAATTAAAAATAATGAGAAATATCCTACATGTATTAAGTGGCTCTAACTTATATTACCTGGGTGGTCCTCAAATACCCCTTCTGTTATTTATACAGCAGTAGCACCAGAATTTTGATAACCCTGGGGCATCTGTCAGAAACAGATGCAAAACCTCTCTAGAAAACATGTCCTCAATGACAAAAAGGATACTCAAGGGAAAAAGATCATTGAAGATAAGCTTCTAATACAGACTATTTTATATATACATAAAAATCCTTATTAGCAAGAGGAAAATTAGATCCCATTTTCAAAAGCATTATCAAGAACTTTTGATAATAAAATTTTAATAGATACTAAATTACAATAAAAATTTTGCTTAAAATTACTAAAAACATACAGAATTAAAAAAACATAAGAAAAAAAGCAAGGCACTATTCAAAAGGGCAAATCAGGTTTCAAAAACAACCAAAGAGAATTTCCAAAAATAAAAAATACAGTTACTAAAGTTAAAGACATAATAGGTGGGATAAATAGCATTTAGATATATCTTAAGACTAGAATATAGATTTGAGAAAATTCCAGAATGTACTAAAATAAATTTTAAAATGCAAAGTTTAAAAGGAAAACGAAGAGACATGGAGAGATGAGTCCAACATATATAACTAGAATTCCAAAATGAGAGAACAGAAAGAAAGGAAAAGAGAAAATACTAAAGAAAAAATAGCTGAGGATTTTCCCAGAAATGATGAAATATAAGAATTCATAGACTCAGGAAGCACAGTGTGTCCTGGTTCAGACAAATACAAGGAAATCCACAAGCAGACATATCTTGGTGAAACTGCTCATCACCCATGATGATGAAAAGATATTAAATTCAGCTGGAGAAAACAGATTACAGCATTCCAAGGCACATAGGGTTATAGGAGCTGTAGAATCAATAATTCGCTGATGTACTCCAATAAAACAATGGTTTAATGTATGTCTATATTGTCCACATAAACAAAGAAATGGTATAATTATCTGTACCTATCATGTAGTAATATAGAGGATTATGTCCATAGAAATTTATTAAACCCTCGATGAAAATAACAAAACATTGACTATTTTAAGGTTCTAAGCAAATAACAGAAAAATAATCATGTGAGTTGGCAAAAGCTGTTCTAGTAAGCTTTGGGAGGTATAGATTGTAAACAAAAAAAAAGTATAGTTCTCTGAAATTGTTACTAAGCAAGAAGGCACAGGTGTATGCCACATGCACTCAAGAAAACACATGTGTCAGAAAGGCTGTGGTCATCTTTCTTGGACTCAGAATATTTACACTAAGGTTCTTCTGCCCATCTGTCATACATTTTGGTATGCCTTTGTGGGAAATACTAAAGGAGTTTAAGAATCACACTTCAAAAACTGCATATTATGAAAGACCAGAAGTAGGAAAAGTGGTACCAAGGTTCCCAAAATATTCCACCAAAAAAGTCAGAATAAGAAATGCTAGATGGTCTGTGTGCACAGAGCAATTCTTTTTTCTTTTTTTTTTTTTCCCTTTTGTGTATGAGAAAGGGTCTCCCTCTGTCTTTGTCACCCAGGCTAGAGTGGAGTGGCATGATCTTGGCTCACTGCAACCTCTGCCTCCTGGGCTCAAGTCATCCCAGTACCTCAGCCTCCTAAGTAGTTAGGGCTATAAGTGTGTGGACTGCACACCCGGCTAATTTTTGTATTTTTTGTAGAGACGGGGTTTCGCCATGCTGCCCAGGCTGGTGCACAGAGCAATTCTTATGCAACATAAAGATTTTCTTAGTATGTCATTATGGCTGAACTTTAGATGGAAGATGCTAGAGCAGAAGATACTTAAAACTTGTGGTAATCGGCCAGGCGTGGTGGCTCACACCTGTAATCCCAGCACTTTGGGAGGCCGAGGCAGGCGGATCACGAGGTCAGGAGATCGAGACCATCCTGGCTAACATGGTGAGACCCCGTCTCTACTAAAAATACAACAACAACAAAAAAAATTAGCCGGGCGTGGTGGCGGGCGCCTGTAGCCCCAGCTACTCGGGAGGCTGAGGCAGGAGAATGGCGTGAACCCGGGAGACAGAGCTTGCAGTGAGCCAAAATTGCGCCACTGCACTCCAGCCTGGGCGATAGAGCAAGACTCCATCTCAAAAAAAAAAAACAAAAAAACAAAAAAAAACTTGTGGTTATCACCTGAGACCATCTCTTACAGTAGTTATTCCTAAATATGAAAACAGTAACATTCCCAAACATTTATTATAAACAATCTGCTACCTGGAAAACTATGTGTTACATAAACCTATTCCTAGATATTCTTCTGTTTATATTAATGGGAGGCATAAAGATAAATAATTTAAATCCTATAGGAACTTAAAAAATGAAATAGTTGGCCAGGCATGGTGACTCATACCTGTAATACTAGCACTTTGGGAGGCCGAGGTGGGTGGATTGCCTGAGGCCTGGAGTTCAAGATCAGTCTGGCCAACATGGTAAAACCCCATCTCTACAAAAAATACAAAAGTTAGCCAGGCGTGGTGGCGTGGGCCTGTAGTCCCAGCTACTTCGGAGGCTGAGGCAAGAGAATCGCTTGAACCCGGGAGGCAGAGGCTGCAGTGAGACGAGATTGCACCACTGCACTCCAGCCTGGGTGACAGAGCAAGACTCCGTCTCAAAAAAAAATAATAATAATAATAATAATAATAGTTATCGGTATATATCCATTTAGAGGCTTTTTTTTCAACAAGAGCACTATCCAATGACTTTCAAATGCAATTAAAATAAAATTCAAACTCTCTCTGACTTACAAAACCGTTCATTATTTAGCCCTTTTCTCCCTAAAACTCCTCTGCTATTACTTCTTTCCTCCCAGCCAGGCATGAACCCTTAAACGTGCTCAACTTGTTCCTACTCGAGTGTCTTTGCTCTTCCTAAAACACTCTCAGCAGAAACACTCCAGGTGTATTTGAACAGATAGCTCATTTTTGTCATTCAGGTATTAGAAGGGGCCTTCCCTGAGCTCCAATCTAAGGAAATTTCCCAATTACTCTTATTATATTACCCAGTTATATTATTTTCATAGCATTTATTACTCTGAAATTGAGAAACATGGATTGAGGGCTCCCTATGGTGCCAGGTCCTTTGCTAGGTGCTGAAACAACAATGGCAAAAATGGATACATAATGTTGTTTCTCACGGAATTCAGTTTAGCAGGAAAGATAACTAAACAAAGTAATCATAAGGTATGATAAGTATAATAATAAGGAAAGTACAGAGAGGTGTGGAAATACTCAATAGGGGACCTAATCTTTTATCTCAAGGTGCTGAACATACACAAAGAATCTATAAAGACATATAAAGCATCTTGTGCACAATGCTACAAGAACTACAGCTTGAAATGATGATTTTTAAGGTACATTTAAAGAAAGTATCAGTATAAATTTAGTTCGGCAAAATTAAATAATGTTAAAATAAAATATTCTCATTCTTGAAAAAAAAAAAACACCAACAAAAACTTTCCTGCCAAAACAAAAGAACAAAACAAAGGTTAATATATTTGTAATGGAGATCACAAGTGCTACGTCTATTTATTACAATATCTAGAAGACAGTTTTATGAGCATACTAAATTAAAATATTAACTTAATTCAATTTTACTGAGATGTCCAATGGATAATAGCTCTGATTCCAGTTGTTTATATCTATAACCTGGAACTGCTGGTCATCTAATTTTACTTGTTAGAACTTTTCAAAGGAAAAGCTTAAAAAAAAACTTCATGGAAGAGGGAGCGACTAGGGGTATTGCTGAATGTTTCTCAGAGAAGAGAACATTAGAAACTGTGTTGAGGATTTAGATAGGAATATACTAAGGGAGAGAAGGTCAGGAGATTTTTTAAATTTCATTTTTAAAGCTTCAATAATATGGCTGGGTACAGTGGCTCACACCTATAATCCAGTGCTTTGGGAGGATGAGGCAGGAGGATCGTTAGAGCCCAGGAGTTGGAGGTTACAGTGAACTATGATCACAACACAGTGAACTATAAGTGACACAGTGAGACCCTGTCATTCATAAATAAACCAGTAAACTTCAATAGTATGTACTGTTGTACCAGTTATAGTGCTCACAGAATTATACAGGATAATGTATAAAAGTTACATGTTGTACAAATGCTTTTAAAATACATTCTTGATATAATCCTGTTTGGCCCCTTCTCTTAAAAAGAAAACACCATGGCTGGGCACAGTGGCTCACGCTGGGCACAGTGGCCTCTCACTACTTTGGGAGGCCAAGGCTGGTGGATCACCTGAGGTCAGGAGTTCAAGACCAGCCTGGCCAACATGGTGGAACCCCGTCTCTACTAAAAATACAAAAATCAGCTGGGCGTGGCGGCACATGCCTGTAATTCCAGCTACTCAGGAGGCTGAGAGGCAGGAGAATTGCTTGAACCCAGGAGGCGGAGACTGCAGTGAGCTGAGACTGCACCACTACACTCCAGCCTGAGTGACAGAGTGAGACTCCATCTCAAAAAAAAAAAAAGAAGAAGAAAACACCATAGGAGGGAAACTGGCTATTTAGGGCTTTGGTCAGTTGGGTTTCAATGAATCAAGGCATTATCTATCCATCCATCTTAGCTGTAAGATGACTGTAAAGTAATTGAAAATACAGAAGATTTTAAAATTTTATCGTATGCTACCATGATAATTATATACAATTTAAACATTTTCTTATTTTTTAGTGCCTACTATATCAGTCAGTAACTACACTAAGATATAAAGAAGAGTAAGACCAGGCAAGACAGGATCTCTGCCCTGTTATATCTACACCATCTTTTTATATTGCCACAGGACACTCTCAGCCAACATGTAAGGAAGAAGATATCTGCTGGCTGCTAAGCATGAAAAACCAACTGCTGCCTCCTGTTGTAACATGAATCCTTTTGCCTTCCCACTCACTTTCCAGGAACTTTTTAGGCAGGAAGAAAAATTCACATTTTTCATGTAAAGGCATGGTAAGGTTTAAGGAAATTATAAAATCATATCATTCAAGTAGGTTTAGGTCAATCTAGGCATTAACCTACAAAGTATGAGAATTAGATTTGGCCTCCCAAAGTAGTGAGAGACCACTGTGCCCAGCATGAGCCACTGTGCCCAAATTTTGCTTAGGTCTTAGCTTGACGTCCTCACAAATTAGTAAGATAAAAGTGATGTTTTTCAGGTTGAAAATTTAAAACAAAGAAAACTTCTTTCTTTCCATATTCCTATCTACAATTCCAGATGCAATTCTGGAAAAAATCTCATGTTTGATTAATCACTAATCAAACTATGCTGGGGGTCCTGTGCGGTGTGAACATTTGGGGAATAGTCTCAAAAATAAAAATAAAAGAGATCTAAGGACACAGAGAATAGTCGTAATCTCTCAGAAATAAAGCTAGAAATATATGGTTTAGGAATTTTAATGCCTACACATAGCCATAGTTCCCCATATTCAATGTTACCAATCCTGAGAAGTATAAGACTGATGAACTTTAGGAATATGTCATGTCAGATTCAAAGTCAGCTTGCTAAGCAAACATAGTAACAACAATTTTTAAAATTCTTTATGTGTAAAAAAAAAAAAGCCCACAGAGTATTACATGTAATTTATTATGTGTATATAAAAATATTTTAACAAACAAATATGCTGTAACTATTTCTCTGACAATGAAGTTTAAAAGATAAATTACCTAACAAAATCAAGTCAGAGATAGGAAGAAATAAAAGTATTATGATCAAAACAAAATTATTTACTTTTAAGTGTACTTTTGCAAAGTCTATTAGAATTATATCTTTAAATATTATACATGAGAAAATTATATCAATATTAACTTGGAGAATTAAGACTTAGTGGTACTTTCAGGTAATCATAAGATAAACTTTCCACCTCCCCCTAAAGCACTAGTATCCATATAAAGCAGCAAGTCACTTGAATGTGCAAACTGCACATGGCAGACATCAGTACATTTCCTCAGATTATAAAATAAACCCAGATGTAGCAAAAATGTTGCTAAGAGAAAAAGAAAAAGAAAGTGATTAGCTAACAATGGACTTTAGCACAAGCCTACGAGGTCTGAGCCTTGAGCAGAAGAAAAGTAGTTGACTAGTAAGAGGAAGGAAACCAAGGTTCTACACATAGCTCTATTTTTTGTGACACTGGACAAGCCAAAGAACCACTTCAAATTTAGTTTACTGTAGTTTTTGTTTTATAACAACTTCCTAAGAATAATTCAGAGTTTAGAGTTTTGCAAAAGAGGAACCTTAACAACATTTGGAAGATGGAGGGAAATAATAGCCAATATTCTTTGCAAGTCTTCATGTTTTAAATGCAGTGAAAGACCAATGGAAAGGTGCTGGCAGATTCTGGCTTGTTCTCACTTTTCCTGTCTCTGTGATCACTTCTTCTTCCTGACTCTTGACCCTGCTGAACAACAGCAACTCCAGCCTCCCGGCCTTACCCCAGATGCAGAGGCCACAGCCTCCCATTAATGTCTATCAGCTCTCTGGTGGTTTCAGTCCACCAGTTGGATGTGCTGCCGGATGTTTCCCAGGTTCTTGAAAGCTCCAAAGTTTTTAACCAGGTCAAGTGCTTCAGGAGGGTTGGTTGTGACTTTGATCCTTCAACTCCCTCTTCTGGACCTTTACTTCTCAGCTTTTTCTACAACTGGGTAAGATTTTATGCCTAAAATGAATCTCTTACTCTGTAATACTCTATTGGTTCTGCTGCCTTAATTAAACCATGATATATTCCTTTGGAATAAAAAAAAATTAAGGTTTTAGGAACAGAAGATCTTCAAGTTTTAAAATCTGATGATTCTCTACACTTAACTTCCCTACTCCCCACTCCCTACAACATACACATAGAAGCACATCACAATTAAAGACAAAATTTGAGTAATGTACCCAGAGGAATGAATGAAAATCATTATAAAGGTTGCCATTTAATATTGGTCAGGGAAGTAAACACATTACTCTTCATTATATCTTTTGAATTTCATCTATATTACCTATTCAGAAACAGAATTATATTAAAGTCCTATTTATACGTCTGTCAAGATTAATCATCAGAACTAAGCTACAACAGATCTAAAATTTTCTGTTTTTATTTGAATGAATATCTTTCATAAACATTCACATTCAGTCTCTTGATTAGTTGGCCCTACTTAATCATCACTCTGTCATTAATTAAGTTAGCCTTTATTTGGTATCTGTTATGTGCCAAGCATGACATTATGTGCCAGATAAAACATGCCACACTTTCATACTTCTAGCCTCTGGATCTACTGCTTCCTTCTTCGGAATGCTCCCTCTACTCTGCAGGCACCCATACTCTGTGGAAACAAGTTCAGAAGCCATGCACTCTGTGAAACCTTCTCTGAAACCCCACCGATAGACTCAATCATTCATTTCTCTTTTTTTTCTTTTAAAAAGAGAAATGAATGATTGACTATTTTGTACCTATGTGAACTTTGCATTAATTTATCTTTTTGCTTATGTGCCTGTGCCTAAGATCTCCTATGTATATGGAATATATTTATCTTGATTTGGATGTGTTTCTTCTGTAAGCCTAACTATGCTGTATTTGTCTATCATAGCATTCTTCACACTGCATTCTAATAGTTAAATAGCAAGTCTGTTTCTTTGATTGGATGCTGAACTTCTTACAGGACATATACTAGAATAATATTAGAAATTATTTCATTTTGTTTCTCCAGTGTAAAAGACCTTTGATGGCATACACTAGACATTCAAAAGTCTGTGTTTTTTATT
Source organism: Homo sapiens (assembly GCF_000001405.40). NCBI lineage: Eukaryota > Metazoa > Chordata > Mammalia > Primates > Hominidae > Homo > Homo sapiens. Next base: position 99,563,179 of record NC_000008.11, on the reverse strand, counting down.
ACTCATTTATTTATTTGAGACAGGGTTTTGCTCTGTTGACGAGGATGGAGGTGAAGTGACATGATCATAGCGCAATGCAGCCTTGAACTCCTGGGCTTAACTGATCCTCCTGCTTCAGCCTCAAGAGAAGCTAGGACCATAGGTGCATGCCACCATGCCCTGCTAATTAAAAAAATTGTGTTGTTGTTGTTGAGACAAGGTCTCACTATGTTGCCTAGGCTGATCTTAAACTCCTGGCTTCAAGCGATCCTCCCGCTTTGGCCTCTCAAAATGTTAGGATTACAAGCATGAGCCATCAAAATTCTGTTAATTTTTGACCACACACAGCCATCAAAAGTCTCTGTCAATTTTTGATGAGGGTGACAGGATCATTCAATGGGGAAAGACTAGTATCTTTAGTAAATGATGACAGCACAACCGGAAACCCATATGTTAAAAAATGAAATTGGACCTTTACCTCATACCATAAACAAAAAAATTCCATTATAAAAAAATTTCTAAATCATATATCTGATAAGGATATAGCATCTAGAATAAATAAAGAACTCTTACAACTCATCAACAAGAAGTCAAGCAACTCAATTAAAAAACAGCCAAAAGGCCAGGTGCGGTGGCTCACACTGGTAATCCCAGAACTTTGGGAGGCTAAGGCTGGTGGATCGCTTGAGGTTAGAAGTTCGAGGCCAGCCTGGCCAACCTGGGGAAACTCCATCTCTACTAAAAATACAAAAATTGGCAGGGCACAGTGGCAGATGCCTGTCATCCCAGGTACTTGGGAGGATGAGGCAGGAAAATGGGTTGAACCCAGGAGGCAGAGGTTACAGTGGGCTGAGATCATACCACTGCACTCCAACCTGGGTGACAAAGCAAGACTCTGTCTCAAAAAAGCGTGGGGTGGGGATGGGGGGGGCAAAAGACAAATAAGCTTTTCTCCAAAGAAAATACACAAACAGCCAACAAGCACACAAAAAGCTGCTCAAGTTCATTAATCATTATAGAGATGTAAGTGAAAACCACAATGATGTACCACCTCACACCCAGTAGGATGATGTGTTAGCTTACCAAAAAACAAACAAACAAAACAAAAGAAAGAAAGAAAAGTGAGTATTAGTAAGAATGTGGAGAAACGAACCCTCAAACATTGCTGGTGGGAATACAAAATGGTTCAGCCATTTTATGGTTGAAAAGAGTTTGGCAGTTTCTCAAAAAGCTGAACATAAAATTGCCATATGACCCTGTAATTCTACTTCTAGGTGTATACCCAAATATGTGAAAACAGGTACTTGTACAGCAATATCCATAGCAACATTATTCACAGTAGCCAAAAAGCAGAAACAGCTCAAATGTCCATCAGTGGATAAATGGATAGACAAATTGTAGTGTACAGATGATCCTCAACTCATAATGGGGTTCCATCCTGACAAACTCATTGTAAGTTGAATGCATCATAAGTCAAGAATGTATTTAATACACTTAACCAATCAAACATCATAGCTTAACCTAGCCTATCTTAAATGTGTTCAGAACACTTACATTGGCCTTGGTTGGGCAAAATCATCTAACAGAAAGCCTAGCTTATACCAAAACACTGAATATCTCATGTAGTTATTGAATACTGTACTGAAAGTGAAAACCGGAATGGCTGTACAGGTATGCAAAGTACAGTTTCTACTGAATGCATTATTATTTTTGCATCATCATAAAGTTGAAAAATCTTAAATTGACCCATTATAAATCATAGATCACTTACATACACACAGTGGAATATTATTCGGCTATAAAAAGATTGAAATACTGATATATGCTACAATTTGGATGAATATACAAAACAGTATGCTAAGTGAAAGAGGCCAGATATAAAAGGTCACATATCATATGATTCTATTTATATAAAATCTCCAGAATACATAAATTCATACAGACATGATAAATCCAGATTGGTGAATTTAGAGGCAGATTGGTGGTTGCTAGGAACTGGAAAGAGGGAGAAAGATAGAGACAAACTGCCTACCAGGCAACGGATTTTACTTTGGGGTGAAGAAAATGTTTTGGAACTAGACAGAGGTGGTAGTTGCTCAATATTGTAAATGTACTAAATGCCACTAAATGTTCACCTTAAATGGTTAATTTTATGTTATGTGAATTTATCTCCATAAATTATTAAAACACATACACACATACACAAACCATAAGTTAAATGAATTAAAGAACAAATAGGAGAGATACAACTAAGGCTAGGTGGCCATAAAATTTCCTAGAAAAATAAGGCTCATGTTCTTTGTTATGATAGAATTTGTGATTTTTAAGACACAATAACCTGTGACTTTTATAAGCTGGCACCTCCTAAATCTGAAAACTGTGTAAAGATAAGGAATAGGAAGGCTTGAAGCTGGATGCTATCATGTGATATTTAGAGGTTATGATTAGTGTAGTTGATGCTGTGGTGTGCCACCAAGATTCTCCTTTATGATGAAAATATTCACTTCCCAGCTGCCATGCAAGTTGCATGCTGATGACTCCATTATTGCATTCCTCTCTGAAATTTACCCTGGCTGGCTGTATGTGCTTCTTCATCCAAATTTACACCCCTTCTCAGGGGCACATTCAATCACTTGTCAGTGAAGGACTACAATAATACATTTTATATACGGCAGTGCTATGTTCTAGGGATAAATCAATGAACATGATGGCGATGATCTCTGTCCTCAGGACCCAGAGGTAGTTATATAAGTAATTAGAATAAAATATGTTAAGTGATGTGATAGGAGCACACACAAATGAGACTTAACTTGGTCTTCTGACAGGCTCAGGGAAGGCTTCCTAGAAAACACGTCTACCATGATTTTATATTTAGAAAATCCCATCGTCTCAGCCCAAAATCTCCTTAAGCTGATAAGCAACTTCAGTAAAATCTCAGGATACAAAATCAATGTGTAAAAATCACAAGCATTCCTATTCACCAATAACAGACAAACAGAGAGCCAAATCATGAGTGAACTCCCATTCACAATTGCTTCAAAGAGAATAAAATACCTAGGAATCCAACTTACAAGGGATGGGAAGGACCTCTTTAAGGAGAACTACAGACGACTGCTCAATGAAAGAAAAGAGGACACAAAGAAATGGAAGAATATTCCATGCTCACAGATAGGAAGAATCAATATCATGAAAATGGCCATACTGCCCAAGGTAATTTATAGATTCAATGCCATCCCCATCAAGCTACCAATGACTTTCTTCACAGAATTGGAAAAAACTACTTTAAAGTTCATATGGAACCAAAAAAGAGCCCACATTGCCAAGTCAATCCTAAGCAAAAAGAACAAAGCTGGAGGCATCACGCTACCTGACTTCAAACTATACTACACGGCTACAGTAACCAAAACAGCATGGTACTGGTACCAAAACAGAGATATAGAACAATGGAACAGAATAGAGCCCTCAGAAATAATGCCGCGTATCTACAACCATCTGATCTTTGACAAACCTGACAAAAACAAGCAATGGGGAAAGGATTTCCTATATAATAAATGGTGCTGGGAAAACTGGCTAGCCATATGTAGAAAGCTGAAACTCAATCCCTTCCTTACACCTTATACAAAAATTAATTCAAGATGGATTAAAGACTTAAATGTTAGACCTAAAACCATAAAAACCCTAGAAGAAAACCTAGGCAATACCATTCAGGACACAGGCATGGGCAAGGACTTCATGACTAAAACACCAAAAGCAATGGCAACAAAAGCGAAAATAGACAAATGGGATCTAATTAAACTAAAGAGCTTCTGCACAGCAAAAGAAACTACCATCAGAGTGAAGAGGCAACCTACAGAATGGGAGAACATTTTTGCAATCTATCTATCTGACAAAGGGCTAATATCCAGAATCTACAAAGAACTTAAACAAATTTACAACAAAAAATCAAATAACCCCATCAAAAAGTGGGTGAAGGATATGAACAGACACTTTTCAAAAGAAGACATTTATGCAGCCAACAGACACATGAAAAATGCTCATCACTGGCCATCAGAGAAATGCAAATCAAAACCAAAATAAGATACCATCTCACACCAGTTAGAATGGCAATCATTAAAAAGTCAGGAAACAACAGGTGCTGGAGAGGATGTGGAGAAATAGGAACACTTTTACACTGTTGGTGGGACTGTAAATTAGTTCAACCATTGTGGAAGACAGTGTGGCAATTCCTCAAGGATCTAGAACTAGAAATACCATTTGATCCAGCCATCCCATTACTGGGTATATACCCAAAGGATTATAAATCATGCTGCTATAAAGACACATGCACACGTATGTTTATTGTGGCACTATTCACAATAGCAAAGACTTGGAACCAACCCAAATGTCCATCAATGATAGACTGGATTAAGAAAATGTGGCACATATACCCCACGGAATACTATGCAGCCATAAAAAAGGATGAGTTCACGTCCTTTGTAGGGACATGGATGAAGCTGGAAACCATCATTGTGAGCAAACTATTGCAAGGACAGAAAACCAAACACCGCATGTTCTCACTCATAGGTGGGAATTGAACAATGAGAACACTTGGACACAGGGTGGGGAGCATCACATACTGGGGCCTGTTGTGGGGTGGGGGTAGGGGGGAGAGATAGCATTAGGAGAAATACCTAACGTAAATGATGAGTTAATGGGTGCAGCACACCAACATGGCACATGTATTCATATGTAAGAAACCTGCACGTTGTGCACATGTACCCTAGAACTTAAAAGCATAATAATAATAATAAAAAGAAAACATGATGTCTACTCTGAGGCTTGCTAAATGATAGGAGCTAGGCAAGTGAAGAGGGTGGGTTATGACAGTTACAGGTACAGAGAAGATCACATATAAAGACCTAAGGAGTACAAACTATATTTTACTGTTTGGTTTTTGATACATTATTTATCTTTTGTAGGCCTTAGTTTCTTCATGTATAATTAGGGAAAATAACAGTTATTACCTGGTAGGATTATTGTGAAAATTAAGTTAAATAAACTGGGTAAAGTGATAAGCGTTGCATAATCCATTATTAATGTTGCTGCTATTATTATTGCCAAGACATGGACAAATGTAGTTTTGGTAGAAAAGGGCAGAACCTAAGCAATCAGAATTGCAAAAGGCATACAATGAAGTCTTCAGAAGATGTTTTCAAGAAATTCAATCAATAAACCACCACGGTATGTTACAAGCAACAGGTATTACTGATTCTATTTTATAAAGAGAAAAGCAGAAGAAAAATAATTAATACTTTCTTAAAATCATAAAGACCTCTAGTTTTACAATATAAAGGTATGTAGCTTTAATGCCTAATACCGCCTTTCTAGCAAATGATTCTACCTATTTCTCCGATGAGAACCACAAGTAGCCTGGGAAAGGTGGCAGTGACTATAAATCGTTAAGAGTACACATTCAGGACTACTTCCTTTAAAAATGTTCTCTACGAGATTTCTTAAAGAACTAAAAGTAGAACTACCATTCAATCCAGCAGTCTCACCACTAGGTATCTTTTCAAAGGAAAATAAGTCATTATATGAAAAAGACACATGCACACACATGTTAATAGCAGCACAATTCGCAATTGTAAAGAGGTGTAAACAATCGAAGTGCCCGTCAACCAATGAGTGGATAAAGAAAATGTGGTATATATACACCATGGTCTACTACTCAGCCATAAAAAAGAATGAAACAATGTCTTTTGCAGCAACTTAGATGGAACTGGTGGCCATTATTCTAAGGGAAGTAACTCAGGAATGGAAAACCAAGTATCATATATTCTCACTTATAAGTGGGAGGTAAGCTATGAGAATGCAAAGTCATAAGAATGATATAATGGACTTTGGGGACTCAGGGGTGGGGGTGGTGAGGAAGGGGAGTGAGGGATAAAAGACTACATATTGGACTCAGTGTATACTACTCAGGTGATGGGTGTACCAAGATCCCAGAAATCACCCCTAAATAACTTATACATGTAACCCAAAACTACCTGTACCCAAAAAACTATTGAAATAAAAAAAATTTAAAAAGATCTATCAACATAGTTGCTTTTAGTTAAAGTGGATGGAAAAAACCCTAGAGCCAGAAACTCTTGTTTTTCCCCACACTCTAACTTAAACATAACTTTGCAGAGTATTCATTAACTTTTCTTGTTATTATAAGCAAAAAGGAGAGTCTAAACATCAAACAATTGACCCCAAATACAATAGATTTTAAGAGAAAATGTGTATCCTTTAGCCTGAAGTAGATTCTTTCAATAAATAGTAAGCTTTTTTTTTCTATGCTAACATAATCCTAAATTTGTAATAATTTCAGTGTAACACTGGTAGGACTAGCAGGTTTCCATGCCAAATCATCAGCTACAATTACAAAATATTTTTTATGCTTATAATGAAAAGCAGAAGCAATACCAAAATACTTAGGTTGGTTGGACATGCTAAAGATTGTATCACCAACTATTCTGGCAATGAAGTATTAGAAAGAGTAGAAAGTTTCTCAATCATTTCCTACCTGCTGGCCATATTCCACTCAAGGGCTGGATTTTGAGAATTCCTTTCAGTCTCTGTTACCACCCCTCCTGAGACACTTTCCTTCTCTGGTTTTAGTTGATGCCACTGTGCAGTACCAATATTGATGGACTGCAGATCTATTTGGTATTGTCTGTCTTCGATTTCTGATCCAGGATCTCGAAGAATTCCTAAGTTCAAGGCTCTCCTGTAAAGGCAGCGAAAAAAACAAAAATAAAAACAAGAAAACAGATAAAATAACCATTCTATGTTTATTTTGTTCACTAACATAGTGTCAATACCATTTTTTTCCTTTGGATTACTGATGAATAAACTGGGGCACATCTATGAAAAAGGTTTCAGAAAGTTAGTACATATTATGACTTGAAAACATATCCAAAACTTATCACTTACAGTAATCTACACTATAATGATTTATTATGTTATTCCTGGCACGTTACTCTTTTTCTAAGTACTCTCACATACATGATTTCAATCCCTGAGATGCTCTGAGGTTCTATTTTATGTCCATTTTTACCAATGAGAAAATAATTCACAGAGTTTGAAAGACAGCTAAAGTTACAAAACTAGTATGGGACAAAACTACAACACAAATACAGGGTTTTTTGTTTGTTTGTTTTTTGTTTTTTACTCAAAACCCTTTCCCTTGCTAATCGTCTACTTTCTTCTGAGCTTTGATTTCTTGTTAGGAAAGGTAATGGAGCCTTCTTAATCTATTTCACCCCTTCAACCCTTGCTCTTCATTCTTTATATAACCCAAATGTAGTTGTTGAGAAATGACAAGGTTTCTGATGTAGAATAACAGAGAGGTTTACTGCCCTATATAGAGTTGGAACATACAACGTTGATCCTATTGGGTCCACTGCTAAGTAAATGAATAAAATAATCTGTAAAGTTAAATTAAAGGAAGTAAATACATAAAAATTTTCATGAAGGTTTTAGAGTAAAATAGCAAGGCAATAAGGTAGGGTGGGAAGCACAAAGTTTGAGAGCCAGAGAAAACTTAAGTCTGCCTGAATTTGGGGCTTTTTTCTTATGTTAAGTTTTGTTGGTTCAGAAAAGTTTTAAAGTAGATGATCAAAAGAAAAAATAGCTTTTGGCCCCCATAAAAGTTTTTATCAGAAGAAAAGTTGAAATAACAAAGAGAATAAAAATAGCCTTACTAGTAGAAATATTTTTAAAAGCTTCAATTACAGACATTAGAAAAAAATACAATTAAGTTAATTACATCAGTTGAACACTAACGAAACTTATTATTGGGAGGTGATGGGGGTCCTAGTGTGAAAAGTATAGAAAAAGGCAAAATCTGATTCAGTTTATGCCTTGGTTGACTAAGAAGGTGTGGAGGTCAGAACAAGCACTCCCAGAGGCTGGTTAAATGATAATGGACAGTGAATGACTGCTCAGACTCAAGACAACGGGTGTCTGGGCCAGCTGCTCAGGACTGGGCCAGGCAAGGTGAGGGCTGACATTAATTAATTCAAGTGAAGAGAGAAGCAAGGAGCAGACCTGAGTGGAATAAGCAAGTGGCTCAGCTAGTGAGATGTCAGAAAGAGTTATGAACACGGGAAAAGGGGAACAAACAGCCACTGGTCAACAAGCCAAAGCAGGAGCCAGAGAAACTGAGGATAATTCTCATGATTCCTAAGGTAGGAGCTGGATCTGTGTTTTCTCCTTTCTAACTTAGAAAAATTACAGGAAAGGTGAACTAAAATTTTATACAAACTCAAGAACTGCATGAGAAATAGGGCTCATAAGTGGGCCATTAATCCTTTCAATTTGCCTTAAGGTAAAGAGAAAAGGAATGAATGACAGTGGGGGTATGAAGGAGAGGCATTTTGAGAGTCTCTCTGTAGAAGAATGTTCTAGTTTCATTTAAATATTGGTGTAATTTTGTTAATTCTTAAAGGCCCAGCTCAGCTAACTCTGTTTTTATGAAGCTTTTCCTGATCACCCTTCCTCCAAACTCCCCTTTCCCAAATCTCTGTTCTTAGGGTCTCTCTATGCTTGTAAATATAATAATACCACATTGACTTATCAGTCTTCCCAAATATACCACACATTCTTGAGGTCAGGAACTATCTATACTATCTAGCAACAGGTAAATGCTGTTTCAATTCACTGATTTGTACTGACATAAATCTTTACAAATCTCAGGCGGAGAACCTATCTGTACACAGCAATAAGAGCACATAGTCTTTAAAAGACTAAACTTTTGAATCAGGGCCACATAAATTCTGATAGCCAGCAAATATCTGAGGCAGTTGATGGCCTAACCTATTTCCCTAGATTATTACTCACCATATAAACATTACTTTTACCTATTTTAAAACAGCCAATGCTCTCTACATTTTAAATAAACTCCCTAAACATATTTTTAAGGTGAACTAAAATACTTTAAGAATACCTTTGAAGGAAAAAAAATGAAAACAAAATTAGTGCTATATTAAAAGACAAATCAACCTAATCCCAATGTAAACAACCGATTTCCTATTTCCCTTGATACATGGAAAAGCTGTATAATTAACAAGATTACAATCACAAAAACACCAAGTTTCATCAGACTTTTACATTGCTTTTAGGCTTGAAATTTCCCATTTTTTTTTTGGACTTAAATTAAGCTATGTTTCTCCTGCCATCATTTATCAATTATTTCCCACAGGTTCTTCTTCCCTATGCAAAAATACTTTCCATTTTGAGTGATAGCCAGATACTTCCAAAAATGGTAATTTTCAAATTTCAAACTTTTAGGGATTAGGATTAGTATTTCTATATTTTTTCTTATTGCTTGCTTTTAAAATTAAACTATATATTTGATATATTGACATATATGTGACATACTTGATTTGAAAAAATTCAGAGTAATTTATAATATTTGAGTATATAAATCCAACTTAAAAGTTAATTGCAAAACCTTCCAAATCTCAGTTGGGGAAAGTAGGATAAGCAGCTGATTTATGTGAGTTTTAGTCTCAGACTTTCCAATGATCATGAGCTTGCAGAAATTATTTAACTTCTCTGTGCTTTAGCTATTTTGATATGACTATTATAAAGATAAATAAAATATATGTGTAATTGAAAAACTATTCATAAAGTACCTTGTAGATTTTATGACTATTATGGAAGTATATTATCTTATATGATTCTGAATGAACAGCATATTTAAATCACCAACTAATCACAGATGCACAAGTATCAAGATAAAACAAAATCCACTTTATGAATGAACTGCAACGAAAACGATAAAGATAAATGTTCCTTAACATTTCTAGTATCACCTATTTCTGAATATGGCATATTAGAAACTCTGAATGAACCTCCTGGCTCTCATAACAAATTGCTTTAACAAATCTAAAGTATTTTTTCAGACACATCCTGGAGCCAACACCAATAACAGAATAACAGAAGCTGGGAAGTCTCCCAAATAATGTGAAACCAGGAACCATGATAAATAAGCACCTGCCAAAGCTGGCTTTTACTCTAAGGTTTTCTGCTAAATCCTGCAGATACTGATTTTCTGCTCTGTTAACTGCACAGGAGGAGATGAAGCTCAGGGCTCACGCAAATGATGAATCTATTTAATAGAAGACAATTCACATAAAGCTGAGATCACGAAGGGTCACCAGTAGTGAAAGGGTGAATTAGAAACAGCCCTTCTACGGACCTCTGTGGTGATAGGACAGTTCTGTATCTTGATTGTGATGGTGGTTACATGAATCTACATGTGACAAAATTACATAGAGCACTATATACATTAACACAACTAAGTGCATGTAAAATTGGCAGAATCTGAATACAACTGTGTATTGATTGTACTAATGTCAACTTCCTGGTCTTGATATTGTACTATAGTTATACAAGACGTTTCCATTGAGGGAAACTGGGTAAAGTGCACACAGGACTTCTCCAAATATTTTTTGTAATTCTTTATGAATCTATATTTCAAAATATATTTTTTAAAGCAACAGTTCTCCTTATGCTCATGTAGAAATGGACAAGGTAATTTATCAACTTACCTGTCTTTACCTTACTAATGGGTAAAGGGGAAAAAAAAAAAAACAAAATAAAAACCAACCAACCCACAAAACCCAAACTAAAAAGCAATGTTCCAAGATTTTGCAGTCATGAGCCAGGACTTGGAAGTTTGAGTCTCACATATGGTATGAACAAAAATTCAGTCTGGACAGTCTTGCTCCAGGTAGACAGTGCTGCCAGATGACATGTAAAGGCAAAAGTAAAAGCACAGTCTCTTGGGATGAAATCAATTTCAACTCAAAGAACTTCCACAGATCAGGTTCCAAGTGAAATGAGACACTCACAGACAAAATTCACAATTCACACAACAGCAGTAACAATGGACAGACTAGCAAACATAAAATATAAAATAATTATTTAAAAAGTAAAAAAGCATCTTCAAAGTATGAGCAGGGAACAAGACTTTAAAAAGAACCATGTAGAACTACAAATGAGAAAAAAAATAAAACTCAAGCAGATTAAGCCCAGCTAAAGTGATAGTGAATTAAAAGAAAGGTCCAATGAAATCCAGAATTTAATCCAAAGAGACAAGGAAATACTATAAATGAAAGAAGGTTAAGATTCATGGAGAATAGAGAGAGAAAGTCTAAAAAATGCTTAATTAAAGCTTGAGGGAGGTAATAGACAGAACAAGGAGGAGGCAATATTTGAAGAGATAATGTCTTATAATTATTCCACAATTATTGAAAAATGCCAAGCCCTAAATCCAGGCAGCCCAAAGTATCCCAAGAAATAATCATAAGGAAGACATTGGTAAATATATGACTAAGTCTAAACATATATTATGTTTAAATTAATAATAATGATGTCTAAATTGTGATGAGAAAACAGGCCAAAAATAAGACACTGGATAATAATATATAAATAAGGGGACCAGATAATTTGAGATAAAATGTTCTAAGTTTCTTGTATTGTTGAAGAAGAAGAAAAAGATATTAACTTCAGACTTCTGTTAAGTACACATGTTAACATAGCCAGAGTAGCCACTAAAATAACAGATATGGAACACATAACTTCCAAATAAATAAAAATTAGAATGTCAGAAATGAAAAACCAAAGTTGGGCAAGTAGAAAGCACCTAAGAAGAAGATACAAATAAAAATCCAAACATAATAAGCAGCATAAATATAAATAATTTAAACTCTCCCATTAAAAGATAAGAACTGTCAGATTGCATTTAATAAATCAATCAATATTCTGTTTTTTATGAGGCACACCTAAAACTTTAGGGCACAGAAAGAGTCAACATATGCAAAAATATATACTAAGCAAACATTTGACAAAAAACTTAAGTAATTAAATTTACATTACATTATACAACATAGACTTTAACTCTATTTAAAAATAGTTACTGCCTGAAGACAAAAGATTCAGTACATTTGGAGGTTAAGACAATTCTAAATTTATTTGTAAAAACAGCCTCAAAACATATAAAAGAAAAACTGATAGCTCTACAAGGAGAAACTGACAAATCTGTCCTCCATGGTGGAAAACTTTAACCCTCTAAGCAGGTAAGAAGAAAAATACAGAAAAATTGAAAAACATAATATGTGTGATGAGGTGAACATTTACAGAACACAGTATCTGACAACTGGAGAATACATATTTTTCTCAAGCACACAGGAACATTTATAAAATCCGACAACCTGCTAGGCCATAAAGCTAGCCTCAGTACATTTCAGTGAATTAGTATCATATAGACTGTATCCTCTGAGCACAATACAATTCAGTTAGATATTTTATTAAAGAAGAGAATTCACAAAACTGCTTATGTTTAGAAATTTTAAAACACACTTCTAAATGAGTCATCCACTGGTCAAAAAAATCATAATAAAAGTTAATACTTAAAAGCAAATGTTATGCATTAAACATTGTAGGATGCAGTTCAAGTGGCACAGGATAATTTATTGTCTAAAATACTAGTTTTAGCAAATAAAAAAGTCTCAATAAGCTGAACATAAAAAGTAGAATAAACTAAAAGAAAGAGGGAAGGATATAGAGCACAATAAAAAAGATCAACAAAGCCAAAAATAGACAAATTTCTAGCATTAAAGGGAAAAAAAGATAAAGATAGAAGGCAAAATATACTATTCGCAAGAAAAAAGGAAACATAACTAGGATGTTGTGAAGATTAAATAGTTAAATGAATAGGAAGATTTATAGCAACAAAGATTTTACGGCTTACTGTGAAAAAAAAAAAAAATCTCTCCTAGTCGTCACTGTCCCTAGAAGATATTTCTATTAATATAGCGTCCTCTAATTTCTCCTACCAAATATAACATTACTTCTTCTATAACTCTTTTTCTACATGAAAATGACTCTATTTTAAAACCATATTGTTATAAAATAAAACTGCTAGTAAAGTAGTAAGTGGTATAAAGCAACCAGTTTCTTCCCTACTCATAGCCTTAGTCAGGACTTCAAAATTATATTCTCCTATCAAAACAGCCCTTCCTCCAGTGACCTGACTTGCATTATTTATTGGGCACTGTATGTCAGGTATTGTGATAGGCCCTAAGAATAATAGGTCCCTGGATGGTCCCTGCCCTCATAACACTTACAGTCTAATGTGGGATTTAGAGGCAATTATACAACACTTAATACTCCAAAAGGTTATGTATAAAATAAAATTGGAAGCACATAGAAGGGACACCTGACCCAGACTTGGGAGGCCCAGGAAAGAGGAAGGCAACATAGAAACAAGTTCAAAAAAGCCCAGTTATCTCATTTCATACAAGAAAGAATCTCCAGCAGAGGAAGTAGCAGGTTCAAAGGCTGAAAGGTGTGAGGCAGTAGCACATCTAGAAACCCTGAAAAGGCTCTGAACAGCGGGCCTGGAGAGAGGCAGGGGAGAAAGCAATGGTATAAGGCATGGAGGTTTCCAGCCAAAGACAGGCCGTTTTGTACCAACTATCAGAGACTTGTATGAGGCCCAGTGTTTGAGGAAGAGGTGCAGCCCACAAGATGGGCTTGCCTTGCAAACTGGCATTTTATCCCGTGCCAAATAGGTTGCATAAATTCTGTAGTAGCACAATAGCCAAGAGGAGAGAAAAACCTGGGTTTCTGTCTTAATTATGAAAATTAAGTGAGATAATATAGAGAGAGCCTGGCACAGAAGTCATCACATCATAAAAACTTCAAAAATTGTCAGGAAAAAAAACCCTACTTTGAAATCTTTCCTCAGACTCTGTATAAAATGTCAAATAGAAGTAAAATGACTGGAAAGTGAGAATAAGACAGACTTAGCTGGATAAAGCACGTACTAGGATTCTAAAAAGAAACAACAGCTGAGCAGAGAACACCAGTGATACTCAATTTAATAAATCAAACTCAATGAATTCTACCCACATTTTCTAATTTGATCTGTTTCATCAACTTAACAGTGTTTTAACAGTATGCTGGTTAGTATGCAATAGACCTCTTACTTTCTAAGCCAAGAAAAACTTTATTGTGGAAAATTTAGGCGAAATAAAAATATTCTTGCATCTTTAAAACACAGTTTCTTCAACAATCTTAGTCTCCTGAGCTATCAAAACCAGGAAACATCAATGTATCTCCTCTGTAGATAGTTTTCCAAGTACAAATGAAAATTTCTATTACAAATTATAAAGGTAGACCATTTAGCTTATTGGTTTGAGTTAATAAAATATTATATTTTGAAGAATTAGCTAATATGTATAAAATTTACAAGTTTGGTTTAATTTTTCTCTAATAAAACAAATACAGGATAGTTTTTTTAGGCAGATAAAAATTTAATTTTTCTTTCTTATTACATAATCCCCAAGATTTATTTTTCTTTATCGTTATAAGAAAATACAGTAGTAATGCACTGATTTACTTCATTTTCCAAAAAATAGGAGGATTTTTTCCCTCAACTTGAAATAGTCACTAATCTCTATTTTTTAATGTGTAAGATATACTCCTGTTTTGTCCTATACATACTTAAAACCAATTTCGGTTATTATGAAATATTAAAAGCATTTTTGCTTTTTCAATATGAAATTAAGAAAACATATTCAAAATGTTTTCAAATACCATATGCTAGCTTTTCAAAATTTTTATTTTTAATGAAAAATCATAATGTATAAATTTATGGGGTACATTAACTTTCATTAAGCAATATTAAGGCAAGATGTCTTCTGAAAGATATTTCACATCTCATGGCTCACTAGAGTTTTTTTAAAGTTTTTGGTAAATAGTTACAGACACAAGATTCACAAATAATTTATTTTTTCAAAGACTGAAAATCATTTTACAATTTTACAGCTCCCTTCCCTAAGAAAAGAACTTTATAACTTAAAAATAAGACTTGTAGGAGTGAAAAACATTCTGATTACAATGCCAAAAATGAAAGTATATTTTATTCAAGAGAACTTTGATTTAGTACACCAAGTTTTCCTAGCACAAACAACAATTGCAGAATAATTAGAGCAAAGAATTCTAATAGAATGATACTTTACTAAGCAGCTAATCATAGGTAAAGGACTATAGCTGGTCCTATGGTGAGGACCAGAATGCCTAATGTTAACGTCTGCCTTAAAAAATACAATGTAAACATCTTATAATAAAAAAGCGTTATATTGTTGTTTCATTTACTAATTAAATGTTTCCTAGAAATGTTTGCTATCATAAACAGGACTTAAATTTTCTGGTCTCAACTTCACATACTTCTAAAAGCTCTATGAACTTTGCTGTCTCCTTATTGCAGCCTTTAAAACCTTGTAGCAATTCAAATCAGGAAAGGGGGTGAATCAAGAAGCCCATGACTTCCTTATCCTTAGCACAAAAAGCTGCTTTATTGGCTACAATGTAGGAGTTATAATTGTAATTGCTTTGCCCTTCCGAAACTCTTATCCCATACCATTTGAACCATTCAGCAGGTGGTGTAGGAGGATAAAGTCTGCAATAGTTGGTCGATAATGTAATCATAAGGAACCAAAGAAGACTTTAAGTATATAACAGGAAACATAGCTTTAATGTTTTCCTTTTTAAATTGATTTAGTCTGGGTCAGGCCTTTTGTATGTTTACATAAGGAACAGCTCATGTTGAACCATTTACTACTCACTGCTGAATAGGCATATCTCGGGAATTCACTGTAAAGAAGTGAAATTCATTCACTTATAGCTCAATTGAGATCCACAAAATGTTAAATAAGGCAGAAAATAGGAATGAAAAAGAAGTAAAACTTTTATGCCTTGATTAAATTAAATGTCTACATATTTATCACCAAGTCTCCATAAGTGACAGTAATTTTGAGAGTAAATAGGACAGGGGATATAATAATTGTCTGTCAGACTGAAACAAATGCTGAGTTCCATCACCAACGATTAGGGCAGGAGTACTAATCTTCAGAGTGCAGAAGAATCACCCAGGGAGTTTGTTCAAAATATTCAGCTCCCATCTTTAGACATTATGATTCAGAAGGTCTGGACTAGGCTGAGGAACATGCCCTCTTTTCCCTTTTTTATCTAAACTAGCATCCCTATTGATTCTCAAAACCACATTCTGATACTTGGGTCATTACAGCTCTCTAACTTTGAACAATGTATCTCTGCTATCTGAACCAAGGTGAGCACAGATAAGGTCCCCAAATGTTCATAGTACATTACTTTTTAAAAGTCAAGTTCTACTTAATTTTCTAAATAATTTCCATAATAAGAAAAAATCATAGAAAAATATTTATGAAAAGTAAATTGTGGCTAAATTAAACTGTACGTAAACAAGTACTAATTCCAAACTGTTTGGGAAACCTTTAATAACAATTCTAACAAAGATATCTCCCTTTATCTCTTAACCAAATTCATTTTTATTACTATGTCTCTAATTATATCACTTAAATTTTTTTCTCTTTAATTACATTCTTTCATTTCCAGTCATTCCAATTCTACTACCAAATTATGAAGAGCTTTGTAATACAAAATACAGAAATACATAAATGATAGTAATAATATTAATAATGCCACTTTACATTTGATTACAGTTTAATGGTTTGCAAAGGGGTTTCAATATTATGTAGATAAATCACAACTCACAGGGTGCTATAGGTAGACTTCATTTTACAGATGCTGATGATTTAGGTAAGGAGGATGAGAAACAGCATAGTCCAAATGGGAAACCACACCTTCTGACTATAAATTCAGTCCCCTCTTGTCGCCTACGTTCTGTACCTAACAATATGAGAACTAGCCTTCAAAATAAAATGTAAAACTATGCTTTATTTAAATGTATTTGTATGTTGTTGGATGAAAAACTGTAAGACTTCAAATTAAACATGATAAAGACTAATTCCAAGGCAACAGATTAGAATTGATTTAAAACAGGAAATTTGAGGAGGAAAAAAAAAACCTTTAGATGTGGTATATAACAAATCAACTCCCTTTAAAAAAATGTTGTCACATTATTTAACATGGTTTTTAATGTATGGAGTTACTTCCGACTCACAAATATTATAAAATCGGTCAAGAAGAAAGAATAGGAACAGAAGTTAGTATTCTCAAACTTACAATAATCATTAAGCAATTCTCTATTTGTAAAGAAAGGTATGAATTTTTAAAAATACAGCAACAGTCCATAAAATCTCTTAATGTATGATGTTAAAATATGAATAACTTAATTTGCAAATTAATCAGAATAAAGATAGTTTCTTTAAGGAAAAGTATCAATCATGATCTTCTAGTTAGCAACAAGGGCTACATAGTCTAACATTTGATTAGAAAATTTAATATATTTTCCTGACAGTAGCACAATGCCCTTCAATTGCCATACATTAGAAAGCATATCTAATCATACTAGGTACCATCCATTAGTTTATCACCTCCAGTTGTAGAGAGAAAATATCTTTCCTTAAACATCATCCACAAATATCTAGTACTAAGATAATCCTAAGTGTATAGTGCCTAATGCAACAGTATTAAGGCTGTTTGCCAGAGAGCCACGAAACTCTTATACTCAGCAATTGAGAATATAAATCTGACACAATTTCGTGAAATCTATCAGCATTGAGGCTATGTAACCTATCACCTAGCAATTAAACTCCTAGATACATAACCCAGAGTTATGCTGCCCAATAGCTACCAGCTGTATATGTCTCTTTAAAATTAATTAAAATTAAATACAATTTAAAAAATTTAGCTCCTTAATTCCTTGAGTCATAGTGTAGTAGTTACATGGCTAACGGCTACTGTATTAGTTACAGTAGTTACAGTAGATAATGGCTACTGTATTAGTGCAGATACAGAAATTTCCACTATCACAGGACATTCTACTAGAAGGCACTGCCCTAGAAAAACTATTACATGTGCGTACAAGGAGAATGTTGAAGAATATTCATTTTAACACTACAAGTGATACAGAAAAATTAAAAACGTAAATCTCCACCAACAGAAGGAATGACATAATAACTTGGCATATTCATGCAATAGAATATCACAGTAAAAATCTATGAATGAAATTATGTTTGTCCAAGTGATGAGTCTTACATGGCAGAGTTTAAAAAGCAAGGTACAGAACAGAGGAAGGTGGTGGGCATAGAAAAAGCATTTTCTTGTACTCTATATTGTTTTGATATAGTTGTTTCAATAAAAAGGCCAAACAGAATTATGGTGTAGTGGTTCAGAGCACAAACTAGCTGTGTGATCTTAGGCATCCCTGAGCTTCGTTTTCTCCACTGTAAAATGAATTACAGCACTGAGTAGTGCCTAAGGATTTGGTGAAATCTAAAGGAGGGAATATATAAAAAAGTACTCTGTAACCTGTAAAATGCTATCTAAATGCTAGCTACTAATATGGCCTATTATTAGGCAGGGCTTGAAACAAGTTGAAAATTATCTGGGGATTTTAAGTTGATATAAACCTCTTGTGTAGCTGGGATAAGGATGCTTGTAAAGGTTTATTGTTGTTGTTGTTGTTTTGCAGCACATACAAAATTACAATTTCTCATTTCATCAGTGGTATTTTACTTATTTAATTTTGCATAAGCAAAAAGCGGTAGGTAGAATTCTTTCCACAATTCAATCAATATATTAAATACTATAGTCAGACTAAGCACTAAGCAATCATTTCAAAAACATTCAATAAGTATAATAATTACGGCTGAATTATAAAATTCAGTAAATACTTCTGAATTTTTTTTATTATTATTATACCTTAAGTTTTAGGGTACATGTGCACATTGTGCAGGTTAGTTACATATGTATACATGTGCCATGCTGGTGCGCTGCACCCACTAACTCATCATCTAGCATTAGGTATATCTCCCAATGCTATCCCTCCCCCTGACCCCCACCCCACAACAGGCCCTGCTGTGTGATGTTCCCCACCCTGTGTCCAAGTGTTCTCATTGTTCAGTTCCCACCTATGAGTGAGAACATGCGGTGTTTGGTTTTTTGTTCTTGCGATAGTCTACTGAGAATGATGGTTTCCAGCTTCATCCATGTCCCTACAAAGGACGTGAACTCATCATTTTTTATGGCTGCATAGTATTCCATGGTGTATATGTGCCACATTTTCTTAATCCAGTCTAGCATTGTTGGACATTTGGGTTGGTTCCAAGTCTTTGCTATTGTGAATAGTGCCGCAATAAACATACGTGTGCATGTGTCTTTATAGCAGCATGATTTATAGTCCTTTGGGTATATACCCAGTAATGGGATGGCTGGGTCAAATGGTATTTCTAGTTCTAGATCCCTGAGGAATCGCCACACTGACTTCCACAATGGTTGAACTAGTTTACAGTCCCACCAACAGTGTAAAAGTGTTCCTATTTCTCCACATCCTCTCCAGCACCTGTTGTTTCCTGACTTTTTTATGATTGCCATTCTAACTAGTGTGAGATGGTATCTCATTGTGGTTTTGATTTGCATTTCTCTGATGGCCAGTGATGGTGAGCATTTTTTCATGTGTTTTTTGGCTGCATAAATGTCTTCTTTTGAGAAGTGTCTGTTCATGTCCTTTGCCCACTTTTTGATGGGGTTGTTTGTTTTTTTCTTGTAAATTTGTTTGAGTTCTTTGTAGATTCTGGATATTAGCCCTTTGTCAGATGAGTAGGTTGCAAAAATTTTCTCCCATTTTGTAGGTTGCCTATTCACTCTGATGGTAGTTTCTTTTGCTGTGCAGAAGCTCTTTAGTTTAATTAGATCCCATTTGTCAATTTTGGCTTTTGTTGCCATTGCTTTTGGTGTTTTAGACATGAAGTCCTTGCCCATGCCTATGTCCTGAATGGTAATGCCTAGGTTTTCTTCTAGGGTTTTTATGGTTTTAGGTGTAACGTTTAAGTCTTTAATCCATCTTGAATTGATTTTTGTATAAGGTGTAAGGAAGGGATTGAGTTTCAGCTTTCTACATATGGCTAGCCAGTTTTCCCAGCACCATTTATTAAATAGGGAATCCTTTCCCCATTGCTTGTTTTTCTCAGGTTTGTCAAAGATCAGATAGTTGTAGATCTGCGGCGTTATTTCTGAGGGCCCTGTTTTGTTCCATTGATCTATATCTCTGTTTTGGTACCAGTACCATGCTGCTTTGGTTACTGTAGCCTTGTAGTATAGTTTGAAGTCAGGTAGTGTGATGCCTCCAGCTTTGTTCTTTTGGCTCAGGATTGACTTGGCAATGCGGGCTCTTTTTTGGTTCCAAATGAAATTTAAAGTAGTTTTTTCCAATTCTGTGAAGAAAGTCATTGGTAGCTTGATTGGGATGGCACTGAATACTTACAAAGTACCAGACAAGTTTTAAATGTTTTATATGCATTAATTTATGTAATCCTCATAACAACCCTATGAGGTAGGTAGTATTATCATCCCTGTTTTACAAATAAAATTGAGGGAGTTAAGTGCTGTATGTTGGCTGAGGTCACTTGGAAAGGCTGTGCTCTTTAAACACTTACTATGTACTTGGCACTGTAATTAATTCTCCCAAAATGGTTCAAACCTGATCAAAAATACTTAAGGGCTCTCCATCCACCTATGTAATAAAGCACAAATTCCTTAACCAGGAATTCAAAGCTGCCACAGTCTGATCTCAATCACTTGTCCCCACATCTCTCTCATTATGCCCCAATAACAAGTACTCTGATACAAAAAACAAGCATCCTCATGTCTCTAAGTGTACCATGCTTTATTTCTGCCTCTATTTTCTGACCACCTTCTTTTCCTCTACCTGGCCTATTTGCCACAGCTCAACATATTCTTCAAAGTCTCACCTATTTCCAACTCTTCCACTGAGTTTTGCAGTGGCTACTATAGCACCAAGAAACCTCTCTGAGAAAATCTCCCTTATCCACTAACCATAATCAAGATGTGATAAATTATATAGATATTATTAGGACCCTCTATTATTCTAAAGAGCAATGATGTGACAAGAAATTCTGATGATGTCCATGTCAATAATAAAGGCCGGGCTTAAGCCTTTATTATTGCTTAGGCCAGGCACGGTGGCTCACGTCTGTAATCCCAGCACTTTGGGAGGCCAAGGCGGGCGGATCATGAGGTCAGGAGACGGAGACCATCCTGGCTAACACGGTGAAACCCCATATCTACTAAAAATACAATAATGAAGGTACATACTTTGAAGAAATGTGCTAGCTATGTTCCAAGGTTTGGCATTAGAATTTGCTTCTTTTGAAAACTTTTCCCTGTAGAAACTTAATCCTGCAAGTGGAGGTTCTAGAAAGGTCTCCATTACATCTAGGATTAAACACTATTCAGATTTCCAGCAATAATTATGTTTAACATATTATATATTATTACTGATAAGAACTTCAAGTATAATATTTTATCCATGCATTCAGGAATTAATAAAGCTGAGAACAGATCACCACCTATTTCACTTGGGAAATGAAACACCATTAGGGCATTCTTAATAAAAAGATACATTTTTTTCTTAAGGAAAAATTAGAATGTAAAAATCTTTTTCCCCATCTTATCCACCAAAGTATGGAGATAGATTTATTTACTTTCGGCATGAATGTTTTAACATGGCAAGAGTTATACAAATATGGGAATAATAAATGTGCTATGCCTTGTTGTCACTCAGTGGGAGTTGAACAATGAGAACACATGGACACAGGGAGGGGAACATCACACACCGGGGCCTGTCCGGGTGCAGGGGGAAGGGGAAGAAGAGCATTAGGACAAACACCTAATGCATGCAGAGCTTAAAACCTAGATGACAGGTTGATAGGTGCAGCAAACCACCACGGCACATGTATACCTATGTAACAACAAACCTGCATGTCCAGCACGTGTAATCCAGAACTTAAAGTTAAAAAAAAATGTGCCATGCTTATTCTTAAGAATATAAAAAAGTTGATTTAGTACCATATCAAAAGCTTTAGCCACATAGGGTTGACTTTAGTCAGAAAATACCAAATATTTCATGAAAATATTTAAACTATATTGTCTATTCTGTTTATAAATTCTTATATAAGTTTTAATTGATACCAGAAAACAATATTCTTTGGTAATCTTAAAAACAGATAAGTAATACTAAAATACAGTATATAGGGTATAAATATATTACCCCTAGAGATTTTCTAAGCTATAATTAAAACAGAAAACACATAGGGAGAATTGAGGCAACATATAAAAAAGTCACAATGTACATTTGGCAGTTTTTATAAGCAGAATAACGACTAAAAAGTATTTAATCTTAGTATTTGTGCTTCTATACCATGACTCTATACACTTTAAGAAAATAACCCTGTAATAGAAAAGAAAACACCGAGCAATAGCAAAGACAAACATTTAAAACATGAAAGTACAGTTATTCGAAATAGGGCCTCGAAACCACAATAAAAATCCACAGAACAATTATGCAGTTTTTAGATTTTGGTTACAAAAGAAATGCAAAAACAAGAAAGTTTTTGTATCTTTCAAAAGAAATACAAAAGAAACTGAGATAATATAGAATATTATTTTACTGATAAATTCTTCAGTTTCAAAAATTTAGTTCTAAAAATGACATGGTCAAAAGTGGAGAAATAGCTAGGAAATATTCTATGAATAAAATTGAGACATGAAAGTCTTGTGAAAAAGGATATTCTTCACACCTTAGCATATGTGCTGAGGCAAAAGCATTCAATATAAACTTTATGAACTGAGAACAATGAGGTCAAACAGCTAGCTGTGAAAGAGATGCTACAAAAATGACTCCCAATTTAGCTGGTGATGAATTTTAGATCTCTTTTTTCATTAATTCTGTAAAGTATTCCTTAAAAATAGAAATGCTTAGGCCGGGCGCAGTAGCTCACGCCTGTAATCTCAGCACTTTTGGGAGGCTGAGGCGGGTGGATCATGAGGTCAGGAGATCGAGACCATCCTGGCTAACATGGTGAAACCCCATCTCTACTAAAAATACAAAAAATTAGCCAGGTATGGTGGCGGGTGCCTGTAGTCCCAGCTACTTGGGAGGCTGAGGCAGGAGAATGGTGTGAACCCAGGAGGCGGAGTTTGCAGTGAGTCGAGATCGCACCACTGCACTCTAGCCTGGGCGACAAAGTGAGACTCCGTCTCAAAAAAAAAAAAAAAAAAAAAAAAAAAAAAAAAATATATATATATATATATATATATATATATATATATATATATATATATATAATTTATTTATATATTTATATAACTCATTTATTTCTATAAGCATTTTTATATATAAATGCTATATATAAATATAATGTATAAATATAAATATGTGTGTATATATATATATAAATGCTTATAGAAATAAATGAGTCCTTTTCTGTTTTATGGTACAAAAAAGAAAAAAAGAAACAGAATATACTTCCAATAAGTTAGCATCAATACTTATTTGCAGGCATCTTTTCCATTACCAATTTATTTAAATACATCTATTCATTATATCAAATTAATTCTTTTTCTCAAGAAATGAGGTCTGTTGCCCAGATTGGAGTGCAGTGGCATGATCATAGCTCATTGCAATCTTGAACTCCTGGGCTCAAGTGATCCTCCAGCCTCAGCCTCCCAAGTAGCTGGAACTACAGGTGTGTACCTGGCTAATGTTTTAATTTTTTGTAGAGACAGGGTCTTGTTTTGCTGACCAGGTTGGTATCAAACCCCTGGCCTCAAACAATACTCCCACCTTGGCCTCCCAAAATGCTGGAATTACAGGCATGAGCCATGGCACTGGCCTAATTTTTATTATGTATCAATAATTCCTTCTCCAAATACTCTGTCTGCAATTCATATTTTGTGGACATTAATAAATCACATTTACATTAAAATACAATATAAAATACAAAAATTATAATCATACATCATTCTTATTAAATATTAATGTTTTTGAATTATACATGTTGTATATCTATATTTTAATATGCTGCAAGATAATGCAAAAGAATGTGCAGAAAATTATTGTACCTATTTTTTAAAGGCCAATTATTTACAAATTAATGGTGAAAGGCCTCAGTTATTTTTAAAATTTTCTTCACATTGTTCTTCATTATGCTTACAATGTAATCATCATCATTTAGATCTTAAATATTAATATCATAAGCCATGACTTGAAAAGTGAGTAAGCTATGACGACAATAGCTTAATTTATAAAACTGGTGAAATACTTTCTTATGGAATAAAATAAATGCAGGCACTACATTGCTACACTGAGGACATAAAAAATTCTGTGAGTTCTTCCTTTATAATCTAAATGTGCCATGTATTTCTTTGCCTAGAGAAAATGTTTACAAGAAATCAATTAATATACTTTAAGTATAATGATAAAGTCAATTAAACTATGTTTCATGAAGGTAAAGATTATGAATAATTTTGTCACCAGTGCAGCTTTACAGCTAGCAAATAGCTAGCGAATGGTAGGTGTTCACAAGTTATTCTAAAGAAATCAATAAGTAAGATAATAAAATTGATTCTTTATGCATGGAGGAAAGACAATTTATTTTATCACATGAAGATCCTTTTAGGCATTTAGCTTTATTCAAATTAATGTATTAATGATATATCCAGTATCAGCATTGAAAGAGACAGAAGGCAAATACCAAAAATATCTGGATACTCACATGCGGGAAAAGATGAAACTGGCTCTTCAAATAAACAACCCTCAAACACACACACACTCAGACACAGATAAACACACATATCCCAAAACAGAGCATATATTCCTTTAGAGCTATCATTGTCAAATTGTCAAGTGCTAAATGACTAATGGGTGAACAAATGATATAAAAGTTTTAAAAAAACCCAAAAGCAAATTTAGAGGGCATAGAAAGATAAAGATGAAAGAATAAAGAACCTACTTTTACATATTTTAAACTGAATAAATATTTAAAAACCTAAACATTTAAAGGAATATCTGAATATGTGATCTCAGAATAACAAAGAACATGTATAATCATCACATTTTGTTTCATTAAAGGTATATAATATTGCTGACAGCAATTTTGTCAATTCTTATTGCCTCTAAGACTCACATCCAGGAAAACTACCATGTAAAGCTAGTTTCCATCTTGAACTTTATATACCCACAGGTAATTGTGGGAAGAAAATGCTGATTTAAAAACAAGGACTAAAAGGTAAAGTGAGGAAACCTAAAGAGCATCTGTCGACAGTAATGCTAGTACTAGCAGGTCTCCAATGTTGAATAATCTCTTTCATGAGAATCACAATCACTAGGTCGATTTTCCAATTATAAGAAATATTTTAATGAAAATGAGACATAGTTGTTTAAAAGAAAACAGTACCTTAATTATGATAATGCTGCTAGGTATAGTTAATGACCCTACACATTAAGGAAGGTTGAACTTTAATGACCTGGACCACACCAGGGTCACAAATAGTAGCAAAACACTGATCATCATATAAAAGCCACCACCAAACACATGAAAAGAATTACAGTACATCACACATCAAACATTTTGGCCTGGTGCTTCCTTCCTCTAATTCTACTGGCAGGAAACACTCTACTTATCCTTTGAGGTGATCAGACACATTTAAAAGTAGTCCCTTGTTAAAAAGAGCTCTCGGATACTGCAATTTTCTCCAAAGAGGAGGGCAACTTCTGTTTAGCACTGTTGCAATACATTTCCATTTGCAGCGTAGAAGTCGAGCTCCACTGATAAGGTACTGTAACTGCATAATGTAATTTCTTCTTTGAGGGTTAAACTATGGAGAACAAACCTGAAAGATGTTTTCGCATTGTATATGATATAGAATCAGGCAAATTCACCTATAAATGTTATAGATTTAACTATTTTATTATAGATATGTATAAATGAAGTATTATTATAAGTAAACGTTTTGACCTACATCACCATAGAAGTTAGCTTTTCACCCAAATATATTTACAGCACTAGAATAAATTTTTAAAAATCTTTTTCAAACATGCCTATACTTTAACTTGGACAATGTACAAATGATTTTAGTGCACTATTCCAAAAAAGGCTGCTAAATTTTTGATGATAGACATTTTCAAATTAAATAAATGAAATTGGGAAAAAAATAGTGAGAGATTCAGACCGATGGACAATTTTACCAGGTGGATATACGTTATTATTTGAAAAAAAGGATTAAAAAATCAAAACATATTTGATTTTGTTTTATTCTACAGTATAAATATATTTACAGCATAATTTGACATGGTTTACCAGAAGGACAAGATATTAATTACTTTTCTGTATATCTCATTAATATAAGTTCTATCATCGAACTGAACAATAACACTGCAATTCTGTAACTCTATGCATGTTACTTTTTTTCCCTAGTTTTTGGAAAATTCTTAAAGTTTAGTGGTACTATACCTCAGTTTTATCAGGTGTTCTTAAAATCACCTGGAAACACTGAGGTTGTGTCTCACTGAACATAAGCTTCGTGACTTCTATTCAGAACTTTAATGACTGGGAATACGTTTAATGCCAAAGACATGCTGTCCACAGTGTGTTTGATAAGCTGACATGGGACAGGGATTCTTTTCACTGTTGTGTCAGTTTATCAAACCCATACTTGGATGACAGTCAATTCAGTTAAAGGATAATGGGGTCCCAGGATACAAAACATTATTTCCTTTACAGAAGCTATGCACTCTATGTTGTACAAATGCCACACACATATGTATATGACATTTTTCACTAAATAACTATGGTATTAAGTGAAATTGATAAAAATTGGCTCAAAAGCTCATGCTACAGCCAGTTATTAGGGTATATGCTAGGAATTTATCTAATGAATGAAGATGTTACAAATTATAATGTTTAATCTTCATATATGGATTTTTAATTTTTTTCCTTATGGTTGCATTCAGAGATTTACATGGAAAATACCAGAGTGGATAATATATTATTTGATATTAAAGTTTAAAACTAAAGTCTAAAATTGTGCTTTAAATTCTGATTAAAATCAGGCCGGGCACGGTGGCTGGCATCTGTAATCCCAGCACTTTGGGAGGCCAAGGCAGGCGGCTCACCTGAGGTGAGGAGTTCAAGACCAGCCTGACCAATATGGTGAAACCCTGTCTCTACTAAATATACAAAATTAGCTGGGCATGGTGACGTGCGCCTGTAATCCCAGCTACATGGGAGTCTGAGGCAGGAGAATTGCTTGAACCTGGGAGGCAGAGGTTGCAGTGAGCCAAGATCGTGCCATTACAATCCACTCTGGGCAAAAAGAGCAAAACTCCATCTCAAAAAAAAAAAAAAAATTTGGATTAAAATCATTTATATTTTGAATTATATGATCTGACATTGGCTCAGAAATTATTTCAAGTAGATTTACAGATGACAACCTATGTTGAGATAAAAGTTTTCACAATGTAAACATTGATAATAACAGTTAGTTATGTCAAACCTAATACATAGTTACAGAGGTCAGAATAATGATTATCTTTGCACTACCAAATACAGGCTAGAATGAGAATGAGTAAGGTTTCTGGGGTGCTGGGTTGTGATAACATGTCTATATATATGTAAAACTTCATTCAACTGTATACAAATGATAAATATACTTTCCTATATGTAAGTTGTAACTCACTTTAAAAAATGAAAAAAGTAAAAAGAAAAAAATTAGCTATGCACTGACTTTTTACCCATTTTTAGGATCATGTTTGTATTTTTCATTACCTTTCTCAATGTAGAATGCTTTTCAGATATTTGGTTTTTGCTCAAAGTTCAATGTTAGAAATGATGAGCAAGGAAAATGTTTCAGATTGAGGAGCTATCTGTCTACACCACAGAGGATGGAAGTTCTTCAAACAGGATAAGTATTTCTAGTACACAAAACAGGCAAAATTATAGTGTTTATTCTAGGACAGTGACCTCAGTGAACACAGAATACAATACAACATAAAGTAAGCATATATATTTAAGACTTATTGTTTAAATTAGTATTTTGGAAAATAATTATTTACTTGCTTTCATGTAAAAATTATTAGGATTTTTTTGGTAACAGCATTTTATCTTACCAAGGCTTAGCAGTGCTCTTATACAATGTGTAGAGGTAATTTATTATTAATTCTGCACATTAAATTAATTAATAGATGTCTGCTTCTTAATTTTCTTTTTAGTTAGCTTCTATTTTGGTTTAGGGGATATGAGGGGGCTGGCTGAAAATGGACACTAGTCAACAAAGGGTAAAATGGATCATTCTGAAATTGTAACTACAAAGCCAACACTGCTTCTCACATTTACAGGTTTCTCACACTTGAAGTTGGTCAAAGATTTTTTGAAAAATCTATCCATCCATTCATTCTGTTCAAGCCTTTTATGATGATGTGCAGGTTACACTATATGAATAGCTATAGGAATAAATTTGCAGGTTACTCTTTTGTTACAATATTTGATCTTTGTTATTAATGAGAAAAATGCAATTCTTCCTTTACATCAGACACTTAAGACAGTAGCACAATGTTTTACCATATTTTGGACAATTGTCTTATATGTTGGTGGTTATGGTGAACAGCCATCATATTCCAGAAGTCCCAAAGATGTATTTTAAAGGTACCCTATGCTTTCTCTCACTTGTCTTTAAACTCAGAGATGTTTAGATAATAATTTCACATGATAATGTTAGTGCCTCAATGAAAGTACACCAGCAGGAATGGTTATAGTAAGATATTATATATCCAGTGTACTTAATATAACCAAAATATATTAGAAAGAAGTATAAAATAGATTTTCCAAATTCGTAACACAAAACTGTTATGATGGGAACCCAAACATTCTATTATTCTGTAGCTTCTAACATGAATTTCTAGAAGAAAGTATAAAAGTGGCAATATAAAAGTAAATACATTTAAAAAACATTTCAAAAATTTATGATGGTAGAACTTATCGTCATTTTCAACACTGTTGTTGAGGTAGCTTTTGGCAGTAAATAGAAACCATATTCATGGAAACCTATATCCTGCTACAGGAAGCCACAAAAGATGCAGTTACTTTGGTGAGGGCCAAATGTAAATGCAAAGCCTTCAACTAAATCAGCAGAATACCATGACGCACTAAAACTCTGCCGATAATATTTTCAAACAAAGCTTTTAGGGAAGTTAATCTAAATACCTACTATCCCAATCTCTCTCTCTCTCTGACTTACTAAAAGGGAATTATTTGAAACCAACACTAACCATTATAGGATTAGGGTCATAATGTCACCAGATACGAAACATACCTTTGCCAAAAACCAAAACAAAGGTTATTTTGAGAATGCCTTTATATAATTAGGAAGAAATTAAAAGTTGGGAGGAGGAAGGAGGAAACAGTTTTGTGGGGATTTGTAGAATTTAATCTTAACACTGCATCTAGAAAATACAGCTCAGTGTTAAAGATGATAAGCTAGGTTTTAGGAGAAACCATAAAGATACATAAAGGAGAGATGCCATACCTTGAGTTACATTCATCAGGAATAAAGAAAGGCTATTATAAACATGTCCATAAAAAAGAATGGTTTTCCTATTTTAAAATAAACACAATGTGTTGAAGCATACAAACATAATTGTTAATGATGTTAAGCTCATCAATAAAAGAATGTTAATCTTGTCTATGATTTTCTATTGGTTATATTCCTCAATTTTCAACTGTTAAAGTATATATGTAAAACAAGACAAAAAATTTAGTTAATCTCAATCATGAATTTCATTGGTCACATTAATGTTACTTCATATTGGGAACATTAACCCTATGAAAAGTCAGAATGACCATTTAAAAATTAGTCAAGAGTATATACATAACAAGAGAAATGAATTTGGAGTTTAAAAATTTTTTTAAAGCTACTGTCAAGATTTTAATGCATGAAACAATTATGTCACTTGCAAATATCTGTATTTGGATCACTTGGTAGTTCCTCAAGGTCAATTTATTTAAAACCTTCAATAAGATACTTAATTTTTAGTAAACTATGATTTTAAAAATCTCAGTAAATTGGCCAGGTACGACGGCTCATGCCTGTAATCCTAGCACTTTAAGAGGCCAAGGTGGGCGGATCACCTGAAGTCAGGAGTTTGAGGCCAGCTTGGCCAACATGGTAAAACCCCATCTCTACTAAAAATACAAAAATTAGCCGGCGTGGTTGTGCGTGCCTGTAATCCCAGCTACCTGGGAGGCTGAGGGAGGAGAATCGCTTGAACCCGGGAGGTGGAGGCTGCAGTGAGCCAAGATTGCACCACTGCACTCCAGCCTGGCCGACGGAGTGAGACTCCATCTCAAAAAAAAAAAAAAAAACACCCCTCAGTGAATTGATTATGCATTTAAAAAATTAAAATACATTTTAGATTAATTTTAAAAAAACTTCTGCTAAGTTATATAAAACAGTAAATTTCTGCTGAAGAAGTGTGTATTTTTGTGTTAAATATTTATGCTATTAAAATTGAGCCGTTAGCATAAATATTTAACACAAAAAATACAATAAAATACAATGAAATAAAGTGAATATTTGTAATTAAAGTTAATTTTTCATCAACTATGTTAAAAATAAAGCATATTTTCACACTCTTCCTGTGGCTGAGGGTGTGTTATCAGACTCATAGTAAGAAACAGAGCAAACACTGTTGCAAAAGTTGCTCACAAAAAAAGCAATAAGCAGATGGAAAACAAATTCTGTATATACTTCTGGAAGAATTTTACTAACACATGTCTTCTAAGGGTGAAAAGTGAATCAGCTCCCTATCTTTTATAATTCTTTAAAGGTAAAATTTCATGGATTAAACTGCCACAGAACAGGGTACACCTTTCAGAAGTCTCACTTATAAAAGATGTCTTTCAAAAGTTTGCCAAAATTACTATGCAGTTTTCATATAATGCTTGTAGACATGTTTTATGAGAATGAAATTATCTATGGAGAAAAGGTAAAACCCATATCAGAATCAAATCTATTGGTACTGAATGCACTAAAAAGGATTAGCAAATGTCTGCAAAAAAATGTAAAACGGTTGAAAAACCTCACAATTGACGATGTTTAAAAAGGAGCTATGGAATAATTAGTCACAGATAAAATTCCAGAAGGGACTTCAGAAAACCCAGAAATATTCATGGCATGAACAAAAACCTATATGCAGAAGTTCACAAATGTTCAATTACAAGAAGAATATACTTCTCTCAAGTTAAAGATGAAAGTTAAAAAAAACTTTTTAATTAAAAATACCTCCGAAGTAAAAAGCTCTGCTTTTAATATTTTAAAGTTCTGTTATAACAAATGAAATACTCTTGAAAAAAGTATGAGGTAAATTATGTTACAATCACTATTTTAAAAAATCTATTTGAATAGGTATGAAGAGCTTTTGTTAATATTTTATAAAATATGACAGAGCAATGATATAGGTGGTCGATATATACTGTTAGATGACTTCCAAATTTATATATCTAATTCTATAAACTCTATATTCAGATATGTAGCTTGAACACAGTATTTCTCAATTGCACAAGATTAGTGGGAAGAAAAAAATCTAAGTTACTAGAAGCCTTCATAACATACTTAGTCAACTTTGCTATAATTTTGCTATATAAAAAATACATGTGAAAATAGTCATAATTGTTTTAAAATAAAACCAATATTTTTTACCACAATTTATAAAAATACTGATATGTAAGTATACAATGGGATGAAGAGAGATATTTAACAAAAGTTTTAACATCTCTTTTTCTTTCATAATTTTGAGACAACTAGATTAATAACTAAATTTTACTAGGAGAAAAGAGAAAAGATTCATAACACTTCTGTTTTATAATGACTTTTAAATATCTCCTATAAATAAAAGCCACAAAATATATTGACTTTGTTAATCAGATACAACATCTATGTAAATATTTATCTGGTCATTACTCATCTCAGAGCTCATAAGAGATGTGAGAAAAACCTTGATGGCAATCAAAATCATTAGCTACGGAGCTATATTTGTAGAATAAATGCAGTATTAAGCACATTCTGATGAAAATTCTCTAAAAACGGATTGCATGTTCAAGTACCTTCAAGGACCAAAGAGCTCAAACACTGGGATTATAAATGTTTTCATTATAAATTGTGGTTTGAAGGTTATAATATTAAGTCCATCCTAGCTAAGACTATTTTAAGGAACACAAGGAGAATGCACTACAAATGGTACTTACTAGTTTTTTGGAACATTTAAATAATAACAAAATTTAATGGAATATAAATTTGAAACTTCAAAAATAAGTTTCAAACTTCATGCTATAAACTGGTTATAAATAACTTGGTTAAACTACAGCTGGTACATCTTATAAGAAACTCAGATACAGGCAGCGAGATGTAGTGGTAAAGTGCATGAGCAATGGAACTGACAGTCCTGGTTCTGTCACTTATTACGTGTGGCCTAGGAGAAGCTACTGAATGTCTACAGACTGAATATTTTATTTCTAAAATACAGATAATCATAATACCTGACTCATGAGATTATTATGAGGTTCGACCGAGATGTAGGCATTGCATTGAAAGCAATGCACAGAATCTTTGACACAAAGGAAGCACTCAATAGATGTTAGCTATTACTGCTGCTGCTACTACTGCTGCTGCTACTATTTTTTTTTTTTTTTTTGAGACAGAGTCTCACTCTGTTGCCCAGGCTGGAGTGCAGTGGCATGATCTCGGCTCACTGCAACCTCCACCTCCCAGATTCAAGCGATTCTCCTGTCTCAGCCTCCCAAGTAGCTGGAATTACAGGCGCCAGCCACCATGCCTGCTAGCTTTTGTATTTTTAGTAGAAATAGGGTTTCACCATGTTGTCCAGGCTGGTCTCAAACTCCTGACCTCAGGTGATCCGCCCACCTTGGCCTCCCAAAGTGCTGGGATTACAGGCATCAGCCACCGCACTCAGCCTACTGCTGCTACTATTACTATTATTATATTATAATTGCATAAAGGTAGGTCAGCCATTGCTGTAGAAGGCCAAAGGAAGGAGACATTACTTCTAAGAAAATGATTATGAAAAATTTCAAAAAGAGAGCAAGATTTAAGTAAGATATTAAAAAATAGATGCGATTCTTAAGGATTTTTAAAAATTAAAAATAGAGTTGAACATCAAAGAAAAAACATTTTTAAAGGATACAAACCCCCATCAATGTAAAGTTCTTCGTAACAAAAACCCTGAAAGGCTAAACTGGAAGTTAGCTGTTATTTCAAGAAAGTTGAAAATGCATACATAAACAAGAGCCACAGAAAGGCGCATAATAAGCATTATTGGATTAGACAAAATATTTAACTTGAACAAGTGTCTTATGTAAAGAAGCAACTAGTGGTAATATTTAAAGTATAGGATAAGGTCAGATCAGAGAGGAAGATACATTTTGCATTAAAAGACAGGGATTTTGTCATGTTAAAAACTGAACACTATGACAGGTGTTGAGCAGAGAATTGATAAACAATGTTTAAGAGTGGTTTGTTAAAGCCCAAACACCTGTGATATTTTAATTCACACACCAGTGTTGAATTGTGAATTACTTTGCCCTTGTAATTCAAATAGTAACAAAGAACACATAAGCTATAATAATTTCAATTTCCTATTTGTGCTGATATACTTGTTCTTCAGGAATTGCCCTGGTAACTATTTCACGGAAGAAAACAACATTTTTCCCTTTTACATTTTATAATGTATAATAAAGTTTGAGGTCAGGGAAGTCTCAGTCACAATATAGTATATAAGAGTTTTTAAGTTTTAATTGAACTTTAATAGTGATGAATATTTTCTCGGTTCAAAACAGAAAGCAGTGTTTACATGAAGTTTTTTATCTTTGCTGTCTAAAACAGCTCAAAAACAGGTCAGTATGATGGCAAGTCTAAATATGATTACACTGAAAGATGACCACAATACATTATTGAGTTTAAATACAAGCAAGTTAAAGAATACTATGCAGAGTACAATTCCATTACTTAAGACAGACAGACACACACGCATACAGACAAACGGTCTGTGAGTTTTGATCTAACAGTGGCCACAGGGTAAGGAGGTGGTTACCATTCAGAATAAGCCCTGGTAAGGAGGAGTATTGCATACACTTTGGTGTTGATTTTTTAAAAATAAACACGATTATCTTTTTATTTTAAAAAATGTAAATGTCTTAGTTATATAGGTTTATTAAAATAAGGGTAGATGTATTTTCAAAAAAGGTATTTTGAAAATTTATTTATAAATTTTTAAAATGTTATTTTACCTTTTCTTATTTTAATTTCATAATCAGAAGACTAAATCATAAGCTAAATTTTTAAAGAATCAATATTTTAAAAAACAGGATATAAACAGAATTTGCAAAAAAGACCAATTAAAATGTACTGAAAAGGTAATGTATTTACTTAAATATACTCATGAATAATTAATGCTGATATTTCTATTCTCTTTATTACTTCTAAAAAGAAAAAAACTTGAATGAAATTTATGAACACTTTTCTCTATTCCTTTGTGTGAAAATTGCAAATCTAGATGGAACTTCTGGGATCATTCTTGCTTCTTACAGTAATTTTCGGAAGATAGAACAGAATGTTGTAAGGATACTTAATGATAAAAATGAGACCATGAAAAAAGTTTAGGGTGCAAGTTCAAAACTTCTAATTTCACTTATTTCATCAATCTAGGCATTTTGGGAGGTGGTGTAGACAAAGCATGCAATTATTATGATACAGAATCTATCAGAACTACAATGAAATTACAATGTAATTGTAAGATAATGTGGTTGAAGTCTTGAGTTCTGTGAAGTCATACAGTACCATATGTTCTAGTCAAAAATATATATCTACTATTGGTGTCTAGTCATCATAAGCACTCAATGTCTGTTGAATAGCTGCAAATATTAATCAATGTATATTTAATAAATGAATTAATCAATGAATGCATGCAAAGGAAGGGCATAAATGTCTCAAAGATCCCTATTGTATTAATAACTAATAAGGCTATTCTATTTCTTATAATAAAAGCTATTTTTAGAAAATCATTAAAAACCATGAAAATCAAGTCAAACTGCTTACACATAGTACTCAGAATCAGAGAAATGAGATATTCAGAAAAGACATAGGAAGTATAATATAAATCCAGTGTAATTCTTATATAGCAATTATAGCATAACATGGCTCAAGGTTCTGAGACTTGTTTTCATTATTTAATAGAAACAACCATACAAACTATAGTTAATAAGGTATAGAGGATACACCAGCATATTGCACAACATAAAGCTTCTAAGAAATATATGTCATTTATATAAGAGAAGTGTAACTATGTTTATTAACTTTTTTTTTTAAGGCTAGTCAAGTGAAGCAGTGGAATTGGAGAAGAAATGAAGAAATCTGTAACTGGTCATGATCAATTAGTTGTAAACATCACTTCACTTGGATCAGACAATTTATTAAATTATTAATATGCTTAAGCTATAAACATATTTAAATATTTTCATCTCGTTTGTTTATAATCTCTAATCAGCCTATGAAAAAACACTTTCACCACAGGTAATTTTTAAAAATCTGCCTTTATAACATCTTACTTAACTGTTTCTTGCTTCTCTTTTGGCTTGAGACAAGGACCTGAAAAATTTCTCAGGAGAAGGGGTTGTGTAAGATAAAGAAACAACTTCAGGTCAGACAGTGCTTCAGGACTATGGTATAAATCAGGGATATGGTTGAACACATCACAGAATAGGAGAATCTCAGATTGAGTTTAAAGGAAACAGAGATCATCCTATCCAGGAGCTGGCAGTTATAAACCAGGTAGATTATCAGGCAAGGAGGAGGCAAGTAAAGAAGGTAAAGGGTTAAGGGAGGGCCAATGACAATACATACCTGGGCTACGCATTGCACAGTGACTGAATAAATAACATGTTATGTATGTTCTGTTGTTTTCTACTGGATCAGATGCTTTTGAGAGTAACAAAGTACAAATTCATATAAGGTGTTAGTTAACAGAAGTGTTTTATTATTTTACATTTTCTCAGTCACAGATTCCAAAAGTTAACCACTATCAACTAAAAGTTTACAAAAATTTTGTTGCTATAAAAAGAATCCACCGAGAGCAAACTCGGATACAGAGTGGGAAAGACTGAGAATGGAGGATATTTAATGTTTCTCACAGAACCTTTCATAGTGTTTTGATTTTTAGCATTAAAAATTGTTAACATTCATTAAAAATATATTTTTTAAATGATCTCCGTTTAAAAGGTTTGTAAAAAAAATGGATTTAATCATCTCCTACAAAGGGTGTAGCCTCTGAAGTGGCATATCAGTATAACACAGTAACAGTATCACACCCAATCACCCAGAAGCCTAGAAGATATGTAAAATTTTAGGCCTCAAACAAGACCTCATAAGTCAAAATCCACATTTTATCAAGATCCTTGGGTGATTTGGAAACACAGTAAATTTAGGAATCACTGGTTTAATTTGACATAAATCATTACCCCTCTTAAGCCTTGTATGTGGCTGATTAGCCTCTGCTACATCAGAAATGGGGAGCTCATTAACTCCTGAGATAGTCAACATTTTCAAAAATAAATTCCTAATCTCCACCCACCCAATCCTCCAAAACAAATCTTCCTACGGTTTTCCTTCTTCAGTTATTTTCATCCTCCTAGTTGTTTAGGCCATATATAACTGAATTATCTTTGTATCCTTTTTCTCAAACCCCATGTGCAAATTCTCTTGGCTCTACCTCTCAAACATCTCCAGAATCTGACCACTTCTCACCACCTCCACAGCTACTAACTTTGCCCAAGCCGCCACTATCTTTTTCCAAGATTACAGCAATAGCTTTTCCCTTTCCCTTGCCTTTCCTTGCCTGAGTAATCTGCTTAAGTATAAAAAGAATCACGTCACTTCTCTGCTCAAACCCTCTGAGGCCTTTCCATTTGATGACAAAATCAACTACTCAATAAGCAAAAGAAATTCATATCATATATTCAGTTAACTCAAGTAGCAAAAATATTAATAATTCTTAACATGATTCTTTTAGGGTTGAATGTCACACTTCCATTTGTTCTTAATTGTGACTCCCTTTATTTTCAAACGTATATTTAACCTCTTTTTAAATGTATATCTCTAGTCCCTGCTGGTGATCCCCATCCCCACCCCCCCATTTCTTTCTGCAGGCAGACATTTAGTAAATAATAAAAGCATTACATATTTCAAAATTCTGCATGTGTGGATAATTCTTCCCCCACAACCATGTCTCACTCAAACTAATAGCCAAAGTCCACACAACGACCTATATGGATCTTCCATAATGTCGTTTTCCTCACAGCCTGCTAAATTCCCCTGGCACCCAATGCTCCAGCCACCACTGGCTTCTCTTACTTCTTCCTGCTTCAGGATCCCTGCACTTTCTCAGTGAGGTGTCTTCTAACTAAGCCATGCTGTCCATCTCTAACTCTCCATTTCTTTTTCCCTTCCCAGCTTTGTTGTCTCCATGTCACTTATTAAATTCTAGTATACCATATGATTTATTTATTAGCTTGTAATTCTCTCTCCCATTAGAATGTAAGTTCTGTGAGAGCAGGGATTTTTCTTTCTTTTGTAAACTGACATACACCCAGTATCTAGAATAGTGCCTGATGTACAGTAGCCTCCCTCAAAATAATTGTTAAATGAGTAAGAACAAAAAGCCCCATTTATTATTAGGCTTTTATAATTTGAAAGATTTTCATTCTATTGAGCTGCAATTAGGGTCATTGTAACATCCACTGATTTAATGATCCTAGGTCTGTTCTTAGCTTTGGAAGGAATGAACTACTCCCTATGACACATTATCAGCTACGTATTCAAAGAATAGTACCATGTGCCCTAGGAGTTTTCTGTTTTTCAAATTTAATATACACCATTATTTTAAACTTATGACAACACTGATTGCATAAACAAACAAACAGGCAAAGAGAAAATAAAAACTCTGTGCTTGAACTTTCTCCTCCTGCTTTTTAACTTTTTGTTGTTTCTATTTATATCTTATTGTACTGTCTAAGTATTATTTTTAATCAGTTCATCTTTTAGTCTCTCTACTCAATATATGAGTAGTTCACATACCACAATTATAGTATTATAATATTCTGAGTTTTTCTGTGTACTTACTATTACCAGTGAGTTCTGTACCTTCAGATAATTTCTCATTGCTCATTAATGTCTTTTTCTTTCAGATTGAAGAACTACCTTTAGCATTTCTTGTAGGACAGGTCTCATGTTGATGAAATCCTTTAGCTTTTGTTTGAGAAAACCTTCATTTCTGCTACAACATGTATGAAGGATATTCTCACTGCGTATACAATTCTAGGGTACAACTGTTTTTCCTTCAGCACTTTAAGTATGTCATGTCACTCCTGGACTGTAAGATTTCCACTGAAAAGTCTGCTGCCAGACATACTGGAGCTCAGTTGTATGGTTTTTGTTTGTTTTTGGAGATAGGGTCTCTCTCTGTCCCCCAGGCTGGAGCGTGGGGGTATAACCACAGCTCACTACAGCCTCAACCTCCTGTGCTCAAGTGATTCTTCCATCTCAGATTGCAGAACAGTGGGACTACAGGCGTGTGCCACCACACCTGACTAAGTTTTAAGTTTTTTTATAGAGACGAAGTCTCATCATGTTGCCTATGCTGGTCTCGAACTCCCGGGCTCAAGCAATCCTCCCACGTAAAGCTTTCCAAAGGGTTGGGATCCCAGGCACAAGCCACTGTACCTGGCTCCATTGTATGTTATTTGTTTCTTTTGCTTGCTTCTTTTAGGATCCTTTTTTATCCTTGACCTTTGGGAGTTTGATGATTAAATGCCTTGAGGTAGTCTTCCTTGGGTTATATCTGCTTTGTATTCTACAACCTTGTACTTGAATTGATATCTTTCTCTAGGTTTAAGAAGTTCTTTGCTATTATAACCCTTTGAATGAACTTTCTACTCCTATCACTCTCTCTGCCTGTCTTTAAGGCCAATAACTCTTAGCTATGCCCTTTTCAGGCCATTTTATAGACCTTGTAGGTGTACTTCATTCTTTCTTTTGTCTCCTCTGATTGTGTATTTTCAAATAGTCTGTCTTCAAGCTTACTAATTCTTTCTTCTGCTTGATCAATTTTGCTGTTAAGAG
Organism: Homo sapiens; assembly: GCF_000001405.40. NCBI lineage: Eukaryota > Metazoa > Chordata > Mammalia > Primates > Hominidae > Homo > Homo sapiens. The sequence goes on along the minus strand of NC_000008.11, from coordinate 99,524,116 downwards.
ACTCTGATGCATTCAGTATGTTAATTGTATTTTTCAGCTCCTGAATTTCTACTTGATTCTTTTAAATGATTTCAATCTCTTCGTTAAATTTATCTGATACAATTCTGAATTCCTTCTCTATTATTTTGAATTTCTTTCAATTTCCTCAAAATGGTTATTTTGAATTCTCTGTCTGAAAGGTCACATATCTCTGTCTATCCAGGATTGGTCCCTGGTGCCTTATTTAGTTTGTTTGGTGAGCTCATGTTTTCCTCAATGGTTTTGATGCTTATGAATGTTCATCGATGTCTGGGCATTTAAGAGTTAAGTATTTACTGTAGCTTTTGTGGTCTGGGCTTGTTTGTACCCATTTTTCTAGGGAAAGAATTCCAGTTATTTGAAGAAGCTTGGGTGTTGTGATCTAAGTTTTTGGTCATTGCCGCCATATCTGCATTAGGGAGTAACCCAAGCCCAGTAACACTGTGGCTCTTGCAGACTTGTACAGGTGCCACCTTGGTAGTCTTGGATAAGATCCCGAAGAATTGTCTGAATTACCAGGCAAAGACTCTTGCTCTCTTCCCTTACTTTCTCCCAAACAAACACAGCCTGTGCTGAGCTGTCTGGAGCTGTGGAAGGGGTGTGGGTGTGTGTGTGACACAAGCACTGTGGCTGCCACCACCATTGGGACTGCGCTGGGTCAGACTTGAAGCCAGCACAGCACTGGGTCCCACCCAATGCCCGTGGTAACCACTGCCTGGCTATGGCCTGTGTTCACTCAAGGCCCTAGGGCTCAGCAATCAGCAGATAGAAAAGCCAACCAGGCTTGTGTCCTTCCCTTCAGAGTGGTGAGTTCCCCGGCTCCCAAATGCATCCAGAGATGCTGTCCAGGAGCCAGGGCCTGGAGTCAGAAACCTTAGGAATCTACTTGGTGCTCTGTTCTATTGAGGATGAGCTGGCACCCAAGCCGCAAGACAAAGTCCTTTCCCACTCTTCCCTCCCCTTTCCACAAGCAGGCCCTGGCAACCACTAATATACTTTCTGTCTCTCTGAGTTTGTCTATTCTGGACGTTTCAAATAAATGGAATCACATAATATGTGGACTTTTGCATCTAGTTCACTGAGATTTCATGGTTAACAAAATCATAGGAATAATAAAATCAGCCCTAGTATGCAGGGTCTTTTGCTTTGTGTATACATTTATTATACTGAGCTACTCCCACTCTGATCATTCACTCAAAAGTGGTTTCTAATTCTGCTGTTACTCCTTTGATATCGATGATACAGCATTTCACTGAGATCTTGATACATTTTTGATAAACTCTTATATGAATACCTTTTGTTAGTTTGTTTATGTAGAAATGACTTGAATGTGAGCTTTCAAAGAAAAATTATTAGGTTGAGTTTGCCATCCAGCATCTAGAATTTTACATTTGACATTCTAACACATATTGCTAACCTTGGTCTACAGGGTCACCCCAAGTTACCCTACATGCTTAGAATTCAAGTTGTCCTGAGCCAAAAGAGCAGAGAGCCTCACCCAAGAAGAGTTGGGCAAAAAAAAAGAATAAAAGGAAGACCCTAAGAAATACTAATAGCAAAGAGATTGTTTAAGAGGAAGACCAGTAAAGATGACTGAAAAAAAGTTGCAAGACAGACAGAAGGAAACCCTAAAAAAACAATTTCACACAATTGTTCCCAGAAAGTAAAAATACAACTCATGCAAAAGCCAGAAAGCGGAAAGGGTACAGAAGGAAAGGAATTATCTCAGTGGTTCACTTTACTGATGGTGATAGGATCTCTTAATATAACCTAGATTTCTTTCACCAAAAGTAAAGTAGGTCTCTATTTTAGGACCACTTACTTCTGAAGTAGAAAAGATAAAGACACCTGAAAGAATTTCCAAATGTTAGAAAATTAAAGTATTCTCATATAGAATTTATGTTCTATTATAATCATTTCCCTAGATCCTAAGGGAGTCAAAAGATATGAATTATAATCTTGGCTCTGTTACTCTTTCACCAGGGACAACTACAGTATTCTTTTGGTTATTCAGTTTCCTAATCTGTAAAACAGGGAAGTTGAGTTAGATAATTCCTAAAGACGCTTTCTGCTCTGAAATCCTAAGATTATATATAAGCTAGCTGCATAAAAACTTATTTAAGGGGTGAATACTATTAAATACCTAAAAAAAATACAAGGAAGAGATCATACATACATAAGTCAAAGGAAGAAATTATAACTCAAATATCAGAGAAATATGAGAAATAAAGTTCCTAGATCTATTTAAAGTAAAAATAGCCATCACCCTCTAGATGGTAAATGAATCACCAAAATTAGAATCTTTTCCTAGCAGTAACATTTACTGGAGAACAGTAGGAATTTATTTTTTAGAAGAGTGAGACTACAACATCTGAAAAACAGACCAGCAAGAAGAATAAATCACTTGTTCATCTGTATTTCTGTGACTTTTCTCACTTGGTATTATTTGCAACTGTACTTTTCTGTCTGGCAGCAGTGCCAACTTCAGTATGAATCATATATTATTTTTATCATGTTGATTACATATGTTCACCAGTTTAGTTGTCCATGTATGCTTGGTGTGGTTTGCAAATACTCAGTGACAAAATCCAGAGCATAGCATTTTCACAGAAAGTGTTTACTGTGAAATTTCTCTTTAGAAGTTTGCTTTTCTTTATAGCTTTGATCCATATGACATCCACATTCCTACATTTCAAATAATAGCTTACACTTAAATTAATAAAATGTTTCACTTTGATACAACATGACTACAGTAGGATGTGGTGGTTCTACAGAGGACCTCGTTTTCTTATGTGATTAGAGATTTGGTCAAATTTGACATCTGCTAAAATTTTCCAAACTATGCTTCTTCAGTTTTATGGTGACTTAGTACTTACATTCTGTTATTCATCAACACTTCACAGAAATACTTGATTTGTCTGAATGAATTAAAAAACCCACAACTGAAGAAAATCAGAAAAACCTGGTTTTAAATATCAAAAGATCCTGAATGAGAAATATTTCTACAGGCCACACTAAGTTATTGACCACTATATGTGTTTGCAGGATGAAAATTGTTGCAAGATTGGACATAAGAAAATAAACTTACTGGTAAATATCTTTCCTAAGGACAGATCTGCCAAGGGGATTGTCAGCCTGGGGAGCCATGGCAACAGAGCCAATCTTCAAAACCACAGTGTCTTCTTTTGCTGCCTGATTAGCTGTAACAAAAGAAGGAGATTCATGAATACACTGTGGATCTGTACATAACTTTATGCATAAGGAGAAATCTTTGAGGGAATGGAATAGAGACACATTAAGATAAGACCAATAAATAAGAAAAAGTAAAATGAAAAAAAATCATGTTTAAAATAAAAATCTTTGATGCTTTTCTTAACTCTGTTAATACCCATTAAGTGGTTTCCTGTTAAAATACACAATTAAAATAGCAAAGAAAAGAAAAACAACTCCACTCCCAACATTAAAAATTATGATATTAAATATATATAAGTAATATTGAAGCCAAATGTTTATCTAACTTCACAATCTGCATATTTCTCCTAAATGCTTTTCAGCTTTGGGTTCTTAATACTTCATTGTTGTCTACAAATATATTGAAGGATATTACAAAGTCAGTGACAAATTCTCAAAGCAATTTAAATTTACATGCTAAATAATAATTAAATACAACACACACACACACACACACACACACACACACACACACACAAAGTATATCACTTTAAGCTCCAAAATGTCAGAAAATTCAAAAGAAATATGATGGCTGCAATGTTGAAGATGGAAAACACCAACTATTCAATATGGGAGAACATATCAACCTGTTATTCTAGATACTTTTTAATTTTAATAACTTCTACTGTAAAATTGCTTTAGAAATTGGAACCCCAGACCCCTTTAAAAGTTCTACCTCCTAATGACGTCTAAAACTATGATAAATAATCCCAGAAAACAAAAAAAGGTAAAAGGATGTATCAGTTCTAATTCTCTTTTTTGTACTAAATAAAATGATATTTGACTGTATGCTCTCATTTAGGGCTGAAGTTCAGCACTTTTTCCACAACTCAACAGTGAATTCAATGTCTTTTCTAAGGACTATTTGGCATGAAAGGGGAAATTAATGGCCCCATTCATTACATTTACATTTTTTTATTATACTTTAAGTTCTAGGGTACATGTGCACAACATGCAGGTTTGTTACATATGTATACATGTGCCATGTTGATGTGCTGCACCCATTAACTTGTCATTTACATTAGGTATATCTCCTAATGCTATCCATCCACCCTCCCCCCACCCCACAACAGGCCCCGGTGTATGATGTTCCCCTTCCTGTGTCCATGTGTTCTCATTGTTCAATTCCCACCTACGAGTGAGAACATGTGGTGTTTGGTTTTTTGTCTTGCGATAGTTTGCTGAGAATGATGGTTTCCAGCTTCATCCATGTCCCTACAAAGGACGTGAACTCATCATTTTTTATGGCTGCATAGTCTTCCATGGTATATATGTGTCACATTTTCTTAATCCAGTCTATCAATGATGGACATTTGGGTTGGTTCCAAGTCTTTGCTATTGTGAATAGTGCCGCAACAAACATACATGTGCATGTGTCTTTATAGCAGCATAATTTATAATCCTTTGGGTACATCCCCAGTAATGGGACGGCTGGGTCAAATGGTATTTCTAGTTCTAGATCCCTGAGGAATTGCCACACTGACTTCCACAATGGTAGAACTAGTTTACAGTCCCGCCAACAGTGTAAAAGTGTTCCTATTTCTCCACATCCTCTCCAGCACCTGTTGTTTCCTGACTTTTTAATGATCACCATTCTAACTGGTGTGAGATGGTATCTCATTGCAGTTTTGATTTGCATTTCTCTGATGGCCAGTGATGAAGAACTCAAACAAATTTACAAGAAAAAAACAACCCCATCAAAAAGTGGGTGAAGGATATGAACAGACACTTCTCAAAAGAAGACATTTATGCAGCCAACAGACACATGAAAAAAATACATTTACATTTTACTCTCTATTCTCCAACAGATGATTCTACTATAGTAGCTGTATAAACCCTGTTTAAAAAATGTTAACAATATACAACTTTCTAGGTCTTAAAATAAACGTATATTAAAACTTATAATTTCTCTCAAGGAACTACCATCTGCCAAAAATAGAACAGAAAATGACTGGCTGCAAGACCTAAGAAATATCCTGAACAGAACCTGCCTACAAAGGCATACAATCCATATTTCCCAAACTGTGGTGCCCAAAGAATGCAAAAGCTACGAGATTATTTCCAGCTGTATTTCCAGTATATTATTTCAGTGTATTGTTTTCAGTATATTCAGTATATTTCAGTATATTTTCACATACTTGGTATGGTCTAATTCAGATTAGTCCAAGGAAAGAACGTCAGAATTAAGAAAATCAGAAAAACATAAGAAGAATAAGATATTCAGTGAGAGAAATAAGGAACCAGAATAAGATAACCATGAAGGGAGGAGGGAAAGGCAAAATAGTAGGAAGGTGGGAGAAGGGACAGCAAAAGGAGAAAAAAAGAGATGAACTATCATAACAAATATTAGCATACGGATGTCACAGTAAAGACAGTATTTTTACATCCATAGCAAAAGATCAAATAGAAAACTACTTCTCATGCAGCTGCACTATTTTCAAATGACTTAGAGGTTTGGTTTGATTATGGGTCCTTATAATATGAACATTGTTTACATTTTACAGGTCTTGCATTTTATGCCAACCTTATCAAATAGTTCCATGTGGGTAAAACCTCTGATTAAGCAGCAGTCCTCAATTACGTAGTAAGCCTGGAGAATAAACCGTACCACAAAGGTGCAATTAGTATATTTGCTAACTGTTCTTCCAGGCTACAGATACTACTCACCATATGAAAGTCTGAAATGTAATAGAAACATTGCAGTAAATGAGGTAAATATGGAGGAGAAATGACGTACTTGGTGTTACATACAAAGCCAGATCCAAGAACAGAATTCTGTTTCTGTTAGGGCCAAAAGTGTTCTCAGTAGATTATACTGACTATGAAGTTATAATTAAAAAAAAGAGCACTTAATGCAGATCATTCATAAACTAGATTAAAATAATTAATTTTATTATAGAAAGTATTCAACTTATCAAAATATATCACCGAGATGTAAAAAAAAATAATAAAAATATGTATTTATACATGAAAGTGCCTTGAGTCATTTCTTCAGTTACTTTATCACCGCAAAAAAAAATCAGCTTCTCTTTTTTGGGTTATTTCACCTGTATTTAATAGTTGGACCATATGAGGAAATGTTCCTTCTAGAAATATTTTCAACATGAAAATGAATGCCTTCCTTCCTTGCTTTAACTCTATTTTTTAAAATTGAGCCTCATGAGGAACTACTCATTCTAGACATGCTAGATTTTTAAAAGTCATCTATTGTGAAATAAAAAGATTAAGCTGGAAGTCAAAGACTTGTAGATTTAGAATCCTGATAGTAACTGCACATAATGTAAATAATATCCAGGTTGAAAAGCAGACTTTCAATATCATTTTTCTAAATAAAATAGTAGAATGTTCAATTTTTTTATCATTAACTGAAATTTAGATATGATTAAAGAGTCTTACATTAATGTAGCGTATATTATAAGCCTGAAAGATTTCATCTTTTCTTGGGGCAAGAGAGTGTGTATACGTGTGTGTACAGATGCATGAATGTACATTTGTGTATGGCATATGAAAAGGCTATAAACAACTCTGAAATCAGGAGTTTGTATCAGTAACCAATAGCTTGAATAAAGACCAGAATTTTCATGCAACTGTCAGATAATATAAGAATGTTGCTTACAACAAACTTTTCTTAATTCCAACCTGAATAAAAGTGTTTTGGAGACTTCAACTTTCCTTTAAGATTCTCAAAATAAACTCAATTTAGTAAAACATCTGAAGTCTCAAGAGTATTTGAAGTTGCCACTGTTTAATGTTATGCTTTCATAAAGCCAAAACTGTTGTGACAGCTTTCAACAAAAGTTTTTAATCAGTTATTGCCATACTGGCAGTTGAAGACAAACGTTTCAATAAACATATAATCAATGACCATTATGCATATTAATAGAAAGTTTAGTTGCATTTGGTTTACCACTCATCTTTGACACAGATTACTTACTCTGTGACAAGCACAGATTGCTCTGTGATATTTTTATAATAAAGTTTCTGCTGAAAAGTATGATGTAGCAAGATTTAGTTATTCTTTCACACTTATTAAAACAACTTACATATACTTTTTTTTTTTTTTTTTTTTTTTTTTTTTTTGAGACACGGTCTCCTCCTGTCACCCAGGCTGGAGTTTGGTGGTGTGACCACAACTCACTGAAGCCCTGACCTCCTGGACTCAATTAATTCTCCCACCTCAGCCTCCTGAGTAGCTGGGACTACAAGCCCGGGCCACCATGCCCAGAAAATTTGTGTATTTTTTGTAGGATGGGGTTTCGCCATGTAGCCCAGGCTAGTCTCAAACTCCTAGGCTCAAGCTATATGCCTGCTTTGGCCTCCCAAAGTGCTGGTATTACAGGCATGAGCCACCATGCCTGGCCTACATTTTTAATTTAATTAATCTGATAATCATCTTATTCAAACTTTCTTGTAAAGGCTTTCTAAAATAAAATGAATAGTATACTCTTGACTCCAACTTACTAGAGTCATTAATGACATTTATTTCTAATGAAATTGCTCCTTCAATCATGATTTCCACAGTCCACATTATAGCTTTTAACATGTATTAAATGGACACATCCAATCTCCCATATAAAATATAATGTAAGAATTATCTACACTTTAAAATGGTGAATTTGTTATATGAATTTTACCTCAATAAAAATTTGTTTTCTGACCTTTTCATGGGTGAATTATGATTATTTAAATTAAGAGTAGCAAAGAAGAAAGATAAAGTATAAAAAATACTAACATAATGTGTCAAAATCTGAAACTTTGGCATGCATTTTTGTATTTGCATTCTTAGCTTAGGCACACAGTCTGGCTATTTATAACACCTCAGATAGAGATGCAAGTACAATTATAAGTAAAGATACAGATACATGCACAGATACAGAGATGCAAAGGCTGAACACAAAAAAGTAAAGATATGAGCAATACATATGCCAGACAGAAGGATTAATACACAAAAAATGTATTAATTAATAAGGAAAAGATAAGCAACTCCTTAAAAAGTAGCGTACTTTTCACTAATGAGACCTTTGTACAAAAGGCTAAAAATAAACTTCTGTTAGGGTAAGAGTAAGAAATAGCAGCCATTTAGGAAGGCAATTAGACATCGCTTACTATTTTAAAGGTATGGAATCCTTTGACCTAGCAATCCTTTTGCTGGTAATTTATTCTACAGATACATACATCCAAGCCACAAAAAAAAACACCACTAAAAAGTTGTTTGTTGCTAAAAATATGCATATTTGCAAAGGATTCCACTTAAAGTCCACAGAAAAACAAAAGAAATTATGTTTTCCAAAGACAACTATAAAAACCTTCCCCAATCTCACATACTCTTATTCAAGGTGACCTTAGGAAGTACCTAGGCACCTGAATTCTGAAATTATATGTTAAAAACCCACCACAGCCACCACCAAAAAAAGAAGAAAAAGCAGCAGCAGCAGCAGCAGGAGGAGGAGGAGGAGGAGGAGGAGGAAGCAGAAGCAGCAGCAGCAGCAGCAGCAGCAGCAGCAGCTTTAAAAATAAGATGGCAGAAGTCTGGAAATATTTCTGCAATTACAATTAGTTGAGGGATTTTCCTAGTTGAAGCAACTCAATGGGAAACAATAAAACTGTGTGATATGTAGTATTAATGTTTATAACACAATAAGCCCAAAACAAAAACATATAAACAAACTAAAAAAGCCCCACAGAAAATAAAGTTGTTCTTTTTTTTCCTCTTCTTTCTTAAATAGCCTGATTTGTAATCTTTTTGTCACAAACATATCAGTGAAACATAACTTGTTTCAATAAACCATTGGTAAGTATCACAGAAAATAAAGCTAGAGTTAAACAATGAACTTCAGACCTCTGCCTCACCACAGAGCTGCTCAGGTGCTCGGCACACAGGTGCTGCTATGCTAAGCGTGAGCTCCCTTTGCTCTTCTTGTTGACTGAACTATGCCTGCACATTGGCATTGTTCAGAAAATACCACAAATCGTGCTCTAATCCACAAGGGCTTCCAAGAAGTTTGGTGGTTCCTCAAAAACAGAATTCCAAACAGAATTACCACGGGACCTAAAAATTCCACTCTTAGGTGTACACCCCAAAAAAACTGAAAACAGGGCCTCTAACAGAAACTTCCATGCCAGTGTTCATAGCAGCATTACTCACATTAAACCAAAAAAGGGTGGAAATGACCCAACTGCCCAACAGATTAATTAATAAACAAAATGTGGTATATCCATACAAAACAATATTATTCAGCTATAGCAAGGAATGAAGTTCTGATACATGCAGCAACTTGGATGAGCCTTGAAAACATTATGCTAAGTAAAGTAAGACAGACACAAAAGGATAAACATTGTATGATTCCACTTACATGAAATTTCTAGAGTAGTAAAATTCATACAGACAGAAAATAGATTAGAGGTTACCAGAAGATGAAGGTAGCTATTACTTAATGGCTACAGAGCTTTTGTTTGGGGTGACAAATACATTTGGAAATAGTGGTGATGGTTGCACAACATTATGAATGTAATTATTGCCACTGAATTATATACTTAAAATGATTAAAGTAGAAAATTTGTTATATATATTTTACCACAATAAAAAAGAGAAAAAACAAGGTTTCCAAATTAACAATGAAAACTATTTACATTTATAGGCAAATTTTGCCTTAGAAGGAAACATTTATCACTATAAATAAGACCTATCCAGTGAAGAACACCTAAGGGCTATGACGAACACTGACATGGATGGTGAAAACAAGTCAGTCATGTAGGTTTCTCTCACAGGTATTGCCACAAAAATTTGAGTCAAAGAAGCTCTGCAATGAAGATCTAATTGCAATGAAAAAGCAATTTATTGTGAAAATATTCCTCACTAACAAATACCAAAGACTTTCAGAAGCTTTCAGGACATCAGATAGATAAGATATTTTAAGACAAATGAGCAAATTTTGAATACAGATCAAATGCCCACATTGAGGAGCCGCTATGTCTGACTCAGAAAGATTTACCAGTGTATACATTATTAGATACCCATTTTAAAAGTCTCAGCCTGGCTGCCAAAGATGCAGAAAAAAACAACACACTGATATTGTATCATATTCTTGGTCAAGTTTTAAAACTTAATAAATAGGCAATGAATCATACACATTTGGTTCGTCTTCTAAAATTTAAATTTGTTACTGAAATTGATATTTTGTGGTGTGAAATGGGTTTTCAAGAAGGAAACCCTAAATTAAAACAGTGTAGGGAATAATATGTGATAAATGACTAAATTTAGTGTCCATTATACAATTATTATTCAGACACAATTACATCATAAAATTTGAGAATCATTTATAAATCGTCAACATTTCTTTATTAGTAAAAAAGTCTACCAATTAGATAAGTTGCTTTACTTCCTTTTCTGTCTCTATAGCCTCTCACTATTTCCTCAGCTTTTTTCATAGAGATTCTCCCTGTATTTTTCTATACCTCATCCCACCCTCTCACCTCTAATATCACATTTTTTCTTATGTTTCAATGAAATTTTGGCCTTCCTAATTGTTTGCATTAAACTGAAAATAATTTTACAATTAAGGAATGGGGAACATAAAACAAACACTTCAGGAAATATTCAGGAAATCATAAAAGCCTACTAACATATTTTAAATGAAATACAGGAACTCAAGTTAGAAAAATGAATGTTTTATAACAATCAGAGAGGTATTTGTGGAAAACAATATCCTTGTATAAAAACTATACCTAGAATTTTTTATATTATATAGTATAAAACTTTATTCTTATTTTTATCTAGATATAAAACTTCTGTAATTTTATTTTAATAAAATAGTTACAGATACTGCAACATTATGGTTTTTTTTTTTTTTTTCCCACTTGAGATGGCGTCTTGCTCTGTCACCCAAGCTGGAGTGCAATGGCACTATCTTGGCTCACTGCAACCTACACCTCCTGGGTTCAAGCAATTATCCCACCTCAGCCTCCCAAGTAGCTGGGATTACAGGCACGTGCCACCACGCCTGGCTAATTTTTTGTATTTTTAGTAGAGCTGGGGTTTCACCATGTTGGCCAGGCTGGTCTCAAACTCCTGACCTCATGATCTGCCCGACTCGGCCTCCCAAAGTGTTGGGATTACAGGCGTGAGCCACCGTGCCCAGCCCATGGTCTTTATTAAATGTAATGACCTACCCCAAATTCTTCTCCCAAAACACTGATAAATTTTGTGTAATAAAGACAATCTACTTTTGTTTCCATGGTGTTTTCCTCCCATTCTCAGTTGTAATGCCAAAAACAGTTTGACAATCTCCCCAATCTTTTATGTCTGTGTCTCTTCCAAGGTTGTGGAAAAATGTTATTATAACTGAAACTACAGTCCTCAGGGAATTATCTGTATAAAAACGTAGATTTCTGTTTTCTAACCTATGTAAACTTAATGTAAATTACATTCTCTAAAATTTCATTAGGTGCTCCTATATAATAAGGAAAAAGCATAAAGGTCATTACCTTTGCAATGAATATACTGCTTCTTACTTTTCTGGTTAGCGAGTTGTTTATCACTTGTAATTGGTAAATAAAGACTAACTCTTTATTCTTAACCATTCATGTGTTTCTACAAACTATCTGAACAGATGAAAGCAACTGTATACCACTGTCAGAATATAGGATATTCAGAGAATAGTAATTTCACATCTCAAAGTAATTAATTTTAAGATAGCTTCTAAGAAAAGTTAGACATAAAAAGTAGAAACTGGCTTGTATTAAGAATCTGTTAAGTATAATACATTGAATTTAGTTCTAGCTTGGTAATTAAGCACTATAAGGTTCGTATACAAATATTTTATTACAAAAATGATATGCTAAGAAGCTGGGGCTACAGGTGTGCACCACCATGTTGGGCTAATATCTTATTTCTGTACAGATGGGGTCTCACTATGTTGCCCAGGCTGGTCTGAAACTCCTGGGCTCCAGTGGTCCTCCTATCTTGGCTTCCCAAAGTGTTAGGATTACAGATGTGAGCCACTGTGCTTGACCTTGTTTTTAAAAAAAATTTTAGTTCTCTTAGATACACAGAACACAACATTTGAGTTTAGTAAAACAATTAACACAAAGTATATATATGCTTTACTGGCAAAAGCCCTGAAGAAAAAATTTCCTCAATTTCTTATCCTACTAACGAAGTCAGATAGTTACATAGTATTCTGATGTATTTCCTAATGATTTGTAGAATATCTATATTTCCTCTCTATAAAATATACCAAACCACAAAGCACAACCAACTGCTCATATTTTTTAAAAGAAACAAAAAAACCCAGAAAACTAAGGTCTCTAGAAGAAAATTATTTAAAATCAGACAAAAAAAATCAGAAGACAATACCTTCAACAGTTGGCTGCATTTCTTCTGTTTTTGGAATAAAAATTCTGATTACACTTGTGTTGACATAAATCAAAGGTAAATTGCGGGATGTCAGTGTATGGGTCCTCATGGGCTGACCAGGAGATTTTCTTTTCTCTTTTTGGGTCTTTGGTAGTTTTGCTTGAAATATACTTGCAATGGCATTAAGTAAAGGAAAATAAAGAACAATATCAAAAGCTTGTGCTGAAAGAAGAATTTCATGAAGAAAATGAGGAGAACCATCCATTAGGCCTTCAGATAACTTATGAAAACTTCTTCGCTCATTTCTTGATGTTAACTTGTGGCGGACATTTTTTGTTACAGCTTTTGTGTATGTCAGAGAGAGGAATCCATGCTGCTGATGAGTGCCATCTAGAAGTTTTGTAGTTGTCTGTTCCAAAAAAAGGAAATCACAATACACAGTTCATTAAAAAGATTTTTTTTAAAAATTGGAAAGAAGAAAATGACCTCAGTGAGTATTTTTACCTCTTGGTCTTACCCTACACTTCTTAATAAACACATGACTGATCAATTCTGCAGATGTGGGCAAAAAGCTTCTAAGATGGTTAGAATGACTGAACTAAAGATGGGAATCCTGAGTTCCAGTTCTAGATCTTGAGGGAGGTTATTAATCTTTTTGTGGCTATTTCTGTGACTTCTGCATTTTCTGTAACATTAAGAATTTGAGGCTGGGGTAGCTCATGCCTGTAATCCCAACACTTTGGGAGGCTAAGGTGGGCAGATAACTTGAGGCCAGGAGTTTGAGACCAGCCTGGCCAACATGGTGAAATCCCGTCTCTACTCAAAATACAAAAAATTAGCCAGATGTGGTGGCATGGTAGTACATGCCTATAATCCCAGTTGCTTGGGAGGCTGAGGCACAAGAATCGCTTCAACCCGGGAGGCAGAGGCTGCAGTGAGCCGAGATTGAGCCACGGCTCTCCAACCTGGGCAACAAAGTGAGGCTCTGTCTCAAACAAAAAAACATAGGTTGGAAAAGACTATCTTGATTTTATCTTTTCATTTCGTGATAATTTTTCATTATGAGTACTAAGAGGCTGTCATAAAAAGTATCACAGGTCACAGAAGGGTTGTTTACTCAGGTGAAATTGAAATAACCACATTACATATTTTTATTTGAGACCAAATCTGAATAGGCCAGATGATTACCTTCACTAGATAGGATATAACATTTGTGAAAATGGAGTTTTTCCTTCAATAATTTGGCTAATTTATACAAAGACAGAGCCTACAAAAGAAGCCTCATCGATACCATGCTTTGATAACTGAACTAAATAAACAGTTACTGCATATTTAAACAGTAATGTGATGTAACAATATAACATTTGTCTTTCAGAACTTGCCTATTATCAATAGCTAACGCATTTTTTATAAAATCTAATTATCACTATCCTGTAAATCATAATCTTTGGGTATACTACTATATTAGTACACATATAACATTTAACAGAGTAAAAAAATTATCATAACTTCAATATTTTTGTTAAAACTATCTCAATTAGCTCTCCTATCCAAATTGCACACTATAAACAAGTTAGAGTAAAACAGCATGCTTTTAAAAGAGTAAAGTAAAACATATACTTTTGTATTCCTCAACGTACAAAAAGAATGTCACTTGAAAAAAATCTTCCTCAACCAATTAATAGACATAAAATATTGTTTTGGAAATTGCTCAGCATAGAATTAGAGGAGAACTGTTATATTCCACATTCCCTGCCCCTCTTTCCAACACCTGAAAAAGTTAGTAGGGTCCAAAGAGGAGATTTTTAAGAGGAGAAGTGAACTGGAACAAAGCAAAAAGAAGAAAATATATTCACATAAACAGAAAAAAAAGAGAAATAGGAAAGCAGTAATGAGTCTGAGCTATATTATCCCATCACTCCTACATTTCAATTGCTTCCATTTTCTTCCTCTCATTTTGTTGCCTATCACCCACTGACATGGTGAGAGGAAAAAATATGCAATTCAGTTATCACTGCTAATTTTGCTTTTAATTTAGACTTTATAATGAAGGAAGATAAGAAAATAAATTATTTTTGTATTTTTTAATTGACCATTAAAAAAACCCTGGAAAGTAAGCATTAAATGGTTGTGCAGTATAATCATCTTTCCCAATAATAGCCTGCTCTCAAAGCATTTTTCACTGTTCCCAACATTTTCACTGTTTCTCTTTTGATTCCCCTTCTTTTTTATTTCTGCACTCAAAAACAAAAAGATGTATAGTAAAGCAAGAAAAGTGCTACCAGTTTTATTAGCATGTTGCTGGACAATGAGCAATAACAGATGGAGAAGGATTGTTAAGGTATACCCCCAGTGGAAGAGGCCACAGTGATCACAGTGATGTTGTCTGTTCTAAGTGTCTAAACTGGGGAGAGGGTTACTACTGACCACTAATCTAAAAAAATCTAACTCATAATAAATCTTTATTAATAGCAACATTTGAATCCTGTAAAGAGTATAAAAGGTATTTCAATGTATAAATGTTTTAATTTGGAAAAATATTTTAAACGTGGAATGTAAGCATACTTGAAAGGTAAGCCACATGAAGAAAGGGTGTTTTTTTTTTAATTGCTGCATCCTTAACTCCCTTAACATAAGGCAAAAAGTGAATACTAGTTGAGGTAATATAAATATCATTTTTTCATACAGTAATAATACTTTATACTATTTAAAATAAAATGTTAAAAAACACTAAGTAAAGAAACTTTTTAAATGGCATTTAATTTATAAATTTAGAAAAAATTTCTGAAGAACATTAACGATAAATTTACGGTTTCTTTATGAATATTTGTTAAAATTATTAAGAATGTTTTTCACAGACACTAATGAACATTCAAAGAGAGGAAAATAAATCTAAACACTTCCTCCAACACAAAAGTCACATTTTTTTCCTGCACTAAAGATTAAAGACTATTGCTAGTAAAAGCTCAAAATAAAATCAGAACATAACACTTGCTATGCAAATACACTATTAAAAATTAAATTTAAGAACAAAGTTAACTTTAAGAATATCAGTTAAAAGAATTAGCTTAAGAACATATCCAGATGTTGTACCATTAAAAAAGTCAAGGTTCTAAACGTCTAAAAGTCACTGATACAGCCTTGTGTTCATCTACCTAATCAATGACAGAAATGCAAACTTGTTCAGATTCAAGAAGGTACCACACAAGTTACTTTGAATTAGTTGTAAGAAAACAATGGCATAATAATAGAAAAAAAATTTTTAAAGGCAATCTTATTAAGAATCGTAAGAGGAATGACAAAAGCAGTATTGGTCAACTCTTGATCATTCAATACATGCACAATTTAAAAAAATATAATGAATGTCCTACTTTGATTTCCTTATATTGAGGTAAAATTAGTCTGTACTCATGCAAGTGACCCAGAAACAGGTTTTAGTGGAAAAGCAGTTTTATGATTTTAAATTACATTATACTTCATTTATAAAGTTTATGATATGGAGGAAAACACAAATCAAGAGTTGACTCTATGAATCATTCAATTCCTTCTCTGGGTTCCTGTTAATGGGAGTTGTGTAGCATAATTTAAAGTAATTTCTTACAGAAGGAAAGAAGCCAGAGCAATTACTGAAAGGGTCCTGCTTGCTGATGGGTCGAACCAACAAGGTGCGTCTGTTCAGCTTGTCAGTACAGGAAAGGAAGACACCTCCACATTGCCCCAAAGACCAACACTCTTCCCCAAGGCTTGAAGTGATGGACAGGAGCAAAGAAGGTGAAAAGACAAAAAGCAATAAAAGCCATAAGCAAAAAAATATCTGGATAGTTTTAAATTCTCCTCAAGTTTGTATAAATTTAGGTTTGAGCAACCGCTAGGTATGGCCTCTGCCTGGACCATCTTCTGCAAAAGCAATGTTAATGAAAGTAAACAAAAAATAATTGCTTTTAGTATAAAATTACTACTTCCAGTTTATGGTAAAGAACAATCCAGCATAAACTCACATAAGAATTGGGAAACAATTCCAAAAAGTCAACACAATAGTACATTAAAGATAAAGTATATTAACAAAAGCAAGCCTACCTTTGCCTCTTTGATAAATTTACTTAATTGTTATAACAGGAAGATGGTTACAAAACAGGAGCAGTTTCAAAGAATAAATAGCTTTAAATTTATATGTAATTTTGAAGAAACAGGCTAATAAGAATTTATTCTGAACTCAAATTCTTGTAACCATTAGTCCTATTTTATGAAATAACAAGATAAACAGTTTAAAGTACATTTTCAAAAATCATAGTAACTAAATGGGTCTCACCACAGATTTTTCTTTGCATTGTAGAAATACTCCTTCAAAATGTCCTGACTGCCAACCTTCCCCTGGCCTGGAAAACATAAGTTCACCTTATCTGTTCTCTTCAATTTTTCTGAGTTAAGAAATTGAACATACATAACTATTTCAAATAAGTCTAAAGTTCACAACACTGCACTGAACTAAAACATAAATCTGACAATGCAATCAATAGAACAATTTACATTAGCACCGCACTCTGACAGTTCTGCATAAGAACATTTGTCTTCATGGTAAATTATGTATTTATTTGGCTGATTATTTACTTCCATCTCCTCGATAAGAGTAACATCTATGTCTATTTTTCTTTTTTAAAGATAGAGCCTTGCTCTGTCGCCCAGGCTGGAGTGCAATGGCACAATCATAGCTCACTGTAACCTTGAACTCCTGGGCTCAAGCAATCCACCCACCTTAGCCTCCCCAGCAGCTGGAACTACAGGCATACACCACCATGCCCAGCTCCTTTTTGTGTGTATGTGGTGATGGGGTCTTGCCATCTTGTCCCAGCTGGTCTCAAACTCCTGGGCTCAAGTAATCCCCCTGCCTTGGCCTCCCAAAGTGCTGGGATCACAGGTGTGAGCCACCATGCCAGGCTATTTTTCTTAAACACTACATCCCCAGTACTCATTTAGCATAGCACTTGGTGCATACCACATACACAAGAAATGTATGTTTTTAATAAATTAATAAATTATCTGAATATCTATAATTTATATAAATTTAGCGGTACAGTCAGGGATAAAGTACAACATAATACGTAATATTCATGACATTAAAAATTACTTCAGCCAAAATATTGTATTATCACTTGCAAAGATCATTTTGATACAGACACATACCATTTCAAAGGAACTAAAGAGTTGAACATTCTATTATCAAAAGCCAATTAATAAGTCACTGTTTAATATGACAAAAATAATTATCATATCCATATACATAATAATCATCTGTGAGATGAGAGTCATCAAAGTGCTTAGGAAATGAGCTATTGCTCCATCTCAGTGATTATATCTCTATACCAATGATTGTATTGTATATCTCTATACCAATGATTATATTGGTATAGAGAATGGATGGGACGTATACAGCAAAAATCAGAGCCATCAACTGGGTTGCAGGCATCTTAACAAATATAAAATATAGAAAATAAATTATGTAAGATTATTAGTAAAAGTAGCTTATTTCATTTAATATGGCAATGTATATATTTATGAACAGATTTGTCATCTTATAAAACAAAATTTTATTATACTCCATACATGAACAATTACTAAGTAAAATTAATCAATGTATCTGTTAAGAACCCTCTTTGAGAATAAGTACAGGCATACCTCGGTTTTATGGGCTTTGCTTTATTGCATAGTGCAGATATTATGTTTTACCCAAATTGAAGGTCTGTGGCAGCCTTACATTGAGTAAATCCATCAGCAGCGTTTTTTCCAACAATATATGCTGACTTCCAGTCTCTGTGTCACATATTGGTAATTCTTATAATATTTCAAACTTTTTCATTATTATTATATCTGTTATGGTGATCTGTGATCAGTGATTTTTGACATTATCATAATTATTTCAGGACATCATGAACAGTGATGTCCTGAAGACACAAACTTAATTGATCATTGCTGTGTGTTTTCTGATTGCTCCACTGACCCCACTATTTCCCATCTTTCTCCCTCACCTCAGGTCTTCCTATTCCCTGAAACATAACAATATTGAAATGAAGCCAATTAATAACCCTACAATGGCCCCTAAGTGTTCCAGTGAAAGAAGAGTTGCAAATCTCTCACTTTAAATAAAAATCTAAAAATGATTAAGCTTAGTGAGGAAGGCATATCAAAAGCTGAGATAGGCAGAAAACAAAGCTTCTTGTGCCAAGTTGTGAATGAAAAGGAAGGTTCTTGAAGAAAATTGAAAGTGCTGCTCCAGAGAACTTGCAAATGACAAGAAAGTGAAACAGCCTTATTGCTGATAGGCAGAAAGTCTGAGTGGTCTGGGTAGAGGATCAAACCAGACACACCATTCTGTTAAATCCAGAGCAAGACCCTAACTCTCTTCAATTCTATAAATTGAGAGAAGTAAGAAAGCTGCAGAAGTTAAGTTTGAAGCTAGCAGAAGTTAGTTCAGGAGGCTTAAGGAAAGAAGGCATCTCTATAACATTAATGTGCAACATGAAGCAACAAGTGCTGAAGGATAAGTGGCAGCAAGTTATACAAAAGATGTAGCTCAGTTCACTGATGAAGGTGGCTACACTAATAGATTTTCAGTGTAGACAAAACAGCCTTCTCTTGGAAGAAGATGCCATCTCAGACTGATAGCTAGAGAGGAGAAGTCAATGCCTGGGTTTAAAGCTTCAAAGGACAGGCTGACTCTCTTGTTAAAGGTGAATGCAGCTGGTGAAGTTGAAGATAATGCTCATTTACCATTCTGAAAATCCTAGGGCCCTTAAGAATTTTGTTAAATCTACTCTTCTCCTGTGCTCTATACATGGGAACAACTAAGCTTGGATGATAGCACATCTGTTTACAGCATGGTCTCCTGAATATTTTAAGCTCTTTGTTGAGAACGACTGCTTGTGTAGAAAAAAAAAATCCTTTGTAAATGAGCAGTAGCTCATTGACAATGCACCTGGTCACTGAAGAGTTCCAATGGAGATATACAAGGAGATGAATGTTGTCTTCACATCTGCTAACATCCACTCTTCAGCTCATGGATCAAGCAGTAATTCTGTCTTTCAAGACTTATTACTTAAGAAATACATTCTGTAAGGCTACAGTGTGTTAGTCCATTTTGCATTGCTATAAAGGAATACCTGAGACTGGGTAATTTATAAAGGAAAGAGGTTTATTTGGCTCGTGGTTCTGCAGGCTGTACAAGCATGGCACTATCATCTACTTGGCTTCTGGTGAGGCCTTGGGAAGCTTTTACTCATGGAAGAAGGCAAAGCAGAACAGGTGTGTCACATGGTAAGAGAGTAAGCAAGAGAGAGCAGGGAGATGCTATGCTCTTTTTAAATAACCAGCTCTTGCATGAACTAAGAAATCAAGAGCTTCACTTGTCACCATGGGGAGGCACCAAGCCATTCATGAGAGATCCTCCCCTATGACCCAAATATCTCCCACTAGGCCCAACCTCCAACACTGGGGATCACATTTCCACATGAGATTTGGAAGGGACATATATCCAAACTGTATCAGATAGTGATTCTTCCGAAGGTTCTAGGCAAAGTAAATGGAAACACCTTCTGTAAAAGATTCACCACTGTAGACACCATTAAGAACATTCATGATTCATGGGAGGAGGTAAAAATATCAACATTAACAGATGTTTGTAAGAAGTTGATTCCAGCCCCGATGGGTGACTTTCAGGGTTTCAAGACCTCACTGGAGGAAGTAATGGTAGATGTGGTGAAAACAATGTGAGACCAAGAATTAGGAGTGGAGCCTAAAGATGGGGCTGAATTGCTATAATCTCATGATGAAACTTGAATGGATGAGGAGTTGCTTCTTATGAATGAGCAAAGAAAGTGGTTTCTGGAGATGCAAAATACTCCTGGGGAAGATGCTGGGAACATTGTTGAAATGACAACAAAGGATTCAGAATATTCCATAATCTCATTTTTTACAGCAGCAGCAAAGTTTGAGAGGACTGACTCTAATTTTGAAAGAAGTTCTGTTGTGGGTAAAATGCCACTAAACAGCATCACATGCTACAGAGAAATCTTTCATAAAGAAAGATTCAATCCATGTGGCAAATGACATCATTGACTTATTTTTAAAAATTGCCACAGCTACCCTAACCTTCAGCAACCACCACCCCGATCAGTCAGCAGCCATCAACATCAAGACAAGACCTTCCATCAGCAACAAGATTATGACTCATTGAATGCTCAGATGATCATTAGCACATTTTAGCAATAAAGTATTTTTAAATTAAGGTATGTACATTTTAAAATACATAATGCTATTGTACACTTCACAGACTGCAGTATAGTGTAAACACAACTTTATATACACTGAGAAACCAAACAATTTCTGTCACTTCCTTTATTGAAATATTCACTTTATTGGAATAGTCTGGAGCCAAACTCTCAATATGTCCGAGGTATGCCTGTATAGTATTTATTTTAATAACCAGCCAAATTAAAATAGAAAAAGTCTTATGGTAACTTTGTTCAAAGAAAAATACAGATTTTCTTATATTCATTATTCATTATTTACCTGCTTCTATAGTGATCAATATTGAAACTCTCTATTTTACATTTCACTTTGGTATATACATCCTGGACATCTATGGAAGCACTGAGATCTTCTAGTTCACTGACCATACAAACCTCTGCAATAAGAAACAAGCAGTAATATCAACACAGTCTTCACAATTAATATTAAAACTTTCTATTTTACATTTCACATTGACAAATGCATGCTGGATATGTACAGAGGCGCTGAGATCACAAAAGCTTCTAGAATAATAAGCAAATCAGCATAGGCCTGTTTATTAAGATAAGACATTTATTTCAAGAAAGGGGAAAGCCCAGTTAATGTCTGGAGTGTTATATTTGATATCAGTCAAGGATTTTCCCAATACTTTTAGTGACAATACTATAATGTATCAATATGACCATTGAGGAAAATTCCTCATGGTCTTTTAGATGAATTTTAATACAAACAGGACAAAATTTATGTATTACAAAGTCAAGGAAAATATGTACACGTAAACCTTTAATGTTAATAAGATTCAACATTTTAGCACTGCAACTAGAAATTACTTGAATTAGAGCTAATAATAATTATTTAATTATAAATGACAATAATAAATTACATTTAATATTTCTTCCAAAATAGCGTTTAATATTTGCACTTTTCAGTAAAGAAGAAAAGCAATCCAGGCCGGGCATGGTGGCTCATGCCTGTAATCCCAACACTTTGGGCGGCCAACGTGGGCGGACCACCTGAGGTCAGGAGTTCAAGACCAGCCTCACCAACATGGAGAAACCCTGTCTCTACTAAAAATACAAAATTAGCTGGGTGTCGTG
This sequence comes from Homo sapiens, assembly GCF_000001405.40. Taxonomy (NCBI): domain Eukaryota; kingdom Metazoa; phylum Chordata; class Mammalia; order Primates; family Hominidae; genus Homo; species Homo sapiens. The sequence goes on along the minus strand of NC_000008.11, from coordinate 99,502,135 downwards.
GTGCACGCCTGTAATCTCAGCTATTCGGGAGGCTGAGGCAGGAGAATCACTTGAACCCAGAAGGAAGAGGTTGCAGTGAGGCAAGGTCACGCCAGTGCACTTCAGCCTGGGCAACAAGAGCAAAACTCTGTCAGAAAGGAAAGACAGACAGACAGACGGAAAGACAGACAGACAGACAGACAGACAGAAAAGAAAGGAAGGAAGGAAGGGAGGGAGGGAGGGAGGGAGGGAGGGAGGGACAGAGGGAGGGAGGGAAGAAAGAAAAGGAATCCTGTACCTGTGCCTTTATTTTCAGGATCTGGAGCAAAGAGCTTTATAGTAATTTTGGGAAGCACCCACTGCATCCATAAACTAACACGTCCACTGGTTCCTCCAATATTACTTGTAGTTTGTTCCAAGGTCACAGAATCTGAGAATGGTGATTCCTCACCTGCTTGTATAGAATCTCCCTGGGATGAGGAGAAAAAAAAATCTTACTTTGTAACATAAACAAAAATAACAGAAAATACAAATTATAAATTAAAATCAGAAATTATTATTTGTAACTTTTTCACATCTTACATGCAAATGATAATCATATAAATGTTAATACCAATACATAATGCTAATGTATAAACATACACTTCTCAAATGATTTTTATTGTTAGAAAGCACATGCATGTTTCCAGCTTCCTCTAAAAGTAGTTAAGATCTAGAAAAGGTTAAGATTAAACCAATGAGTATGTTCCTATAGAGTAGAGTCTGCAAGCTACAGTGAAGGGGCTAATCTGTCTGTATTGGGGAATAAATTTTTACTAGATCACAGCCAAATCCGTTCATGTACTGACTGCATATGACTTCTTTTCAGCAGAGTTGAGTAGTTGCTACAGAGAAGCTACAATCCACAAAGTCCAAAGGTATTTACTAACCAGCCCTTTACAGAAAAATATTTGTCTACCCCTTCTATAGAGTATTTATAATGGAATCTAGAATAACTATAGCAAAGTGATTATCAGTTTAAGAAACAGCAAAATATTAATCATGCCTTGCATGTTAATTAAGGAGACATTAAAAATTAGTAGATTTGACAATAGATTTTTTTAAGTGTCTTATATGGTTAAAGCTTTCTTAGTGGAATAGAGCATAAGCTTATCCGATTCAACAAATACATACTGAACTCTGAATATGTATAAGGTCCTAAAGTCAGTGCTAACGAACTTGCTGTCAAAGTCTTGTTTGTTTGTTTTTGGTCTTTTCAGCAGCTTTTAGCAGGCCAGAATAAAATAAACCCTTTTATTTAAAGTTGAACAGCTTCAGTCTCAAATGCAGAAGAGATGCTGCAATCATTGATATGTTGAGTTCTTTTAGGATTAGCTATGAAGTATTGGGTTCCTAAAATCCCAAACTTTGCTGTCCGTTTAAACCTTGCAAACAAAACTTGCGAGCTTAAACCCATATACTCTGAAAACTGATCAAACACAATATAACATTCTTATTTGTTTAAAAGATGTATATATATTTACATATCAGTTACAGATACTTAGTTAAGCTTAGTCTGGCAGGCAGTATGGTGTACTGGGTTAACGAAGTCAGATGCCAGTCAAGTGATTTGAGGCAAGTAGTTTAACTGTACACTCCTCTGTAAAATGGTTATTATAGTGATATTTATCTCATACAGTTAAGATTAAATAGAAATATGAATGTGAATGAAGAATATACACATAGAAAATAGTTCATAAATTGTAGTTATAATTATCATTATCAAGTTGAACTAATGCTTAAGAAATTTTTCACTCACATTCTTATAGAATTCTCATTTTCTCATCTTTCTAACTTCAGACACGTTTTGTTTTGCCGTATATCCTCAACCTCCAATAGTTTATTGCTTTGAATGTCTCAAACAAAAATATTAATTTCCTGTGCTAACGAGTCATAACCAGTAGTTAACTGTCAGAACAAAATACCCCTTAAAATTTAAACAAAGACAATATAATATGGTCAGTATTCCATTTTTTATAGACAGGTTGTCAGAGCAGAAGCCACTAATCTCTAAACACTTAAAAGCAGGAATGATAATTAAAATCCTGTACAAAACAAACCAAAGTCCCGGCTCTCATTACCACAGACATGCCATCTAAACACAGGTATATTCAGCTCCTACATGAGGCTTTTATTTTAACCTCATTGTTTTATAACATCTTTCAGTCAGAAGAAAATTCAATTTCCCTGCAACCTCAGAAGGAGGCCCAATGGGGAAGATTTTCATAGAATGACAGGCAAGTGTTTACTGCAAGAACACTTAGGCACCAAGCATAGCAAAGTAACAGTGTTCTGGGATTTACTATTAGAGAAAATTATAGAGTTAAACCTGAAGACAGTATAGTTACTCTTTGTCCCAAATACACCAAGCAAAGCAAATATCTCACTGTTTGTGCAGTTTTCATATAAATGCTTTTACAAAATAAGTAGTTCTAAATCTGCTACAATAGAAATTCCTACAACTTGAGAAGCTATAAAAAAATCAGGTTTTTGGTTAGCTGTCTAATGCAACACAACATCTAATAAAAAGCATAAACTAATTCCAGATAAGGATGCTTATTAAATAAAAGGCAATATATATAGCCTTTCTTTATGTATAGGTTTATAGAGTAGAAGTATGCTTAAATTAAACCCTCCTTCCAACAGACAGAAGAATATCATATTCCAAGGATGGAGAACTGAGAGAAAATAACATCTCGAATCACTAAGACTTCAATTTTTAACACTACTTGGTATACTTGGTAAGAATGCTAAGAAAACTGTGGCTGCAAATTTAGTAAGCACTCCTCAGTAAAAGCTTTGCTGTACTTCCTCATGCAGTTTCAGTTTTCATTTTGGATTTACAGCATTTTGTTTGGTATTGTTAAACATGTTTGTGCATTAATTTTCTGCTCTGTTTCCAAATCTGTTGTGAAAATCAGGCCGGAAATGGAGATGCTGAACTATTTTCCCATACATCCTTAGGCCAAGTTCTAAAATAAACAGTTCAATTCTTTTACCATTTTGTTGCAAATTGACCAAATGCTAAGTTTATTTTCCTAGGTGAATTTATCTTTGTTTATTTGGAAGAGCAAACACTTTATATCCCTTCATCCTTGGCCTGCTTCAGAGCTTAAGGATGATCATAGTTTTGGCCCCATTGCTACTCTATCTTATCAAAATAACTCCTGCATTCTTGTTCAATTACAAAACTTCCCAAAGGGCTAAACACTTCGACCACTGTTTGTACTTAAGTCAACAGTAACAAGTGGCCTGCTGTGGTCTCAACTACCTTTGCTCCCACTATTTCAATGCAAGAGTGGGAAAAAATGATTAAGTGTTTTAAGCTCAGTACTTAAGCTTCAAACTCATATTTCCCACTTTACCATGACTCAGACTGAAACACAGGAAGCTGCAGCTATATGTGCACAAAAGTACAGTGCTCCCCATCAACATGTCAGCATGAAAAGAATTACTCATAGTTTAAAGTATAAATCATCTAAGGATCATATAAACAAATATTTCCATTTAATACAAACAATTGTTAGAATGTGTTTTCTTTTTTTTATTTTCATGAGCTTATTTTCTTTTTTATTGTTTTTTTTATTATTATACTTTAAGTTCTAGGGTACTTGTGCACAACATGCAGGTTTGTTACATATGTATACATGTGCCATGTTGGTGTGCTGCACCCATTAACTCATTAACTCATCATTTACATTAGGTATATCTCCTAATGCTTTCCCTAGAATGTGTTTTCTTAAACTAGATTCATTTACAGTAAGTTCTCTATATTCAATAGTTTTGACCCAACTAAGCAAGAAAAACAATGTTTTAATAGTAAAATGTTTAAAAATTTTAATGATTGTTTTTGAATGCAAATTGTAATTTAAAAAAATCAAACCTGCAATTTCAAAGTGTTCCCCAGATACATAATTAATACAAGTAACACAAGAAATGTAAGCTAACCTCAGATTATTAGCTTATATTTACATGATAAAACTATCTGAGCTTTTAAAAATCAAGTAGCCAATAATTTAAAGACATTTTTATATGAATATTTTGAAATAGGAAAGGCTTCATACACAAAATATTGTGTTGAATGGTATGTGATGGCTAAACAATAACCTTCATTTTTCTAACCTGTTTTGATATATTTATTTTTTTCATAGATATTCAAATAAGATGATAGTTTAAATGTTATGATTTCTACATTCTGAATAAAAGTTTCTCTCTAAATGTTAAGAACAAAACCATTTAAGGAAAAATATGAAATGACATAAGTATTTTCAGGAGTTTTAAAACAATTACAAGAAATTTTAAAAATAGCAATTGAGTAAATTCAAACTAAATATACTATCTAAACGGTTGTTTGCATAATAATTTGAGGTAGATTACTGCATAGGTTAATTGCACTTGAATAACTGAAAAACTGACAAGAGTTTTGCTACTACAGCAAACTCTGTCAACAACTCTGAAGTTGATGCCAAACAATCTCTCAGTCCAATATTCACTTTTCAATTATCAATGTATGTTCAACAGTTACTGGACATTAAAAAAGGAACCACTTCATGCTTAATTTTTTTAACAACGCTGATAATAAAGCAATTTTAATTCTTGAATCAATAAACAATGCTTGTCACACTTTGCCATGACCCTAAGCTTCCAAACATTGAGTAGTTAATATATCAATTCTTACTTTAGGTAGAGTAAATATTTGTAATAATTTTTTATATTACATAAATATATTTTTATATTTAAATATAAAATATATACATATTATTTTATGTATATATGTATTTTATGTGTATATAAATATATACATATTATTTTATGTATATATGCATTTTTATGTATATATAAATATATACATATATGATACATAAATACATACATATATGTATATATAAATACATGTATTTATATATATTAAATATATAAATACATGTATTTATATATTAAATATATAAATATATTTTTATATTACATAAATATATATATTTATATATGAAATATATAAATATATTTTTATATTACATAAATATATATATTTATATATATTACAAATAAATTATTTGTAAATAAATATTCTAGTATTCACTCAGAATTTTAGATTATTCTACAGCTTTGAAATTACTTCCTATACTACTGCTGTGATTAAGGAAGACGTTACCAAAAACATTTTATATACACAGAAAAAGTTAAAATGAAAAAAACACTAAATAATTTGCCTAAAATCACAACTCAGAGGAATTTAATTTTGTCAACAGAATATAATCCTTTAAAATCACATTTATTGAAACTACTGAAAACCCAGAGATCCAAAATATGATTTTATGTTGTTATAACAGTTTCCCAAAGACATACAGGTTATGAAAGTATCCTGTAAGGGAAGGATGTGTGTGTACTTGTGTACGTATGTATGTGTTTGCTTTGTTTACTTGTCATGAAGAGGAATCATCAAAATGTTAGTGCTTTTTTTTTTCCTGAGATGGAGTCTTGCTGTGTCGCCCAGGGTGGAGTGCAGTGGCGAGATCTTGGCTCACTGCAAGCTCCGCCTCCCGGGTTCACGCCATTCTCCTGCCTCAGCCTCCGAAGTAGCTGGGACTACAGGTGCCTGCCACCACGCCTGGGTAAGTTTTTATATTTTTAGTAGAAACGGGGTTTCACTGTGTTAGCCAGGATGGTCTCGATCTCCTGACCTCGTGATCTACCCGCCTCAGCCTCCCAAAGTGCTGGGATTACAGGCGTGAGCCAACATGCCCAGTCTAATGTTAGTGCTTTTAATGGCAGTTTTTATTGTTGTATTGTCCTATAAGCAAAATAGCATAAAAATTTTAATGAGTATAATTATATAATGTTCCACTTTCTAGACCACTGACCTCAACAAAAATTTGACAACTTCACCTAGCTGAAGTACAGTGCAGTATGTTCTTCATAAAATATAAAGTTTTATTTATCTTTAAAACCAATGCAACAGTGAGTGTGGCAGAAACAGGTGGCTGTATTCCCAAATTTTGCTCTCCCTTCTATAATACAAAGTTGTCTGTGAGTAACGGTAATCCAACTATGGGCTAAATTTCCCAGCCCACTTTGGAATTATGTTTATACGCACATCCATGCCCCATCACTAATATTATAAATTCCTCAAATGATAAAGGACTATGTCTTAATAACTTAGGTTTGCCTGCCTGATCCTCCAAATCACCACAGGGCTATTCCTAGCCATGCACTACTCACCAGACGCCTCAACCGCCTTTTCATCAATCAATTTTAAAGAAAATACTGAATATTAATAAGCTAAGAATAAAATTTAAGAAATTCAAAAAACAACAGAATAAACCCAATAAAAAAGCAATATCTATCTCAGCCTAAGTAGGGCAACAAAGTTACCCCAGAAAATTTTTAAAAACAACTCTAAAGTGCAAGTAGGTTTAAGGACTTGATTTCATACTGCCTAAATGTTTCAAAAAACTTCTAGCTGTAAGATTAACAGTATAGGGGTCCCAGGCTAGAGGCAGCTGCTGAAGTCCCTTAGAGAAGCAAACACATAAAATGTCTTTGTCAGAGGACAGGCCCTCAACCACCATGTAAGGGCTTCATAGAAGAAGTTCCATTGATGAGAATCACCCAACACTAAATTACACAGTGCCAAAGAAAACAATCCAACATGAACAAGATTTAAGAAAACAACAAGTGGTCAGATTCAACTCTAAAGAAGTTCAGATACCAGATCTGATAAAAAATAAAAGAAAATAATTATGTTTAAAATGATTAAGGACAAAAAACAAACTGAAAATACAAACTCATATTGTAAATATAGTTTTACGTATTTACATAAAAATATGTGTAGTGACTTAATGAACATATGCATGTCTATGCCATGTACCACAATAAATGTGATTTAAATTAATCATAATGTGAGTTAGTATTCCAAAATTATTCAACATCTATATTATGAAGAAGACTATGTTTAGAACCTACTTTGAACCATACTTAAGATAAATTGGGGTTATCCTTTAATAAAGATAATGAGTGATGAATGGTGATGGAAAGTTTATATTTCACATCCAGTATGGCACTGAAACAATATAATCACTATTTGACATCTTTACTTCTGTGTCAGTGGAAGTCTCCCAGTCTGAATCATTTTATTTGTAATCTATAGTGTTTGACTTAACAAATATTTAAGATAGAAAAAAAAAACAGTATAAAAAGTACAACTAACATGGAAAAAGTAAAAGCAATAAAGGGCCAGTTTGTCAATATGTCTTTGGCTATCTGTACAGAATTTACTTACAGCCAAAAGAATGTTAGAGGTTTCCCTTGAGAAGAAAATTATAAAAAGAGATAATTATGGTAAACTTCAAAATATTGTCTAATATTTTCAAAATAAATTGGAAAATTTATTCAAAAACTACTAAAGTCCTCACCAGAGAAATTAGGAGACAAAATGAAATAAAAGGCAACCAAATTGGAAAGGAAAAAGTAAAATTATGTCTTTTAGCACATGACATGATCATATATGTATAAAACTAAAGATTCCAAGAAAACTTTTAGAACTAATCAATGAATTCCACAAAGTTGTGGGATACAACACCAACATACACAAATCAGTTGTGTTTCTATGCATTAAAAGCAAACAATAAAGAAATTAACAGAATAATTCCCTTTACAATAGCATCTAAAATAATAAAATGCTTAAGAATAAACATAACTGAGGAAGTAAAAGACATAATGAAAACTATGAAATATCTTTAAAAAAAATTAAGATGACACAAATAAATGGAAAGACATCCAGTGTTCATACATTGGAAGATTTAATATTAAGATGGTGAGTTATTTTTTAACGGATACAGAATTTCAGTTGGGGAAGATGAAAAAATACTGGAGACTGTTGTGAAGGTTGTATAACAATGTGAATGTACTTAATACCACAGAACTGTATACATAAAATGGTAAAAACAGTACATTTTATGTTGTGTATATTGTACCACAACAAAAAAATTAAGCCAAAAAACTTATAGTAATATAAAATCATGATTGTACAGTAACAAAAACACATTACATGTGTTTAGCATCTATATGTTCATTAGTTTTACTTGACATAAATTGGGCCACTGGAGTGGGATAGAAATATTTATCTTATCATTAAGTATTATTTTATCAATACATAGTATGAAGTTTAATTTCTAGGAACAAAGCTATATCAGTGTTGGAGATGGAAAAAGGATCAAGATGCTTCTCTGTGTTCTCTTTAAAATTATTAAATTAGGGTCCTTTGTCCATATGGTCCTTACCATTTCATTCTCTTTCTTTCTTTTTCTTTTTCTTTTCTTTTTTTTTTTTTTTTTTTTTAGATAGAGTCTTGCTCTGTCGCCCAGGCTGGAGTACAGTGGCACGATCTCAGCTCACTGCAACCTCCGCCTCCCAGGTTCAAGTGATTCTCCTGTTGCAGCCTCCCGAATCGGGATTACAGGCACACGCCACCACACCCAGTTAAGTTTTGTATTTGGAGTACAGAAGGGGTTTTGCCATGTTGGCCAGGATGATCTCGAACTCCTGATCTCAGCTGATCTGCCTGCCTCGGCCTCCCAAAGTGCTCAGACGACAGGTGTGAGCCACCACGCCCAACCCATTCTCTCTCTCTTCAAATAATTTTCTAAATGACATCTAAACTAAGACTTTCAAATTTAGATCAGATATGTGTTATAGCCAAGTACCTTTTCAATTAAGATTACTTTTTTAACATGGAAATATACAGTGATTAGGAGAAATTTCAAATGAAAACAGTTTTCTAGAGAGTAGGACAAGAGGGAACACTTGCTAACTCATTTATAAAGAGAGTATAAACTTCTAATCTAATACCAAAAGATGACAAGGCTATTATAAGAAAAAAATATAGAATTCAACAGAATTATATACTTAAAATGGTAAAAATGGTCAGTATCACTCATGACTATAGATACCAAAATCCTAAACAATTAGCAACCTCAATCTAGCAATATCTATCACAACTAAACTGGGATTTTTCTAGAAATGCATGGTCAGTTGAACATGTGAAAATCAATCGATATAATTAGTCACATTAAGAGAATAAAGGAGATAAATTACGTATATAATAATTTCGAAGTCGCTTCCAAGATGACAGAATAGGAACAGCTCTAGCCTACAGCTCCCAGTGAGATCGACGCAGAAGATGGGTGATTTCTGCATTTCCAATTGAGGTACCTGATTCTTCTCATTGGGACTGGTTGGAGAGTGGGTGCAGCCCATGGAGGGTGAGCCAAAGCATGCTGGGGTGTCTCCTCACCTGGTAAGCGCAAGGGGTTGGGGGATTTCCCTTTCCTGCCAAAGGAAGCCATGACAGACTGTACCTGGAGGAACGGTACACTCTCGCCCAAATACTGCACTTCTCCCACAGTCTTAGCAACCAGCAGACGAGGGGATTCCACCCTGTGCCTGGCTCCATGGGTCCCACTCCCAGGGAGGCTTGCTCACTGCTAGCGCAGCAGTCTGAGATCAACCTGCGAGGCAGGAGCCTGGCGGGGAGAGGGGTGTCCACCATTGCTGAGGCTTCAGTAAGTAAACTAAGTGACAGGGAAGCTCAAACTGGGCAGAGCCCACCGCAACTCAGCTAGACCTACTGCCTCTCTAGACTCCACCTCTGTGGGCAGGGCATACTGAACAAAAGGCAGCAGACAACTTCTGCAGGCTTAAACGTCCCTGTCTGACAGCTCTAAAGAGAGTGGTGGTTCTCTCAGCATGTCATTCAAGCTCTGAGAACGGACAGACTGCCTCTTCAAGTGGGTCCCTGACGCCCGTGTAGCCTGACCAAGAGACACCTCCCAGTAGGGGCCGACAGACACCTCATACAGGCGGATGCCCCTCTGGGATGAAGCTTCCAGAGGAAGAATCAGGCAGCAATATTTGCTGTTCTGCAATATTTGCAGTTGATACCCAGGCAAACAGGGTCTGGAGTAGAACTCCTGTAAATTCCAACAGACCTGCAGCTGAGGAGCCTGACTGCTGGAAGGAAAACTAACAAACAGAAAGGAATAGCATCAACATCAACAAGAAGGACATCCACACCAAAACCCCATCTGTAGGTCACCAACATCAAAGAACAAAGGTAGATAGAACCACAAAGAGGGGAGAAACCAGAGCAGAAAAGCTGAAAATTCCAAAAACCAGAGCGCCTCTTCTCCTCCAAGAATTGCAGGTCCTCGCCAGCAATGGAACAAAACTGGATGGAGAATGACTTTGACGAATTGACAGAAGTAGGCTTCAGAAGGTCGGTAATAACAAACTTCTCCGAGCAAAACGAGCATGTTCGAACCCATCGCAAGGAAGCTAAAAACCTTGAAAAATGGTTAGATGAATGGCTAACTAGAATAAACAGTGTAGACAAGACCTTAAATGACCTGATGGAGCTGAAAACCACAGCACGAGAACTACGTGATGCATGCACAAGCTTCAATAGTCGTTTCAATCAAGTGGAAGAAAGGATATCAGTGATTGAAGATCAAATTAATGAAATAAAGTGAGAAGACAAGATAAGAGAAAAAAGAGTGAAAAGAAAGGAACAAAGCCTCCAAGAAATATAGGACTATGTGAAAAGACCAAATCTATGTTTGATTGGTGAACCTGAAAGGTATGGGGAAAATGGAATCAAGTTAGAAAATACTCTTCAGGATATTATCCAGGAGAACTTCCCCAGTCTAGCAAAGCAGGCCAACATTCAAATCCAGGAAATGGAGAGAACACCACAAAGATACTCCTTGAGAAGAACAACCCCAAGACACGTAATTGTCAGATTCACCAAGGTTGAAATGAAGGAAAAAATGTTAAGGGCAGCCAGACAGAAAGATCAGGTTACCCACAAAGGGAAGCCCATCAGACTAACAGCGGATGTCTCAGCTCAAAACCACACAACTACATGGAAACTGAACAACCTGCTCGTGAATGACTACTAGGTAAATAACGAAATGAAGGCAGAAATAAAGATGTTCTTTGAAACCAGTAAGAACGAAAACACAAAGTACCAGAATCTCTAGGACACATTTAAAGCCGTGTGTAGAGGGAAATTTATAGCACTAAATGCCCACAAGAGAAAGCAGGAAAGATCTAAAATCGACACCCTAAAATCAAAATGAAAAGAACTAGAGAAGCAACAGCAAACAAATTCAAAATGTAGCAGAAGACAAGAAATAACTAAGATCAAAGAGCAGAACTGAAGGAGATAGAGACACAAAAAACCCTTCAAAAAATCAGTGAATCCAAGAGCTCGTTTTTTGAAAAGATCAACAGAGTAGATAGACCACTAGCAAGACTAATAAAGAAGAAAAGAGAGAAGAATCAAATAGACACAATAAAAAATAATAAAGGGGATATCACCACCGATCCCAGAGAAATACAAACTACCATCAGAGAATATTATAAACACCTCTATGCAAATAAATTAGAAAATCTAGAAGGAATGGATAAGTTCTTGGACATATACACCCTCCCAAGACTAAACCAGGAAGAAGTCGAATCTCTGAATAGACCAATAACAGGCTCTGAAATTGAGGCAAAAATTAATAGCCTACCAACCAAAAAAAGTCCAGGACCAGATGGATACACAGCCGAATTCTACCAGAGGTACAAAGAGGACCTGGTTCCATTCCTTCTGAAACTATTCCAATCAATAGAAGAAGAGGGAATCCTCCCTAACTCATTTTATAAGGCCAGCATCAGCCTGATACCAAAGCCTGGCAGAGACACAACAAAGAAAGAGAATTTTAGACCAATATCCCTGATGAACATCAACGCGAAAATCATCAATAAAATACTGGCAAACCGAATCCAGCAGCACACCAAAAAGCTTATCCACCACAATCACTTTGGCTTCATCCCTGGGATGCAAGGCTGGTTCAACATATGCAAATCAATAAACATATTCCATCACATAAACAGAACCAACGACAAAAACCACATGAGTATCTCAAAAGATGCAGAAAAGGCCTTCAACAAAATTCAACAGCCCTTCATGCTAAAAACTCTCAATAAACTAGGTATTGATGGAAGCTATCTCAAAATAAGAGCTATTTATGACAAACCCACAGCCAATATCATATTGAACAGGCAAAAACTGGAAGCATTCCCTTTGAAAACTGGCACAAGACAAGGATGCCCTCTCTCACCACTCCTAATCAATATAGTGTTGGAAGTTCCAACCAGGGCAATCAGGCAGGAGAAAGAAATAAAGGGTATTCAAGCAGGAAAAGAGGAAGTCAAATTGTCCTTGTTTGCAGATGACATGACTGTATATTTAGAAAACCCCATTGTCTCAGCCCCAAATCTCCTTAAGCTGATAAGCAACTTTGGCAAAGTCTCAGGATACAAAATCAATGTGCAAAAATCACAAGCATTCTTATCCACCAATAACAGACAAACAGAGAGCCAAATCATGAGTGAACTCCCATTCACAATTGCTTCAAAGAGAATAAAATACCTAGGAATTCAACTTACAAGGGATGGGAAGGACCTCTTCAATGAGAACTACAAACCACTGCTCAACAAAATAAAAGAGGACACAAACAAATGGAAAAGCGTTCTATATTCATGGATAGGAAGAATCAATATCGTGAAAATGGCCATACTGCCCAAGGTAATTTGTAAGTTCAATGCCATCCCCATCAAGCTACCAATGACTTTCTTCACAGCATTGGAAAAAACTACTTTAAAGTTCATATGGAACCAAAAAAGAGCCCGCATTGCCAAGACAATCCTAAGCAGAAAAAAAAAAACAAAACAAAAAACCCAAAGGAGATGGCATCACGCTACCTGACTTCAAACTATACTACAAGGCTACAGTAACCAAAACAGCATGGTACTGGTACTAAAACAGAGATACAGACCAATGGAACAGCACAGAGGCCTCAGAAATAACACCACACATCTACAACAATCTGATCTTTGACAAACCTGACAAAAACAAGTAACAGGGAAAGGACTCCCTATTTAATAAATAGTGCTGGGAAAACTGGCTAGCCATATGTAGAAAGCTGAAACTGGATCCCTTCCTTAAACCTTATACAGAAAGTAACTCAAGATGGATTAAAGACTTAAATGTAAGACCTAAAACCATAAAAATCCTAGAGGAAAACCTAGGCAATACCATTGAGGACATAGGAATGGGCAAAGACTTCATGACTAAAACACCAAAAGCAATGGCAACAAAAGCCAAAATAGACAAATGAGATCTAATTAAACTAAAGATCTTCTGCACAGCAAAAGAAACTCTCATCAGAGTGAACAGGCAACCTACAGAATGGGAGAAAATTTCTGCAATCTACCCATCTGACAAAGGGCTTATATCCAGAATCTACAAAGAACTTAAACAAATTTACAAAGTCTCTTCCAGAGGTTCCACTAACTTAGAATCAAGCTAATATCAGTCAGCCCAGTCCCTACACAGTAACACAAATTTTAATTCTCTGGGTTTCAATTTTCTAGTATATAAAATAAAAATGCTGGTCTAAAGTATCCGTCTGACAATCTTTTTCGAAAATACAACTGTAAGTTGACAGAATTAAGACAAAGATCTTTGCTCACTTATCAAGTTCCACAAAACTATTACACCAAAGTCAGAGGAAGCCAATTGTTAAGACTGAGAAAAGGAGAAAAGAGAGACTTCATAACAACAAAGAGTAGGAAAGTAGTAGACAGTTTAGCTAGTTTTCCCCAGGAGGAAAAAAAAAACATACACCTTAGAGAAAAGCAATTACTAACATTCTTTTTTTGTTTGAAGGGTTACTATAGAAACTAAACAGACTACTCGAATTTTCCCTTTTTTCCTCTTTGGGACCCATATTTTCTGCCAAAATTTTGAAATATACTTGAACACAGTAAGGGATAATATTAAGTGCTACTATAATTCTGGACCATTCAGGATAGTACTAAGCAAATGATATTAAGATGACAGAAATGTGCTCTTCTAAATCAGAAAATCAGCACCGAATAAAGTATCTTTAAAAATACTTCAATTTACTTTCTTTCCCCTCCCTCTGCATTTTAAACCAAATACATCAGTTATCAACATATTCAACAGTTAAAAAATTAAATACTATTTCTAGTACTACATGAGTTTTAAAATGGTTTTTCAGGTGCAAGTCATATAACATGCATACAATTACTTCAAGGCAAAACTATTTCATTAAAAATTCATCAACCCTTGTGCACCAGTGTTCAAAGCAGTATTATCCACAACAGACAAAAGGGTAGAAATAACCCAGATGTCCAGCAACAAAGAAACAGATAAATTAAATGTGTTATATACATACAATGAAATATTACTCAGCCATAAAAAGGAGTGGAATTCTGATACACACAAAGAAAGGAATGAGCCTTAAATATATTACACAAAGTAGAATAAGCCAGACACAAAAGGACAAATACCATACGATTCTTCTTATATGAAGTACCTAGAATAGGCAAATCGATAGAGACAGAAAGTAGAATAGAGGTTACCATGGATGGAGGGAGAGGAGAAGATAGAGTTGTTCGATGGGGATAGAGATTCTGTCTGGGATGATGAAAATTTCTAGAAATAGATAGTGGTTATGCTACGCACTGTGAGTGTGCCTAATGCCACTAAATTGTACATTTTAAAATGGTTAAAATGGTAAATTTTACCATGTATATTTTTTTACCACAATTTAAAAAAATCACCAAAGAAGTTAATTGATAGGATTGAGAAGTTAATATGTACAAGGAGAGTGAGATTAAAAAGACTAGTTCTTAGTAAGAAATTTTAATACTAACAATATGGAGACTAAGCTGAAATGAACATTTACCATTTGTACTACCACAGCACAGATATTCTGGATAAAATGCCAGGTGAATTTAATACCGAAAAGTGCTACATATCTTTTCTTTGGCCCTCTAGATCTACTCTCTACCCTTCACTACCCTCTGTGCTTGGGAAGTTAATCTATGTGAACAATATGAATGGATTTCCTGGTCCTCTGTTTTTTTTTTTTTTTTCTTGGTTTCGGTCAATGAGAAACAGTGGCAGGAGACAGAGGAAGTGGAGAATGAAGTCTGGGTATTTATTCCCTGTTCTGATAAACTCTCTCTCCTGCCCTTTAAGCCTACTGGTGTCACCAACTGCTCCAGCATACTCAATCATCTCCTGTTAACTGAGATTTCCCTTCCCAGTTAACATCTTTGACCTTTTACTAAATTCTCATAAACTCCAATTTCAGACTACCATCTTTTTCTAATACGATAGCAAAACTTGAAATAAAGACAAATACTATGGTGTCAGAAACGAAGAGGAAACACAAAGTCAGGGTAACAAGTGGAAACAGTCCTTGGGAGTATGTAGAAGTATCAAACTCAGATAAGGGTCGAGGGGTTGAGCAATGGTGTTTAAACACTCATTCAGGGACTGCAGACATAGTGTAGAGTCTGAACTGGGGAGTTCTTTGCATAAAGCCTGGAGGCAAACAGAGCTGCTTTTTAAGCAAAAGATACACTAGACACTAGGCTTCAGCAGGCTAAGAAATGCCATGGATGTTTTTCAGATTCCTAGGACAGAGAAGAGGTGAAAGTGGTGGCATGATAAAATCATTCATGCCTGGGCAGGATGGCTCACGCCTGTAATCCCAGCACTTTGGGAGGCAGAACACCTGAGGTCAGGAGTTCCAGACCAGCCTGGCCAACATGGTGAAACCCCATCTCTAGTAAAAGTACAAAAATCAGCCAGGAGTGGTGGCAGGCGCCTGTAATCCCAGCTACTCAGGAGGCTGAGGCAGGAGAATCGCTTGAAACTGGAAGGCAGAGGTTGCACTGAGCCGAGATCGCGCCACTGCACTCCAGCCTGGACAACTATAGTAAAAAAAAAAACCAAAACAAACATGAGAAACTAAATGCTATTATTTGCTTGTGTGGGACGTCGTGCATACTACTTATATGATAAGACAAACCCTTGTTGATAAAGAAACCTAAAAACTGCCCAAGGTTCCCTGAAATCTCTAGCACCCTGGCAAAAGCAGTCAAAATGCTCTGTAGGGACAATTCTGCAACAGAGGGCTCATAGGAATCACACAGAAAAATTAAACTGTTGAAGATGAGTTCACAATAAGATATTACAAACCACATGAGAAAATGAACCAGAAAAAGGGAGAGTCAGCAGATATAACAAAAACTTAGCATCTCCAATAAATGGAGTTAAGAAATCTAAAAGGACTATAAACCAATTATTTTAAAATGTTAAGAAATAAAAGAATGAACAATATGAAGAGGAGACTATATAAATACTTTTTTGTTTGTTTTAATCTATTCAAAAGCCTTTATGCTTCTTTGAACATAGCATTCCTGGAAAGCTCTAGAAGTCCTTCTCTCCTCCTAGTAATAATCATTGTCCTGATAATCTGTTGATTATAAGAATATTTTCTATTAGCCACACTATCATGTCAACAACATAACTATCTGTATACAGATTTAAATATAGAATATATGTGTTGTGGATAGTTATAGTAGTACTTCCCAACCTTTTTCATATCATTGCATATGTAGGAAATGTTATTTGTATCTGTGGTAAGCAGAAAAATCTCCACAGCATTGAAAGCTTCATTCACCCTAGTCCCATCCAAAGACTCTAAAGGCCAAGGTAATCCATGTCTCAGCATAGCTGTGACACATCTCATGGTGTTTCAGCGCACTCGTTAGCAAGCTCTGAGTTATAATTCATCTTTCATAAATATGTTCTTAATATTTTTTATTGCCTTATTAATAAGGTGTTAATGAATTTAAATAACATTGTTACACTGAAATAATTTTATAATTATAGCTCCTTCCTCTCTTGTTATAACAAAATGATATAACAAATAACAGCATAGGGCTACTATGGTACAGCAAGCATTTGATTAGTGTGGCAGAATCTTCTGCCTAGGGCTAAGGAGAAAATTAAAAGTTGAATTGAAATGACATAATTAGTTAACCCTAGTAGGGTTTCAAAAATCTGTTAACAAGTTACATGAAGCATATCACTGACTGTCAACTTGCCTGCTCTGTTGTGAGTAAATCCTAGTGTTGTTCCTGACTTTACAAGAGCTGGGAACATAAAATGAAGACTCACTAAATTGAAAATGTTTAAATGGTACCCTGTGTATATAGAAATTTGCGTGTACTCAAGGCCTAATGCAAAAATTTTATGAAGGAGATTTACATTAGCTTTCCCTTTTGGAGTACTCACTAAACTAAGTATTTTACAAGCATTATCTCTTTTTTTTTTTTTTTGAGACAGGACACAGTCTCACTCTGTCACCCAGATGGTTATGATATGATGATCAATTTTAAGGCATTGATCTAACTTTACCTTGCAACCTATAAGGAGGTGTTTGTCTATCGAATATTTCATGTTTAATTTCTATTCTTGCTCTCAAAAAATATTTACAGGTAGATTAAGATTAACTATGTGTGCATCTGGGTTTAAATTTACCTCTTTCAAAATTAGCCAGTAAATGATGACATAAGAAAACATAGTCATTGTTTTCATTCAGTAGCTTCAATAGTGAATAACCATCTTCATAAAAATCTTCCTGCCCTTTATGAAAAACAAATCAGCTAAATTGTTTTAAGGTACTTCTCAGCAAATAATCTTCCTAAGTGGATTTCAAATTGATATTGGACTAGTAGTAATCACCTCTTTTCTTGACCACACTATATAAATAAGAGAAGAGGGTACATTTTGAAAATTTTGTCATTTTCAGATCTTTCAAATCTGATACAGATCAGATTAAATCTATAGATAGTACAAAACAAACAAATCTACTATGAGCATTTTCATTACTTGTCTTTATAACCCAATCAGAAAAAATCCTCAACTTTCTAATTTGAAATGAATTTCAGTCATATAAGGGTATTATTAAAATCAGAATTAATTCTTTTTAAGCAATTTAGCAAAATTTTCCCCTTTCTTAACTTCTTCACTTTGGCTGATGAAGATACTATTCTTCTAGTATGTATTATTATACATCTAGTAAAACAAAATTGTTATTCATGTCTTACTCATTTTTAAATATCCATCATCTCAAATATTATTTTCTCCACAAAATAGCCACAGACCTCTTAGAATGAATTTATTAATCCTTCCTCTATAAATGTAGGGCATGTTTTTATTTTATTTTATTTTTATTACATTTCACATCAGGGCCATCATGTCCTTTTGTGTTGTTTGTACACTGCACAATGCTAGAGTGTAGGATTCACACTATACCTTGTATGAACGGCAGTCTCTAGATGTATGACCAAAAGCTGTCACCATTTCATGTGAGCCCTGTCTTTCCTGGACTTGAAATGTCTTTTAAATGTTTCTTTCAAAAAAACACATTTCCAAAAGAGTTGAGTGAGCACTCCAAAATGGATGTCATGTTTTTCTAGACATTCCTGTACACACAGTACTTAGAAAACAACTGTTTAATGGAACACTCTCCTTTCAGCCACTAAAATGTCTCTAAGATTTAACTGTATTTATCATTTTCACTTGTATTATCTTTGTCTAGCAACTGATTACCTTAAACTTTGATTACTCTACCAAAGGATTTCACAAAATATATTTTGTAAAGTGTTAATAGGCAGACTGAGAAAGATGAACTTTTGGTTAAGTAAGTGTGGAAACTGCTGTATTCAATAAAGTTAAATAGCTTTTTTTACTGCAGGAATTCTAAAAGATTTTGTATGCTAATAATATTGGAACTCTTCAAGAAAGAATTCACTGCTTTTACTCTAGAAACGATACGTCCCATTAACTTGATACAGGCTCATTTCTAGACTTCCTATCGCTTCCTCATTTGGGAAGAAAAAAGAAAAAAGAGAAAGAATAATCTTATCACCTAGGTTACTGTGATTCTTAAGATTTGGAATGGGCAAGATAGAAAAGTTGCTTGTACAGGGGGTTAAATAGATGTACTCTAAAGTGTTAAATGCTTTATAGCAGCTGAAATTTGCCCTTTTAACTGAGTTTGTTTGCTTTTACTGATTTGTAAGATGAAAGACATTAACATCCCGTTTACTTGATTCTTATCCCATTCTGTATTTTGCCAATAGCTTTATTCCCAGAGGAAATGGTGTCTTTATGCAGAAACAAAAAAACGTTAACTTCTACCTCCATCTACTATAGAACAGTTGCTCTCGTTGGGGAAAGTTCTGTTCTCTAAGCAATGTTTTGGAAATGAATGGGGGTATTTTTTGTTGACTCAATGTTTGTGTATCATTATTGGGATTTAAAGGTTAGGAGTTAGGGGTTCAAGAGATCCTGTGTAGAATAGGGCAGTCCTGAAAAATGAAGACTGTCTCATACATATTCACATAGATAAAAATCCTGTTTATAAAATGTTTCAAATCTAAACACTTTTTTCTTCATTTTTGCATGATTTCAATATACACTAGAAGTTCCAAAATTCAACTACTATAATGAAAGATTGAACTGTGTTGTGTTTGAAACTTTACCAAGAGTTTGTCACTAGTTTAGAAAATCATGTCACCAACAGCAATACCACTTGTGGTACTAAATACAGACCTGTACAAGTCTATTTGCAGCCATCATATTCACAGTAATTGCATGTGACTATTCCGTTATGTCTTCTAATGTAGTCATGCCCAGGCATTTATATATTGAAGTACATAATACTGTATCTTAAATTACTTTCCTTTTATTTAAGACATTATATATTTTTGAAATTATATGTATATGTAAGTTACATTATTTTTCATTTTCATTTCTGGTTATATTTTTATTTTCATATCAGGATAGTAAAGGAGGCATTATAAAATATTTCTTATACAAAAGAGGTACTGGCATGCTAGGTTAGGACGTTAAAAATAAAAAGAAAAGCTTTTATAATTGGGAGGAAGAGGAGAGGGCATTGGGTCTGATAGGGTTGAAAACCACTAATCTAAACCAGGTGACTAGATAATAATAGTCACCTGGTTCAAAAAAGGTGTAGCGGAACAGAGGTAGGGAAAGGGGAAGCATGAGTCTCTTTTTCACTCAGTTTCTACATTTCCATACTTCCGAGGAAACATACCTTTACTGTGTCTCAGTTTTCACCATTTCACAGAACCTGCACTATCCTGAACTACCCCATAAGCTGCTAAAAGTGATTAAAAACAGAAATTCTTGTAGCTAAAAGGAATAGACAGTCACTGCTGCCACAGCTCCTCTTGAACCTTCAGAATCTATCAGTTTTCACAGTAGTGAGGTTATCTTCATTTTAAACCATGATCTGGAAATCTGTGTTATATATTAACCTTCATTTTGTAACAGGATTTTCAAAAACACTTACCTCAGTAGTAGTCCCAATGTCAGCAGATGGGCTGCATGTGCTGGTATCTGGAGGAGCTGTGCCTATACTGCTTCTAACTGGAGAAGTAGGAACAGGCCCTGCCATGGTCTCTGGAGAGGTTGGAGATAGGTTGAGATTGCCTCTCTTCTGAATCTTGTTCCAGACCTTATTCATGATATCAGTTAGTTCATAGAAGAGCTGGACCTGAGAGCATAAGAAAAAAGAAAAGAAAACAAGTCTTTCAACTTCCAGTTTCAATCCACTAAAATAATAATATGAGAAAATTAACTATTCCAGAGAAATAAAATTTATAAAACAAACTCTACCAATGCATCACTGATCACTTTAACTTACACTTGAAATTTGCTTCATACTCACTCTGTGATATTTTCATCAACCTAGCATTCCTGTGGATTAAAACCACAGTAATGTAAGCACAGCTTATTAGCAAACAGTAGATTGATTTCAATATGTGAACAATAGAACACATACAAATGCCTCTCAACCAGAGGACAGAATCAAAATTAAAAAACAAAGGCGTTCTAGTAAATGTAATTATTTAGCATAATATGAAATAACTACCATCTTAATTTCCACATCTAATTTTCTCTGTGATTTCTTGAAACTGGATTTCTTGTCCCACAAAACAAATTTAAAAAGAATGATATAACATTGAACAGTAAAAGGCAAATGTTACATATGAGACTTTTTTTTAATAGATAAAGAACATATCCAACCTACTATTCCCAAAGGAGATGTCATTCCAATATTCGGAGAAAAAACTGTTTAATTTGCACATTGTTTGACTGAGTCCTAAGATATTTACACAAGATTTCATAAATAAGCATTAATCATGAAATTTGTATGACAACGTAGTGCCATATACTGTATAAAACAAGCCCAGGAAGAAAAAATGCAAGCACAATATGTAAGCAAATCCACAGCTGGACACCATATTCTGCTTGCCATTTTAAAAAAGTGAAATTCTCGTATTTATAAAAAGTTTCAGCCCCAGGACACATCCAGATGATGAAGCTGGCTTCTTATGTGGGCAGAACAGATGCATAAAAACACTATTGTCAATCCTCATTTGATATAAAACAGTACTTGGGTGTACAATTTTCTCCTGTTTTTTGTGTAATGAAGTTTCAAATCTCAGGTTACAGCTATTTTTGTTTAAAAGTAATCTAGTAGCTAAAAATCTTATTAAAAAGGTCTTAGAAAAATATTTGTTCAAATTCTTTTGTCCTTCATAATTATGAATGTTTCTCTCTATAGAGAAACAATTTTGTTGCAAACCAGTTTTTAAAAAGATTATTTTGCTTTTTCTTAAATAATTAGAACTGATAAATAAAGAGAGTGCAAACAACAATAACAAAAAGCCAAAACAGGTTCTAAGTATTTCTAAGGGTATTTATTTAAGAGAAATGATGCTGCTTTTATTGTCACTACTTCTGATTCCTTTAAGTGTTAGAAAATACTGTGCCTGAATGGCAACGAGTACACTGTGTGTTTAAAGTGCCATGCAAACCATGACACACACTTTAAACGTATTTTTATTTTCAAAGAAGAAAGTTGCTAACAGAACTCAGACTTTCCAAATTCAGAGGTTTAAAGAAATAAGGCAAAAACATGTAGGATAAATGTTCAACTTTTATCCTTCAAGTTGTGCTAAAACACTATGCCAAGTAAAGCCACAATGAACTACCACTTCCCATGTTTAGAATGTCTAAAATTAAAAAGCCTAACTACATCAAGTATTAGTAAGGATGTAGAGTAACTAACGCTCTCATTTTCTGCTGGTAGGAATGTAAAATTTAGAATACGATTTGACAGTTTTTAAAAAGAGCATATACCTACCGTATATGATCCAGCTATTCCACTCCTAAGTAGTTTCCTAAGAAAAATGAAGCCTATGTCCATACAAAGATGTGTACACAAATGTTCATGGCAGCATTATTTGTAATAGGCAAAAATTGGAGAAAATCCCAAATATACATTGACAGGTAGTTAACAAATTGAAGTACATTCACATGACAGGATGCTGTTTAGCCATAAAAAGAAATAAACTATTGATGCATGCAACAATGTGAATTAATCTGAAAATAATTATGCAGAATGAAAGAAGCTAGGCTAAGAAAAACAAACAAAAATTAGTCTATAATGACAGAAACAATGGTACCTGTGATGGGGAGGAATGGGAGGGAGGACTGCATAAGAACATAAAGAAACTTGAAGATGTTAGATTGTGGGCGTAGTTTCATGTGTGTATGTATGCCAAATCTTAACAAATTAGCTAATTTAAACATGCAGTTTATTGTATGTTAAGTAAACCTCAATAAAACATTTTTTAAAAATCCCTAAAAAATAAATACCATGTGAGGTGGCTTTACATGAGTTCTGTATGAAGGTGTCTGAATATCAACAATGTCTTGTGTATTGAATGCTGACTGAATATAAATATGTAACATTATGTTTAAAAAATTTATTCACACACTTTTTTCATTTAATCTATAGCTGTTCATAAAAAAGATTCAATTTCACTGGAGAGGCTGAGAAAAGCCTCAAGGTATATTCCTGAAGGAGAGACAGGATTTAGATGAGTACAAAGTCATTCTACTCAGAAATACAGAATGAACAAAAGCCAAGCGCAGGGGATGATCAAGACAAGATACAGGGCTGATGAAGAGTCCCTAGGTGGCTAGAGAGGAAGGGCCCATTTTGCAGAGTATCAGGAGATAGTGTCAGAATAGAATCACTAAAGGTAGAGAGGAAGAAGAAAAAACATGGATATACAATGTCAACAGAAATCAAGGAGAAACGGAATTTCACCAATCAATTTAGTGATCTGGGTTGAACAATGCAGAGAGCTCTAAGTTAATACAATCTTAGAAAAACTATTTCATTTGGCATGTAGGTTGTTACTAATCATTAAAACTCAGTTTCAGAAACTTGTTTTTTTTTTTTTTTTACACAAAAACAACTTTTCACATAAAAGATTACACTTGTCCAGTTTAATTTCGTTTAAAAGTTAAAACAAAAATCAAGAGCTCGCGCCAGGTGTGGTGGCTCATGCCTGTAATCCCAGCACTTTGGGAGGCCAAGGCAGGCGGATCACCTGAGGTCAGGAGTTCAACACCAGCCTGGCCAACATGGTGAAACGCCGTCTGTACTAAAAATACAAAAAATTAGCCGGGTGTGGTGGTGGGTGCCTGTAATCCCAGCTACTTGGGAGGCTGAGGCAGGAGAATTGCTTGAACCCAGGAGGCGGAGGCTGCAGTTAGCCGAGACCACACCATTGCACACCTGCCTCGGCAAAAAAAAAAAAACAAAAAACAAAAAAAAAAAAAAAAAACAAAACAAAAAAACAACTGTCTCAAAAAAAAAAAAAATCAAGAGCTCAGAGAAATAAAAAATGGGTGAGTGGTGCAAGGATACAAATCCAGTTTTGTCTAAACTCAAAGCCTGTGTTCTTATACAGCAAACTGATCAACATAACAGCAATAAAAACGATAAATAAATGAATAGAAAACTGGCATAAATCTGTTCTTTCTCAGTTCCACATATATAAACCCCAAAATGCTAAGAAAGTGTTATGTTCCTGTGAATGCCTATAAGAAAACAATGTATCAGTTTGTTGGCCAAAGGTAAACAGAAGTTTCATCACATTAAAAAAAAAAAAGATTCTATGGGCTTCTTTTTTCTTTTTTTTTTTTAAATAAAGACAGCATGTTGTTATGTTGCTCAAGTGGTCTCAAACTCCTGAGCTCAAGTGATCCTCCCACCTTAGCCTACCAAGTCGCTGGGATTACAGGACAGGCTCATTTAACTTTGGAATAAGCATAGTATTTAGGGTCTGAGATACTGGTGTCTAAAGACATTAAAGGAAACAGGGTAACTTTGGTCACATAGTTAAGATGAAGGGAATGGATAACAGAAATCTCTTCTAGTCACGAAAGCACCAAATATTCAACCCAGATAAATATACACAGTGTCTAAGAACACTGAATGGCAATGAAAGTTCCAGGAATAACATAGACAGACAGTAATGTCTGATACAGTAATAAATTTGCTCTCAGCCTACCTTACATACATAGCCTTCTCTATTTTTAAAGTACATTAACTACATGAAGGTACTCTATCTAGGCAACAATGAAATAGATTCAATAGTGTACAAGGGTCACAATTCTGATGTCATCCTAATGGATAAGTCAAAGAAAGGTATTTAAGTAGGAATTATTTCCATAAAATGTAATCAAGAAACGTACACACTGGCTACAGTCAAAAGCTCACAAACCTTCTGACAGTATACCTCAGTATGCAATCTTAATGGGTCTATATAATATTCTGAGAATTGGCTCACGGCTTTTAGCCAATGGTATAAAAAGGACAAGAAGTATTGATTTGCTCCTCTTCCTTACAACAAATATATTTTAAAAACAAAAAGCAAACAACAAAAACAGATGGATAAATGAGAAAGCACAAGAAAGAAATTCTGAGACATTAATTTTAAAAGAAAAAACAGTAAAAGACATTTTTAGGTCATGTGTATGTCTGCGTGCATTTTAGGGGTCCATGATACTCCTTTTAAGACAGGATACCCAGAAAATAAAAAGGAATATATAGGTATCTTTGACCATGAAAGATTAAATTTCTGGCAGAAGATGTCAAAAAGTTTAAAAGCAAATGAACTGCATTACAGTTATGGGGTTTGTATTTATAGAGCCTAAAGAAAGCTTTTACAAATTGCTAAGAAAAATGAATTTAATAGAAGACTGGCTAAATGATATGAATTAACAAATCACAAAAGAGCAAATTCACTGGAAAATAAACATGTGAAAAAAGCTCAATCTTATTAGTAATTAGAAAAATATAAATTAATGTAAACTGTCAATTCACGAATGAGCAAACTCAATGGCCAATAAACATTTGAAGAGATGCTCAGCCATCTGGTGTCATTTCCTTTCAGCATGAAAAATGTTCCTTAGTACTTCCTGTATGCAGTTCCTACTGGTGATAGAGTCTTTTCTCTGAAAATGTTTTTCTTTAGTTTTCATTTATAAAAGTTATTTTTGCTTAATTAAGAACTTCTAAATTGATTGCAACGTTTTATTTTTTATTTTCCTAATTTAAAGATGTTCTTCTGGCCTTCGTGGTTTCTTACGAGAAGTAAGCTGTTAATCAAATCTTGGTTCCCCTGAACGTAAGGTATCATACATGTATTTTCTTGTGATATATTCAATATTTGTTCTTTACTTGTGGCTTTCAATAGTTGGATTATGAGGTATGTAGATATGGCGTTCTTTGCGTGTTTGTTTTATTCATCTTCATGTCTGCCTTACATGTAGCACTCAATAAGAATTTGCTTACTGCATATGGAAAAAAAAAAAAAAAATCAAGCCATCCTTTGGAATTTTGAAAGCATCCAAAGAGAGTCTGGAAGCATAAGCTAAAGCAATCACTCAAAACAAAGAGGTTTATTTAGAGTCTCATGTTTTGTCATTAAAATTTAGGTTAATCTCTCACTTGAAGATATCAAAGAGTATTAATCCCTCTCCAAGTCTTTTAGTTTATATAGATTCTTCAGTGCTGTTATTTTGTGGTTTCACATCTCTTCAGGAATGTTGCTACATTTCACCAGGGATGTTCATACCAATTTGCAAAGATGGTCTCACATTTTAATCAGAGTCAGTCTACACTAATAAAATGATATTCATATAACATTTCAGTGTTTACAAAATATTTTCATAAATATTTCAGACTTCCCAACAACCTTGTGATCAATGTTGGTTACACCAGGTGGTGACAGTTTAACACAATTTTGTTTATGAGGATTTATTGAGTAACTCCAAGGATTTTATGAGATTTATAAAGTAGAATTACATAAAGAGATAAGAGTTACTACATTTCGAGTAAAAATGAACTCTCAGTGCATAAGGTTCATTCATCCTTGGAGTAATTCTAGAAAAAAAGGTTCTTGGCATCAGGAGAACAGGAGAAAGGTGGCACTGGGAACCAGGTGACTCTGGAAGCCAGATAACTGAAGAAAGGACAACAGGGAAGGAACAGACATAGGAAGGAAATACAAGGCCAAACACAAGCCCCATCTAGCTGATGACTTTGCTTAGAGCTGGTTTACATTTAAACAACAACAAAATCTGAGCTTAGCTCCAAACAATGTGGATAGCTAGAGAATATACCAAGTACTCTAGTTTTGAGCCAAAGTATTACATTTAGTAACACCATAAAAATCACAAAACTATTAAGTATCTCAAAGTAAAGAAAATTTTAAAAATATGAATAATAGTGGAGTCTAAGAATATTTTTTGTGTTAGCTAGGACAGCTATGGATAACTAGAACATGTGGAGTAGGACTATCCTCTCACAGCTACAATTATCTTTCCTAAATTATAAGAACTTTGGTAGATAACTCCAAGTAGCAGGGGGCTGTCTATTATATGTAGCTTTAGAGAGAGACTGAGCTACCACTAAGTATAAACTATGACTTTAGAAAAACAACAGTTCTGTATCTTCCAAAAATATCTTCATATCCCTTTGTAATATGTCCTCTTCCTATCACCCCCTCTTTATTCTCTCTCGCTGTTCTACTTCCAGGCAACAAGTAACCTACTTTCTATCACTATATATTAATAGTAATCTGCATATTTTAACATTTTATGTAAATGGAATTATGGAGTAAGAACTCTTTTTCCACTTGGCTTCTTTCAGTCAGCATAATGATTTCAAGATTCGTCAATGATTTTGCATTTTATCAATAATTCAGCCCTTTAATGGCTGATTAGTATTACCTTGGTATGAGTAGGCCATAATTTTTTTACTAATTCACCTGATGATAAACATGTGAGTTGTGTCCAGTTTGGGGCTATACAAATAAAGCTGCTATATACATCTGTGTAAAAGACCTTTTGTGGATATATATTTTTGTTTCTCAGAGGAAATACATAGGGAGAAATCGCTGGGTTGTATGATAAGTGTGTGCTGAACTTTTTCAGAAATTGTCAAGGGGTTTCCAATGTTGTTACATCATTTTTACATTCTCACAAGCGGTGTATGATGAGTTCCAGTTGGTCCACATATTGAGTCTATCATTTATTTTAGCCAGTCTAATAGGTGTGTATTTCTATTTCTTCATGACGTTTTTCCCCTGATAATGATATTGGGCATATTTTCATATGCTTATTGACTATTCAAATAAGTATTTTGTGAAGTATCTGCTCAAGTCTTTTCCCCATTATTTGTCTTTATGTTTATCATTTATTGTTCATCTTCATGTTATTGAGTAGAAAAAATTTTTAGTCCGGGTGCAGTGGCTCATGCCTGTAATCCCAGCACTTTGGGAGGCCGAGGCAGGTGGATTGCTTGAAATTGGGAGTTTGAGACCAGCCTGGTCAACAGGTGAAACCCTGTCTCTACAAAAATACAAAAATTAGCCAGGTGTGGTGGCACACACCTGTGATCCCAGCTACTCAGGAAGCTAAGGCAGGAGAATCGCTTGAACCTGCGAGGAGGAGGTTGCAGTGAGCCGAGATCACATCACTGCACTCCACCCTGGGCAACAGAGGGAGACTCTGTCTCCACAAAAAAAAAAAAAAAAAAAATTGGATAACAGTCCATTGTTTGAAGAATGTCTTGTAAACACCTTCTCCAAATGTCGGGCTTTCTGCTATCTCAATGTGTCATTCAAAAAGTATTTTTTTAAACTTGATTACGCCCAATATCAAGATCAATAAGCCATCAACAATTTGAGTCTTCCAAACTATGAGGAGATATATCTCTTTACTTCTTTCAGGTGTTAAGTTTTCTCAGCAACGCTTTATGGTTTTCAGGATAGAGGTCTTAGATATCTTTTGTTAGATTTATTCATTTATGTTTCTTGGATGTTAGTAAAGAGTGAAGTTGATTTCATTCCATTTTCCGGTTGTTTGCTGCTAGTACATAAAAATACAAATGGTTTTAATACATTAACTTTGTCTCATAAAAGCTTGGTGAGTTTTGTTAGTTTTAGTAATAGTTTATTAGACTCCTTTGGGGTTTTCTATAAAATATGTTACATGCAAACAGTTTTACTTCTTCATTTCTTATCTTTATATCTTTTATTAATTCTTCTTGGTTTATTGTAATGGTTAGGAACTCTAGTATGATACAGAATAGAATTGAAAGCAGAAATCCTGGACTTTTTCCTGATCTTAGTGGGAAACAATTCAATATTTTACCATTACGTATGATATTTACCATTGTTTTCCCTTATATGATCTCTATCAGTTTGAGAATGTTACCTCCTACTTGTAATTTGCTGAGACTTTTCATCATGAATGCATGTTGAATTCTGTCAAATGTCTCACTTGAATTTATTGAGATGATCATATGATTTTTCTCCTTTGTTTTGTTATTATGGTAAATTATATTGAATGATTTTTGAATGTTAAACCAAACTTGCATTTTTAAGATAATTCCTAGTTGGCCATTACGTATAATATATATATTATGCCTTTTAGATATTGTTATCTTTGATTTGTTAACATTTGGTTAAGAACTTATATATCATTTTCATGAGGGATATTAATACCTAGTTTCCTTCTTTTGTAAAGTCTTTTTGAAGTTTTGTTATTAGAGTTATGCTAGCTTCATAAAACCAGTTGGGCAGGGATGCTTCAGGCTTCATTTCTGGGAAAACATTTGTGAAAAATTTATGTTATTTTTTCCAGAATATTTGATAGAATTCATCCATCTAGATTGGAAGTTTTCTCCATGGGAAAGTTTTTGACATCACATTCAATTTTCTTAAAAGATATAGAGCTATTTGGTTTTGCTCTTTTCTTCTTGTGTCAACTTTGATGGAATTCTTTTCCAATGAAAATTTCCATTTCATCTAAGTTGTTGCATTTGTTGGCATAAAGTTGTTCATTATTTTCTTATTATGCTTTTAATGTTATCAACTCCCCTTTATTCATGATATTAGTAGTTTGCATTTTTTTCTCCCTCTCTATTATTTCAGTCTAGCTAAGGAACTGTCAATTTTGTTGATCTTTTAAAAGAATCAGTTTATTAATTTTCTATCTCTTGCTCACTTTTTTGTTAACTGTTCCATTCATCTCTGCTCATATCTTTATTATCTTCTTCTTTTTACTTACTTTGGGTTTCTCTTGTTCTTTTCTTAGCTTTCTAAAATTGAACCTTAAATGGCTGATTTAAGATCTTTCTTCCTTTCTAATATGTCTTTAAAGTTATATTTCCCTCTAAACATTGCCTTAGCTTATCCAGTTTTTTTTTAGTGTCATTCAATATTTTCTAATTTCCCAAATAATTATGTCTTTGTTCCATAAATTATTTAGAAGCATGTTGTTTAATGTCCACATATTTAAAGTTTTTCTAGCTATTTTATTATTATTAATTTCTAATTTGACTGTGGTCAAATAATACTTTCATGTGATTTTTGATCCTCTTAAAAATGAGACCATGTATATCTGTAAAAAAGCACATTCTACGGTTGTTGGATATACTGTTCTATAAATGCCAATTAGATCAAGGTGAGTGCATAGTATTTTCATATCTTCTATATCTTCAATTATTTATTTTTAATCCAGTTGTTTTATCCATTGCTGAAAGAGGTGTTATAAAAATTTCCTACTACGATTCTAGAATTCTCTATCTTTTTCCCTTAATTCTGTTAATTTTTGTTTCATGTCACTCTATCTATGGTAACACACTTTTTATTTGTTCTATCTAAGATTAAAATAAGTAAGTCCAGCCTTTTTATGCTGACTGTTTGTATGGTGTATCTTTTACTATGCATCTATTTATAACGTTTCTTTATATTTAAGTAAAATACAATCTTAGGTATTATACGGTAGCATCTTGTTTTACTTCCCACTGTAGATCTTTGCCTTTTACTTGGAGTGTTTCACCAATAATTTGTGAACTTTCTCTGTGAAGGGCCAGAGAGTAAATACTCTAGGCTTTGTGGGCCATACTGTTCCGTTATTCAATTCTGCAGGTGTAGCATGGCAGAAACCATAGACAATATGTAAAAAAGGAGTGTGGGCAAATTTGGCCTATGGGCATTAGTTTGCAGATTCCTAATTGAGACCATAAATATTTCATGTAATTATTAATATAGCTGGCTTAGCTCCAGCATTTTATTTTTTGTACTGTTTTACCCTCCATTTTTTGTTCCTTTGTTACTTTTTCCCATCTTCTTTTGGCTTCTTTGAATATTTTTTAGTATTTAATTTTAATTTCTCTATTGACTTTTTGGCTTTATCCTTTTGTATTTTTGCATTTTCTTATTAGTTGTCCTAAGAGAGTAAAACATATGCACCAAAACTTTCGGTCTACTTAAGAGTTTATATTGTACCACTTCATATGATATGTAGAAACTTGGCAACCATAGATTCTTTTACTCCATCTTCCACTAGCCTTAATGCTATAGTTGTCTTGTATGCTACATCTACATACACTGAAAAAACCAGCAGACAATGTTATGCTTTTTGATTTCAAGAGTCACACATATTTTTAAGTAGTTTTTTAAAAAATATATTTACCCAGCCATTTATCCCTTCTGTTGGTTTTCCTTCATTCCTAAAGATCTAATTTTTCATCCAGTATCATTTTCCTTCATCCTGCAGAATTTCCTTTAGCATTTCTTGTAGAATAGAGCAGCTGGTGACAAACTTTCTTAGCTTTTCTTCATCTAAAAATGGGTTTATTTCTCTTTCATTTCTGTGGGGTATCTTCACTAGGTTAACAGTTCTTTTATGTTAGCACTTCCAAAATATTGTTCCAATGTCTTCTGTCTCCTGTGGTTTCTAATGAGAAATCTACTCTAATTCAAATCATTATTTGCTTATATGGAATGTGTCTTTTCCTATATCTGCTGTCAAAATTGTCAAAATTTTAAAAAATTTATTTTTCGTTTTCAATATTTTAATCACAATGTGTCCAAATGTTTGTTACTTTGGGTTTATCCTGTTTGGGATTAGGTGAACTTCTTGGATGCGTAAAGACTATCTCTTTCCCCAAATTTGCAAAGTTTTCTGTAGTTATTTCCTCTTTTTTTTTTTTCTATCCCAATC
The DNA here is from genome assembly GCF_000001405.40 of Homo sapiens. Lineage (NCBI taxonomy): Eukaryota > Metazoa > Chordata > Mammalia > Primates > Hominidae > Homo > Homo sapiens. The sequence continues at coordinate 99,470,709 of NC_000008.11, read as the reverse complement.
CTTTTATCCTCTCCTTCTGAAACTCCAAGTAGTACACAATATTCGACTTTTCTATTCTACAATCATTGAAGCTCTGTTCACTTTTTAAAAAAACTTTTTTCCTTTCTTTTTCAAATTCAGTAATTTCTACTGATCTATGTTCAAGTTTAGTAACTCTTTCTTCTATCATCTCCAAGCTACCTTTAAGCCCACATAATATGGTTTTCTTCCTTCAGGTACTGTATTTTTTAGTTCTAAAATTCCATTTGACTCTTTTTATACTTTTTATTCCTCAATTGAGATTTATTGCCTTTTCATTTAGTATGCTTTCCTTTGCACCTCATAAAAATTTCTAAAAGCTGCCTTAAAGTCATTTTGCAATTCAATTATTTTAAAACAAGTTGAGAACATGCATTTATGTGGGGGTAGTCAATTGTTTGTTTTTGAATTTTTCCTAGAGTATATAGGAATAATCAGTAGGAAAGATAGGCTGAGGGAGCTTATACTGCCATGCTAAGAGATATCTTATGTTTTCCTTTTTAACAACTTCTGTGATAAAGTGTCTAAAGAAGCTGAATCTGTTCCTCTACATTCTATCAGGCAGAGCCGCCATAACAAAGTACCATAAACTCGGTGGCTTAAAACAACAGAAACATATTGTCTCAAAGTTCTTGGAGGCTACAGTCCAAAATCAAGGTATCAGTAGGGCCATGCAACCTCTGAGATTCTGAGTACAATCCTTCCTTGGCTCTCTGCCTAGCTTCTTCTGGTGGGAACTATCCATCTTGGGTGCTCCTTGGCTTACAGCTCCACTAGTTCAATCTTTGCTTCCATGTTCACATGACAATCTCCATGTGTATCTTTACATCATCTTCCCTTTGTATGTGTCTATGTCCAAATTTTTCTATTTTATAAGGATACCAGTCACATTGGGTCACCCTAATGACTTCATTTTAACTTACTTCTGTTACAAACCTATAACCAAATAAGGTTATATCTGAGATACACAAGGTTAGAACTTCAACATATATTTTTGCGGGGACACAATTCAATCCATAACAGTTTCCTTTCCTTTTAAAAACACTTTAAAGCAACCATTAGCAGCAGCACTCAAAGAGTAATCTCAAAGAAGATAGTCATTTCATAATTATTTTCTTCTATATCACTATGGGTATAATAGAAAGGCAAATAGCCATTAAACTGAAATATTTAGTGTCATTCAAAAGTATTCACTACTGATTCTAAAATAAATGACCTTATGGCATGGTGCTCACACCATGTAATCCCGGCACTTTGAGAGGCTGAAGCAGAAGGATCGCTTGAAGCCAGGAGTTCAAGATCATCCCAGACAACAAAGCGAGACCCTGTTCTACAAAAAAATAAAAATGAAATAAATTAGCTGGTCATGGTGGCATGTGTCTATAGTCCCAGCTACTCAGAAGGTTCAAATGGGATGACTGCTTGAACCTAGGAGTTTGAGGCTGCATGAGCTGTGATTGCACCACTGCACTTCAGCCTGGGGGACCAAGTAAGACCCTGTGTCAAAAAAAAAAAAAAAAAAAGGAAAGAAAGAAAACATGAAATAATGTTTACTGTAGTGGAAGATGAGTTCTTAAGTTTTTATGACAGTGTTCTTTTAATAAAGCTGCCTTGTCATAATTCCAATTAAATGCATTTTTATAATAAGACTCTTACCAATATATTATTAGGTCTAATCTTTTCAAATATAAAAGTTAAATCAAACAGTATAGTATATAGTAGGGAGAAGGAGGCAAGAAGAAAAGAAAGGATGAGGATGGTTTCAAAAAAGACGCTCTATAAAATATGGAATGCAAGCTGATAGTCCAAAGAGAAGTATCACTTGATATAGGGGAGGAAATGGAGTAGGGAAGCACACAAACAAAAATACAGTTAATTGTCACGTGATAGTAAAATGTAAAACATTTAACATTTATGATTAATACTGCTTCATAAAAAGTGAATTAAAACAAAACAAAAAATTTTAAGAGAAAGAGTCTTGCTTTATTGCCCAGGCTGGAGTGCAGTGGCTATTCCCGGGTGCAATCATAGCACACTACAGCCTCTAACTTCTGGGCTCAAGGATCCTCCTGCCTCAGCCTCCTGAGTAGCTGGGACTATAGGCATGTGCCATCAAGCTCAACTAACTTGAACCTACTTAAAAAAGTACTCTTAAAAATTGGCTTATAACAATTAATATAACAAATATAACAAATAATGTTTTTAAAAAATAATATTTAAATTTTTTTTAATATTTCTTTTTAAAAATAATATTTTTAAAAAGAAAAAGATTTCAGGTGTCATAGACCAATCATGCTGTATCTTGTAATTTTACAGTTTAATATGAATTCACATCACCTGGGTTTGCACAAATAATTAGTTGCATACAATTTAACCCTTGTTTATTTACCCTCAAATAGACTAACCATCATTCTGAGCAAATTATTGCAAGGACAGAAAACCAAACACTGCATGTTCTCACTCACAGGTGGGAATTGAACAATGAGAACACTTGGACACAGGGTGGGGAACATCACACACTCAGGCCTGTCGTGGGCTGGGGGGTCGGGGGATAGCATTAGGAGATATACCTAATGTAAATGATGAGTTAACGGGTGCAGCACGCCAACAAGGCACATGTATACATATGTGACAAATCTGCACGTTGTGCACATGTATCCTAGAAGTTAAAGTATAATAATAAAAAAATTGCATGATAAGCAAAGAAGTTCTGAGTGAGAATCTGAATGAAAATTACACTCGATCAGTTCAACAGACTCTTCCAGTCTTACAGTAAAATAGTTCTTCAGTGTTTAAAAACATTACATCTGCAACTGATTTCATTCCATCAGCCAAAAGATACATTTGTACTGCCACCATTACATTTTCAGAAGAGTTTAAATTACACAACTTGAGAGAGCTTCAAAGCAATTCTTAATCTAACCACCCTGATCTTGATGGCCAAGTTAAAAATAATTTAGGATACTCAAGAGAAGAGAAACCCTTCAACAAAATGGATAACAATTGCTTTTAAATCACATTACTTTAAATTTCCTTTCATAAATCAAATGTACCAACCTGGGGATTAGAGCATTTTATCTCTAGTGACTCTAGGTCAACATGGAGACAGACAACAAATGAATGTCGTGTATCAGGTCCCGTAGCAAGCAGTTTTTGAGACGTGACAGCTAGAGTGGAGGTGCAACCCATAGGTTCCACTAGGCAAAGTGTCACTTGTTTTCCAAGAAGGGTATATATGCTGAAATTATGCAAGCTGATCGTCCAAGGAAAAGCATCACCTGATATAGGGGATAAAAGGGAATAGGGAAGCACACAAACAAAAAGACAATTAATTTTCACTTGATAGTAAAATGTAAAACATTTAACATTTATGACTAATACTGCATCATAAAAAGTGAATATAGTATTCCTGAGACCACGGTGCTAAACAATTTACATGCTACTGAAAATTCTGTCAGTAATTATATACACTATAAACCGTACATTAACAGAAATTAAATATATGGGATAAAAATAAAAATAAAAGTTCTAACTTCTTCTTCCCTTACCCTAGTTGGTTGTATTGTGAAACTGTTGGGGACGTATGCAAACCCTGGAGGCCAGAGAAAACAGATCACATTACATAAATGTGATCTGATACCTTGATTTTGGACTGTAGCCTCCAAGAACTTTGAGACAATATGTTTCTGTTGCTTTAAGCCACCCAGTTTATGGTACTTTGTTATGGCAGCTCTGCCTGATAGAATGTAGAGGAACAGATTCAACTTGAATCCTGATTTTATCTATGGTACTGAAAATGACCATAGATCTTGCCATGGAATGAGACAGGAAAAGAATAAACAATCTAATATGGTCTGTTGGATCACCTGCCTCAGAATTCATGTGGGATGCTGGTTTAAAACACAGGTTCCTAGGACTTTAGACCTTCTTAATCAAAATCTCTGATGGTACGACCCAGCATGAATTTTGATATGTTCCCTAGATTATTCTTACATTTGAGTTATTTTTAAATAAAATGCACTTGATAAAAAATTGGCATTCATAAATTTCAGGATTAAAAGCAAAATTCCCTTTTTATACTTTGAGCTTTTACTGACTTATCTCAGGTAAAATTAATTTATTAATATAAACATTTGAGATAAAGCCATTTATTTCTTGTAAATATAGGAAAGTAATTTTTGAACTCTTAAAAAGTCCATTTAGTATTAGAATATTTTTAAACATTTATTATGGTGATATCAATTTTATATCATTTGTATTTTGGACTTTACAATTCTACTAGTGCTTGTCAGTACAGAGAGTATAACACGAACATCATTTTTAGTAATTCAATTATTTTAGAACAAATTGAGGACATTTATTTTCTAATTAGAGAGGTAATAGATGCCATACTGCAGATAAATTGGGAAACATATAAAGAAGAAAATATCAAAACCATTCATAATTTACCTTCTATTTTGCCACCCCCAATAATAAATAATATTAACACTTAGTTATATTTCCTTCATATATATTTTTTCCCCTATGGGTGATGGATGTGCCCAGGCAGAGATGAGATCAGAGATCACACTGCACTCATGGTCTTCCCTTGTTTTTTCACTGAAGAAAAAATACCAAGTGAATTACTAGGTAGATCATACTACAAATATTTTAGAGGAGTCTAAATATATATTCAATATTCAGTAGGTACCAGAAGATACATTCTTATAAGTTTGAACATTAAAAATGTCTTGACCAAATATAGTTAATAAAATTATTATAAAATTAGAAACTTTGAAAGTGAGACTTGCATAATAAAATAAACCTAGCAACATAGTTCACAATAACTTGACTGGAAACAATGATAACTGCATAATAATATGTGGTCAGCACTATGGTACTTTGTCTGTCTTAAGATTTAAAATATTTTTCCCCCTAGGAAGAATGACAAACTAAATCATCTGTAACTAATTCTAAAATTATTTTAAAACCTACATCAAATTCCATGCTATTTAAAAAATAAAGGCTCTGCCAAATTTGTCTTAAAATATTTTGGACTGAGTTCGGATTATATATTTTAAAGCTGGTAGTGAGCTATATATATTTTTTCAAATCCTATTGTATCCAAGAAATGCTAAATGGTGGTTATGCTGGATGGAAGGGGACCAGATTAAAATTTGTTAAATTTTTAAAAATCCCAAATAACATTGGTACTATCACAGTTATATTTCTGCGTCTTCTTTGGAATCAGATTAGGAAATTGAAATTGAGCATATCATACCCTAACTCCTAAAAAAAAAAAAAAAACCTTTCAAGGTACTACACTTCATGTCCATTTATTTAGCATACAGATTGTTTTAAAAAGCACACTATACCTAGAAGATGAAATTTTAACATGCAATGACAAAAATTCCACAATTTCCCACTGTGAGAAAAATTCACAAAACACATTAACTGCACAAGTATTCCTTTCACACACACACACCAGAATGAAAACACCTTATCTACTTATAATACTGGCAAAATAATGTTCTGGGCACTCCATAAAATATGTTCAGACATCCATGACTGGCCAGAACCACATACTATTCTGAGAACTTCATATAGCTTTCTATCAATCTGGGCTGACCTTCAAGATTAAGATTTTTATTTTACTTGGAAAGTTGTAATGCTATAATCTAAGTCTTTCATTTTAGAGAAAATATTGCCGGCAGAATTAAAAAATTTTCAAGCAAAATGTCTAAAGAATAAGAAAAAAAGAACAAGGCAGGAAGATTGAGAATCTCTTTGTATGTGAATTTGTTACCCCTCTATATTATCATTAGAGAAAAGAATACAAACAAAACAATTCTCAAGAAAATGATGACCAAACACTGATGTAATTCAGACCAAATAATGTGAAAGAAAGTGAATATGACAGAAAGCTTTGGGACAAAATGAATAAATAAAGAACAACCAGTGAGACTATGCGTTACATGTGTCAACGCCAAGGGGTGGAGCAGGGAGGAGGTCCCCAAAGGAACATATTAAACTTACAAATGAGTGAAACTTAAAAAGAAAATTACAGGGGATTTCTTTATATTGTATCACATGTTGCTGATATCATACCATGCTATAATCAAAAGATTATGGTTTACATGACACAAAAATAATTTTAATAATATAGATATAAAAAACGTTTTTGTCAATGTTGCGGTTAGTGAACAATGACTATTTATACAAATCCTTATCACAGAAATATAATTTATGACCCTGAATCTTTTTGGGTAGGAATCAATATTCTGGAAAGATAATCAGTCTTTTCCTTTCAAAAAACACTCTACTACACTACAGGAAAAAGTGTATGTACTTGAGGCCAGTTTGAATCACCTTACAAATATCTATTTAGCAAATGTGGAAAGAATGCTGGTCAATATTGGAGATACTTTCCTCAGTTTTCTTTGTTTTCATTACCTTAGTCACTGAATGTTTGTCAAAAGAAACAACAACA